>NC_000001.11:146309587-146934587 GCF_000001405.40 Homo sapiens
AAGGGCTACACACTCCCTGGTGCCAATGTGGGGGTGTTGGTTACGTTAAGCCAAGAATGTGATGCAATTCTCAAGAACAGGAAGAGGTTTGGCTGGAATAGAAAGAGGACTCTGACTTGGTAGTGGTGGTAGCAGAAGTGGAGTGGGAAACAGGTAGTTTTTTCAAAAGAGTAAAGCTAGAGATTAACTGGCAAAAGCAGAAGGAATTGATAAACTGTAACTGAAAGCCTTCCTATTCCATCTCTGGTTGTAATAAAGCAGACAGAAAAAGCCTCATATTCAGAATTGGCTCTTCTAGCAATTATGAAAGAAATTACCCACCCCCTGGAGCTCTCTTGACATATAGGGTGTCCCTCTGGACTTTTTCTTCAAGCAAAGAGCAGCTATTTTGATTACAGATTAGAAAATTTATCTGTAAAATGGGGGATAGTAGCTATCAACTTCACAGGGCTATGGTGAGTATCAAAGGGAAAACATGTCTGTGAGAGCACCTTATACGCTATTAATATGCCTAGCCTACTTATAGTAGGCTAGCCTACTAGTTACTTATAGCCTACTGCTCAAGTTATCACCAAGGTCTGATTTTTTGACAAAAAAAAATTGCAACCTCCGGCCTAAGTGAGTTAAGAACAGTTCAAATGTTAGCTGCTCTTGTCATTACAAGATAATTCACTGACTAAAGATAGAAAGGCACGGGGATATTTGAATAATGAAAGAATGAGAAAGATTAGATGTAGACAACATTTTATCTGAATGACAAACATATACTCTATGATAGGAACACATTTAGACACTGCTGAGGATCACTCTTTGGACTTAGGTAGGCATCCTAAACTATAAATCAGGCCTGAACACCTTTTCTCTTACACATACAAAACAATTTATTTAAAAACTGGTGCTAAGTAGGATCTACAAATCTAGAGTTAAATGGAAAAACATGGGTAGGAGTTTCTGGAAATATAAGTCAAATAATTAACATGAGATTGAAGAAACAGTCAATTATTTTCTTCACAGGACAGAGAAAAGGAAAAATCTTATTTGGAATGAATGTTATATTTATTGTAATAGGATTAGCTTTGTCACCTAAATACCATCATTTTTAAAGGGCTATTCTTTACAGTATAGTTCTTTTCCTCTCAAGGAAAAACTGCTTTAGACATTTTAATTGAGGAAAAGGCAGAGCCTTTGGAGTGTTGCTGCCCTCTTCTGGGAACATGAAGTCATAGCCTGAGAAATTGCTAGAGGATCCTAAATATTGCAATATATAACAGGAATAATTCCCTTTTCCCTATCAAAAGTAAAATAACTATGAAACTGGATGTTAGTCTCCAGAGAAAAGCCAGGATTGTACTGGTCACAAATGCTTTTTTAAACAGTTATAATAGTAATAAAAGTGAAACAGTATGGTATACTTGTACATCACTTCAAGGTTTATAAAATCTTCATGACCATTATTGCATTTTACCTTCTTTTATCCTCAAATAGTTCAAGTGAAGTAGGCAGAACAGACGTTATTCTCATTTTCACATGGGGAAACTGAAGTACATAGTGTCTAAAAAACTTACCTAAAGTTCTGCTAGAGTGCTGAGCTGGGCCTTGAAGTCGTCTCCCGACTCAGAGTTCAATGCTCTTTTCACCCACTTCCCTACTGCATGCAATGTAAGTAATTTGTTTCTGTTGCAGTTACATCCCTCCTCAGCAATGTCTACATTACACCACAGTGTCCAGTAATTTATAGAAAGAAATCTGCTGCTTTGTATATGATTCTAGCAAGGCTACGCTGTTATTGTGGCAAAAACGGATATATTTAAATTCCACAAACGAGTGGATGGGCTATAGCAGAACTTCTTAAACTTCTGCTTGGAAGTTCTTTAGTGTCTTTTCTTCTTCTTCTTCTTCTTCTTAGATTCTTTAAAGCAAGCAGAGTTTTGTAATATTAAGTCTCAACTCTGCTACTAGGGAAAAATGAGTTTGAGAAAGACGGAAGAAAAAGTGGAGTATAAAAATTTTAAAAAATCAAGAAAAACCAATTTGAAAGTCAAAGTTCTTTTATTCTAAAGCTCTAAGTGTGCAAATAAACCCACTCTGTATATTTATGCAAATAGCTAAACAAAAGGCAGAAAAATAGATATAATCTTCAGTCCATGTATTGGCCTAACTGCTTGTCCCTGCATGCCCAGTCCAACAAACCTCACTGCCTACCTACACAACCAGCAAGTAAAAAATTGGGAGTTTAGCAAGTACAAATTGCCATCAGTTGGTCAAAACTAAGCCAGTAAAACCAGTTTCTTGGGTACGGTAAAATATTTCTTACTTTATATGGCATATTGGTCAAGGTATTTATCAGTGAACTGGAGTCACTTTTTCAAAAAATTAGTTAACAGATCTGAAATGCTCCTTAAATATTGTCTCCACAACATAAAAGTAATCGTAAGCATAATGGTCAATTGGAAACATTCCCAGTCCAAGATCTGTTGCTATATTTGACTTCTGTGCTTTCTCCCCAAGTCTAATTTATCTCTATGCCTTAATTTCTCCTCCTTCTTTGCCTCCATACCTTTCAATTGTTTCTGCCACCAAAGAATCAATTTCACTTGCTGTATTGTTTTCCCTTCTCCAATGTGTTTACTATATGTTGATATAATTGTACTGGTTCTCTCTTTTGTTGCGACTTTTCAATGTGCCTTTCTTTTCCCATTTCATTACTAGACCTACACCCTTTTGCCCCACTTTGTTTCCTTCTTTTATTCAAATTGTGTGTACCTATGATTCATGAAACCCAGTTCCAAAAAACTTATGCATACATCTCTGTAATTCAATGAACTTATACCACGAATATTTGTTGCCCACCTCCAATGTGTCAGCCACCGCACCCAATGCCAAGGATTCAAATTGAATAATAATTGATCTCTATCCCAGGCATCTCATGAGGCACATAGCCAAGGAGACAAACAAGTATGCACTGACAGCTAGTTTAAATTTGTAGGTTTTATAATAGAAATATGAACAAGTTATTGTGGGAGAATGAAAACACAGCTTCTCCCAGGTCAGAGAGAAGGGGGGTATGAGAATGTCAGAGAGGCTTTATGAAAGAGACATTTGAGCTGGGTCTTTGAAGGAAGAGCAGAACTTTACCAGGTGTCTTGTTTGTTTTGCTATATGCTTTATTTTACATTTTTAAAACACTTTTCTTTAAGGTTTTGGTGTACAGATTATTTTGTTACCTGGTAATAAGCACAGTACCCAATAGGTAGTTTTTCTGTCCTCTCCCTCCTCCCACCCTCTACCGTTAAGTAGGTCTTGGTGTCTGTTGTTCCCTTGTGTACATGTGTACTCAATGTTTAGCTCCCGCTTATAAGTGAGAATATGCGGTATTTGGTTTTCTGTTCCTACATAATTTAGCTTGGGATAATTGCCTCCAGCTCCATCCATGTTGCTGCAAAGAACATAATCTTATTTTTTTATGGCTGTGTATATTCCACGGTGTACGTGTACCACATTTTCTTTATCCAGACTACCACTGATGGGCATTTAGGTTGATTCCATGTCTTTGCTATCGTGAATAGTGCTGCGATGAACATATGCGTGCATGTGTCTTTATGGCAGAACAATCTATATTCCTTTAGGTATATATCCAATAATGGGATCGCTGGGTCGAGTGGTAATTGTTGCCGGTTCTTTGAGAAATCACCAAAGTGCTTTGCACAACGGCTGAACGAATTTACATTCCCATTAGCACTATATAAGTGTTCCATTTTCTCTGCAACCACGCCGGCATCTATTGCTTTTTGACTTTTTAATAGCCGTTCTGATTGGTATGAGATGGTATCTCATTGTGGTTTAGATTTGCATTTCTCTAATTATTAGTGATGTGGAACATTTTTTCATATGCTTCTTGGCCACATGTATGTCTTTTTGAAAAATGTCTGTTCGTGTCATTTGCCCACTTTTTAATGAGGTTGTTTTTTGCTTATAAAGTTCCTTATAAATTCTGGATATTAGACTTCTCTAGGATGCATAGTTTGCAAATATTTTCTCTCATTCTGTAGGTTATCTGTTTACCGTGTTCACTGTTTTGTTTGTTTGTTTTTGGCTATGCTAAAGCTCTTTAATTAGATTCCATTTGTCAATTTTTGTTGTAGTTGCAATTGTTTTTGGCATCTTTGTTATGAAATCTTTGCCAGGTCCTATTCCAGAATAGTATTTCCCAGGCTATCTTCCACGGCTTTTATAGTTTTAGGTTTTATATCTAAGTCTCTACTTCATATGAGTTGATTTTTGTATATGGCATAAGGAAGGGGTCCAGTTTCAATCTTATGCATATGGCTAGCCACTTATTTCAGCACCATTTATTGAATAGGGAGTCCTTTTCTCATTGCTTGTTTTTGTCAACTTTTTTCAAATATCAGATCATAGGTGTGCAGCATTATTTCTGGGCTCTTTTCCGTTCCATTGGTCTATGTGTCTGTTTTTGTACCAGTACCCTGCTGTTTTGGTTACCGAAGCCTTGTAGTATAGTTGAAATTGGGTAGTGTAATGCCTTCAGCTTTGTTCATTTTGCTTAAGATTGTTATGGCTATTCAGGCTCTTTTTTAAGTTCCATATGAATTTTAAAAGTTTTTTTTTCTAATGCTGTGAAGTATGTCACTGGTAGTTTCATAGGAATAGCATTGAATCCATAAACTGCATTGCGAAGTACAGCCATTTTAACAACACTAATTCTTCCTATCCATGAGCATGGAATCTTTTTCCATTTGTTTGTGTCATCTCTGATTTGAGTAGTGTTTTGTAATTCTTCTTGTAGAGATCTTTCACCTCGTTATCTATATTTCTAGGTATTTTTGTGTGTGTGTGGCTATTGTGAATGAGATTGCATTCTTGATTTTGACCCTCAGATTGAATGCTATTGGTGTATAGAAATGCCACTAATTTTTGTACATTAATTTTGTATCCTGAAACTTTGCTAATTGTTTATCAGATCAAAGAGCTTTTAGGCAAAGACTATGGGGTTTTCTACAGAATCATATTGTCTGCAGAGATAGTTTGACTTCCTCTTTTCCTTGGATGTCTTATATTTCTTTCTCTAACCTGTTATCTCTGACTAGGACTCTCAGTACTATGTTGAATAGGATTGGTGAGAGTGGGCATCTTTGTCTTATTCTGGTTCTCACAGGGAGTATTTCTAGCATTTGGCCCATTCGGTATGATGTTGGCTGTGGGCTTATCATAGATGGCTCTTATTTTGAAGTATGTTCCTCTAATGCCTAGTTTGCTGAGGGTTTTTAACATGAAGGGATGTTGAATTTTATTGAAAGCCCTTTCTGCATCTATTGAGATGACCATGTGGTTTTTGTTTTTAGTTGTTTATGTGATGAATCACATTTATTGATTTGCATATGTTGAACCAAACTTGCATCCCAGGGATAAAGCTTGCTTGATTGTGGTGGATTCGTTTTTGACATGCTGCTGGGCTTGGTTTGCTAGTCCAGCAAATTGAGTCGTTGAGGATTTTTGCATCTATGTTCCTCAAGGTTATCCATATTCAGAACTCTATTTTTGTCATGTCAGCCTGGTTAAGAACCACTGTTGGGGAAATAGCGCAGTTGCTTGAAGGTAAGAAGGCACTCTGGCTTTCTGAGTTGCCGGAGTTCTTGTGCTGGTTCTCACCTGTGTGGTCTGATGTTGCTTCAACCTTTGAAGTTGCTGTTTCTTGGATAGGTTTTTCTGCTTTTGTCTTCTTTGATGCCCTTGGGGGTCTGAATGTTGCATATAATGGGCTCAGCCAAGTGGCCTCATTTCTGGAAGATTGTAGGGGCCAAGGCTGAGCTCAGCACTCATGAGCTGTGTATTCTAACTCTGAGGAGGCTGGTACTGGACCTCTGGCTTTGTTTTCTAGCCCCTCAAGGTTAGGAGCCTAGCAGGTGTCTTAAACTGTTTTCTGTTGCGATAATAGAATACCTGAGAGTGGGTAACTTATTAAAAAGAGTTTTATTTAGCACTTGGTTCTGTTGGCTGGGAAATTCAGGATCAGGCAGCTGTATCTGGTGGGTTCTCATGACTGCCTCATGCTGCATCAAAACATCGTAGAGAAACAGAAGGGGACCGAGTTTGTGCAAACAAAAAGCGCAAAATAGAAGAGGCAGCACTGTTTTATAACAACTCACTCTCTTGGGAACTAACCATTCCCAGGAGAACCCAGTCTCAGTGTCAAGAGAAAGATGTTAATCCATCTTAGCAACCTAATTACCTCTTAAAAGCAGCATCTCCCAACACTATTACATTGGCAATTGAACTACAACGTGAGTTTTGGAGGGGCCAAACAACATCCAAACCATAGCAGCAGGTTTAAAGGTAAAAGGATGGGAGAAAAGTACACAGAAAGATATTCTGGAGAAAAGGCACAGAGTGAGCCAAGGCACAAGGTAAAATGTTTGACTGGTTAGAGACGCTAGATTATTTTGTGTGGCTAAGACAAAACAAAGCTGGTGGGGAGTGGCAGGAGGTAAGTCTAGAATGGCACAATGGGGCCAGACTGCGAATGGCAAACTGAAGTATGTGATCTTTTATTCTAAAGAAAATGTAGTATGATTAGCACAAAAAAAAGAAAAATTATTGGCCGGGCGCAGTGGCCCATGCCTGTAATCCCAGCACTTTGGGAGGCCGAGGAGGGTGGATCATGAGGTCAGGAGTTCAAGACGGTGAAACTCCATCTCTACTAAAAACACAAAAATTAGCCAGGAGCTGTGGCAGGTGCCTGTAATCCCAGCTACTCAGTAGGCTGAGGCAGGAGAATCACTTGAACCCGGGAGGTGGAGGTTGCAGTGAGCTGAGATCGCGCCACTGCACTCTAGCCTGGGCGACAGAGCAAGACTAAAAATAAAAATGAAAAAATTATTATCCATGGTATTATCATGGTAGTACTGACTAAAAGAGGGACACGTGTAACAAAATCAGTAAGGAGGGTACTCCAAGAATCCATGTTAAAGTTAATGAGGGCTCGAACCCAAACATAAAGGATGGAAATGATGTAATAAAACCCCACCTTTTGAAAGTTATATTTAAAAATTTTTGGTTAATAGTCTAGTTAGAGGTGAAAGAAGAAAGCAGAGGAGTCTAATGCAATGCGTGACTTGTAGCTCAGGTAAAGGGGTGGCAGGTGACGCTTAAATACTAGAAATATAAGAAGAAGCACAGGTTTGGTTTTATCTGTGAGAACAATGGAGTGGAGGTATGCTTTAGATGCAATTATTTATGGGATATTCAAAACAGATATCTATGAAGCAAAAAACTTGGGCCCAAAAAACAAGTTTGAAGGTATATTTGGGAGTTACCAGTAATATAGGTAACTGTTGAAGCTCTAAATATAGAAGACAAACTAGAGGAGCTTGTTTCTTGAAGAATTCTTGTCACACTTGACATTTTTTACAGAGATTTCTTAAAACAGGGGCATATCTTCTTTGGCTAACATATGCAGACTAAAATGAAAGAGTATAGTATATTATAAAATCAATAAAAGGTAAGATAAATTTAGGCCTAAAAATAAAGAATAAATACACTCAGTTGATTCTGAAGCTCTAATTTACAGATGCAAAATTGTACCAGTACATTAACTCATATGTCAAAACAACATCTAGAGAAACAAAAAATGAAAGTAAAATGGAAAAAGATAAAAGAAGTGAGGCAAGGAGAAGAGAATGGGCAAGAGGAGATAGGAAAAACAGGAATTTTTTTTTAAGGGCTAAAATTTTAGTGAATCAGATGTGGAAAACAGTTGGATTAACATTGAGATCAAATGAGAAAGGAGCAAATAAGGAAAGATGTATTACAAACCAAGAGTAAAAAAGGGAAAACAAAATAACAAAAGCAAAAACTATTTAAAAAGAATAAAGGAAGACGTGATAATGAAGTAAATTTAAAAAGTACGGAATAATAAAAAGAAATTGCAAAAAATACCTTTTGAAAATAAACATACTAATAACTTGACAATAAAGTGAAATGTGTAAGACAAACATATCTGTGTCATTATTTAGGAGTAGTGAAAAGTACTCTTAAATAATAATTTGGTATCTAGCAGGCCTGGATTTGAATCTACTTTAACTTGCTAGCTATGTGACCTTGGGCAAGCAAAGAAACTCCTCATAACCATTGTAATAATACCACCAAAATGCCTTACACTTACGGCTCAAAAAATGAAGGAAATGAGAGAAAAAAGTATAGATTACTATATGGAAGTCAAATTTCTAGTGACTTTTCTAATCCAAACATGAATTGTTACAGTACTTGAAATAAACTTTATGAGAACTGAGTGACTACATTGCTTCAGATAGTTTTATACTGCTAGGTCAGCGCTGCCTGACAGTAATAAGAACAGGATGTGAGATTCAATATGCTCATTCTATCTCAAACTCTGTCACACATACAATGACTGCTATTTACCTTCCTCCTGAGCCATCTGGGAAAAAACCAACCAACCAAACAAACAAACAAAAGAAACACCCACCAGGTAGGAGTCAGTCAGTTCTGCTAACTAACTAACCAAAAACCTTAATTGTATGGCCACCAGCACCCTAGCCCTTTGTCATGAAAGCTACCAATAAGGTGGAAATTTAAAATATGAGATATTTTATTATACATGTTTTATTAAACCCTATATGTGCAGAAATGATTGTCCATTTTCCTTCTTAACTTGCTTTTGTAAGACTTATTAAGTAGAAAATATAAATCTCAAGCTCCTTAAATGTGATTTTGAGGAACTGAGACCAAAACAATTTTTTGCTGTGGAACCAGATCCTTGAATGCACTACAGGAAAATATTATTTGATATGAAATTTTTTGGGTACACACAATTTTTCAAAAATATATCTCTCTCCACAAAGTTAATTCAAATTGTAGAATTCTTCCAAGTCACAAATGGAGTTTTCAAGGCTCTGGGTACTTACCTTTGAGTTCCACATCCTTTATCTCTGGAGCTCTTAACTGAGGGAACATGGACCATTAGGTCATGAACAGACTTTGTAGTCTTTGAACAGCCTGAAACAGTATGTGATACTTGATGTGCATGTACACAGGAACATTTTTCTAGAGTAATGGCACATACCTTTCATCAGATTTTCAAAGGTTTCTCAAAATGCTCAAGAACCGCTGTTAGATATTTAAATAACCAGAGTGTACAGTGTCCAAATATTTCCAAATTTTGACACTTGTAAGATGTCTTAATTAAAACAAGCCATGAAGTTCAGCGTCACAATAACCAGAAAAGCACTTGTGAGAGTAGTTCTATGTCTTTACTTCCTAGTGGTTTACACACTCTTTAACCCATATGGCAATCTGGCTTCTGTCTCCGGTGCTCTGGAATTACTTCTGCCTGTATGATTAAGTTCCTCATTGTTAAATTCGAAAATACATTCTTTGGTATTTATTTGACCTCTTGGTGGTAATATAGTGTAAGAGCACAGACTCTGGAGCCAAACTGCCTAGGTTCAAATCTTAGCTCTATTACTTTCTAACTCTGTGACTTTGGGCAAATGACTTAACTCTCTCATGCCTCAAAGCAGAATCCTTTGTAAGGTTTATTTATATAGTGGTGTAAAGAGTACTTACTTCAAAAGCTTTGGTCAGTGTGAGAAATAAGCTCCTAACAAAGAAAGTGTTATGTAATAGTTATTATCTGGTACCTCTGATCACATCATTTTTGAAAATCACTTGAAATCTGCCTAAGTTTCATTCTGCCTTTGATGGCTCCTTATTTTCATCTCCCTACTTCAGGCTTCCTCCCTAATATATCTTTTATGCCAATATTATGATCACTTGAAACTATAAATCTGATGCCATCCTTGGCCACTACCATTAAGATGGTCTAAACTCCTCAGCATGATAGACAAGTCCCTTTATGATAGTGTACCCATCTAGTTCTCATTCCTCAAGTCTCCTCTGTTGTCTATGCTTACCCTATGGGCTAAGCTGAATCAAGCTGTTACATTTCCAAAATATGCCTCACTGTCTTTATTCATGCCTTTGCACATGCCATTGACTCTTCCTAGAATGCCCCATTCTCCTTCTCTAGAAAGTCTTCTCTTAACATACTTCTTCCCAAAATAAATTAGGTGTCCTTTCTTAATATGCCTCCAATAACCCCATACAGTATTTATCCCATTCTATTTTAGATGCCAGTTTGGTTGATGATACATTTCATCTAGTCAGATCTTCCCACTGTCTCTTATAAAGAAAACCAGGAGCCATATTATGATATTCTTGTTCTCTAATTTTTCTGCTGCCCTGATCTTAAACCACTTTCTTCTCCCTTTGTTGACAATTACCCCACCCCTTATTTCTTAATTAGCTCAACAAGATTAGATAGAAATGTATCTACAAAGGATATATGTATATAAATTAACTAGATAACAAAACTTCACACTGAAGTGAACATTCTACAAGTATTTCTTTCATTGCTGACCATTAGGTTGCAGCATGCAACTCTCAACAATGAGCTGCCCCTCTCCACTCCTATAGAAGCTCCAAATACTATGGTACCACTATGTAGGTTTTCAGCCTTTCAAAGGCTTTTATTATTAACATCATCATTACTTCAGCAGGAGCCTTTTAGGGACTTAAAAGCACTGATTATCTATAAAAAGTAACTTCATATTTCATGCACAAAATTCCCAATTGGCAGATTTAGGTCCATAAAAGAAAGGAAAAAAATTATTCTAGTTATATAAATTATCAGGAATAAAATAGCATTTCTCCTTGCCTTGTTATAAGGAAATAATATATTTTTCCTTACCAGGAATCAGGATAGTATCTTTGATGATCCCTCAGGGTTATAAAATTGCTTACTGGTTAAAGTTTTTTGCCAAAGATATTAAGAAATAAAAAGTTTGCTCATTTTCCTGTGCAATTTAAAGAAATATTTGCAGTATGTACAGGAATTTTAAGTTATATTGCAGACCCTGGCAATAATATTTAAAAGGCCTATTTTCCCCATTAAAAAATTTACCCCATTAAAAAAGGTAAAAGGAAATCTCCATCATCCCTGAGCAGAAAAGGAAAAAATCATGGGTACTTTAATTAGTTAATAGAAACCACTGTAAATGAGTTATCTATCTCCAGAACATTCTCAGAGAATTTACACGAACTAAAACAGGAATGAAGTGCTCTCAGAGACTTTTTCTCAGGTAAATGTATTTAGTAGTTTGAGTAGTTGATCTGCAAAAACTTTAACTTTAATTAACTACATAGATGAACATTTTTTATTTTGAAATTTGAGAATGTCCTAAGAGGATGTCTACAGGATATGAAACTACTGGGTGCAGGAAAATTTTTTAAGTGTTAGCAAATTGTGGCAAGAGGAAAACAAACAGTGGAGAAAACTGTGGTAGAGAAAGTAAAGAAGGGGCAGGAGAAAGCTGTAATTATAACCTGGGCCTGCCTTTGTTCTCATGAAGCCAGGGGCCTCTCCATATCCTATACTTGCTCTTACACTAATAACAAACCAAATGCTGCAAAATAAAAGTAATAATGACCCAAACTAATTTAAGTCTTTTGTTTAAGGAGTAAATGAGAGAAACATTTTAGCTTCTTAATCAAGGAGTGCTATAATTTCAAGGCATCTTAATATAATTCACTTACCCTAAAGCAATTGTGCAATAAGCAAATTATAAAAGGAAAACAACAAAGGTTAACTTTCTACAGGGGCCAATAGACAAGATCTGTGGAGCACAGCAATTAACCTTCACATACTGGAGTCTTGTTTAAAAGGCCATCAAAAACTCAGATTACTGAAAATCACAAATGTCACCAACAAAAGGAATGTTGATTAGAGTCAAAAAAAAAAAAAAAAAAAAACACCTTCCCAAAGGACTGCCTTCTTTGAAGGAATTTCAGAATGTTGCTAGCACAGGTTGACTAAGTTAAATCTCATTGATGGCTCCATCAGAGAATGAGAATGCCCCAGCCAGTGCTGTTTTTAAAATGCACTGGGAGGGAAAAAACGAAATAACAATCTACTATTCCCTAATATATATGGCTTGGCACCCAGAGAAAGCCTCTGCCCCCGAAAGAGACTTTCTACATAGGGTTAAGCTTCATTAAATGAGGTGCAACCTTTCATTTTCAGGACATCTCTTTTCTTGCAAGGTCTTTAGAGGCAGAAGTTCCACTTGGATTCTAATACACATCTCTGTGAGCTCAGTTTCCTGAAAATATACACCTACTGGGTTCTAGGTTCTCCCTTACCAGTGACTGTATTCATTATTTCACAGCCACCAGAATCGGACATACACTATTAACATGATGAAAAATACAGCTACTGCTGCAAGTTTGGCGTAAGTGGAACGCATGTTCAAGTACTTCGCATCCTGGCGGTATTTCTTGGACAGACTGGACAAATTGTTAGCCTTTGAATCCAATGCTGTCAAAGAGGAAAAAAGGAAAACATTAATTAGTCCCTGGAAGTATTTTACCGAAAGTATTAAGGCATTAAAAATAACCAAAATGAGCAGCACTGCAACAACCATGAATCTTAAATCATCATTTTTATTTTGAGGCTAACATTGCATATACTAATTAACTGATGATGCTGATCAGATTATGTCTGAATTTTTGAGGCTATATAGTAAGGTGGTTAGAAGTGCAGGTTCTGGCCTCAGACTCTTTGGTTCAGATATCACCTGTACAAGTTATGTGACATTGGTCAAGTCATGTAACCTATTTAAAACCTAGTTTCTTCATCTATAATTGGGGATAATAACAGTAACTATGTCATAAAGTTGTATGTACATGAGATTGCCTGTAAAGTGAGCAGCAATGCCTGCACATGATAAATTATAATAATTATTACATGTTAATAATTATTATCTTCATAATCTTCTAATGGTCTGAATCATATTCTCTTATATTTTGAAAAACGATAATGATAATCCATGTAAAACAAACTCAGATAACCAGAAAATTCAATTTACCAAACACAGTCTTAAGCTATACTTCAATGATGACTGCTAACATTTCTAAGATTCTCCACATAGTAGAGACTACTATGAAGTTAAAGCTATCAGGATTTATATTTCAAAAGACATAGGAAAGTTGTAACTAAAATACAATAAGTACTACAAAAAAAAACGCAAGTAAATTAAGCTTTTTAGTATTTTCTGGCAAGTTTTTTCACCCCCAAGGACATTTGTAATGTTGTTATCTTCTTATAACAGTTAACTAAACACTTAGAGAAATAGCCAGATAGACACAAGCTAGACCATATTAAAATATAGGGCATATTTTAATAATAAACACAAACTCTCCATTTGACATAATAAATTCTGATCAAACTTTTCACTTCTTGAAATTTCAGAAAAAACTATTTTGCAATCCGGTTGTTTCTTCCTTAAAGAATGCTTTTGGAATATTTGGAGTTGCTTAATAGAGACTGGTTTTGATTGGGAAACATGGCGTTACTTAATAACACAGGCATGACAGCCACGTCTGAATTAGCAACTGATCACATGAGTAAGAAAAACATCTAGTCACGGAAGAAGAGTCAGGGACTGAGAAATAACCATGACAATGCACAGGGCATCTTTTTACAGAGCCTACAAGAATATACACTTCACTGGACAGGGATTTTAAATTATTGTGTTTGCTGCTATATCCTGAATGCCCAGAACAGGGCCTGGTATATAGTTAGTGCTCAATAAACATTTGCTAAATGAATCTAAATCTGCTGAGAATAACTCAGCAGAGGAACAATTATTAGACCCTATGAAACAAGTCATAGTTGAGAGAATTTATATATGAACGTTTTGAAATACAGGATAACATAAAGACAAAGCTATTGCTTGGAGAAGTCATTTAACAAATATTTATGTGACAGGCACCATGTGAAGTGCTGAGGATACAACAGTGATCACAATATACATGATCCCTGCCTTTAAGGAATTTAGAGTCTTGCATGAGTGATACAAGAAAAATTCCTGTGCTAGTCTACTTTATCCCATATAGGAATTGCAAGTCTGTATGACAAAACCTTACACACTCACTCACTCAAAATTTGGTATTTAAAGAGTGTGAAGGTAAATGAATAACTGCTCACTACTCAAAAAAAGGTTAAAGTTTGTAGTTCATAATAAAAGAAAACTCACTTACTAATGAATATATAGCATGGCTGAATTCAAAAATACTTATTAAGGAAACTATTTGTGACCATTTCTGTGGGGGATATATAAGGAGTATGTGAAACAGATATAAAATACATAAGCACTATCTTTAAAGAGCTTACATGTCCACATTAAACACTTAGGTAATATTGAAATATCAGGTAAATATACATATACTTTTAACCTAATTTTACCTAATTACCTACACTTTTAAAATTATATAAAGGGCTGGGTGTTGTGGCTCATGCCTGTAATCCCAGCACTTTGGGAAGCTGAAGTGAGTGGATTGCTTGAGCCCTGGAGTTTGTGACCAGCCGGAACAACATGGCAAAACCCCATCTCTACTAAGAAAATACAAAAATTAGCCAGGCGTGGTGGCACATGCCTGTAGCCCCAGCTACTCAGGAGGATAAGGTGGGAAGATCGCTTGAACCCAGGAGATGGAGGTTGCAGTGAGCCAAGATCGTGCCATTGCACTCCAGCCTGGGCAACAGAACAAGACTCTGTCTCAAAAAAATATATGAAATTATATAAAAATATTTAATTATCCAAATATGTTTGCCTACTTTAATATAAATATATGAAACATATACTTATGTTATATGGAAATATATTTAATATATATTAAATATATATTTAATATATATTAAATATATATTTAATATGGTAAGAGGTATTTAATAAATATATTTAAGGTAAATTAGGTAAACACGCATACATGTAATATGTGCTAAAACCATTATGTTACTAAGTGCTTTAGGAGTTTAAAGGACAGAAGAGATTAGTGTGATACAGGCTATAAGGATCAGAGAAAGGTTCTTTAAAGAGACAGTTCTTATGGAGGTCTTACATACAGAACAGGTCCAGCATAAGGCAGAATAGACCACTAAGGATAGTAAAGAAGCTGGTGTGGCTACAGAAGAATGTTTGTGAACTAGAGAATGACAGACATTTGCATCTTCCTTATTTTCCATATGTAGAGCACAACGCCTTACAAATAACAAGCTCTCAATAACAATGGCTGACTGACGGAAAAATAAGTCAGACTGGATCTTATCTTGTAGTCCCAGATTTAAAAGTTTTTCAGAGAGGAATGCCTTGATGAAAATGGCATTTTATAAAGATTGATCTGGCAGCAGTAAAGTCTCCCAAAGAGGCTACTCAAAAAACCACTGCAATACATTGTTGAGTTTTCTCTCACTCATTTCCCTTAATTTATACAAGTTACATAATTTAATTAATTTTGTGAATATCTTAGAAATAATCATTGCTTCTAATATGGATGAGTCCTTTACACTGTTCCAACTCAATAAAAACTAATCATGCTAGGAAAAAAAATATATTGGAAGCATTGTAATGTAATGTACTTCTGGGAGATAAATTCTTAACAGTTCTAGGTAGAATCTAATAGCATAAAAGGCACTGCAAAATAAGCTATCCTTGTCTATGGAATGAGAACCATTTCTTCATAAGACTCATTGCTTTTAGATACCTGAGAGTGCTTCTCCTCGTTGTAACACTTCTTCGATATTGGCCACCATGAGCCTCTGCACATCTTGCAATTCAGTGTTGATGGAGCCTAGGTTTCTTCAAGCACAACTGTCAATGTAGAGCTTCTTGGTTTTCTGAATGAAAGTATCTAGAATGATGAAGAAAACTGACCATTTCTTTCATGGCCATCAAAGTACTGAGGTAGGAAATTAAAAGTTCTGAGTTGGCCAGGTGCAGTGGCTCACACCTGTAATCCCAGCACTTTGGGAGGCCAAGGCAGGTGAATCATGAGGTCAGGAAATCGAGACCATCCTGGCTAACACAGTGAAACCCCGTCTCTACTAAAAATATAAAAAGTTAGCCAGGCGTGGCGGCACACGCCTATAATCCCAGCTACTCAGGAGGCTGAGCCAGGAGAATCACTTGAACTTGGGAGGCAGAGGTTGCAGTGAGCTGAGATCACACCACCACACTTTAGCCTGGGTGACAGAGCAAGACTCTGTCTCAAAAACAAAAACAAAAAAACCAAAACAGTTCTGACTTTATTCCTGGATTTGCCACTGTCCATGGTTAACCAAACTCTTGGTTGAATATCAAAATCTAGGCTTTGATTATTTCATTTGTAAGATGTAAAGGTATAATTAGACGACCATTCAGGAGAAATGTCCTTTGAATACCTTTAAATTAGAAGTATTTGCTATCTAAGGCTGCTATCAGAATCCTTAGAGAAATTAAGACCCACTATAGTAAGCCTTTCCTGAAAACAGAAATTTTCAAACAGTATTCTGAGGACCCTTAGGCTAAGTGTTACTTACCTCTACACATTCCTTAAAAGGATGCTGGTAACACTCTAGCATTATTACAGCCTAACATGGCAAAAGGGCTCATGATCATTAAAAAGCTGAGAAACTTAACCTTATTTTCTCTAATATACATTCCCAGTTTCAT
Source organism: Homo sapiens (assembly GCF_000001405.40). NCBI lineage: Eukaryota > Metazoa > Chordata > Mammalia > Primates > Hominidae > Homo > Homo sapiens. The sequence continues at coordinate 146,326,171 of NC_000001.11, forward strand.
TCCATTCTTAAACCTCAGGTAAAGCAAGTATGTAATAGGGAGTTTTCCAAAATACCAATATAAAACTGAACTGAAGTCTCGGCCAGGCACTGTGTCTCACACGTATAAATCCCAGCATTTTGGGAGGCCAAGATGGGTGGATCACTTGAGGCCAGGAATTCGAGACCAGCCTGGCCAACAAGGCAAAATTCCCATCTCTACCAAAAATACCGAAATTAGCTAGCTGGTCATGGCAGCGTGCACCTCTAGTCCCAGCTATTCAGGAAGCTGAGGCACAAGAATCACTTGAACCTAGGAGGCAGAGGTTGCAGTTAGCCAAAATCATGCCACTGCACCCCAGCCTGGGCAATAGAGCGAGACTCTGTCTCTAAGTAAATAAATAAATAAATAAAAACTGAAGTCTCATCCATCTTTTGCTCATATCAGTATTTCTCAAAACTATAGGAAGAACGACTTATTATTAAAGATATTTTCAACTTTTGGCAAAAATCTTAATTTAAGTGTGCTGTACCCCTTTCATTTGCCTCTTTAGATCTCCTCTCTGCCCTCCTGCACCTTGCTTTCTGCACTGGGAAGCTGACTTGGATGAAGCGCCTCAATAGACTCCTTGCTCTGTGCCAGTTAGGTTCAGGCAATGAAGAAGCCCCAACAGTAGGGAAGAAGGAGAACAGACAGTGAGTGATGTCCGGGTATTTGTTCCCCTGGCTTCTTTCAGAGAAGGAAATAACCTTCTTCTGGAAGTATCCCTCTACCAAAAGTTACGCTCCTCTCAAGTTGGCCTTCTCTAGAAATTTTCTCCTTTTCAGTTTCAGAAACTGCTCCTCCCCCTTATACATTCAGGCCTAGGGATGGTAACAACCAGTATGCTACTGGTCAGAGGTTACTGTACCTTGTAATTCTCCTACAGCCTAGTCATATCTTTGTATATAATCCCTTAAGCTAATTTGGGTGTGCCATCTGTTTCCTGTATGACCCTGATACATTTGTCTTATTTTTGAGGGAGGTTTATGGGAGTATTACTGTCTATAAAAATAAAATTTGAAAAACTGGACATTATATAAAGCAGCACTTGGAGAGTATATAGTTATGAAACACTAGAGTGTTTTTCCAAAGCAAGATGACCCATTTATCTAGCAAACTTGAAACACTTCAAAAATTCTAAGCCAGTAAAACCAATTTCTCTTTTAACTAAAAATTTCAGCGATATAGCCTGATCCTACTTGTTCTCACTCCCTGTACTTACTGTACTTAGGACATTTCCTTTGATCCCTTACCATCAGATACTTTACCAGGTCTGATTAGTAATTAGTCTTTCTATAATTCTTGTACAAATACAGACACCTATGCTCACTATTCCTGAATGTAGTAAATATTATACCCCAATACCATGAGTACCAGGTATCTTCTATTTCTTTGTTCTGTTTTGTTTTTTTAATTAGAGGATCTTATTCTACTAAAAGAAACAAAACATCATTCTTTCTGATTTCCCAATTCTGATCTCCATAAAATGAGCCTTATTGTGAGTGTGAGTCTGTGGACTGGGGTAAAGAAGAACTCAGCCATTATATGCCAATCAAGTAGATCTTTAGCAAAGTTCCTGTCACATGTGACTCTAAAGAAGAATCAAACCAAATAACAGAAAGGGCAAAAGGCAACAATTTCTATGGGGGAAAGATCAAAAGACTAGAGAAAATTACTTTTCAGAACAAAGCCTTAGTCACTCAAAAAGACAAAAAGAAGTGGAATGGAAAAGGAAGCAGAAGCTAAAACTTCAGCAAGTAAACATCAGAAAAAATGTATAAATATTATATCAGTGTAACAAATAGCTTCTCCATATTGTTTGCTCCCTTGATAGAGAGAAGTGAGGGGCAAAAACTTACCAAATTCAATAAAGGAATAGGGTTGGGACACAGTGGGCACCTTCTTTCCATGCTGTTCATCAAATTCTGAGTGCAAATCTTCTAGGTAGGCAAAAGCCAACTTCTTAGGGAAGGCAGCTTCACATAAAACCAAATCACACACCCCCTGCTCAATAATGTAGCTGGTGAGACATAAAAAGCAAGACAAAGTTGTCTGTAAAGTAATAGCACTGACAACAGTTTAAAGCAAAATCTCTGTACCATGCAAACTTTTTTAAAAATCTAGCCTAAATACTTTGAGGCTGGCTAAACGAGAGTCAATTTAAAACCGCAAATCCTTGGAATCAGAAAGCAAACATCTTCCCATTATTAGATGTATATTCTTTTTTTTTTTGTTTTTGGTTTTTTTTTGTCGAGACGGAGTCTCGCTCTGCCCCCGGGCTGGAGTGCAGTGGCATTATCTCGGCTCACTGCAACCTCCGCCTCCCGGGTTCAAGCCATTCTCCTGCCTCAGCCTCCCGAGCAGCTGGGACTACAGGCGTGCGCCACTATGCCCAGCTAATTTTTGTATTTTTAGTAGAGACGGGGTTTCACCACGTTAGTTGGCCAGGATGGTCTTCATATCTTGACCTCGTGATCCGCCCGCCTCAGCCTCCCAAAGTGCTGGGATTATAGGCGTGAGCCACTGAGCCAGGCCATTCTGTCTTTTTATATAATGTAACTTGTACTTTTATGTAGTAAATTATCACAATGGTGTCAGACACTCTGAGGAAGAGTATTTTACTGTATCATTCCCATTACCCAATCAGGAAGTCTTAACAGGCAGATTTTAACAAAAATATAAGACACAACTGTGCCCTAGCTTTTCTCACATACTTCCTACCTCACACCTCACACATTTCTTTTTCTCAGCACCCACTCTTAAGTAATAATTTATTTCCCCTGAATATTATTTACCTTCTGTGGGCTACTTTACATATCATCTGAAAGCATGATCAAAACAGTTATATTTGTGAATAATTTTATTTTGGTTTATTTCTTAGCAGAAGGAGGAGTTAATAGTAATATTTGTAGGCCGGGCACGGTGGCTCACGCCTGTAATCCCAACACTTTGGGAGGCCGAGGCTTGCGGATCATGAGGTCAGGAGATCGAGACCATCCTGGCTAACACGGTGAAACTCTGTCTCTACTAAAATACAAAAAAATTAGCCGGGCGTGGTGGCGGGCACCTGTAGTCCCAGCTACTCGGGAGGCTGAGGCAAGAGAATGGCGTGAACCCAGGAGGTGGAGCTTGCAGTGAGCCGAGATCGCGCCACTGGGCTCCAGCCTGGGAGACAGAGCGAGACTCCATCTCAAAAAAAAAAAAAAGGAACATTTGTAATCTCCCAGAGATTGCCAAGGAAAACATTCTCCTGGCTGAATTTATGTAGAGTTCATCATCTAAGCATAAAATATTTTATAAAGGAATGGGCCAATCAAATAACTGCTATGCGGTTGACACCATAAACCAAGTTAGCTTAGTACCACTCTAAATAGTTGTTGGGAATATAATGATTTTCAAAGACATGATCTCTAGAAATAAATAACTAAAAGAGAAGCACGGTGTCATGCATTTATGCATACACATAAGCAGGGACTAGAGATCAAGAATAGAAATAAAAGAGGTTTTTACACTTGGGGTGCTAAGGTCGCAATGATTTATTTGGAGAGAAAACGGAAGCCCTTCTTTAGTAAATGCAAAGCACCATGTGTTTAATGAAGATACATGACCTAAGCTTTGAAGATCGTTTAACTAATTCAATAACCTTGCCAAGTATGCATTACTACATCTCAACAATCAAATTTACAGTGACATCTTTGAGTTAAATCTCTCCATAGATGTCTGGAAACAGCTTAATTCTGTTAACTGCTGCCCATTGAATTATGCTTTATTTGGTCGTAGAATTTCATGTCATCTGTTAGTCTCCCTCACAACTTGGGAGATGTTATTCCTGTATTGTCTGTTCTCGTTGATGAAGAGAAGTCTGTGATAAAGTAATTGTCCTTCCTTTGCAGGTAATCTGCCTTCCATCTCTGGTTGATTTGAAAATATTGTATTAGTCTTTAGTATCTTGCATTTTACTGTGGTATGTCTACATATGGATTTATACTTACTGAGTTTGCTCAGAGCTTGGAGTATTTCCTCAGTCTTAAAGGCCCTAGTTGTGAAAATGTTACTACAGAAAAACTTTCTTTTTTTAACTTAAAATCCTTTTTATTGGGAAATAAATGTAAGATTATAGATAAGTTTGAAAATAAAAGAATTGTTAGAACAAAAAATACTCATATGCCTGTTACCCTAATTTGTCTATTATTATTTTATTAAATTTAGGTTACCATTTGTTCTCTCTCTCTCTCTCTCTCTCTCAATATATATCCCAATTTTCAGTCTTTAGATCTAAATCTTTCAGCAACCTGGACTATCATGGCCCCAGTGTAATGCTTGGCTTTGTACCTCATGAGGGAAGAAATTTTTTTTTTTAATCTTAAGTTCTAGGGTACGTGTGCATCACATGCAGGTTTGTTACATAGGTATACATGTGCCATGTTGGTTTGCTGTACCCATCAACTTGTCATTTACATTAGGTATTTCTCCTAATGCTATCTGTCCCCCAGCCCCCCACCCCCTGACAGGCCCCAGTGTGTGATGTTCCCCACCCTGTGTCCATGCATTCTCATCGTTCAACTCCCATCTGTGAGTGAGAACATGCGGTGTTTGGTTTTCTGTCCTTGTGATAGTTTGCTGAGAATGATGGTTTCCAGCTTCATCCATGTCCTTGCAAAGGACATGAACTTATCCTTTTTTATGGCTTCATAGTATTCCATGGCACATATGTGCCACATTTTTTTAATCCAGTCTATCACTGATGGACATTTGGGTTGGTTCCAAGTCTTTGCTATTGTGAATAGCACCACAATTAACATACGTGTGCATGTATACATCTTTATAGTAGCATGATGTATAATCCTTTGGGTATACACCCAGTAATGGGATCGCTGGGTCAAATGGTATTTCTAGTTCTAGATCCTTGAGGAATCGCCACACTGCTTTCCACAATGGTTGAACTAATTTACGCTCCCACCAGCAGTGTAAAAGCATTCCTATTTCTCCACATCCTCTCCAGTTTCTGTTGTTTCCTGACTTTTTAATGATCATCATTCTAACTGGCATGTGATGGTATCTCATTGTGGTTTTGATATGCATTTCTCTGATGACCAGAGATGATGAGCATTTTTTATGTGTCTGTTGGCTGCATAAATGTCTTCTTTTGAGAAGTGTCTGTTCATATTCTTTGCCCACTTTTTGATGGGGTTGTTTTTTTCTTGTAAATTTGTTGAAGTTCTTTGTAGATTCTGGATATTAGCCCTTTGTTAGACGGGTATATTGCAAAACTTTTCTCCTATTTTTTAGATTGCCCGTTCACTCTGATGAGAGTTTCTTTTGCTGTGCAGAAGCTCTTTAGTTTAATTAGATTGCATTTGTCTATTTTAGCTTTTGTTGCCATTGCTTTTGGTGTTCTGGTCATGAAGTCTTTGCCCGTGCCTATGTCTTGAATGGTATTGCCTAGGTTTTCTTCTAGGGTTTTTTATGGTGTTAGGTCTTTCATTTAAGTCTTTAATCCATCTTGAGTTAATTTTTGTGTATGGTGTAAGAAAGGGATCCAGTTTCAGCTTTCTACATATGGCTAGCCAGTTTTCCCAGCACCGTTTATTAAATAGGGGATCCTTTGAGGGAAGAAAATTATTTCTAATATTTTAATCCAGCTATGTATGTAAAAAGAAGTCTTTTTCATATTTTATCTATTATTTCTGTATGATTGGAGTATGAGTCAAAACATCTCAATATAAATAAAAAGTTACATTTCAGTAATTTTTTTTCTAAAATTACAAAACACTAGTGGTCAAAAACACTACTATTTCCAATTCTCTTTACTTTGTTAACATTACTTTTTGTACTTATGAGAGAAGAGTTTGCAATCCAAAAAGAGCAGGAAGGAAGAGAGATTAGAGATTTTTTCTCCCGCTTGCTCTATACATATGAGATATTTATATATCTATATATCAACAGTTGACCTTTGAATAACACTGGTTTAAACTGTGTGAGTCCACTTATAGGTGGATTTTTTCAGCCAAATACAGATTGAAAATATAGTATTTGTGGGACGTGAAACCCACATATGTGGAGGGCCAACTTTTCATATGCGAGCTCTGCAAGGTTGACTGTGGGACCTGAGTATGTGCAGACTTCGGTATATGCAGGGCTCCTGAATGCAATACCCCACTAATACTGAGGGATGACTGTATATGTCTCTATCTATCTACTCTATCACATATATATATATATATATATATATATATATACACACACACACACACAAATATGTGTATATATATATATGTATGTGTGTATATATATATATATATACTTCCTATATTACTTTGCTAGGGTTGTTATAACAATTACTGCAGACTGGATGAGTTAAACAACAGAAATTTATTTTCTCACAGTTCTGGAGGCTAGAAGTGTGAGGTCAAGGCATCAGATATGTTAATTTTATTCTGAAATTTCTCTCCTTGGCTTTTAGATAGTCATTTTCTCATCTTGTCTTCTCATGGACTTTTTTCTGTGCACATGTATGTCTGTACCTAAATTTCCTCTTCAAATAAGGACACCAGTGATATTGGATTAGGACCCAGACATGTGACCTCATTTTACATTAGTTACCTCTTAAAAGTCTCTATCTCCAAATATAGCCACCTTCTGATATACTGGGATGGCAGGGGGCAGGGTACAGCATATTAATTTGGGGAAAGGACACAATTCAGCCTATAACATATGCAATATATTCTTCTCTGATCTATATTATATAACTTTTATATATAATACATATATAATTTAATATACATTTTAACCCCTTGATTAATTTTCTCACTGCAGAGAAAACAAGAATTAAAGAAAAGCTTCAGGTGATACCGTTTTTGAATGAGTAAGAATTGAGCCTACCCTTAACACAAGAATGAAGTAGAAATAAACTGACTTAGGGAACAGCATAAAAAAGTTCTCTTATGAGTCAAGATTTCAGTGTGATGTCATCATTTTTTCCAGGGATTAAATGTTAGAATATATTGCATGCCCATATTGAGGTGGAATCATAAACTTATTTCAGACTTATTATAATGGCTCATTTTCTTATGCCTTCACCATTGAACTTGTACTTAGCTGGGGATTGAGCTGAAAGTTTGCCTTTTCTGTATCTAGCATAGTTGCACCAAATCTGACCTTAATCCCAAATTTTCCTCTCTGTAATATCTTGTTTCCAAATGAGGCTCACATTGAATTTTCTCTTGTTAGAAATATAACTGGCAAGACCAATCAAAACCATTCATTCCATTCAGTTGCCTGTGAACAAGCTTGATTTGCTTTGTTATTAATATAGCTTCTTGTGGGTTAAGTAGAAAGCTCTTTTGTAAATATCCCTCAGTTTAAGTACATATGGTTTACATTTCCAGGTAAACTATAAATTCTCTAAGAAAGGCCCAGCACAGTGGTTCAAGCCTATAATCCCAGCTCTTTGGGAGTCTGAGATGGGTGGATCACTGGAGGTCAGGAGTTTGAGACCAGCCTGGCCAATGTGGTGAAACCCCATCTCTACCAAAAATACAAAAATTAGCCAGGCGTGGGGGTGCACGCCTGTAATCTCAGCTACTCAGGAGGCCAAGGCAAGTGATTAAACCCAGGAGGTGGAGGTTGCAGTGAGCTGAGATCACACCACTGCACTCCAGCCTGGGTGACAAGCTGGACTCTGACTCAAAAAAAAAAAAAAAAAAAAATTCTGTGAAAAGATCTGTGATTTCCATTCTCCTTTATAGTAATTGTTAAGCACTCACAATTAGATGGTTATAACAACTATCAAAGAAAAACAATTATTTTAATAAATATTTTTCATCATTTTCTCCTTTCTAAGCCCTATGCTATGCACTAAAAACTGCAGAGAAAATCAACACATTCTCTACCTCACAGCAGATTTCTTGGAGAGAGATAGGGGTGGGGAGGGGAATAAGGGTTGCTAAATGTTGTCAACTTTGTAATACAACTCTCAAAGGGAGATAGTTATTAGGGAGGCAAAGTGCTCAGGCTCAGATTTCAGGTTGCCTAGATTTGAATTCTGTCTTCACTGCTTCTTTTATGATTTGCCCAAATTACTTAAGCTCTTTAAACCACAGTCTCCTCATCCTTAAGGTAGGGATAATAAATAGAACTTATCTCATAAAATTACTGTGAGGATTATAAGTGATTATGAAGTTGATTAAATTTCCCCAGTGCTTCATACAAAGAAAGGACTCAAAGGATATGCTAGTTCATAGTAGGGGCATAGAAGAAGATATCCCTTCTCTCCTGGGATATAGGGTATACATAACTGTCCACTATAAAATTGAAGATAGGCTAGAGAAAAGCTAAAAATGAAGAATCTAATAACTCTTTAGCCAAGAGAAAATGAAACATGAGGGAAAGGGAGAAGTTCCAAATGAGGTCCACATTTGTCGTGGGCCACTGAATGGTGGTGCCATTCAGGCAGAGGAAACCCAGAAGGAGGAGTCATTCTGTAGTTAGAGGGCACTTAATGAGATAATATTAGAGATAACTGAGGTTGAGTTGTTGGTACATATCTGGGTGCAAAGTCTCCATAGGTCCGGAATTTTGAATAGTTTTCTGGAGTCATCTGGTTATTGTTAAAGCCAAGAGAATTGGTGAGATCACAGAATACAATAATGATCAATAAGAGGGAAGGGAAGAGAGCCAAGAACGGGAGACTGGGAAGCATACACATTTAATTAAGGTTTGGTAAGGTGAAAGGTGTCAGCAGAGAATGTAAAGGTGAAATAATGAGAGAAAAAGGAGGACATCAAGGAGAAAGTCGTGTTTTGAAAAAAACAAAAAGGACACATTTTCAAGAAAGACATTGTCAATAGTTTAAATGTCAAAAAATAGTAGAGTATAATGCAATTAAAAAAAACAAAATCTATTGCTTTTGTTAATTAAATAACTAGTAACCTCGGCTGCAGCAGTTTCAGTAGAGTGAGGAGAGTTGACACCAAACTGCACCAGTGGAGTGAAAATAAGTGGGAAGAAAGAGTGAGGAAGTGGAGGACAGTCTTTTTTTTTTTTTTTAATAAAATATTTTCCCAAACTGTCTTTTCTGGAACTTCCAACATGTCTGCTTAAGAGCTTGTTTAAGTTGAATTCATTCAAACTTCTTGAACCTAATTAGTTTCTTTTTGCTGTTTTTTTTTTTTTTTTTTTTGAGATGGAGCCTTGCTCTATCACCCAGGCTGGAGTTCAATGGTGCAATTTCGGCTCACTGCAACATCCTCCTCCTGGGTTCAAGCAGTTCTCCTGCCTCAGCCCAATTAGTTTTAAAGACGCTGCATATATTGGCAGGGAAAACCTAGAACACAAAGTCAAACTTCCAATTATCTCCCTTCAGTGTTCAAATCAAGAGTTCATTTGTTGCAAGGAATGGGGATCTGGACTCCAGGGACAAGAATAGAGTTTTAGGAGGAGAGTTTTCCTAAAACTAAATGGAAGGAGGGTTCTTTGAGATACCAAGGACTTGCAGGACTTTATTTACAATGAAATGTTAGTTTCAGACAGCCCAGGAGGAATAGGTCTATTAAAGGAAAGCAAGAGTAGTTGGTGTAAGCAAACAATTTGCATTGGAGCCTAAGAGTGAGTATAGTAATGACCACATGAGAGGCCCATTTGACTCAAGTACTTCAAAGCATTGCCAGTGTTAGCCTTTGCTCCACAATCAAGTGGGGAAAAAGTGAAATGTCTTTGAAGAGCATTTCCTGTAGGTGGCCTTTGAGGAGGTCCTGAAAATTCCAAACCTGCAAGTATTAATGGCAAAGAATAAAAATTTCTTTATGTAAAATAATTTTAAAAATCTTTCTAAATAGCAAGACATTATATATTACCATTGTTAAAAGATAAACAAATTGAGAAATATCATTAGAATTATATGCAGCAGATAAAATGGTCACTTTTTTTTTGAGACGGAGTCTCGCTCTGTCGCCAGGCTGGAGCACAGTGGCGTGATCTTGGCTCATTACAACCTCCAACTCCCTGGTTCAAGTGATTCTTCTGCCTCAGCCTCCCGAGTAGCTGGGATTACAGGCACATGCCACCACCCCAGCCAATTTTTGTATTTTTAGCAGAGACGGGGTTTCACCATGTTGGGCAGGATGGTCATGATCTCCTGACCTTGTGATCCACCCGCCTTGGCCTCCCAAAGTGTTGGGATTACAGGCGTGAGCCACTGCGCCCAGCCAAAAGGTCACTTTTTAAACTTAAAAATTATTAAGGAAACAGTGAGGCCGGGAGCGGTGGCTCACGCCTGTAATCCCAGCACTTTGGGAGGCCGAGGCGGGCGGATCACGAGGTCAGGAGATCGAGACCATCCCGGCTAAAACGGTGAAACCCCGTCTCTACTAAAAATACAAAAAATTAGCCGGGCATAGTGGCGGGCGCCTGTAGTCCCAGCTACTTGGGAGGCTGAGGCAGGAGAATGGCGTGAACCCGGGAGGCGGAGCTTGCAGTGAGCCGGGATTGCGCCACTGCACTCCAGCCTGGGCGACAGAGCGAGACTCCGTCTCAAAAAAAAAAAAAAAAAAAAAAAAAACAGTGAAACCTTAATGTTTAAAAGAGTAGAAATAGGGAAAATTATTACACAGAAAAAGATAAACAACAGAGAAAGATAAATAAATTGCCAGTGAATATGTAAAAAGTTGCTCAGCAGCAGTGGTAGTTCAAATCCAAGTAGCACTGAGTTAGCATTTGTTAACTAATAAATTGGCAAAAATTATATTTTGATAAAACCCAGTGTTGTTGACATCCCAAGAAAAAGGGCTATGCTCACACAGCCTTGGAGCATGTGCACATTGATGATTTTTTTGGCATAAAAATTAGTGGTTTCTATTAAAATCAGCAGTGTAATTCACAATCGCTAAGACATGGAATCAACCTAGGTGCCCATCAACTGTGGCTTGGATAAAGAAAATATGGTACATATATGTCATGGAATACTTTGCAGCCATAAAAAAGAATAAAATCATGTCCTTTACAGCAACATGGATGCAACTCGATGCCATTATGCTAAGCGAATTAACACAGGAATAGAAAACCAAATACCACATATTCTCACTTATAAGCAGGAGCTAAACATTGAGTACACGTGGACACAAAGATGGGAACAATAGAAACTGGGGACTACTCGAGGGTAGAAGGAGGGAGGGGGTAAAGGTTGAAAAACAACTACTATGCCTAGTACCTGAGTGATCGGATCAATCATGCCGCAAACCTCAGCATTACACAACATACCCATGTAACAAACCTGCACATGTACCCACTGTATCTAAAATCAAAAGTTGAAATTATAAAAAATAAAAAAATAAAATCAACAATGTATATTTCTCTCACACAGCCATCACGATGATGTATTTGGAATAAGATATGCATAAGGATGTTCGTTGCAGTGTTGTCTGCAAGGGCAAAGTGAAAACAATCTGAATAACCAACAATATGACACAGAGTAAGTAATTATTGGTACGTCTGTACAATGCCTCATGCAATCACCACTGACAGCGTGGGAAAGAGAGACATCTATTATGAAAAGACCACTAAGACATATGATTACATGATAAGTGCAAGGTTCATGAATAAATAGCATGTATACTAGTATAGCATACTTCTTTCTAAGAAAGAAACCATAACACATACAAGAATGGACAAGAAGTTATTAACAATAGCTAACTTTGGTGATAAGACTGTAGGTTGTAAAAAGCCAGACTTTCATTTCTCATTTTAAACCCAATGAATTATTTAAATCTAACCCTACTGCATTCATTATCTTTATAATAAAATAAATATGTATAACAATGAAACATAGTTTTTAAGTATTTGGGACATAAATTAAACATTAATAGATTACACCTCTTAAACTTGGTACTTTAGTATCCCATTTCTCTGTGAGAACTCTGAAAGCTTCATCTTCCACAGTTTAGGTAATTCTTTGGTGTCTTATTTTGTTATTTTCTTGCCCTGAGATTAGCAATGTCAGATCTCCAAACTGCTAACTCTTCTCTTTGGCAGATCAAATGCTTCTTCTTAAAAAAATTAAGTTTTTAAAATGTATTTCATAGGATTTTTGTTCTCTCTCTCCCTCTTTTTGTGCATATGTGTGTGTGTCTGATTAGTCTTTATTATCTTAAAATGGTTAGTCCTGATAGACCTGTTTCTTCAAAATTTCTCTCAGTTCTTTGGCAGTTTGCTCTTAGCTTATAATTAAAGATCAATTTCTGACTTGTCTTGTTCTAGAAAACCTCAATGGAAATTACAGCAAGCTGAATAGGATATTAATTAAAAACATAAACCTGGTGAAACCCGAACATAGAGGCTCCAGTTCAAAGATGCTTCCAATAGTTGACATGGCCCTTCATTCCTTAAAACCAGCTATTTTTCTTTCGAATTACATTACCTTTACTTCTGTAAATTGGATGTTATATAGTACCATGAAAACTGCTGTGAGTAATTATAATACTCATTGCTGAGTGATGTGACTTCTTTCTCAAGGCTATTTCTGAGGGAAATTGTACAATTAGATCTTTAGGTATTGTGACTTGTTTTGGAAATCATGGTGGCCCTCCAGGGAGCTAATGAATCTTTAATTATTTAGAGGTTCACATGAGACCCCTTACAGATATAAGCACATTAGCTCTGTAGCTAAGGGAACATTTAAAAACAGTAACATGAAATGTGTCAGACATAGAGGAAAGATGAAGAAGCAAGTAGAAGCTAATGCAAACAGAGGAACTGCCAGCTCTCTGTGGCACTCTAGCTCTCTCTGTCAGTATTTGGTTGGCAATGTAGACATAGTGGATGAGTGCAATTACATATGTTAGGCTCATTCTGAAATGCAGGAGCATTTTAGATTTTCATGTAGAAGCCTGACAAGCAAACTACATCTAGGATATACTTTGATAACTTTGAGTTGAGAGCCAAATTTTTTGAAGGTAAACCATCTCCCTGTTTTAAAGTAGTGTTTAAAATTATAAAAATTTTAATACATCTGTAATGTAAAATATTTAGCTATAAATACTACAAGTGCAAATGAATTTTTTTTTCTACTTCTGCATTCAACTTTTCTCTTCTCCCTTTAGGGAAAACACTTTTGTGTAAAGGCCTCCAAAATATATGTAGAGGCGTATGTATGTTAAAAACATGTATACATATAATGCATAACCAAACAAATGAAATATCCTAAACATATGGACCTGAAAATTGCTTATAATAGATTTGAACTGAACATATAGGCATAAATGTGGTTCAGAAGTGTCCAGTTGAAGCAACTTCACTTTGTTAGGTCAACAAAAGTTGGGGACACCAAGATCTACCCCTCTGATTTTGTTCTAGCATTATCTTAATGGAAATGTTTACTGAAATGGAAATACATGTAGTGGACATCGTGGTGGTGTCTCAAGCATTCAGTGTTCCCTGCTCTCACACACTCCTAACCAAATAATGAATTTCTCAGCTTCACAATGTTTAAGTGACATGAGTCCCATGCCCAATTCTTGGTCATTGTAATTGGTGCATGGAAGGAACCTGTGCCTTCTGCTAATCAAATCAGAATGAAGTACAACTTTTTCATTCCATGATTGAAGAGGGAAATGCCTTCTTTCCAAATGCAGCAGAGGAAGCACGAGGTACTAGGATTGGAAGTTGTCTACTCATGACATGATATTTTAAGCCATAGAATAAAACTGAGACCTAATGTCTTAGTCCTTTCAGGTCGCTATACCAGAATATCACAGCCTGGATGGTTTATGAACAACATAAATTTATTTCTTACAGTTCTAGAGGCCAGGAAGTCCAAGATCAAGGTGTCAACAGATTCAGGGTCTAATGAGGATTTGTTTCCTGGTTCACAGACAGCTGTCTTTTTGCTGTGTCCTCACATGGTGGAAGGGGCTAGGAAGTTCTCTAAGGTCTCTTTTATAAGGGCACTAATCCCATTCATGAGGGCTCTGTCCTCATGACCTAATCACCCCCCGAAGACCCACTGCCAAATATCATCACACTAGGGATTAGATTTAAACATACAAATTTTGGGGGACTACAAACATTCAATCTATATCACTTAAGGTAGAGTGAAGAAACAGGGAGGACAAGAAGCATTTATTTTGTGTCATTATTAAACTTCTGCATTAAACTATCTTGAGCCTATACTATTGTTCAAAATCTCTTTATTATACAAGCCATTTTGAATTTTGATTGTTTGCAACCAAAATTAACCTAATAAGTTAAAATGTACTATAACGTTACATCATAATTTGTCTGTACTAGTAGTATTTGCTAGAGTGTTTAGGGGAATACTTGCTTGTTAACTTTTTAGTAAATATAACACTCCATGTTCAAATACATTTGGGAAATGCTGAGCATTTCACACTTTTAGAGACTCAAAACAGGCAGCACATTTTTAAAAAATAAAAATAAAACCAAATAGCATTGCATTTGGAGAATGGTACAAAAAAAGAGAATTTGATAAACCGGAGTTATCAGAACTCAGTGGATACTATGTGTTAGACATTATTATAAGCCATTAAACATTTTACAAGCTTGATACCTGAGTTAAAAATTAATAACCCAAAGACACATTGGAAGAGAAAAGTTGACATATTTTTATTATATTAATGACCTAAAAATATCATAGCAACTAACGTCATTATAGTCAACAAGTGAATGAACGTAAATAATATTAAATAACTATTAGAAAGTCTCTCTGATTAAGCATGGAAATAAATAGGCAGTGCTTTTGACCAATAAATGGAGGACTTACAATATTTTCCAATACGAAACAAAAAGATTCTAAATGTAAAGGTTTTAGGCCCAAAATATGTTAGTCAATTCATGACAGCAGAAATTCAGCAGGTCATATTTTTGGGGTAATGTAAATGACAATAGAAATCATGGACTAAAGTGTAACAAATAAGTAATATCTAGGCAGGTGGAAATTTTAAGATCTTTTAAATTAACTTCTGGACTATAGCAAAAATTCAAACTAAAATTCATCAGGGAGTCAGGGAAGGTCAAATGAAGAAGCATGGGGATTGAGGCAAAAACCCTGAATTATACCAATATTATCTTTTTTTTTTTGAGACAGGATCTTGCTCTGTTACCCAGGCTGGAGTGCAGTGGTGCAATCATAGTTCACTGCAACCGCGACCTCCTAGGCTCAAGGGATCCTCCCACCTCAGCCTCTTGAGTATCTGGGACTACAGACCCTCATCACCAAAACACCCATCTAATTTATTTATTTTTTGTAAAGATGAGGTCTCACTTTGTTGCTCAGGCTGACAAGTATTATCTTAATGTTATAGAAAAAAAGTAATTCTGGCCATATATAGGTATTATTCTTTGCAGTGGAATATCATTTCAGAAATTTGTGCCAAACATAAAATTAGTTTTCTAGTAGTAAAAAGTAATTAAACTCTTTAAATTATTATTACCCCTAATATACTGGGGAATGGGTGTGTGTTCCAAATGAAAAAACTTGGGATGTCTAATGAGATGCTGTTTTCTGTCGCAGAAAATCTATGTAAAATGTTTTTTCTCACGTGTACACTGTTGATATTTGAGACAGCACATGTTAACACTTCAAGAAGTAAAATAAATGTGTTGATTATATCCACAGTTTTCATATTTATTAACTATATATTTCATTTTTAATGTAATGCCTATTGAAAAACCTGTAAATAGTTGTTTCTTAAAATTGATAAATACTGCCTAAGATTTTTCTGTATATTTTCATATTTCAATTTTCCTGTGAGGTTAGAATGAACACTTTTAGCTAAGACATTTGGGCCTCTAAATCCTAAACCTTTCAGAATGTTAGTTTATTATTTGGTTTTTACCTAAATTATTTTCTGCTTATTCAAGAACCTTAGGTCTATCCAGTTACGTTTTTATTTTTTTATTTTTATTTTTTTACTTTGAAACAAAGTCTCGCTCTGTTGCCAAAGCTGGAGTGCATTGGCATGATCTCGGCTCACTGCAACCTCTGCCTCCCAGGTTCAAGTGATTCTCCTGCCTCAACCTCCTGAGTAGCTGGGATTACAGGGGCATACCACCACACCCAGCTAATTTTTGCATTTTTAGTAGAGATGGGGTTTCACCATGCTGGCCAGGCTGGTCTCAAACTCCTGACTTCAGGTGATCTGCCCACCTCAGGATCCCAAAGTGCTGGGATTATAGGCGTGAGCCACCATGCCTGGCTGTATCCAGTTACATTTTTAAGACCAGCCAGGCTTAATATATATTTGGTCTTTAGCTCAATTCAATTTGTTGCATTTTGTCCATTGTACTTCATGTGACACAGAATATATCTTAATTTAAAAAGACATATGTTTGTTGAGCTATCTGTTACGTTGGTATATCTTGGAATTTTAAAAAATATAAACCACAGAAGCCAATTATGGCTGACATTAACAATAAATAGGTTTATCACAGAAATAGTGGGGAACTTGTAGAACTGTTGAGAAGGCTAGAGAGCCAGATCAAAGCTAGGCAGCCAGGAAATGTACCCCAAACCATGCTGTAGAACTCATCCAGGGAGGAAACCACTGTCACCACCAGTAAGAAGTAACACCGAAGATGCAGAGAGCAACAATTGCAGCAATTGCTCAATCCTAGGCTAACTGCAAAGCCACCAGCACCACTCCCACTTGTTCGCTTTGCAACAGATATTGTAGCAGCTGCTACATGGCCTCCACCAGAAACAAGAGAAAGCATAACTGAATCTGCTTCTTTTTTTATTAATTCCAAAGTCGAAATTCAGCACTGGCAAACAGATTGGCAAAACCTAAGTCATATGCTTGTACCCTAGCTGCAAAGGAGGCTGAGAAAGCAAGCATTTGGCATTTTAGCTTCTAAAGCAGGAGGTGGTTTCTTGTTTTCGTCAAAACTGAGAGGCTGAGGAATTCCTCAAACACAGAAACAAACATCAAATAATAAATATTCATGCTTTAACTTGCTCAATATCAATATAAACTTTCCCTTTTGAAAGTAAACACGAAAGACCCAAGCTTCCTTCTAACAGAGTGCAACTATTTCTCTAATAATTGAACATGTACCTACAATCTCTTGAACAATGAAACAATAAAAAATTCTCAATCACACCATGTACTCTAAGTCTAAGAATTCTGGGTTATGTCCATTCCTCTACGAAGTTCTTCACTATACTCTCTTGACATTCTGCCATATATCATTTAAAAATTAAGTTAATCACCCTCAATAAGCCCTGTTTTAAAAAGAGGGATAAATGGAGAGGAAGGAAGGAAAGTTGTTAAGATACATAAGTATGCACAGGACAATACAAGAGAAACAATGTGTTTGGATGTCAAGGCTCTCCTTTCTGCAAGTGGCCAGCAGGTCACTATTGGCATCTATGGCCATGTGCCCTCAGCTAACACCTCTGCTAGTCAGGGTTTTGCCTTGTGAGATGACCAAATATTCATTCCTGACAGAGAAATGTCCTTGGTAATCTTTTTGTGTGAGCGTGCCATGGTCATTGTTAATTTCTTTCATTTAACAAAATAATAGACTTTATTTTTTGAGCAGTTTTAGCTTTATGGAAAGATCGAGCAGAAAGTACAGAGTTCTCACATACTGTCACCTTTATCCCACCCCCAGTTTACATTAGGGTTCACTCTTTGTGTGGTACAGGTCTAGGAGTTTTGCAAAACGCATAATGTCATGTACCCATCATTACATTATTACCAACGTATTTTCAATCCCCTAAAAATCGCCTGTTTCAGAACTATTTATCTCCCTACCCATCCCCAAACTCCTGGCAACCACTGAGCTTTTTTGTTGTTGTTGTTGTTACTTAGTTTTTATTTCATAATCATAAACTTAACTCAACTCTGCAATCCAGCTAGGCATGGAAGGGAACAAGGAAAACATGGAACCCAAAGGGAACTGCAGCAAGAGCACAAAGATTCTAGGATATTGCAAGCAAATGTGGTGGAGGGGTGCTCTCCTGAGCTACAGAATGAATGGGTCTGGTGGTGAAAATAAAACACAAGTCAAACTCATTAGAATTGTCCACAGTCAGCAATGGTGATCTTCTTGCTGGTCTTGCTATTCCTGTACCCAAAGTGCTCCATGGCTTCCACAATATTCACACGTTCTTTCACCTTGCCAAAGGCCACATGCTTGCCATCCAACCACTCAGTCTTGGCAGTGCAGATGAATAACTGGGAGCCATTTGTGTTGGGTCCAGCATTTACCATGGACAAGATGCCAGAACCTGTATGCTTTCGGATGAGGTTCTCATCATCAAATTTCTCCCCATAGATGGACTTGTCATCGGTGCCATTAGGGCGTGTGAAGTCACCACCCTGACACATAAACCCTGGAATAATTCTGTGAAAGCAGGAACCCTTATAACGAAATCCTTTCTCTCCAGTGCTCAGAGCACGAAAGTTTTCTGCTGTCTTTGGAATCTTGTCTGCAAACAGTTTGATGGAGATGCGGCCCAAGGGCTTGCCGTCGACGGTGATGTCAAAAAAGACGACGGAGTTGACCATGGCTGATAGTACAGGGCTCACAGCGATGGTGGCGTCTGCAAAGATAACCACTGATCTTTTTACTGTCTTTATAGTTTGGCCTTTTCCAGAATGTCGTATAGTTGAAATCACAGTATGTACCCTTTTCAGACTGGCTTCTTTCACTTAGCAAAATGTCTTTGTTTTTTCTGTATCTTTTTGTGGCTTGATAGTTTTTTCCTTTTAGCACTGAATAATATTCCACTGTAGGAATATACCACAGTTTGCTTATGCAGTCACTTATTGAAGGACATCTTGGTTGCTTCCAAGCTTTGGCAGTCTTCATTTCTTTCTTTCTTTCTTTCTTTCTTTCTTTCTTTCTTTCTTTCTTTCTTTCTTTCTTTCTTTCTTTCTTTCTTCTTCTTTTTTTTTTTTGGAGACAGAGTCTTGCTCTGTCACCCAGGCTGGAGTGAAGTGGCACAATCTCAGCTCATTGCAACCTCCGCCTCCCAGGTTCAAGTGATTCTCTTCCTCAGCCTCTGGAGTAGCTGGGATTACAGGTGTGCACCACCACACCTGGTTAGTCTTCAGGAATATTTACAGGACTGTATAGAATTAGGAGCCATCAAAGGGGATCCCTGAATTCTTTCTGTTTTTCTTACAAATACCAGTTTTAAGGTCAAGATTTACTACCCCATGCAACAGTGTAGCCGCATTTTAAATTTTAAATTTTTGACTGTTTGTTTAAAGGTCTCAGGCAACCTAAAAGGCTAGATAGAAGTCTCTCATCCTCTAACGAAGGATGGATTGTAAAATGGAATACTGCTAAGACTCTCCCTTTGGGTACTAATTCTGCAAAAACCTAGAATCTCAGAGACAAGAGACAAGTATTTGGAGTGGATCATTAGATGTAATGACAAAAGGAGTCACTTCAACATTCATAACAAATATCAAAGATTGTTGTATTTTTTATATGGGAGACACCAGACAAGCTTATACTTAGTTACTAGTTCAGAGGATACACCACCACATCCTCTAGCATGAGTACAACCTTATAAGCCATTGTCTCCAGCTGGCACTGTGATTGAGTCTTTAATAAAATATTCACCATTCTATAATAATAATAATTTTGGTTAGTGATAGGATAAATGGCAGACCAGGTGAGTCCAATGAATATCTACTCATTTGTTATACAACAAGTTCTTTTAATAGAAGGATGTAGAACAGGATATTATGGCAGTATATATAAGGCATTCAATGTACCCGTGGAGAGTGGCGATCAGAGAAAAATGATGTCAGGTAAAGCAAATGTAATTCAAGGATAAAGGTAGATTCCATTTACAAAATTCCTTGTTGCCTTTATCATAGAGGAGCTCCAATAAAATCAACAAGTCTGACAAAAGGTGACTGGTTTATTCACCCAGGATATGTTATTGTGTGCTTAGCCTTGGACTTTGTTGCTTGTGTGTTGGACACCTAATAGTCTTGACAGCTAAATAGGCTTTTGTAAGCGAGAGTGGTAAAGTCCAACATGTTGCTAAACCTATGTGTATTCTCTACTGCTACCACCAATGTTGCTGTTTATTAGCCTTCTGAGCAAGCAATGTAGTGCCTGGTGAAAGAGATTGTTTCATACCTTCATATCTATTTGATAACCTTCCTGATGATAGTTTGGTGAGCATTCGTATTAAGCACAAATATTCTTACACTCTGGCTCATTTTCTGTGGTTCATCTACATATTTTTTCCCCAAAACTCATTGCCACCAATCCTTCAGTCTTTGTCTTTCCGAGTCCCTAATTATCTTTTCTTTTCTTTTCTTTTTTTTTTTTTTTTTTTTTGAGACAGAGTTTCGCTTTGTTGCCCAGGCTGGAGTGCAGTGGTGCAATCTTGGTTCACTGCAACTTCTTCCTCCTGGATTCAAGAGATTCTCCTGCCTCAGCCTCCCAAGTAGCTAGGATTGCAGGCACACACCACCACATCTGGCTAATTTTTGTATTTTTAGTAGAGACGGAGTTTCACCATGTCAGCCAGGCTGGTTTCGAACTCCTGACCTCAGACAATCCACCTGTCTTGTCCTCCAAAAGTTCTGGGATTACAGGTGTGAGCCATCAGGCCTGGCTCCAAGTCCCTAATTATCTAGACAAATTATTAGCTGCCACATATACATCAATAATATCTCTCCTTCTAGACATCGTGGACAACCAATTACATAGGCTGAATTTCTTTTAAAATTGCATTCACGTAGGTTATAATGCCTAAGCAATCTACTTTTGGCTGCTGCTGTGATGTTGTACAGTGACTTCTGTAAATCAGGCTCAATTTTTCCCTCACTAATCAACTGGCCATAGAGAACTTCCCATGAAGACATAGGTATAGATTCTATTATTCCTACCTGCTGATGAAGCAGGATAGTTAATTGGAAAACACTTATTTCATGATAAGCAGCTCATGTTGTCATATTTTTTTGCATTGATAGGACTTCAGTTTCTACAATGGTCCAGGATCAATCAAGAGTTCTTTAAAGAAAACATTTATTTTGTCAAAGAAAGAAGCATTTTGTTCCAAATCCTAAGAACAATAGTAGTGGTGTGTCAGAGGCTCTATTGCATCTGGATATAAAAACAAAGGGGCACAATATTCCTGACCAGTTGGGAATTATTATCTTGATCTCAATCCCATCAAAAGGTGGCAGCATGACAAGTCATGAAGTAAAAGGACCAGGTGATAAAATGAGGTCTCCAAAATCCAAAGCATCAAAGTTCTCAGTTAGTGGTCAGGGCTGCAAAGTGCCATAATTTTTCACTTTGGAAGGTATATCTTGAGAATATTGAGTGTATGAGACAAGTTAAAAGGTCATGCAGCCAGACGCGGTGGCTCACACCTGTAATCCCAGCACTTAGGGAAGCTGAGGTGGGCGGATCATGAGGTCAGGAGTTCAAGACCAGCCTGGCCAATATGGTGAAACCCCATCTCTACTAAAAATACAAAAATTAGTGGGGCATCGTGGTGCCCTCCTGCAGTCCCAGCTACTTGGGAGGCTGAGGCAGCAGAATCGCTTGAACCCTGAAGGCGGAGGTTGCAGTGAGCTGAGTTGGCGCCACTGCATCCAGCCTTGGCAACACCGCGAGACTCTGTCTCTTAAAAAAACTAAAAAAAATAAAAATAAAAAAAATTTAAAAGTTCGTGAATAACACCTCTGTTAGCCTCTGATTTTTATAATAATTATCACACACACACAAACCAAACACCACACATAGAGGAAACAGTAAAAGATTAAAGGACACAGCTAAAAATACATTTGTATTATTACTTCCCAAAGTTCTAAAATTATCAGAAGGGACTAGTGAATCTTTAAAAAATATTGATTATCCAACACTTTTTAATAACCAGTATAATTGCATTGAAGGCTACTGAACATGCACATGTTCCTAAAATTTTTCTGTTATGGTGTCTGGTTTGCGAAAGGAACAAAATTAAACATAGTTCCTTGGCAATTTTTCCCTCTTCCACTCTACTAATTGGCGTATGTGCGATGTGTGTTTATTGTAAAACAGGAATAAGATTCAGAGGTCAAGAATCAAAGTGAGTCAGAGTAGGAAAAGCCAGACTCAAGCATAACAGAAGGGCAGAGCCTGTCAAACCCCAAAATTAAAGGGTAAATTTCAACACAAGTAGAAGTGGTTCAAAAGCTAAGGGCATCCTCATAGTTCATGAAAAGCAAGTATTCACGCAGGTAGCAGACTCTAATCTGCTTCAAGCCAATGTGCTATTCTCTTCGTGTTATTTATATCCCTCAGAATACCTCAAAGTTCCCAAGAGCAGTCAGTATTTAACTCTAAACTATATCATCTATATGATATATTTATTATATATAATATATATATTTATTATATGTATAATACATATTATATTTATATTGATTATATATAATATATATATATTTATTATTATATATTTTTTTGAGACGGAGTTTTGCTTTTGTTGCCCAGGCTGGAGTGCAATGGCGCTATCTCGGCTCACCACAACCTCTGCCTCCCAGGTTCAAGTGATTCTCCTGCCTCAGCGTCCTGAGTAGCTGGGATTACAGGCATGTGCCACCACGCCTGGTTAATTTTGTATTTTTAATAGAGAAGGGGTTTCTCCATGTTAGTCAGGCTGGTATTGAACTCCCATCCTCAGGTGATCTGCCTGCCTCGGCCTCCCAAAGTGCTGGGATTATAGGTGTGAGCCAACGTGCCCAGCCAACTATGTAATATTTTAATTGTGTAGTGATAACCCTCATCAAAAGAAGTATTCATTATGGTCAGTGTACTCTGCTTATTTACCACTGAAGCTTAACACAAAATTGTTGAAATAAACATGCATATTGAAGTACTTAGCTAGCTATTGAGGCAATACAGGTTTCTAGATTTACTCATTTTTTTCAGTGTACACACATGTCATGTGTGTCATGATAAACCCATGTGTGTGCATATATTGATTAAATATTATATTTCTTTTTACTTTTATTATTATTATTGAGAAAAGGTCTCACTCTGTCGCCCAGGCTGGAGTGCAGCGGCACAATCTCGGCTGCCTGCAGCCTTGTCCTCCCAAAGCCCTAGACCCTGTAACATAATGGAATATGTATGTTTCTAATTTGTGCAATATGGAAGCAGGAATACTACATAGAACTTTCATCTTTTCCTATTGCATTTATTTTGGTGTGGAAAAATATAATAATTGGCTTCAGTCAGTAAGTCTATTTCATTCAAGAATATTTAAATATAATCCAAACCATCTTAGGTACATTTTGTGATACAAGAGGATGGTATCTTCTATTTGGAAATATAAAATCCCAGGGTCTCACAGTTTAAGTATACTTTCCAGGGGTATGTATAAAACAAGAATCCCACTTTACAAAGTTAATAGAAAAAATATATGCTAATTGGAAGGAGAGGCTTCTGATTGAGGATAAAGTGGAAATTTTCACATACTGCTAATTACACTTTAATGGAGTAAGAAAAAAAGAATTGGAAATAGTACCCTATAAAACTTCTGAAATGAAATTACAGTTTCTCTCTCTCTCTCTCTCTTTTTTTTTTTTCTTGAGATGGAGTTTCGCTCTTGTTGCCCAGGCGAGAGTGCAATGGCGCTATCTCAGCACACTGCAACCTTCACCTCCCGGGTTTAAGTGATTCTTTTGCCTCAGCCTCCCAAGTAGCTGGGATTACAGGCATGCACCACCATGCCCGCTAATTTTTTGTATTTTTAGTGACCCACCACGCCTGGCTGTCTCCTCTTTTTAGAATTAGGAGAACTGATTTTTTTCAGTGCTAAACTGGCACTGTCCTATGTTTTCAAGAAAGCAATATGGTGAAACGGAAGAGTCTGGATAGCATGTTTTGTTAGCTGGCGTCTAGTTCTTTAAGTTCCATGAGTCTATTGTGTCTTCTTTACATCTCAAAAAGAAGAGAGAAGAAACCTGCATCTAATTACTGAAGCAGTTTCATTCAGCAAATGTAATTGCATCGCAGGCACATCTCAAATTAAAAATCTTCATCTTGGTCTCTGTCATTTCCATTTTAAACTGGGACTGAATAACCTGTTTTGCCACTCAAAATAATAGCCAGTGTCTCTTTCTTATTAAAATATGTGATCTTTTGCTTGATTACCTAATTATGTCACCTGCACCTTACGTGAGGCAGATAGAAGAGTCTTCCAGTCTGCCAGAGCAGATCTACCAAACTAGACTGCACATACAAATTACCTGGGGATCCTGATAAATTGCAGATTCTGAGTCTGCCTTCAAACGGCCTCAAGTCAAGCTGATGGTATTAGTCCCAGGATCCCTCACTGAGTAGCAAGGTCTTAGAATTAAAAAGTGTGCAAGTATAAGGCCGGGAGCAGTGGCTCATGCCTGTAATCCCAGCACTTTGGGAGGCCAAGGCGGGTGGATCACCTGAGGTCAGGAGTTCGAGACCAGCCTGGCCAACATGGTGAAACCCCGTCTCTACTAAAAATACAAAAAAATAGCCAGGTGTGGTGGCACGCACCTGTAATCCCAGCTACTCAGAAGGCTGAGGCAGAAGAATTGCTTGAACCTGGGAGGTGGAGGTTGCAGTGAGCCAAGATCACGCCACTACACTCCAGCCTGGGCTCCAGCCTGGGCAACAACAGCAAAACTCCATAAAAAAAAAAAAAAGTGCAAGTTTATAAACATGGAAACGTGGACAATTGTAAGCAATATTAGAGAACTGTAGAAAACAATTTTTTAAGTGATATGTTTAACCTATTTAGAATAAAACCCATTATGGTCCTAGGAATTTCTGGAACTGCCTTACTTGTGAGAAACATGATCCTAAGATGCCCATTTGTTTATCAGTACATCAATTTTCTCCTTCTTAAATTGGTATCATTATTTTCTTCCAAGAAGCCTAGCACACTTTTGTTGTTGTCATTGAAAGAGGGCATATAAGGGTTATGGCTGCTATTTGGAGAAATGCATTAGAAAATAAAAAGCTTGAAAAAGTTGTATTACTGAGAAAAAAGTTGAATGAAAATAAGAAAGATTAAATTGAAATAAATAATGAATCAGTAAGGTATGCACTGTTAAACACTTGATGAGATTTCCCAAGTATCGACATGCTGATAACTTGAAATAAGAATGGGAGAAAAGGTCAATCTGAATTCTTAAAATGTTGAAGGCTGGGAATAAGAAGTAATATATCACAGAATCTGATAGAAAAATTTTTATTTATTTTATGGGAGAAAATGGGAGACTAACATACAATAGGAATAGGAAAGAATTAATAGAAATAGCAAAAAGAAGTGTATCTGCAATTATTAATATAATACAAGAGGACATTGTGTAGAGATATTTAAAGAAAGATTGATGAAATTTAGATTTATGGTGAAATATCCTAATAAAGACATTATTTATAATCAACTGTTCATAATTATTATATAATTCTGACAGTTTTAGGATATAAATGTAAGGCAGAATGATCTAATATAAAATGTATAAATGGGACAACATATAATTTTGCTTAGGAAGTTGAATAAATAAAGTAGTGATTTACAATTTGCATTAATATAAAAAAATTTAAAAAATGGTTTACATTTTGTTTGAAATGGATGATAAACAGGAAAAGAGTAATTTAGTACATTGAGTAATTTAGTACATTGGTCACCAAAGAAATACAAATTGAAACTATAAGATCCCTTCTCCCATCTTTGTCAGATTTGTAGGTATAAAAACAGTAGTAGTTGTATTGGTTGGAGAACAGAAAGATGACACTTTCATATGCGGCTGATTAGAGCACAGATTGGTATATTATTTCTGAGATGCAATTTGAAAATATGTACCATCAGCCTCAAAGATGATTATGACCATGTGTCACTACTTTCTTGGAAATCATTATTAATGCATGTATAGATTGATGTTTACTGTAGTATTACTTAACATAATGAGTTGAGTACAACCTTCACTCCCAAAAAACATGAGGTAGGGGTGAACTAGTTAAATATACAATCACAATGAGCTATGACAAAATGCAGTTACTTAAAAGCACATTTATAAGACTATTAATGGCAATAAACATGATTTGATATAATGTTTTCAAAAATTAGGGGAATTCTATTCCCAGCATTGTGGTAGACTAAATTTGCTGAATCACTATCCTGCTATATGAAATCTACAAATACCAGATAAAATGTACATGTCATTTTTCAAAAGTATATTACTGACTTGAATAGAAACTAAGGTGAACCACATAGGCCAAGCATAAGGAGAATACATAAATCCAGAGAGGTATGCAGACCCCCAAACCAGAAGCTTCCATAAGGACAGTCCTGGCCCTAGTACCCTGAGCTTCAATTTTTATGACCACCTGGGATATGGGAGAGTGTGAGACAAAACCTAGTGCCTGCCCATTATAGCAGTCTTACAGGAGAAAACTGCTGAAAGCCAGAGATACGAAGGACTATAATTTCAGGGAAAGGATAAACTAGATAAAAACCTGTTCCTCAGCGGGAGACAACCAGGAAATTTTCCTGCCTCAAACTCGGTGCTATTTAGAGGAAAAATGAGAAGGCCATCTTCACATGAATTTGTGGTTTAAATTTTCACTGTAAGTATAAGTTAAAAAAAACCCACACATGAAACTGATAATTTATTTTATAGTTATCCCATGTTGGTATTACCACCAAACACAAGACGAAGGCAAAGTGTCTTTGGAGAAACCCACATTCAGCCCATGTCTCAAAGAATGGCCACAGGTAAAATTTCATCCAAAATGAGAAAAAAGTAAGACTCTTACAAAACTCATGAGGAAATAAACATCATGAGCAGAAACAGAATTATGCCCATAAAGATTTCAGATATTAGGATGATTATATAACTATAAAAGCTGTGTTTAATATGTTTAAAAAATCAATGAGGTGTGCCAGGAATATAAATTGAGACAGTGTATGTATCTTATATTAAGCAGATTGAAACTGAATTTAAGAGATCTTTTAGAAATAAAAAATATAATGAAAATTAAAAACTAAATGGACAGGTTAAACACAATATTGGATAGAACCAAAAAGAAAATAAGTGAGTTGGAAGTTAGACTAAACAAATTATGCTGAAGACAGTACAGAGGAGGAAAGGAAAATGGATATGTGAAATAGAGGTTGAAAAATTAGAGTATCTAATCATATCTGCAAAAGAAAAATTGAATTGGGGGAAGGTTATATTTAAGGTTATATTTAATATCTGAGGGCTTTTCGTCATTGGAATTTATTAATGTTCAAGGAAACCTGGAAAGTTTTCTAACACATTAAAGGAGCTTTAATTATAAGTTCCAAATTCTTCTTAGAAGAAGAGAACCAGCAGGCCCAGACATTTTTACTGGTGAGTTCTATCAAATGTTTTCAAGAAATGGATTATTTCCATTTTATAAAAACAACTCCAGAATAAAAAAAGGTCCATTTGTTCGTTCATTTCATGAGGCCAGTACAACCTTGATACCAATATTATATGAGAAATGTGTAAGACAGGAAAATTACATGCCAACTTTCCTCATGAACCTAACGGCAAACATTTTAAATTAAAAGTTAGCAAATTAAGTTTAGAAGTCTATAAAAAAGATAATATAGTATGAAAATTGTGTTTGTTCCATGAATGCAAGGATTTCTAACAATAGAAAAAAAAACTATGTATAATTCATCACATTAACAAGTTAAAGGAGGAAAAGCAAATCATCATTGTAGGAGAGGCAAAAAGTGAATTCAATAAAATGAAATATTTAACTTTGACAAATCTTGTTTAGCAAACAAGAAATAGAAGAGCTTTCAATGTTTGCTTATAAATCAGAAACTATTCTTCGTCTTTCAAGCAGAGGTGATTTAATACAGGTGATTGATTACACAAGTGATGGAAGCCAAACCAGGCTTGGTGAGTCAGCAGCCCATATTTAATATATTTATATATTAAATATTTAATTATACTTCAAAACTTTTATGTACACTATAATCTCATTATTGTTTTCTATACTATTATATGCAATATACAAATACAGAAATACAGAAATGTACCTCAGTTTGAAAGAGAACTTGAATATGAGGCAAAAAGATACCCCCAAATTATAGTTACATTACAAGAATTGAATTTAAGAAGGAAGAAGCAAATTGCAAGAGATAAGGCCAAGCCTCTTTAGTAATGATCATTCTAAATCCAATTGGTATAAATTTAGGGACGCACAACTGGATTGCAGTGTAACTAAGAAAGTTTGTGTGTCAATAACCATATTTATCCTATGTGAAGAAATAATAGTTTCATAGGAGAAGGTTAATTGGCATGGAGTCTGTAAAAGAGAAGTTTGGATAGATGATTGAGCTATGTATTTGTCAAATAATATCTAAAGGTAAAAAGAGATCTAGTTCACAGAGGCGAATCTCTGATTTTTCAATTTGCATTAACAGAAACAACATTGGAAGGGAGTATATTAAGATTTTAATAGTGACGATTTCTGCCAATGGTTTCTGTTTTATTGTTTACTATTTTCGGTATATTTCCAATGTTTCTTAATAAGTGTTTATTATTTAAAAAATGAGAAAACAGCAATGAGTAATTCAGTAAAATAAAATTTTTCAAAATTGTGACTGCTATGATTATGAGCCAATTATGAAAGAAAGAGACACAGATAGAAATAGGGTGACCAATCTTTCAACTTACTCAGGAATGAAGGATTTTCTGGATGGGGGATTTTTGTTGCTAAAATCGGGACAGTAGGGGACATGTTGGGACTGTGGAAAAACCCTACAGGGATTTATTTCCTAACTATGAATTTCTATCTTGGTCTAGAGACGACTGTTCTCATAAATAGGTAGAGTAGATGTGGTATTTCTGGAATGAGATTTAACATCTTTACATAGCTTGCCCTATTAAAAGTAGACAAATGCTTGTGAGAGAATATCATATACTTTTGAAAGCTAATGTCTTAACTAATTCGCTGTGAGCAAAGCTCTTGAAGACTGTGATGTAACAGAGATTCCTAGGTATCAGTGAAGATACGGAGATGAAAAAAGGGAAGTTGAAAAAAGAAGCTGAGAGATAAGCATGGAAATCATTTTCCAACCTCATTTTTCCAATCTCCATTTTCCTGTATTGAGAAGTGAAAATATGTTTTCTAGAGATAAAGTTCTAGAAATGAACTCTGACATAGATATTTTAAAACCCATTTCAGAAACAAAATAATATGTGAACCTAGAGTAGTTGTAATTTATGTCCTTTTGTCTGTCTTTATCCTGTAGTTAAGTTTCCCTTGGGATCTCTTTGGGAAAATGGAGTACTGCATTTTACAAGGCAGGACTTGAATTTTCTTTCTTTTCCTTCTTTCTCTCTTTCTTTCTTTCTTTCCTTTTCTTTCTTCTTTCTCTCTTTTTCTTTCTTCCTTTCCTTCCTTCCTTTTTCTTTTCTTTCTTTCTCTCTTTCTTTCTTCCTCTCTCTCTTTTTCTCTTCCTTCTTTCTTTCTTTGTTCCTTTCTTTCTTTCTTCTTTCTGTCTTCTTTTCCTTCCTTCCTTCCTTCCTTCCTTCCTTCCTTCCTTCCTTCCTTCCTTCCTCTTCTTCCTTTCTTTTTCTTTCTCCTTTCTTTCTTTTTTTTTTTTTGACATGATCTCACTTTGTCACCCAGGCTAGAGTGCAGTGATGTGATCATAGCTTAATGCAGCCTCTCTCTCCTGGGCTCAAGCAATCCTCCCACCTCAGCTTCCAGAGTACCTGGGGCTACAGCTGCGTGCCACCATGCCCAGCTAAAGGACTTGAATTTTCTTACATATCTTGGCCCTATAGAGTGGCTCTCAACCTCGGCTGCACATGTCTATTACCTGAGAAAAGTTTTAAATAACCTAATACTCAGGTCACACCCTAGACTTTAGGGGTGAGACAAGCATTAATATTTTTTAACACTCTTAGAATTAAGAGCCACTAATATTGTAGCACTGCAATTCCTATAAAGAGAACAGATGTGAGTAGATTTGTTACAGTATTGTTGTATTCATCTGTTTTCATGCTGCTGATAAAGACATACCTGAGACCGGGCAATTTACAAAAGAAAGAGGTTTAATGGACTTACAGTTCCACATGGGTGGGGAGGCCTCACAATCATGGTGGAGGACAAAGAGGAGCAAGTCACATCTTACATGGATGGCAGCAGGCAAAGAGACAGCTTGTGCAGGGAAACTCCCATTTTAAAAATGATCAGATCTCATGAGACTTACTCACTAACACAAGAACAGCACAGGAAAGACCCATCCTCATGATTCAGTTATCTCCCACTGGGCCCCTCCCACAACATGTGGGAATTATGGGAGCTACAAGATGAGATTGGGTGTGGACACAGCCAAACCATATCAATTGTCATCACTCAAGGCAGATGAGTATATAGAAAGCTATCAGTTGTAAGGAATTGGACTAAGTTTAAGAGAATAATAATTAAGATAGAACAAATGTTTGGTCCTGCTTAAGGGCTAGGATAGATGAGGCACAATAGAATCATGTGGGGAGCTGTAAAAATGCCCAGGCCCTACTCTGTGTCAATTAAATCAGAATCCAGAATCTCTGCTTGAGTGTGTCTAGAGTATTGGTCAAAGGAAACAGTGATTTTGATGTGCAGCCAGTTAAGAGCTGGTATCCTCAAGGATCATGATGTGACACAGCTGTTTCAGAAGGGTAAATCTCCATACTCCCACTTTAGAAGAAAAGAAAAGGCAAAATGACAAAACAATCAAGCAAAAGGGCTGGAAGAGCTGGTAGATAACAGGGTGTCAACTTGAATTAATTCAGCTCTTTGGTAAAGATTAGCTGGAGTAAAGAAATTCCAGTTAGTCA
This sequence comes from Homo sapiens, assembly GCF_000001405.40. Lineage (NCBI taxonomy): Eukaryota > Metazoa > Chordata > Mammalia > Primates > Hominidae > Homo > Homo sapiens. The sequence goes on from NC_000001.11 coordinate 146,357,031, forward strand.
AATGGGATGAATGTCCTTTTATGGAAACCATATCATGCTTTTTGAATGATCTGAGAAAGACTGGAAGCATTAGAGGTGAAGTATATCCATTTGCTCAATGGGAAAAGATTTTGTTTTATTTTATTTACAAAATGTGATATGCTTGGCCATCTGCAGTAGTGCCTGAAAGGGGATGTAAAACGGAAAATGTAGTCAGTGAGACTGATTAATAACCATGGGTAGAAAAATAGGCCAAGTGGAAAAACTTATTCATATAATTGCTTCATTTTGCTGACTGCAAAAGGATTTGTTTTGGAAGTGATTTCTGCTCTTTAACCTAGTGGATTGATAGATCACAGAAAGGTCTTAGAAATGACATTACGTAATTTTGTTCATAACATGAAATTAGCTTGAATCAAAAAATGTATACCATTTTTTTGTATCTACCTTCTAAGACATTTGTCTTGAGAAATTAATGATTCTACAACATAAATAGTCATTGTGAAAGGAAGGAAAAAGATAACAGAGGGCTTTCATAATAATCATGGACTCAAGATTATCTAATTTAAAAAGACATATCTCATTTTCCTTTACTTAAACATAAAACAAATGAGAGAAAACAGAAATAGCTCATAATTTTATTTATCTGATAAAACATGCTGACATAAAAATATAATTCATGCACCCAGTAAGAAAATCAAAAAATTAAATAAAGGTAAAAATGAAATATAAAATTCTCTTTCCTCTAGTCTCTTACCCCCAGACATCTGGAATCTCTCCTTAAGATAATCACTGTTGACAATTTCTTGAGTATCTTTTTAAAAATGACCTTAATACACATCCCCCGTATAGAATATAGATCTTAAACAAGTTAGAAAATAAAATTTTATCTTTTAGTATTACACAAAAGGATGTTCAGAACTAGGCTTTGTATTTTTTTTTTCTAGAGATGAGGTCTCACTGTGTTGCCCAGGTTGGTCTCAAACTCCTGGGCTCAAGCAATCCTCCCGCCTCAGTCTCCAAAAGTGTTGGGATTATAAGCATGAGATGAAGTCTTGCCTGGCCTAGGCTTTCTATTTTTGTTTAATAATTTACCTTCAAGATATTCTTAACTTTTAACAACTGTATTGTATAAATATATTTTTTATTTAAACAATAGGCTACCAATAACATTAATAACATATCTTGGTTTATGTATTTTACAAGATTCTCCATGTGATAAATTCCAACCTGAGAAGTTGCTATAGAACATATGAATTTAACATTTTTTAATTGCTGCGATCTAATATGATCCTAAAACATGGCCCTAGTTTATATTCCTATGAAAATGTCTAATACCTACACTCTTGCTAACATTGACTGCTATTGCATTTTAAAGACTCATTAATTTGATTGGATTGATGTTGAACATCTTCTGTTACTCTTGGCCATTGCATTTCTTTTTCTACCTATTAATCTCCCTTGTATAATATTGCATTATTTGTCTTTTTTGTCTCATTTATTGACAAAGATTAAAGTTATTGGCAGTAGTGAAAATGGAGAAAAAAATCAAAATTCAAATACTGTAGAGTACAATATTTTGGAGAATAATTTGATTCTATATATTGAAATTTAAATTGTCTTTAATCTTTGACCCAGTTATTCTATTTCTAGTAATTTTTCTACCCAAATAATAATTCAGGAAGAAAACCTTTACGGAGATTATTCTTATAATGTTTGTGATACAATATTTACAGGCAACATAAATTCTCATCCAGAGATCGGAGTAAATATTATATAGTATATCTGTAGAACGAAATGTACCTTGCTGTTTAAATGAATAAATTAGTTATTATCATAAAATAAATGTCATGTAAAGACATTTATTTTATGGTGTATAAAATTAGAAAAACAAGTTATTAAAAATAACATGATTTTTTGTAAAATGCTTTTATTTTGTTTTTAATTGACATAATAATTGCACATGTTTATGGGGTACAGTGTGGTGCTTTAGTGCATGTGTACATTGCGTAATGGTCAAATTTAAAAATTAAATGTATTGATAGAAGAAGTGTTTGGATATTTGTATCCTAAATGCTAACAGTGATGATATCTGGAATGTGGAACTGCTGGTAATTTTTCCCTTTTTCTTTTAGAGATTTTTGTACTTATTTTTAATAATAAACATATACTAATTTTATAATAAAAATAACAATGAAGTCCTTTCCATTTTGAAAAATTAATTCCAATAGAAAAATACTGTACTCAAGCCACTTTCCAGGGTTTTCTTATTCTTAGTGCTGGTATAAGGTACCAGTGATATTATATTTTCAGATATGTTTGGCTTTTCTGCCTTATGGTTGAAGATGAGCTTAGGAAGTATTGCTGCCTAATTTTCAGGCTTTTGAGCCAATGCTTGGTGCACAAAAAGCACCACATCAACTTTAAACAGAATATTCTGCTTCTTTAGACTGTATTTCCTACTTTTTATAGTATTTATTAGTGCCAGAACTCTGTGACTGTTTCCCAAAGAACAAGAGAGAAAGATCAAGGAAAGTGAGAAGCAATGAAACTAGATTTAATTAATACTCTGGCTTGTCAGCAGCTTTCATGAAAGATTTGTTTGTTGAAGAAGTTGAACCTATTAGCTTAAACAGGGATTAACTCTGCCAACTCTGACAGAGCATGGACAATTAAGAGTTTATTGGAAATTAATTGAAAATAATACAGTGTTGTGAGGTGGGATGAAGATGATTTCCTTTAAGGAAATTATGCCAAGTGTTTTGAATCAGCCAAGGATAAACAAATGCAGACTATCATTTGATGGAGGTATTATAAACTGATAACATGATTCGAAGTATAAGAATGGCAAATTGTGAAGAATGAATAAAATTACAGAGATAAATAGCAAAAATGTGAAACTAAAATAAAGAGGAACAGTGAGTAAACGGGGTTAGCTGAGAATATGGTTTAACAGGGCATACTCTATTCATTTATGAAGAAATTTTAATCCTCAAAATGCTACTTGTCTTAGTCTGTGTAGGCTGCTGTAACAAAATACCACAAGCTGAGTAACTTATAAACAACAGAAATTTCTTACAGTTGTGCAGGCTGGGAAGTCCAATATCAAGGCAGATTCAGCATCTGGGGTGAGGTTCACCCTTCTGGCTCATAGATGGCAACTTCCTGCTGTATCCCCATACTTTGGAAGGGGCCAATGAGCTCTCTGGGATCTCTTTTATAAGGGCACAAATTCCATTGATGAGAATCTTGTCCTCATGACCTAATCACCTCCCCAAGGCTCTATCTCCTAACACGAGTAGCTTGGGGGTTAGGATTTCAATATACAAATTTGGGGGGACATAAACAGTCAGTCTGTGACATTGCCATTTCATCAGTAAGAATTTTCATGAACTCACTATTAAGATTTATGTTTAGGTTTTTTATGCGGATGTTCTCACTTTATAATATTGTTTGTCTGCATAGTTTAAAGAAAAGGACAATGCCCAATTAGAACAGGAGGTGTCTTTTGTTGGCCAGCAAAATATTTTAAGATGCCTTGAGTGTGACCCTACATAGAGATCATCAAGGTAACATCATTTTGTTCTTGTTCTAGATCCACATGTTTCACTCAAGATCCCAGAAAGAAAATGTAAGAAAACACATTGGAAGACAATAATCCATCCTTACAATGCTAGCCAATGTTTATTATTGCTTTCTATGTGTGAGGAATTGTGTTAAACACTTAAAAAGATGTTATCCCTCATAATTATCATAACACCTGAAGAAGTAGGTGGGGTGATTTTCTCCAATTTAGATATTATAGGAACTGAAACACTTGCCCACTAAACAGGCAATTGAAAGAGATAGGATTTCTATAGAAAATTGCCAGCTCCACAGCTAGTGTTCTTATTCTCATCATTAGTGTTCCCTTAGTGGTTTTGATATTACACCTAATACTATTTAATACAAAATTAAAGCATCCACCCTATTCTGGGATTTACTGTCAAGAATAGAGCACTGAGCCTGATAAACAGTATCCACTTTGGAATGCATGTTTCTATCCAGCTACTTAATATGACATAAGTTCATTGGACATTAAGGCCAGATTTCTTGACATGCTTTACCCTCAAATTAACAAGTTTGGCTTATTCAATTGTGGACCTTTAACCCTTAGGCCAGATAGTATATGAGGCCTAGAGTAGTGGAAAAAGGTAACTGGATTTACAAAATTTGACTCTTCAAATTCTGTAAGAATTCAATATATTGAGGAAAGTTTAGGTGCATAGTAAAATTATAATTTCATATTGTTGCACAGACTCAGGCAGATGAAAGAGACTCCAATAGTGGTCAGGTAGTACCCACACAGTCAGTTGATTGTCTCTGTGCTGAAAGGATTTAAGAATGAAGAAGAGTTTGCTCCAATGTATGTTTCAATATCTCATTGTTTTACAATAATATTTGAAATAATACCTAGGAACCCAACTTACAAGGGATGTGAAGGACCTATTCAAGGAGAACTACAAACCACTGCTCAAGGAAATAAAAGAGGACACAAACAAATGGAAGAACATTCCATGCTCATGGATAGGAAGAATCAATATCGTGAAAATGGCCATACTGCCCAAGGTAATTTATAGATTCAATGCCATCCCCATCAAGCTACCAATGACTTTCTTTACAGAATTGGAAAAAAACTACTTTAAAGTTCATACGGAAACAAAAAAGAACCCGCATTGCCAAGTCAATCCTAAGCGAAAAGAACAAAGCTGGAGGCATCACGCTACCTGACTTCAAACTAGACTACGAGGCTACAGTAACCAAAACAGCATGGTACTTGTACCAAACAGAGATATAGACCAATGGAACAGAACAGAGCCCTCAGAAATAACACCACACATCTACAACCATCTGATCTTTGACAAACCTGACAAAAGCAAGAAATGGGGAAAGGATTCCCTGTTTAATAAATGGTGCTGGGAAAACTGGCTAGCCATATGTAGAAAGCTGAAACTGGGTCCCTTCCTTACACCTTATACAAAAATTAATTCAAGATGGATTAAAGACTTACATGTTAGACCTAAAACCATAAAAACCCTAGAAGAAAACCTAGGCAATACCATTCAGGACACAGGCATGGCAAGGACTTCATGTCTAAAACACTGAAAGCAATGGCAATAAAAGCCAAAATTGACAAATGGGATCTAATTAAACTAAAGAGCTCCTACACAGCAAAAGAAACTACCATCAGAGTGAACAGGCAGCCTACAGAATGGGAGAACATTTTTGCAATCTACTCATCTGACAAAGGGCTAATATCCAGAATCTACAATGAACTCAAACAAATTTACAAGAAAAAACAAACAACCCCATCAACAAGTGGGCGAAGTATATGAACAGACACTTCTCAAAAGAAGACATTTATGCAGCCAACAGACACATGAAAAAATGCTCATCATCACTGGCCATCAGAGAAATGCAAATCAAAACCACAATGAGATACCATCTCACACCAGTTAGAATGGTGATCATTAAAAAGTCAGGAAACAACAGGTGCTGGAGAGGATGTGGAGAAATAGGAACACTTTCACACTGTTGGTGGGACTGTAAACTGGTTAAATCATTGTGGAAGACAGTGTGGTGATTCCTCAAGGATCTAGAACTAGAAATACCATTTGACCTAGCCATCCCATTACTGGGTATATACCCAAAGGATTATAAATCATGCTGCTATAAAGACACACGCACACGTATGTTTATTGCGGCACTATTCACAATAGCAAAGACTTGGAACCAACCCAAATGTCCATCAGTGATAGACTGGATTAAGAAAATGTGGCACATATACACCATGGAATACTATGCAGCCATAAAAAAGGATGAGTTCATGTCCTTTGTAGGGACATGGATGAAGCTGGAAACCATCATTCTCAGCAAACTATCACAAGGACCAAAAACCAAACACCGCATGTTCTCACTCACAGGTGGGAATTGAACAATGAGAACACATGGATACAGGAAAGGGAACATCACACACTGGGGTCTGCTCTGTGGTGGGGGGCTGGGGGAGGGATAGCATTAGGAGATATACCTAATGTAAAAGATGAGTTAATGGGTGCAGCACACCAACATGGCACATGTATGCATATGTAACAAACCTGCACGTTGTGCACATGTACCCTAGAACTTAAAGTATAATAAAAAAAAATTAAAATATTCTGCAGTCACAGTGACTGTCTTGGCTTCTCTTAATTTATGAGGACCTTTGTCTTATAGACTCTTTTTTTTAAAAAAAGATGGGGTCTTGCTGTGTTGTCCATGCTGGAGTGCAGTGGCTATTCACAGGCTTGATCATTGCATACTACAGTCTGGAACTCCTGGACTCAAGTCTCCCAGTGGCTGGGAATACAGGTGAGTGCCTACCACACCTAGCCTGATTTACAGATTTTTGACATCTATTATAGTTAAATGTATTTTCAGCATTTGCATATTAAAGGAATAATATTGATGCTTAACTTCATTAGTGATCAGGGAATTCCAAATTTAAAAAAAATTTTTTCATCTCTTATAGTATATTTAAAAATTCATTGCTGATAAGGATTCAGGGACGCCAACATTGTACATTGGTAGTGAAAATGGAAATTGGAAACTTTCTGTAATCTGACAGTAATTATGTTTTTAAAAATCCTTTTGAACTTGCAGTTCTACTTTTGGGATTTGAATTTATGGAAAGTAAAGTGCCAGTGAGAAAGAATATTGTTGACCCTTGAACAACATAGGGTTAGGGGAGCTGGCCTCCCACACAGTGAAAAATCCGCATACAACTTTTGATTCCCCCCAAACTACTAATAACCTATTGTTGACCAGAAGGCTTACTGATAACATGAGTTACATTTAAGACATATTTTGCATGCTATGTGTATTATATACTGTATTCTTACAATAAACTAAGCTACAGAAAAGAAATTATAATCAAGAAAATTGTAAGGAAGAGAAAATATATGACCCATTCATTAAGTGGAAGTGGATCACCCTAAAGGTCTTCATCATTGTTGTCTTCGTGTTGAGTAGGCAGAGGAGGAGGAGGAGGAGCTGGTCTTTGTGTCTTAGGGTAGCAGAGGTGGAAGAGGGTGAAGGGATGGAAGGGGAAGCAAAAGAGGCAAGCACACTTGGTGAAACTTTACAAAAATACATCATTATTTCTGTCTATTTTGCTTTTTCATTTCTCTAAAAACATTTCAGTGTAGTACCTATCCGTCTTCCACCATTTGCTTTAGTTTCAGTTCCTGTATCATGGAACGGTCTATGTCATAAAAGAAGTCAAAAGTAGTCTTGAATAATCAAAGCTCTTTTGCCAGATTGTTGAATGCCAATTTGTTTTCTGGCACTGCTTTTCCTATGTCTTCTTCCTCATTATCTGGCACTGGTTAGGAAGCACTCATCTCCATGAAGTCATCTTTTGTTAATTCCTCTGGTGTGGTGTGTATTAGCTCTTAAATTCCTCCAAGATCCATATCTTGCAACCCTTCACTCCACACCTTTTTTTCCCTTCATATCCATACTTCTTTCCATGGTTTTCTCTAAATTGGGTTTGTCGTAATTCTGTAGCTATGCACAACATCTGGACACAAATTGTACTTTTGTCCAGCACGAATTTATTGTTTTGAGTTTCATGGTTTTCTGTATCAACTGATGACATCTTGAAAGGTATAAGCCTTCCAGACTTCCATGATGTTCTCTCTATTGGGTTTCTCTTTTGCAATGTTGACAAACCTTTCCATAGAGTGCCATATGTAGAGCCTTAAAGGTCCTTATGACTCCCTTATCTAGAGGCTGAAGTAGAGATGTGTTTGGGGGAAAAGGAGAACACTTCAGTGCCTTTGGTGTTGAACTCATGGGGTTCTGGGTGGCCAGGGGGCATTTTCCAATTAAACAACAACAACAAAAAACTTTAAAAAGCAGTCCCTTACTGGCAAGGTACTTCTGACTTCAGGGACAAAGCATTGATGGAACTAATCCAGAAAAAGCATTCTCATAGTCCAGGCCTTCTTGTTGTACAACCAAAAGACTGGCAACTAGTGTTTCTCTTTTCCCTTTCAAGACTCAGGGGTTAGCAGCTTTATAGTTAAGGGCAGCCCTGATCATAAACCCGACTACATTTGCACAAAGCAGTAGAGTTAGCCTATCCCTTCCTGCCTTAAATCTTGGTGCTTGCTTCTCTTCCTTACTAATAAATGACCTTACTAATAAATGATTCTCCTGCCTCAGCCTCCTTAGTACCTGGGACTACAGGTGCCCGCCATGACGCCCGGCTAATTTTTGTATTTTTATTAGAGACGAGGTTTCACCATGTTGGTCAGGCTGGTCTCAAACTCCTGATCTCAAGTGATCCACCCACCTCAGCCTCCCAGAGTGCTGGGATTACAGGTGTGAGCTACCGCGCCCAGCCCGCACCTGCAGCTTAATCCCATTTCGCTGGTGCAACTTCATCCTTCCGTATGCTCAGGCCAATAAACAGTACTGTAGGCTGGTCGTTCTTTGACCCGCATACATCCTATTGGTCGGAAAAATATGTTTTCTCTTTGGTTAACCGCAGACTTTGATATGCACACTCTTTCTTGGTCTGAAACCCACCCAATAGTCCCATACGTAGATTTTTGGATAAACATAGAAATGGACCCTTCTGATCTGAAAGTTTGAAACTCGATATTTGTTTTATTTGAGTTCCTTCCTTCAGGCCTCTCAAAAAAGATATCAAAGAACTGAAAGTCACCCAGACAATGAGATGCCGGACCCCTCATTCATCCTGATTGCTTCCTTGCCCCTCCCTAGTTCCTGTTTTCTTTCTTTTCTTTTTTCTTTTTTTTTTTTTTTCTTTTTGCGACAGAGTCTCCCTCTGACTCCCAGGCTGGAGTGCAGTGGCGCTATCTTGGCTCACTGCAAGCTCCGCCTCCCGGGTTCACGCCATTCTCCTGCCTCAGCCTCCCGAGTAGCTGGGACTACAGGCGCCCGCCACCACGCCCGGCTAATTTCTTTTCGTATTTCTAGTAGAGACGGGGTTTCACCGTGTTCGCCAGGATGGTCTCGATCTCCTGACCTCGTGATCCGCCCGCCTCGGCCTCCCAAAGTGCTGGGATTACAGGCGTGAGCCACCACGCCCGGTCTAGTTCCTGTTTTCTTACACATTGTCACTTTCTTTCCCTGCCATCTAAGCCTCTAGTTTTGGTTGGTCAGGGAGATGGATTTGAGACTGAGTTCTCATCTCCTCCGCTGCAGCACCCTATTAAAGCCTCTTCCTTGGCAATAACCGTCTCAGTGATCGGTTTTCTGTGTGGCAAGCAGCAGGAACCCCAGGTCTCTGAACTTTGGCAAAGGAATCTCCTGATAAAGGCGGGATCGATTTTACTGACCAAGCTGAAAACGATCAGACGTTTGAAAGCCTTAATCTCGGAGCCTGTCGGAGTTTGGTCTGCCCTTGAGGCTTTTCTTTGGGCCTACCAGTCAAAATCAGCCTGGCCAAACCTGTCTTCAAGGACCAGGGGCAGGGCCGGCTTCTCCCGCCGGGTCGGCAGCCACCTTCCCCTTCCCTGTGACTTGAAGAGAAGCTTCAGGGGGCGTTTATTCAATTTGCGAGGAGCCCGCGAGGCGCAGGTGCGCGGTGACTCTGTGGTTCCCACCTCACCCGCTGCCCTCTTTGGTCCTCTCGCTGTCACCGGCGGGCAGTAATGTTCCGGGTGAGCTAGGGCTCCGAAGACAGCAGGCAGGGAGGGACCAGTGGGTAAGCGCACCGCCCGTTTAGGTCCTGCGCAGGAGGGATCCGAAAAAGGTCTTGAAGAAATAGAAAGGGAGGGCCAGATGCGGTGGCTCACGCCTGTAATCCCAGCACTTTGGGAGGCCGAGGTGGGTGGATCACGAGGTCACGAGTTCGAGACCAGCCTGGCCAAGATGGTGAAGCCCTGTCTCTACTAAAAATACAACAAGTAGCCGGGCGCGGTGACGGGCGCCTGTAATCCCAGCTACTCAGGAGGCTGAGGCGGGAGAATCTCTAGAACCCAGGAGGCGGAGGTTGCAGTGAGCTGAGACTGCCCCGCTGCACTCTAGCCTGGGCAACACAGCAAGACTCTGTCTCAAATAAATAAATAAATAAATAAATAAATAAATAGAAAGGGAGAGTTGGAAGTAGATCAAAGAGAAGAAAAGAAATCCTAGATTTCCTATCTGAAGGCACCATGAAGATGAAGGCCACCTCTTCTGGGCCAGGTCCTCCCGTTGCAGGTGAACCGAGTTCTGGCCTCCATTGGAGACCAAAGGAGATGACTTTGGCCTGGCTCCTAGTGAGGAAGCCATGCCTAGTCCTGTTCTGTTTGGGCTTGATCCTGTAGCACTTGATTGTCTCTCCTGGACTTTCCATGGATTCCAGGGATGCAACTGAGAAGTTTATTTTTAATGCACTTACTTGAAGTAAGAGTTATTTTAAAACATTTTAGCAAAGGAAATGAATTCTGACAGGTTTTGCACTGAAGACATTCACATGTGAGGAAAACAGGAAAACCACTATGCTAGAAAAAGCAAATGCTGTTGAGATTGTCTCACAAACACAAATTGCGTGCCAGCAGGTAGGTTTGAGCCTCAGGTTGGGCACATTTTACCTTAAGCGCACTGTTGGTGGAACTTAAGGTGACTGTAGGACTTATATATACATACATACATATAATATATATACATATTTATGTGTATATATATACACACACATACACACACACACACACACACACACACACACACACACACACACGGTCTTGCTATCTTGCCCAGGGTGGTCTCCAACTCTGGGTCTCAAGCGATCCTCTGCCTCCCCTTCCCAAAGTGCTGGGATTACAGGTGTGAGCCACCTCGCCCAGGCCATTTTAATTTTAATTTAATACTTTTAATTTGAATACACAATCCAAAAATCATATAACAAGTACAGGAAACCCACTTTATGCCAAGTTTACAAAAACAGCAAATATATGTCAATGACAAAGCGTCAAAGTGGCAACATCCTAAAGTACTGAGAGAAAAAAAGTTATTCTAGAATTCTATGCCAAATTGAAATATCTTTCAAAAATGTGACTGAAATCAGGACATTTAAAGACATACAAAAAAATGACAGAATTCACCGAACCACACTACAAGAAATATTAAAGGAGTCCTCCAGGCCTAAGGATAAGGATACCAAACAGAAATCTGAACCTACACAAAGAAATGGAGACGACTGAAAATCGCTATGTACGTACTTGGATGTTGGGGTTTATAACATGTCCAAAATCAAATTCCCTGACAACACTAGCATAAAGGCCAGAAGGGGAGGTATAATGTCACTTGATGGCAGATGGATAAAGATGTATTCTAGGGACCCTAAAGCCATCACTGACATAACAAAAGAAAGAGTTACAGCTAATAAGCCAAATAAGGAAAGAAAATAGAATGATATATAAAAAAAAAACATGTAATCGCTGGGTGCGGTGGCTCATGCCTGTAATCCCAGCACTTTGAGAGGCCAAGGCAGGCAGATCACTTGAGGTCAGGAGTTTGAGACCGGCCTGGCCAAAACGGTGAAACCCCGTCTCTACTAAAAATACAAAAATTAGCCCGATGTGGTGGCTCGCGCGGACCTGTAATCTCAGCTACTTGGGAGGCTGAAGCAGGAGATTCGCTTGAACCCGGGAGGCGGAGGTTGCAGTGAGAGCTGAGATGGCGCCACTGCACTCCAGCCTGGGTGACAGAGCGAGACTCTGTCTCAAAAATAAATAAATAAATAAATAAACAAACAAACAAACAAAAACTGTGTAATCCCTATGCTGGAGCAACTGCTCTCCAGGCCTCTACCCTATAGAAATACACAAATGGCCAATGAGAAGTGTACAAGAATGATCACTGCCGCATTATTTGCAATCATAAAATAGTAGCGCCAAAGTAATTTCAAAGATACATGAAAATCGTTTTATTTATTTAACAAACACAAACAATTGAACAAACAATGGAAGCAAGTCCTTTTGCCTAAAGGAACACAAAGGGTCATGCGGATGTTGCTCCTCCAAGGATTTCGGTGTTCCCCAACGGCTAGTTTTGGGTCTAGTTCTTCTGGAAGATCTTATTCTTGGGGAGCTACAGGTTCTGGCGTTTGGGGCTCTTTCAGGTTCTATCTCCATTTTCCCCTCAATTCCTCCCCATTCTGCTATAATAAAAAAAAATTCTCACCTCCGGAAGATCCCGCCTGTGCCTCCCCGCCAGCCTTTCAGGAGGTCTGGACGTCTGGTCCACCGCTCCCCGGCTTCTTTCCCCGCTTTTGCTTTTCCCCTCCCCTGCTCCCGCCCTCCGGCCTCAGGACCCGACCACCGCCCAGCTGAGCCCCCGCGGCTCCACGGCGCAGAAGGTGCACTGGAGGCCCTGCCCGTTGCCGCCCCGCGGGGTGCCAAGAAGTCAACGTAAATAAATGCTTTGTAAAAGGAACTTCCCCATGGAAAAATCTCTCATGATTTCCATTCTCAAGGCTCTTCAAAGGACTAAAAGCTAAAAGGATGGATTCATTCGACAAGTCCTAGTCCTGCGCCCTGGTGAGTGCCAGACCCTGCTCCCCGCGAGGGGGACCCACGAGCCACCCTCACCACGATCCCTGCCCTGGTGGAGCCCCCGTGCGGAACACAGGATCCGAAGATGGCAGCGGAAGCTCCGCAGCGGCCCCAAAAGCGACTGGGCAGGGAGGGCACAGGCTCCCTCACTGGGTGAAGGCGGCGCAAAGAACGGGAAGAGCCATCCCGGGAGCCACCGGGCGTTCAGCCTCCCTAGGGCCCCCAGGCGGCTCGGGCCGGGGTCTCAACCGGGGCGTTTCCGGGGGTTTCTGAAGCAGGCGAGGGGCAGGGCGGGCGAAGGCCATTCGGCTATCCTTCTGGCTCCAGAATCTCCCAACGCGCAGGTGTCCAACGTGACCAGCGCGACTTACCGCTCCAATCTCTCCGGTCTTCCAAGGCCTTGCTCAGTCGTCCTGCTGGGAGGGCCCTGAGGATGCAAGGGACGGAGGAAGTTTCGTGCGTGCGCCCTTCCTATAGCGCCCAGTAGAACTGACAGTACCTGTCTCTGTGGCGCAATCGGTTAGCGCGTTCGGCTGTTAACCGCAAGGTTGGTGGTTCCAGCCCACCCAGGGACGCTTGTTCGAGCTTTTAAAGTATTCACGCATTGTCAATCACTAGATAAATGGGGAAGATTTTATCTTCCTGGAGTCCTAAGCCACTAATTTGTGACTTATCCATGTCAAGGGCCAGCCCACCTCCCCGACCGGATTCTTAACCGGGTATCTCCTGAAATCCTGGGTTTATACGTGTGTAACTCAGGAATCCTGAAACAGAGACCTAGGAACCCACTTCTGGTGTGATAAAATTCTAATTCAGTCCGTTATACGCTTAAACGAGTAATTTACATGCCTCCATTTTTTCATATTTTAATAATAGGAGGTCAGTAATATCCCCAGGATGTGCCTGGATTTACTGATTGCTCTATCAATAATGTGACCAGTGGAATCATTCATCATCATAGTGATCCTCTCCATCATTTTTGAAAAGAGTATTTTTCCTCAGTTTGTGCATGATTTATTTAACCCTTTTCAAAATGTTTTTGTTAGCCAGGCATGGTGGCATGTGCCTGTAATCCCAGGTACTTGGGATTCTGAGGCAGGAGAATCATTTGAACCTGGGAGGTGGAGGCTGCAGTGGAGGCTGCACCAGTGGAGGCTGCACTGCTACACTCCCACCTGGGCAACAGAGCGAGACTCCATCTCAAAAAAAAAATAAAAATAAAAAAATAAAGTTTTTGAGATGAGGTAGGTTTCATTGTTTTAGGATTACAAAGAATGCTGCAGCCACCTTTCTTGTACACATATCTTTGGTCATTGTGGAAATGTCTACACCGCAGATATTTCTATAGTGTAGGGAAGTTGATGCACTATTGCTACATTATAGGGTTTACATGATGCTTGTAATTTGAGTACATTCTGCAAATGTATCTTTCACGGGAGCCGTACCAAATAATATTCCAATAGCAATATTTATAGGAGGAAAAATGTGCAGAAGTGCAATTGAGCTTCGTGCCTCTCCATGGGGCCCATGTTCATAAAATGGTGGCATTAGCAATCATCTGAGAGTGGAGTTTGTGGCCCTCTGACATCAAAAGCTGAAGCAGAGGACATGAAAACCCTCACTGTGCATCCTCTCTAGTCTGGCCAGAATCATTCCTAGGTCGGTGGTCTCTTATCAGGAGGGAATGCTGCTTGCTTGTTTTGTCAAAATCACAAAACTGAGGAAAAGCATCAGGCCGTTGGTTGGTAACAGTGGTGAAGCAAGTCTTTCCAAAGGGCTGGTTTGTTGTTAACCCTTAGGGAAAAAAAAGCCTAATTCTTTTTTTTTGAGACGGAGTCTCTCTCTGTCGCCCAGGCTGGAGTGCAGTGGCGCGATCTCGGCTCACTGCAAGCTCCGCCTCCCGGGTTCAGGCCATTCTCCTGCCTCAGCCTCCCGAGTAGCTGGGACTACAGGCGCCCGCCACCACGCCCGGCTAATTTTTTTTATTTTTAGTAGAGATGGGGTTTTACCGTGTTAGCCAGGATGGTCTCGATTTCCTGACCTCGTGATCCGCCCGCCTTGGCCTCGCAAAGTGCTGGGATTACAGGCATAAGCCACCGCGCCCGGCCAAAAAAGCCTAATTCTTACCAGCTGGTGCCGTGCAGTTCCAGTCTCTTGGTGTCCCAAACAAAGAACTGTACATGACACACAAAAAGCAGCAAAGCAAAGCAAAAGTTTATTAAGCACAGTAACACTCTCAGAGTGGGGAGGGTGGGCTGACCTCTGGGAGATGAGATCAGTATTAGTTTGGTGTACTTGGGGTCTTTGTGTGTGTGTGTGTGTGTTTTTCCTTCTCTTCACAAGGATGCCTACTGTTTTTGTTTGTTTGTTTGTTTGTTTGATGAGGCGGAGTCTCACTCTGTCACCCAGGCTGGAGTGCAGTGGCACGATCCCGGCTCACTGCAAGCTCTGCCTCACGGGTTCACGCCATTCTCCTGCCTCAGCCTCCCCAGCAGCTGGGACTACAGGCGCCTGCCACCACGCCCGACTAATTTTTTTGTATTTTTAGTAGAGACGTGGTTTCACCGTGTTAGCCAGGATGGTCTCGATCTCCCGACCTCACGATCCTCCCGCCTCGGCCTCGCAAAGTGCTGAGATTACAGGCGTGAGCCACTGTGCCCGGCCAAGGATGCCTAATCTTTAGCCACTGTTTGCCTTTTGATTGATAGGTGGGTTGCTTAGTTACTTTGGCCCTTGTGTGCTTGAATGCTGCCTCCATCCCATAATTTTAAGTACATGCATGATATGCAGTCTGTATGCATGAGCTTTAATGAGCTGATTATCATATGAAGTCATGTTAAGGATACTTTTTCTCTCTAATGCACATGCCTATCTCTGAAGAGCTGCCCCTTTCCTGGTTTGGATCTTGCTGGCCATGGGGTCCTTGCTTGCTTTTTTTTTTTTTTTTTTAAGACAGGGTCTCGCTCTGTTGCCCAGTCTGGAGTGCAGTGGCATGATCTTGGCTCACTGCAACCTCTGCCTCCTGGGTTCAAGCAATTCTCCTGTCTCAGCCTCCTGAGTAGCTGGGAGTACAGGAGTGTACCACCATGCCCAGCTATTTTTTTGTATTTTTAGTAGAGAAGGGGTTTCACTACATTGGTCAGGCTGGTCTCGAACTCCTGACCTCGGGCGATCCACCTGCCTTGGCCTCCCAAACTGCTGGAATTACAGGGGTGAGGGGCTGCGCCCGGCCTTGCTTGCTTTTTTTAATCTTACTTTTTGTTTTGGCCACTCAACTGCTGCCTTTTATCTTGCTTCTTGCTCTCCCACCCCATCACCTTGCTTCTGTTTCTGCTTTTACTCATTCTGCCTTTTATCCAACTTCCAACTCCCTCTGCTGTTCTCCTGCCTCATAATGGCGGTTAGTGAGGGAGGGGTTTTAAGGGGGGCATGTCCGACCTCCTATCCTGTCATAGCCAGAAACAGCTTTCAAGGTTTCTCTGTGGTCCTGTCAGCCAAGAGGGAGTCCGTTCAGTTGGTTGTAGGGCCTAGGGCTTATTTTTATTTCTCAGTGCTGACAAGGGAAGGCTGGATTAATGCAGATTCTCTGCAGGTGTAAATTTCCCCTACAAAAGACAGTTTTGCAGAGTTACTTCTGTTTGCTGGCTCTCTGACAGCCATCTTAAAATATGTCAAAGAAATATATTCTGGGGTAAAATATTTTGATTTTTTCGTCTATCTATAGCTTCACCGTGCTGACAGCCTCCAATCCAAGCATACCTGAAGCCTTTCCTTTTAAAAAGCTTTCCCACCCTTCTGACTGCCTTCAAGTCTCTGCCAAAACACAAGTAACAGTGGCTGACTCCCTGCCATAGCAAGCTCAGAATAAATAGCCTTTGCTTTTTTTCATTTGGTTGGTCTTTGTTTATTTGCAGAAGCTTCAATGTAGAGTTGACAAGGACTCCATCTTTGACCAAACCTTAGTCAGTTTCCTCTGAGCCCTTTTCTCTATTAGTTCTTGGCCTGCCAAGTCCAGTTTTAGAAAAGAATACCATTGAGCCTAGTTTAGCAAGAGTCCTCCCAACCACCTTTGATAGCTAATCAAGTTCCTCTTAGTAATTTTCCATCCACTGACTTTCTTACCTTGCCGATTGGCTATAAATCTTCAACTCTTCTTGCTGTATTTGGAGTTGAGCTCGGTTCTCTGCTGGTCTCTCTTGCCTACTGCAGTACATACAATAAAATCCGCCTCATGCTTTTAACAGGTGTCAGGGTAGTCCCTCTGAAACTACTTTTGCAAAATTATGACAATCAGAGAAATCTGACATGGCTGACTCCATTTTGGTTCTAGCCTCACAGGCTAGCTGTCTTTGCTCATTCCTGTGCAATTTCTCCCAAGCTATCTTTGGGAAAAGTTGAGTTTATAGTTTAAATCAGGGGTCCCCAACCCCCAGGGCCACAAGACAGGTACTGGTCCATGGCCTGTTAGGAACCCAGCCAAACGGCAGGAGGTGAGCTGCAGGCTTTGGAGCATTACCACCTGAGCTCCGCCTCTTGTCAGATCAGCATCGGCATTAGATTCTCGTCGGAGCTCGGACCCAGATTGCACACTCCTTATGAGACTGTAACTAATGCCTGATGACCTGAGGTGGAACAGTTTCATCCGGAAACCCCCTTCCATGGAAAAATTGTCTTCCATGAAACCAGTCCCTGGTGCCAAAAACATTGGGGACAGCCAGAAAGGTGGGTTTAAATGATAACCTTCCCCAAAACTAAATTACCCCTGTAAAACTAATGAAAGGCCACCAAGTTAGGAGGATGAAAGGGACCTGAATTCTACTAAGATGTATGCCTCGTTAAATAATTACCAGCCATTATTCCAGAGGTCACAAGATTTAC
This sequence comes from Homo sapiens, assembly GCF_000001405.40. NCBI lineage: Eukaryota > Metazoa > Chordata > Mammalia > Primates > Hominidae > Homo > Homo sapiens. Next base: position 146,374,478 of record NC_000001.11, read on the forward strand.
AGCTTCCCCAATTACCACTGTGAAGAACATCACTATTGCAGAACCTAAGACTGGCCTCTTGAGATGCCTTTTCAGGCTTTTGCATTTCTGACTACTGGATGTCACCATTTGGCCCGCAAATCAACCAGTCCCTTAGCTCCCACCCAGAAGCTGACTCAATGCAGGAGGGCCATTTTCCACACCCCTGTGATTTCATCCCCAACAATCAGCACTGCCCAAACCCTGGCCCCCTCCCCACCAAACTGTCTTTGAAAAAACCCTTACCTCCAAGCCTTCAGTGAGATAGATTTGAGTAATAACTCCGTCCCCCACATGTTGTGGCTGGCCTGTGTCAATTAAACTCTTTACTGCAATGCCATGGTCTCCATGAATTGATTTTGTATGTACAATGGGCAGGAAGAACCCATCAGGCAGTTGCACCTGCAGGATGGTGCCAGTTCTTTCCACGAAGGCTGGTCAGATACCCAGAAAGTATTTCTCCACTACTACCTGGACGATGTGTCTCTCTGTCAGTCTCCAGGGAATGGGGCCTGGATCAAGTATTTAGTATTCAGCAGTTACTATACCGTCACCTAATCCCTCATTTTCAATATTTTGCCATGCCTTCCAGTGGCCTAACTGGCCACCATGCCACAGAATCTTTACTTTATGCTCTCCAGAGGAGACCTCTCCATTCAATGTTTTGTGATTTGAGCAATGGAATAGAATCTGATACTGGTGGCCTGGGGAAGGTCCCCAGACACTGGTGGGATCTCGACCCCAGCTGTGGTGTCCAGGCTCTTGACACCATCTGGAGAACCAAGTCAAGGATGAGTCAGCAAATAGTGAAAGAAGAGATGTATTGCAAAGCAGAAAGTACACACTCAAGAAAGGGGAGTTCGGGCATACCCGAGAGAGAACAATGGGTTCTGGGGTTTCATCTCGATGGGTTTCTTTAACCAAGGAGTGGAATATTCGTGAAAATTCCTGGGTAAAGGTGGAGATTTCTCGGAACTGTGGTGCCATCCATTTTTACATCACATATTGGTCTCAGAACTGTCATGGCACTGGTGGGTGTGTGATTTAGTATGTTAATAAGCGTATAATGAGGGCCTAGGTAAAACCTACCTCAAATCTAGCACCACATTGGGTCCAGTCAGTCTTAGCCAGCTTGGTCCACACCCTGGTTTTTCAGCGTCTTATCAGCCCATAGCCTCAAGTCATGTAAATCTGCTGCCTAGAATTTGTTACCCTGCGGCCACCCTGTATTATTCCTGCCTCAAATCTACTTGTAAATATTCAAATGGTCTTTGACTTGGATTCCAACTTTACTTACTTCACAGTGTTTCCTGCGTTATAATCCAATGTAAGAAAAGATGATCCAGACATTTGTTAAACATCTCAAATAAGATGTATCCCAGGTATTTGTGTCAAATTTGGATTATTTTGGTTTTGTCTTTGCAGAATATAAAAAACTAACGTGAGGTAAGCACTAAGGTCTGGAGATGGCTGTGCAAGAGATGACAAAGTCCAACACCACGCTGGAGAGTGTCCAATCATCTCTTCTGGGGCAGCATATTTTTCTACAATACTGAATTTGGAAAACAACAGCAACAACAACAACATCAAAAGCAAACAAATAAACAAACAAAAACCTACAAGATTCATGAAACTGGACAACTGTCTTTATAACATTACCAGTGATAAAACCAGTAAGGAAGGCTGGTTTGCAGTCATCTGAGAAGCCTCTTTCATTTCATAAATATGGTTTCTCTCTGACATTGAACGGCTTCCAATTTCAAGCGGAATGCTACATGACAAGGATAAGGATGTGAAGAGAACCGGTTTCTTTTGTAATCCTAAACGTTCTCGTCTGAGAATTAAAAGCCATTATTTGAAGAACGGTGCCCAGGCTCCAGCTGGCCACCGAAAGGTTGCTCCGCAGCGCAGGCTAAGGACCAGCTTCTTCGGGCGAGAACAGATGCCGGGGCGGGAGGGAAAAAGGGAGAGACAGACGTCACTTCCCCCTGCCGGCTCCGGCAGCGGGTTGGTAGGCTGAGCGGCAGAAAGGCAGACGGGGACTGGGAAAGGCACTGTCGGTGACATCACGGATAGGGCGACTTCTATGTAAATGAGGCAGCGCAGGGGCTGCTGCTTCGCCACGAAGGATTTCCCGTGCCGTGGGAGCGGGTTCAGGACCGCTGGTCGGACCTGAGAGTCCCAGCTGTGTGTGAGGGCTAGGAGGGCTGGGGGTGGGGGGGGGTGGGGGGGGGGGGTGCGCGGGGCAAGTGACCGTGCGTGTAAAGGGTGAAGCGTGTGAGGCTGTGGCGGGGCGGAGGTGCAAAAGCTCATACTTACCTGGCAGGGGAGATACCATGATCACGAAGGTGGTTTTCCCAGGGCGAGGCTTATCCATTGCACTCCGGATGTGCTGACCCCTGCGATTTCCCCAAATGTGGGAAACTCGACTGCATAATTTGTGGTAGTGGGGGACTGCGTTCGCGCTTTCCCCTGATTTTTGTAGTTTAAAGAACAGTCTGCACGGCGAGGGTTACTTGTTTTTTTTACTGGCTTGTGCTTTACTCTTAATCGTTTCTCTCACAGTCGGAGGTTGAGGAATAGTAGTAATATGTCGCTTTCTCCCCGCCTCGGGAGAAATAAGAAGCGTCGACCTTTACACAAGCTAGCTAGCGCGAAGGCCGCACAGCTCTTCCTTTATCTACGCGGGGCTGCTTTTTGCAGAGATTTGTCTGTCCATGGTCTGCAGTCTCTTGGGTTCTCAGGGTCTGTGAAAATCTACGTGTTTTTCCCTAACCTCCAGTCACATTTCACACAGCGTCTGCTTCTAGCCGCAGCCCCCTCAGGAGTTTGTAGGATTTCTGTGCTATCGGGGAATGTGTTCTCACCTCATAGAGCCGGGTACAAACTACGCAGGCGGGGGCTGTTCTTTGGGATGAAAGCAGGGCCTTTGGGGCTCTTAGCGCGTCCCCGTTGGGTTGTAGACATAACACGCTTACTTTGCGGAGTGGAACGGCTCTCCCGGAGCCCAGGTGTCCTAACGCAATTCATCGAGGCCCGCAGGTCAGAACCGCAGTCTCACCTGTCTTGGCCGAAATGCGCTGCGATCCTCCCTGAAATATAAGGCGGGAAGTTTTATGAGGAGACGGGTCCAGTTTCCCTACTATCTCCTGCCGTTTACATATCTAGTCTTTCTTCAGACTTTATTTAAGCGACAGCTTCTTGTTTGATGTCTCGCTTCCGCATCCCACAGCCATTGCCAGGCAGCTTTCTAGATAGCACCCCGACCCATCCTTCCCACCCCCAAGCAGCCCTTTCCTATTTCTGGCGCCAGTGTCCTCCCCTCTTCCTCTTTCTTCAGGCCCTCGCTTATCACCTTCATGGACAGAAAATACTTAGCTCTCTCTCAACCTGCAGTTTGCACCTGACACGCGTCAGTACCCTGGCAAATTCCTTAATACCGCTTCTCAAATGACACTGTAAATTCATCTCTTTTTTTTTTTTTTTTTTTTTGTTTTCACGGAGTCTCGCTCTGTCGCTCAGGCTGGAGTGCAGTGGCACGATCTCGGCTCTCTGCAAGCTCCGCCTCCCGGGTTCACGCCATTCTCCTGCCTCAGCCTCCTACCAGGAGCTGGGACTACAGGCGCTGGCCACCACGCCCGGCTAGTTTTTTGTATTTTTAGTAGAGACGGGGTTTCACCGCGTTAGCCAGGATGGTCTCGATCTCCTGACCTCGTGAACCCTCCCAAAGTGCTGGGGTTACAGGCGTGAGCCACCGCGCCCGGCAAATTAATCTCTTTTTAACTCCCAGAAGTATCTAATTGGTTTTGTCCCTGCACTACATGAATACTACAGAAGAAAACCCCAGGCCTAGCGATGGCGGATCTGGGCATTGTGCCAGCCTCTCCCAGGGTATGTTTTCTGACCTCACCTACTTCTGATCAACTGAGGTCAGGAGTTCGAGACCAGCCTGACCAACATGGTGAAACTCTGTCTCTGTTAAAAATACAAAACAAAACAAAACAACACAAAAAAATAGCCAGACGTGGTGGTGTGCGTCTGTAGTCCCAACTACTTGGGAGGCTGAGGCAGGAGAATCGCTTGAACCCGGGAGGCGGAGGTTGCGGTGAGCCGAGATCGTGCCGTTGCACCCCAGCCTGGGCGACAGAGGGAGACTTTCTCTAAAAAATAAAAAATAAAAAACAAAAACAAAACAAACAAAAAACAAAAAAACTAGTCCATCTGAGACATATTATTGGAGACAGTAGAATCCTGCATCCAACAGGCACTTGGTGCAGATCTGAACCCATTGAGCTATTGGCTCATGTTCCCTCTGTTCTATTAAGTATCATGAGCAGAAATTGAGCTCTTTGGCTTTTACCCACTAAGTATGGCTGTAGGACAGGTCTCTCTCTCTCTCTCTCCCTCTCTCTCTCTCTCTCTCTCTCTCTGTCTCTCTCTCTCTCTCATTTTTGCAGCATTATTTTTTGCCATCAGTGTGGGTTTTTGGTTTTGATGTTATGAAGTGAATTTCTGGGGACAATCTCTGTTGGGTGGTGTTGACAAGGATCCAGTCCCTGTTTGGTAATACATGACAGCTAAGCTGCTCTGTGAGTCTTTTTTATTGTCTATTTATTGTCCTGAGAATAATGGTATTTCCTGATATTTGAGACTGCAGCAATGATGAGTTGTTCATATCTTGTCTTTCCAATGTTTGTTAAAAATTTTATGGGCCCAATAGTTGTCAATATCTGCAAGAGTGGCATCTCTATTACAAGAGTGATCTTACTACTCAATGTCCCCCCTCCCACCCAACTTTGTTCCATAGGAGCTCTTGGCTTTAACAAATTTACTATATCTAAAAGACATCTTAGCACAGGAAGAACACTAAATCTGTAGCATGTAAGGAGCAGTTTTCTTTGATTGGTATATTCAGGTTTCTAACCAGCTGAAAAATTCAAATACATGTCCTTTAAGGATTAAGTTTAAACCACACTACAGAAAGGAGAGAAAAGACTTATATGATCATATGTAAGCAATGGAATCAGCAATATGAGCACTTTTCACAACTATACAAATCAAATTTAATAATCTCCAGAACATTAAGGAAGTTCAGCCCTTAATGAAAATGAATGAAAAGAAATTATTCGCCCACTGTCATATGCCCTGGAAAGAGAATGTCCTGCCGGACTCAAAAGGGTATCACAATATTACTCAGATTTTCAGCAACGAAGGCCCTCTGAGGATTTAATGATGTTAATATTTTCAGTTTATTTCCTTCACTGATAAACATTGTTAATAGATACCATTGCCTCTGTTTTCACCTTAAGTGATGTTACTTAGCACAATTCGTTTCTTTAGAATGCCCCCTAGTTTGGTGGAAGGAATTTTCTTGCTTTATTAATATAGGATATTTTCTCATGAAGCAAACTGGCATACTCTTTCAGTGAAGTGAATAGACAAATTAGGTCTCTAAAATTTTAAAGGAGTCACTGCCCCAATTATCTTAGGAACAATAATAATCACTTATATAAAATTAAAATAAGAAAATTAAGCCAGGTATGGTGGCTCATATCTGCAATCCCAGCACTTTAGGAGGCTGAGGAGGGAGGATCAATTGAGGTTAGGAGTTGGATACCAGCCTGGCAATATAGTGAAACCCCTGTCTCTACAAATTTTTAAGTATTAGCTAATTTTTTAAAGTTGGCCAGGCATGATAATGCATGACTATAATCTCAGCTACTTGGGAGACTGAGGCAGGCTGCAGTGAACTATGATTGCGCCACTGCCCTCCAGCCTGGGTGACAGAGTGAGACTCCCAACTCAAAAAAAAAAAAAAAAAAAAAAAAAAAAAGAAAAGAAAAAGAAAAAGAAAGAAAATTAAGAATTTGTTGAAAATTGTTTTACTACAATGCTAGGCTGCATGTCTTGCACCTGTACTCCCAGCAACTCAACAGGCTGAGGCAGAAGGATTGCTTTAGGCCAGCAGTTGGAGACCAGCTTGGGCAACAGGGCAAGACCCCATCTCTAAAAAAATACAAGGCAAGCTGAGCCAGGAGGATTGCCTGAGCCCAGAAGTTCCAAGCTGGTCAGCTATGATAGCCCCGCTGCACTCAAGCCTGGATAACAGAGCAAGACCCTGCGCCTTATTTTTTATCTTATTTTTTTTTTTTTACTACTTATGCTTATTTATTTGTTTTTGAGACAGAGTCTTGCTCTGTAGCCCAGGCTAGACTGAAGTGGTGCAATCTCAGCTCACTGCAAGCTCTGCCTCCCAGGTTGAAGCTATTTCCCTGCCTCAGCCTCCAGAGTAGCTGGGATTACAGGCGCACGCCACCACACACAGCTAATTTTTATATTTTTAGTAGAGACGGGGTTTCACCATGTTTGTCAGGCTGGTCTCAAGCTCCTGACCCCAAGTGATGCACCTGTCTTGGCCTCCCAAAGTGCTGGGATTACAGGTGTGAGCCACCTCGCCCAGCCTACTTATGCTTGAAATGTGAGGTTTCATTAGGGAGAAATTTTCTTGTTGAATTTCTAACATGAAAAAAATAATAGATTTAGCAGTAGATTAAATTAATGGTCTTGATAGTTTGGTACAATAAAATAAATGGAATGAAGTTGACAGCAGAGAGGAATCTTTGATGCTTTTGAACAATTTAAATAGTGTAAGTATTGTGGGGAAAAGAAAGAGAGATCAGACTGTCACTGTGTCTATGTAGAAAGAAGGAGACATAAGAGACTCCATTTTGTTCTGTACTAAGAAAAATTCTGCCTTGAGATGCTGTTAATCTGTAACCCTACCCCCAACCGTGTGCTCCCTGAAACATGTGCTGTGTCCACTCAAGGTTAAATGAATTAAGGGCTGTGCAGGATGTGCTTTGTTAAACAAATGTTTGAAGGCAGCATGCTTGTTAAGAGTCATCACCACTCCCTAATCTCAAGTACCCAGAGACACAATACACTGCAGAAGGCCGCAGGGACCTCTGCCAAGGAAAGCCAGGTATTGTCCAAGGTTTCTCCCCATGTGATAGTCTGAAATATGGCCTCGCCGGAAGGGAAATACCTGACCGTCTCCCAGCCCGACACCCGTAAAGTGTCTGTGCTGAGGAGGATTAGTAAAAGAGGAAGGCATCTGTCTCCTGCTCATCCCTGGGCAATGGAATGTCTCGGTGTAAAACCCGATTGTATATTCCATCTACTGAGATAGGAGAAAACCCCCTTAGGGCTGGAGGTGGGACATGTGGGCAGCAATACTGCTCTTTAAGGCATTGAGATGTTTCTGTATATGCACATCAAAAGCACAGCACTTTTTTCTTTAGCTTGTTTATGATGCAGAGACATTTGTTCACATGTTTTCCTCCTGACCCTCTCTCCACTATTACCCTATTGTTCTGCCACATCCCCCTCTCCGAGAAACACCCGATAATGATCAATAAATACTAAGGGAACTCAGAGACTGGTGCCGGCGCGGGTCCTCCGTATGCTGAGCGCCGGTTCCCTGGGCTCACTTTTCTTTCTCTATACTTTGTCTCTGTGTCTCTCTCTTTTCTCAAGTCTCTCCTTCCACCCGACGAGAAACGCCCACAAGTATGGAGGGGCAGGCCACCCCTTCATCTATTTAATATGTAAACGATGAAAACGTTTATTACATTATTATTTGCTTATTTATGTATTCATTTTGAAACGGAGTCTCACTCTGTCACCTAGTCTGGAGTGCAGTGGTGCAATCTTGGCTCACTGCAACCTCCGCCTCCTGGGTTCAAGCAATTCTCCAGCCTCAGCCTCCTCAGTAGCTGGGATTACAGGCACACACCACCACGCCCGGCTAATTTTTGTATTTTTAGTAGACACGGGGTTTCACCATGTTGCTCAGGCTGGTCTCGAACTCCTGACCTCGTGATCCACCCGCTACGGCTTCCCAAGGTGCTGGGATTACAGGCGTGAGCCACCGTACCTGGCCCATTACGTTATTTTTTTAAAAATCAATGTGACTCTTTTGACAAATTAGAATGGCTCAATAATCTTGGTTACGCTGGGCACGGTGGCTCACGCCTGTAATCCCAGCGCTTTGGGAGCCGGAGGTCAGGAGTTCGAGATCAGCCTGGCCAACATGGTGAAACCCTGTCTCTACTAAAAATACAAAAATTAGCCGGGCATGGTGGCGGGCTCCTGTAATCCCAGCTACTCAGGAGGCTGAGGCAGAAGAATTGCTTGAACCTGGGAGGCAGAGGTTGTAGTGAGCCAAGACCGCGCCACTGCACTCCAGCCTGGGCGACAGAGTGAGACTCTGTCTGAAGGAAAAAAAAAAAAAAAGAGAGAGAGAAATTTGGTTTTAGAACAAGACAAATTAAATGGGAGACTTACTTGCAATGAGACCTAGAAATTTCCAAATTTCTAAATTTCTAAAATTTCTAAAAGAACTGAGAAAATTGCGCCGGGCGCGGTGGCTCAGGCCTGTAATCCCAGCACTTTGGGAGGCCGAGGCGGGCGGATCATGAGGTCAAGAGATGGCGATCATCCTGGCCAACATGGTGAAACCCCGTCTCTACTAAAAATACAAAAATTAGCCGGGCTTGATGGCGGGCTCCTGTAGTCCCAGCTCTCGGGAGCCTGAGGCAGAATTGCTTGAATCCGGGAGGCGGAGGTTGCAGTGAGCCGAGAGCACACCACTGCACTCCCGCCTGCCAATAGAGCCAGACTCCATCTCAAAAAAAAAAAAAAAAAAAAAAGAACTAAGAAAATTGCCTCCATTGAGGAAGTAAGCTTAAGGAGGTAAACTGACACGTTTTCTGAATTGAGAAATATTGAGGAGGCTTTGTCTCTTTCGCCTCCAACTGCTCCTTCTCCTCCTGCCCCTGCACCTGCATAGTCTTTCTTACCTGAGCTTTCCTGTCCTGCCTTGCCTCTTCTTCCATCACCATCACCTGAGGAAAGTCCCCAGGGCTCTGGCCCCTTCCCTGAAACTTCTGTTCTGACAGCCCCTTTCAAGGTAAAACCCAAACCCACAGGAAGAGGGGAGCCTACCATTGTGTACACCGCTTCACCAAAATGTGAATTAAGAATATTATAGCCGGGCGCGGTGGCTCACGCCTGTAATCCTAGCAGTTTGGGAGGCGGAGGCGGGCGGATCACAAGGTCAGGGGATGGAGACCATCCTGGCTAACACGGTGAAACCCCATCTCTACTAGAAATACAAAAAATTAGCGGGGCGTGGTGGGGGGCGCCTGTAGTCCCAGCTACTCAGGAGGCTGAGGCAGGAGAATGGCGTTAACCCGGGAGGCGGAGCTTGCAGAGAGCCGAGATCGCGCCACTGCACTCCAGCCTGGGCAACAGAGCAACACTTCATCTCAAAAAAAATAAATAAATAAAAATAAATAAAAAAAAAATAAAGGACTTCCCTGATCTAAAGTTAAACACATTTCGTTCTTCTATTTCTAAAGCAGGCTCCAAGATCCTATAGGCTTTGGCAGAAAATTCGACTTAACTGTCGAAACCTTTGAGCCCAAATATTCTGACGTTTATCAATTAATTCACATTCTGGTGAAGAAGGCAAGGCCACTAACTGGTTGCAAAAGGCAAATTGGAAGGATTTTCAAGCAGAACATGAAAGGTTCACATTTTAGCCAAATATGTGCATGTTGCCATTCCCCAGGTCCTTCCTAAAAATATAGATTGGAGGATAATTCAGCAATGTACTAAAAAGCCAGACAAATCTGTCTTTGCTTACTTAAAATGGTTTGAGGGCCAGGCGTGGTAGCTCATGCCTGTAATCCCAGCACTTTGGGAGGCTGAAGCAGGTGGATCCCTTGAGGTCAGGAGTTCGAGACCAGCCTGCCAACCTGGTGAAACCCTGTCTCTACTAAAAACACAAAAATTAGCCAGGTGGCTACTCAGGAGGCTGAAGCAAAAGAATCGTTTGAACCCGGGAGGTGGAGGCTACAGTGAGCTGAGATCCTGCCACTGCAATACAGCCTGGGTGACAGAGCGAGACTCTGTCTCAAAAAGAAAAAAATTAGCAGGGTAGTAGAAATATAATGCACACGAGAATGATAATCACGAAGACAATCTGTATTCCAGAATAGTAAGGGAACCTATTCCATTAGGGAGCCAACTGAAAATATAAAATCGCAGTTCACACCACAGGGTGTGGTGTCACATGCCTGTAGTCCCAGCTACTCGGGAGGATTGGTAAGGAAGTTTGCTTGAATTCATGAGGTCAAGGCAGAAGTAACCCTGATCATGCCACTGCACTCCAGCCTGGGGGACAGTGAGACCTTGTCTCAAAAACAAACTAAAAAACAAACAAAAACCCCCACAAAACCAGACAACAACAACAAATTGTCTCCTCACTCTGAACTGACAGCGGCAAACAACACTTTGCTATTGGAAAATTGAAAGAAAAACACTCCCTCTTGCTGTCAACCTGCCTTCTTGCTCTAACATTTCTGACCCATGGTTTAAAATGCCCAAAAGCTGATGTACTCAATTTCACTTACCTGTTCTGCACCAGCATTTATTTTTGTGTGGAGGAGATCACCATGCATGGTCCTATAAATGTCTAATGGCATGGAATGATGAAGGGCAGTGTCTTTAAGATATTTGGAGATATATATATATATATATATATATATATATATATATATATATACACACACATACACACATATATACACACATATATATAAATATATATATATACACACATATATCTGAAGAAACCCAACATTGGGTGAGTTCCCTCTAACTTTTCACTAGGCATGACCACTGCTCTATTTTAGATAGAGATTCAGTGCGGCAAAACCTGAGAATTATCTGCCCGGCTAGCAAGAAGATAGCTCCTTGCATTTTTGCGGGGAGAGCACTTTTGCTTCAAGGGAGTGTTTCTTCCCAGGATTATAAATCTTTCTGTAACCTCAGGAAACACTGCTGATGAAAACCAGGCATGGTGGCTCTGGCCTGTAATCCCAGTGACTCGGGGGCTGAGGCAGGAGGATCACTTAAGCCCAGGAGTTGGAGGCTGCAGTGAGCTATGATGGCACCACTGCACTCCAGCCTAGGCCACAGAGACAGATGCTGTCTCTGAAAGAAAAAGAAAAAAGAAAGAAAAACATTGCTGACGAAACTGCGGCCTCTTTTGCAGCTCAATAAAAAGCTATTTATTCACTGGCTAAGGTTGTACTAGGTAATCACATCACTTTAGATGATATATTTAGCTGAGCAGGGAGATGTATGTGTGGTGGCAAATACCTTTTGTTGCATATACATAAATGTTTCCCATGCAGTAGAACCTTCTCTAGAAAAAAAAATTAGAAAAGAAGCCACTTGGCTACAAGAAATCACTAAAGAAGAAATGGTATTTGATGTTTTCCCTGATGTTTTCAGTTGGCTGCCTAATGGAATAGGTTCCCTTACTGTTTCGGGATATAGATTCTCTTTGTGATTATCATTCTTGTGTGCATTATATCTCCACTAGTCAAATTATTAATGTTATGTATTTCTCATTGTTTTACTTCTTTTGAGAAACGAAATTCATGGTACTCTGAAGACTAGAGATGATTCAACAAGTGACAGCAACTATAGAATTGGCCGAGATCTCTCTGTCTCCCCCCCCCCCCCGCCCCCAATTCTGTGATGCCAATTCAGCTTCTGGGCACTGTTAAAAATTCCTTAGTGAGAGGGCTCCTTTCCTCCCCTGCCCCCAGTGTGGGACAGGACTATCTGGGAATGAGCCTTTCTGGCAAGGAGAGATACAGCTTTTGATCGACAATGCTTTCAAGAAAGACTTTTTATCTGGCCGGGCGCGGTGGCTCACGCCTGTAATCCCAGCACTTTGGGAGGCAGAGGCGGGCGGATCATGAGGTCAGGAGATCGAGACCATCCTGGCTAACACAGTGAAACCCCGCCTCTACTAAAAATACAAAAAATTAGCCGGGCGTGGTGGCGGGCGCCTGTAGTCCCAGCTACTCGGGAGGCTGAGGCAGGAGAATGGCGTGAACCCGGGAGGCGGAGCTTGCAGTGAGCCGAGATCCCGCCGACAGAGCGAGACTCCGTCTCAAAAAAAAAAAAAAAAAAAGACTTTTTATCTAAAGGGAGAATGAGGAAAGAAGAGAACTTTTATGAGGAGTGTGAGCCTTTCCAAATTCTCAGGCCCAGAGAGGCATTACATTGTGACAGCAACCACATTCTGCTTCCTTTTTGTACAATACTGTATTTGAAAAACAAAAAAAAAAACCTACGAGACTCATGAAATTGGACAACATTCTTTATAACACTACTACTGGTAAAACCAGCAAGGATGGCTGGTTTGCAGTCATCTGAGCAGCCTCTCTAGTTTCATAGATGTGATTTCTCTCTGATAGTCAAAGGCTTCCAATTTTAAGCAAAATGCTACTTCACAAAGATAAACAGCTTTGAAAGGAAACGGTTTTCTTTGTAATCCTAAACGTTCTAGTCTGCGAATTAAAAGCCACTATTTGAAGACCGGCGCACAGCTTCCAGCTGGCCGCCAGAAGGGTCCTCCGCAGGACACAGGTTAAGTAGTCGCTTCTTTGGGGGATACTAGATGCGGGGTCTGGGCGCACCTCCGGAAAGGACAAGGGCGGGAGGGAGAGGTGGGACAGCAGACGTCACTTCCTCCGTCGGCTCCCCCAGCGGGTTGGTAGGCTGAGTGGCGGAGGGTGGGGCGGAAGAGCAGAAGGAGACTGGGAAAGGCACTGTCGGTGACATCACCGATAGGGCGTTTCTATGTAGATGAGGCAGCGCAGGGGCTGCTGCTTCGCCACGAAGGATTTCCCGTGCCGTGGGAGCGGGTTCAGGACCGCTGGTCGGACCTGAGAGTCCCAGCTGTGTGTGAGGGCTAGGAGGGCTGGGGGTGGTTGGGGATTGGCTGGAGTGGTGCTGGGGCAAGTGACTGTGCGTTTAAAGGGTGAGGCGTATGGAGCTGTGGCGGGGCGGAGATAGGTGCAATCTTATTTATGTGGCAGGGCAGATATTATGGTTACTGAAATGCCTTTTAAACCCGACTCAACTATTTCATTTCAAGTGTGCTGTTCTGTCATTTTCTCCAAGGTGGGAAGCTCAGCTGTGTAATTTGTAGTAACGAAGCAGAAGTTACAACGAAAAGACAAGTTTTCCTGTGCTTGGCAGGGCCCCCCTCCCCCCCACCAAGGCCTGCAGTGGATAGAGCCTAGCAGATCCTGGACAATACTATCCTAAAAGCTACATCTCTGACAGTGATTTCCAGCGACTTTGTCAACACGGTCCGCCCCCAGCAAGTATAAGAGGAAAAACAACAAATGTCTTTACTGCCTTGTCTTTCCCCCTTGCCACTTGTCATTATTCAAGTTTTGTAAGTTCCTGATTTCCATTCAGTGCAGCTGCAAGGTTACCAGCTGTGCTTGCGTTGCAAGACCTGTCACAGTTTGATTAACTGCCTTCTTTCTGCTTCTGTAAGCCCTCTTGCCTGCCCCGCGAGTTTCACACCATCAAATTCCTGCTGCACCATTCAAACTAGCCAACCCCCTTTCAGAAGTGTGTATAAAAGTCAAGCCCCCTGTCTTTCTTCGGGGCTCATGCTAGGCCCGAGTGCATTCAATAAAATCCTTCTGTTCCACCCGTTGGTCTCTTTGTTCTCCTGATTCCCGCAACAGTAGTAGGGGACTGCGTTCGTGCTTTCCCCTGGTCTTTCATGGTATGAATAATAGACAGCATTTGTTTTTTTCATCTATAGTCGCAGGCCCAGTCTCAGTGATTGTATGGTGTGGTCAGCTGTTTTTGTTTTTGTGAGACCTTATTTTCTTGTTTACTGTCCTGGGACAGATGTCTGTAGTCACTTGTTTCCTCAGGAGGCAAATTTCAGTCTCTGTGGGGGAGGTCTCTCATGTTAGCTGTGGTGGTACTTGGTGGGCAGAGCTCAGGGATCTAGGCTTCCCTGCTTTGTAGATTGCTCAGTGGTCCCCAAGGCCTACTGGCTTTTAACACCACTTGAAAACCTTAGTGTTTTTCCATTGTCCCCGGAGTCACCTCTTACAGAGCCTCTTTTTTTTGTTTGTATTTTTCCCTGAGACAGAGTCTCACTGTATCTGGTGGGATCTTGGTTCAAGCGATCCTCCCACCTCAGCCTCTGGAGTAGCACAGGCACGAGCCATCGCAGCCGGCTAATTTCTGTTCTTGTTTTGTTGTTGTTGTTGTTGTTGTTTTGTTTTTTTAAGAGTTGAAGTTTCGCCATGTTGCCCAGGTTGGTCTCCAATTCCTGGACTCAAGTGATCCGCCCTGCCTTGGCCTTCTAAACTGCTGGGATTACACGTATGATCCATCACACCTGGCTAGCCCCTGCTTTTCCCTATAGCATTCATGGGAGTTTGTAGGATTTCTGTGCTGGGGGGAACGTGTACTCAGCTCATAGAACCAAGTAGAAATTGTACTTGGAACTGGTGCCATTGGGTTGTAGACATAACACGCTTGCTCTTTGTATGGAAAGGGCTTTGCCAGTGCCCTGGTGCCCCTGCACAGGGCATCGAGGCCTGCAGGTCAGAATGGCAGTCTCACCTATGTGTTCGTGTAATACGCAGCAATTCTCCCTGGAATATAAGATGGGAGGTCTTGTGAGGTTCCTACAAGTAAGAAGACACATTTCCCTGAAGTTTGTATTGACGAATTTAAAAACTAATAATAACAGCCCAACCTCCTGGATGGCAAATGTCCTTTACATTGACAGACCGCAACTGCCCTACTTGCCTCAGCTCCTCCGTGCAGATGCAGCCCCTGATTCCCTCCACACAGGTCATTTCCTCTCTGCTTTATCCAAAAGAGGGAGACAGCGGTTCTGCAGGAACCGCTAGGCCTTCAGGCCTTTGCTAGGAGCAAAGTAGGGGGAAATGGTCGCTGGGGCTGGGACCTGGGCACTGGGCCAGGTTGCCCTGCAGGAGGGGAAGTACTCAGGGCTAGAGGGGGCCAAGCACCAAGACCTCAGCATCCTCAACCTCCAAAAGGACTCAGAGAGAGGCAGAAACCGAGACAGGGTTCTTCTTTCAAGGAAGACCCCAGGGCTCTGAACCAAAATCCAGATTTTTCCCCATCTGCAGCTTAATTCCACCTTAGTTGGTGCAACTTCATCCTTCCCCTATGCTCAGGACAAAAAACGGTTCTTCTATAGCCTGGTCATTCTCTGATCCCATACATCCTATTGGTCAGAAAATTATGTTTTTTCTTTGGTTAACTGCAGACTTTGGTCTGCACAATCTTTTTCTTTCTTGGTCTGAAAACCACCCCACAGTCCCATATGTAGCTTTTTTGGATAAACCTAGAAATGGACCCTTCTGGTCTTACAGCTTGAAACTTAATATTTGTTGGCCGGGTGCGGTGGCTCACGCCTGTAATCCCAGCACTTTGGGAGGCCGAGGCGGGTGGATCACGAGGTCAGGAGATCGAGACCATCCTGGCTAACACGGTGAAACCCCGTCTCTACTAAAAATACAAAAAAGTAGCTGGGTGTGGTGGTGGGTGCCTGTAGTCCCAGCTGCTCGGGAGGCTGAGGCAGGAGAATGGCATGAACCTGGGAGGCGGAGGTTGCAGTGAGCTGAGATCGCGCCACTCTGCACTCCAGCCTGGGCGACAGAGCAAGACTCCGTCTCAAAAAAAAAAAAAAAAAAAGAAAGAAACTTAGTATTTGTTTTATCTGAGTTCCTTCCTCAGGAAATGACCTTCAGGCCTGTCAAAAAAGCTATCAAAGTACTGAAATTCATCCAGAAAATGAGATGCTGGGACCCCTCATTCATCATGATTGCTTCCTTGCTCCTCCCTATTTCCTGTTTTCTTACTCATTGTTAACATTTCTTCCCTGCCATCTAAACCTCTGGTTTTGGTTGGTCAGGGAGATGGATTTGAGACTGAGTTCTCATCTCCCCCACTGCAGCACCCTATTAAAGTGCCTTCCTTGGCGATAAGCGTCTCGGTGATTGGCTTTCTGTGCGGCAACCAGCAGGAATCCCAGATCTCTGAATTTTGGCAAAGGAGTCTCGTGATAAAGGTGGGATGGATTCTACTGACCAACATCAAAACGTTCAGACATTTGAAAGCCTTAATCTCAGGGTCGGGGTTTGGGCCGCCCTTGAGCCTTTTCCTTGGGCCTATCCATTAAAATCAGCCTGGCCAGGCCTGTCTTCAAGGTCCAGGGGTAGGGTCAGGTCCTCCCGACGCTTCTTGACGCTTCTCCCGCCGGGTCGGCAGCCACCCTCCCCTTCCCTGTGACCTGCAGAGAAGCTTCAGGGGGCGTTTATTCAATCTGCGAGGAGCCCACGAGGCACAGGCACACGGTGACTCTGGTTCCCACTGCACCCACCGCCCTCCTTGGTCCTCTCGCTCTCTCTGGCAGGCAGTAACGTTCTGGGTGAGCATGGGTGCTGAAGACACCCAGGCAGGGAGGGTAGGGAAGGGCACCAGCCCCTTAGGTCCTGCGCAGTAGGGATCCAAAAAAGGTCTTGAAGAAACAGAAAGGGAGCGTTGGGAGTAGATCAAAGGGAAAGAAAGGAATCCTAGGAGATTTCCTGTCTGAAGGCACCATGAAGAGAAAGTCCGCCTCCTCTGGGCCGGGTCCTCCCGTCGCAGGTGAACCAAGTGCCGGTCTCCATTGGAGACCAAAGCAGATAACTTTGCCCTGACTCCTAGTTAGGAAGCCATGCTTTGTCCTCCCCTGTTTAGCGCTTGATCCTGTAGCACTTGATTGTCTCTCCCGGGCTTTCTATGGATTCCAGGGATGCAACTGAGAAGTTAGTTTTTAATGCACTTTTGCTTGAAGTAAGAGTATTTTAGGCTGGGCAAGGTGGCTCACGCCTGTAATCCCAACACTTTGGGAGGCCAAGGTGGGCAGATTACTTGAGGTCAGGAATTTGAGACCAGCCTGGCCAACATGGTGAAACTCCGTCTCTACTAAAAATACAAAAATTAGCCGCCTGTGTTGGCTCAGGCCTGTAGTCCCAGCTACTCACGAGGCTGAGGCAGGAGAATCCTGTGAACTTGGGAAGTGGAAGTTGCAGTGCGCTGATCTCAAAAAAAAAAAAAGAAAGTATTTTAGAATCTTTCGGCAAAGGAAATGAATTCTGACAGGTTTTGCACTGAAGACATTCAGATGTGAGGAAAACACGAAAACCACTATGCTAGGGGAAAGCAAATGCTGTTGAGAATGTCTCACAAACACAAATTACACGTCAGCAGGTAGGTTTGACCCTCAGGTTCGGCACATTTTACTTTAAGTGTACTGTTGGTGGAACTTAGGATGAATCTAGGACATTCACGATGTATGTATGTATGTGTGTATATGTATATATATATACACACACATATATACATATATATGAACATATATATACACACATATATACATACACATGAGCGCGTATATATATATGTGTATATATATGTGTGTGTATATATATATGTGTGTGTGTATATATATATGTATATATACATATATATATATATATGTGTATGTATATATATGAGAGACAGAGAGACAGGGTCTTGCTGCCTTGCCCACACTGGTCTCCAACTCTGGGCCTCAAGCGATCCTCCTGTCTCGCCTTCCCAAAGTGCTGGGACTACAGGCGTGCACCACCTTGTCCAGCCCATTTTAATGTTTTTAATTTAAATACACATTCCAAAAATTATATAACAAGTACAAGAAGCCCGCTTTATGCCAGTTTTACAAAAACAAAGTGGCAACATCCTAAAGTACTGAAAGAAATAAAGTTTTCCTAGAATTCTATGCCAAAATGAAAAATCTTTCAAGAATGTGATTGAAATAAGGACATTTAAAGACATACAAAAAAAAAAAAAGAAAGAAAGAATTCAGCAACCCACACGACAAGAAATGCAAAGGGAGTCCTCCAGGCCTAAGGATAAGGATACCAGACAGAAAACTGGATCTACACAAAGAAATGGAGACTACTGGAAATCGGTATGTACACAGTTAAATATATATGTTCTTCTTATTTAAATCTTTTAAAATAATTTGACCGATTAAACAAAAGCAATAATAATGGATTGTGGGGTTTATAACATGTCTAAAACCAAATTACATGACAACACCAGCATAATGGCCAGAAGGGGAGGTAGAATGTCACTAGATGGCACTGATAAAGATGTATTCTGGAAACCCTAAAGCCATCACTGAAAAAGCAAAAGCAGGGAAAGAAGTCGGGGATGAGGTGGACAAGAAGAAAGAAAGAGTTATAGCTAATAAGCCAACAAAGGGAAGAAGAACATGGAATGATATAAAAACCATGTAATCACTGTGCTGGAGCAACTGCTCTCCAGGCCTCTACCCTATAGAAATACACTAGTGGCCAATGAGAAGTGTACAAGAATGATGACTGCAGCATTGTTTGTAATCATAAAATAATAGAGCCAATGTACTTTCAAAGATATATGAAAAGGGTTTTATTTATTTAACAAACACAAACAATTGTACAAACAAGGGAAGCAAGTCCTTTCGCCAAAAGGAACACAGAGGGTCATGATGATGCTACTCCTCCAGGGATTTCAGGGTTCCCAGACACCCAGTTTTCTGTCTAGTTCTTCTGGAAGATGTTATTCTTGGGGAGTTATAGGTCCTCGCGTTTGGAGCTCTTTCATGTTCTCTCTGAATTTTCCCCTCAGTTCCTCCCCATTCTGCTTCAACAACAACAACAACAAAAAACAATTCTCACCTCCAGAAGATCCAGCCTGTGCCTCTGCACGAGCCTTTCAGGAGGTCTGGATGTGTGTTCCACCGCTCCCCGGCTTCTTTCCCCGCTTTTGCTTTTCCCTTCCCTCCTGCCCTCCCGCCCCAGGACCCTACCACTGCGCAGCTGAGCCCCCGCGGCTCCACCGCGCAGAAGGTGCACTGGAGGCCCTGCCCGTTGCCCTCCCCGGGGGATGCCTAGAAATCAACGTGAATAAACGCTTTGAAAAAAGAACTTCCCCATGGAAAAATCTCATGATTTCTATTCTTGGGGTTCTTCAAGGGACTAAAAGCTAAAGGCGACGATGGCCCCGGGAGGTCGAGGCTGCAGTGAGCCGTGTTTGCACCACTGCACTCCAGCCTGGGCGACCTAGCGAGACCCTGTCTCAAAAACAAATCAAAACTTCCCCATGGTAAAATATTTCATGATTTCCATTTTCGGGGCTCTTCAAAGGACTAAAAGCTGAAGGTGACGATGGATTAATTCAACAAGTCCTAGTCGTCGTGCGCGCTGGTGAGTGCCAGACCCTGCTCTCCGCGAGGGGACCCACGAGCCACCCTCACCACCATCCCTGCCCTGGTGGAGCCCCCGTGCGGGACACAGGATCCGAAGATGGCAGCGGAAGTTCCGCAGCGGCCTCAAAAGTGACTGGGCAGGGTGGGCACAGGCTGCCTCACTGGGTCAAGGCGGCACAAAGAACCATCGCGGGAGCCCACCGGGCGTTCAGCTTCCCTTGGGCCCCCAGGCGGCTCAGGTCCGGGTCGGGGCCGGGCGTTTCCGGGGGCTTCTGCTGCAGGTGAGGGGCAAGGTCGTCCTGGTTCCAGAATCTCCCAATCTGCGGGTCTCCAATGAGACCAACACGATTCACCGCTCTCATCGCTCCAGTTTTCCAAGGCCTTTCACAGTTGTACTGCCGGGTGGGCTCTGAGGATGGGAGGGTTGGGGAGTGTTTGGTGAGTGCACCCTTCCTACAGCGCCCAGAAGAAGGTACACTACGTGTCTCTGTGGCACAATCGGTTAGCGCGTTTGGCTGTTAATCTAAAGTTTGGTGGTTAGAGCCCACTGAGGGACGCCTGCTCCAGGTGTTTTGTTTTGTTTTGTTTTGTTTTGTTTTTCTTCTTCCCTGAGACACAGTCTTGCTCTTTCGCCAGGCTGGAGTGCAGTGGAGCGATCTTGGCTCACTGCAACCTCGGCCTCCCGGGTTCAAGCGATTCCCCTGCCTCAGCCTCTGGAGTAGCTGGGAATACAGGCGCGCGCCACCCCGCCCAGCTAATGTTTTGTGTTTTAGTAGAAACAGAGGTTTCGCCTTGTTGGCCAGGAAGGTCTGGATCAGCTGACCTCGTGGTCCCTCCGACTCGGCCTCCCGAAGTGCTGGGATTACAGGTGTGAGCCACCGCGCCCGGCCGCCTATTCCAGCTTTTAAAGCGTTCATGCATTATCGATCACTAGATAAACGGGGGAGATTATATCTTCCCAGAGTCCTAAGCCACTCGGGTTGTGTCTCTGTGGCACAATTAGTTGTCGCATCCGAAAGGCCTAGCTAACTTTTGTATTTTTTGTAGAGAAAGGGTTTCATTATGTTGCCCATGGTGGTCCCCAAACTCCTGGGCTCGGGCACCTCCGAGGTCTCCCAAAGTGCTAGGATTACAGGCATGAGCCACTGCACAGGGCCTTATACAATGCTTCTAATTTCAGCACATTTAGCAAACTTATCTTCTGCGGGAGAGGTACCAAATCACATTCCAGTTTATTTCTCAACTCTAATAATGTCCCTTTCTTCATTTACTTGCTGACACAACAAATTTTCTCCCCTCCCCTACTTTTTGTTTTGAGACTAGGTGTCACTCTGTCACCCAAGATGGAGTGCAGTGGCGTGATCTCAGCTCACTGCAAACTCACCGCCCCTGCCACCCTGGCACTAGTGATCCTCCGGAAGAGCTGGAACCACAGGTGTGCACCATCAAATCCAACTTTTTTTTTTTTTTTTAGAGATAGGGTCTTGCTATGTTGCCCAGGTTGCCCCCAGGAGCTCCAACTTCTGGGCTCAAGAGATTTGCCTGCCTTGGCCTCCCAAAGTGCTGGGATTTCAGGTGTGAACCACTGCACCTGGCCTAACAAACTTTCTATACATGTGCCCATGATATTCTTTTCTTTCCTTTTTTTTTTTTTTTGAGACACAATCTTGCTCTGTTGCCCAGGCTGGAGTGCAGTGGAGTGATCTCAGCTTACAAGCCTGCACCACCACGCCCGGCTAATTTTTGTATTTTTAGTAGAGACAAGGTTTCATCTTGTTGGCCAGGCTGGTCTCAAACTCCTGAACAGCCTCCCAACGTGCTGGTATTACAGTCATGAGCCACCATGCCCGGCCATGTGCCAATGATATTCTAATATGGGGACAAGTGCCTTTCCGGTTTAAGTAAGGGGGAGGTAAAACAGAAGGACATGGTGGACATTACACACGGATATTCAGTTGCATAGGATGGACAGCTAAACTTCTAAGACATGTTATTTTATTTTTTGAGATAGAGTCTTACTCTGTTACCCAGGTTGCAGTGCAGTGGCATGATCATAGTTCACTGTAAGCCTCAGCCTCCTGGGCTCAAGTGATCCTCCTGCCTCAGTCTCCCAAAGTGCCGGGATTACCAGCCTGAACCACTGCACCTGGCTGAGATATTTTAAAGTCCTCCAACATCTGTAATTGTTTCTTTTTATTTTATTATACATAATAAAATATATACATATTTTATTAAAATTATATGATAATAAATATATACAATTATATATTATGTATAATAAAATATAGTATATATTTTATTATATATGTTTATTTTAAAATATATATGTATTCTTTAGAGATGAGGTCTCACTATGTTGCCCAGGCTGGTCTCGAACTCCTGAGCTCAAGTGATACTCCCATCTTGGCCTCCCAGAGTGCTGGGATTATATGTGTGAGCCACCGTGCCTGGCCCTGTTTCTTTTTCAAACTTAATTTATTTTAGAGACATGGTCTTACTCTGTCATCCAGGCTGGAGTGCAGTGGTGTAATCATGGTTCACTGAAGCCTGAACCTTCCCAGGCTCAGGTGATCCTCCCACCTCAGCCTCCTGAGTAGCTGGGACTACTAGCATACACCACCATGCCTGGCTAAATTTTGTATTTTTTGTACAGACAGAGTTACATCATGTTGCCCAGGCTACTCTCCAACTTGCGAGCTCAAGTGATCCGCCCACGCCGCCTCCCAAAGTGTCGATATTACAGGCATGAGCCACTGTGCCCAGCCTGTAATTGTTTGCTGTGGTGACCAAGTCACACTGGTCCGGAGAAGACAGGTCATAGTGACCTCTTTGATAGCTTTCTGCCAAGTTGCTTATCCAAAGGGAGCAAAATCACAATGGTCCCAGTCATTTTTTTCTCCTCCCCTTTCCTCTTTTCTTTATAAATGTTGATTTTACTTTTATTTGATGAACACAATCTAATGCCAGTTCCTCTTCTATATTGATGGAGAATGAGCATGCAGACAAGTGTCTCTGTATTATTCCTCGACTGATTTCTTTCAGAGGCTATGTCCATAAAAATTAATCCATCTGACACCCATCATTGGAGCCAACAGAATCCTGCACCTAACAGGCCCCTGGTGCAGACCTGGATCCTTAGAGCCACTGGTTCTTGTTCCCTCAGTTCTTGTTCTCATGAGCAGAAATTGAGCTGTTTTGCTTTTATATACTAAGTATGGTCATTGGGCAAGTCCTTCCTTTCTCTATCTCCCTCTCTCTCTTTCTTGCATCATTGTTTTCTGCCATCAGTGGCATCAGTGTGGGTTTCTGGTTTTGATGTTATGAAATGAATTTCTGGGGACAATCTCTGTTGGGTGGTGTTTGACAAGGTGTTTGGTGATACATGACAGCTAATCTAGTCTGTGAGTCTTTTTTGATTGTCTATTCATTGTCCTGAGGATAATGGTATTTCTTGATATTTGAGACTGCAGCAATCAGAATTTGCTCATATCTTGTCTTTCCAATGTTTGGTAACAATTTTTTGGGCCCGATAGCTGTCAATATCTGCAAGAGCGGCATCTCTATTATAAGGACGATCTTACTACTCAATGCCCCACCCACTCCCGCCACCTAACTTCATTCCATAGGAGCTCTTGGCTTTAACAAATTACTATACCTGAAAGAAATCTTAGTACAGAAAGAAAACTAAGTCTGTGGCAGGTAAGGAGCAGTTTTCTTTGATTCGTATACTCAGGTTTCTAGTAGCTAAAAACCTCTAACCAGCTGAAACACATGTCCTTTAAGGATTAAGTTTAAATCACACTACAGAAAGGGGAAAAGAGATTTATATGATCACAAATAAGCAATGGAGTCAGCAACATAAGCACTTCTCACAACTATACAAATCAAAAATTTTTTTTGCTTAAGACAGAGTCGCGCTCTGTCACCAAGGCTGGAATGCAGTGGCACAATCTTGGCTCACTGCAGCCTTGGCCTCCCGGGTTCAAGTGATTCTTGTGCGTCAGCCTCCTGAGTAGCTGGGATTACAGGCGTGTGACACCATGCCTGGCTAATTTTTGTATTTTTAGTAGAGATGGCGTTTGGCCATGTTGGCCAGGCTGGCCTCGAACTCCTGAACTCAAGTGATCTGCCCACCTTGGCCTCCCAAAGTGCTAGGATTACAGGCGTAAGCCACTGCGCCTGGCCACAAATCAAATTTAATAATCTCCAGAACATCAAGGAAGTTCAGCTCTTAATGAAAATGGATGAAAAGAAATGATTTACTCACTTTTATATGCTGGGGAAAGAGAATGCCCTGCCAGACTCAAAAGGGTATCACAGAATCACTCAGATTTTCAGCACTGAGGGTTTTCCAAGGATCTAATGATGTTCCTTTTTTCAGTTTGTTTCGCTCACTGATAAGCCTTGTTAATAAATACCATTGCATCTGTTTTCACTTTAAACGATGTTACTTAACACAATTATTTGCTTTCGAATGCCCCCTAGATTGGTGGAAAGAAATTTTCTGATTTATAAATATATTTTCTTATGAAACCAATTGGCATACTCTTCCAGTGGAGTGAATAGATAAATTAAGTCTCTAAAACTTTAAAGAGATTACTGCCCCAATTATCTTAAGGACAGTAATAATTACGTATATAAAATTAAAATATGGAAATTAAGCAGGGTGTGGTGGCTCACACCTGTAATCTTAGCATTTTAGGCAGCTGAGGAGAGAAGAAGGATTGAAGTCAGGAGTTTGATACCAGCCTGGGAAATATGGTGAGACCCCTGTCTCTACAAATTTAAAAATGAGCTGATTTTAAAAAACTAGCCAGCACAGTGGCTCACATTGGTAGTCCCAGCTGCTTGGGAGGCTGAGGCAGGAGGATCGCTTGAGCCCAGGAGATCCAGGCTGCAGTGAACTATAATTGTACCACTGCACTCCAGCCTGGGTGACAGAGTAAGACCTCAACTCAAAATAAAAGAAAATGAAGAATAATTTCTTGACTTTTTTTTTTTCCTGCAATGCCAGGCTGGTTGACTCACACCTGTAATCCCAGAAAATCAGGAGGCTGATGTGGGAGGATTGCTTTAGGCAAGGAGTTGGAGACCAGCCTGGGCAACAGGGCAAGATGCCATCTCTAAGAAGTTAAAAGGCGGGCTGAGCTGGGAGGACTGCCTGAGCCCAGAGTTCCAGGTTGGTCAGCTGTGGTTGCACCAGTGCACTCTCACCTGGATGACACAGCAAGACACTGTCTATTACATTTTTTAATTCTACTTATGCTTTAAATGTGATGTTTCATTAGGGAAAAATTTTCTTGTTGAATTTGTAACATGAAAAAATAATAGATTTAGCTGTAGATTAAATTAATGGTATTGGCTGGGCATGGTGGCTCACGCCTGTAATCGTAGCACTTTGGGAGGCCGAGGCAGGTGGATCATCTGAGGTCAGGAGTTCGAGACCAGCCTGGCCAACATGGTGAAACCCCATCTCTACTAAAATACAAAAATAAGCCAGGCATGGTGGCTGGCACCTGTAATCCCAGCTACTTGGGAGGCTGAGGCTTGAGAATCGCTTGATCCCTGGAGGTGGAGGTTGCAGTGAGCAGAGATGATGCCACTTCACTTTATGGGTGGCACAGTAAGTGAGAGTGTGTCTCTAAAAAAAAAAAGAAAAGAAAAGAACTTTTTCATGTGAAGAAAATGAGTGCTTTCAACTTAGCATGCCCAGAGCTAGGCATTAAAATGAGACAGCAACCACATCCTACTTCCTGCTTTCTAAAATCTTTTAAGTTAAAAAAATTTTTTTTATTGTATTGAAATGGAGTCTCACTCTGTTGCCCAGGCTGGAGTGCAGTGGCAGGATCTTGGCCCACTGCAACCTCCTCCAGTCAGGTTCAAGCAATTCTCCTGCCATAGCCTCCCGAGTTGCTGGGACTGAAGTCGCGAACCACGATGCTCCCCTATTTTTTTTTTTTTTTTTTTGTATTTTTAGTAGATACAGGGTTTCGTCATGTTGGCCAGGCTGGTCTCAAACTCCTAACCTAAGGTGATCTGCCCAACTTGGCCCACCAAAATGTGAATTATGACCACCACCGGCCACTTCCCCACTTTTGAGCTATGTATTCATCCACTGAAACTGCTTGCTATTGCCACAGTTAGCTATAAAGTAACCTAATCACGTGCACTGGACACCATCTCTCATTCCCTGTAGCTGAACAATGTATAGCTAATCCCTAATCAATGTTATTTCTGTAAACCACTGGGAGTTCCTGACAAGCAACTTTCTACCAGCCAACTCCCTGTCTCCCTTTTTGGTCTTTACAAACCTGCTTGTAACAAAGGCCAAACAGAACCCATATCCAAGATTGCTTGGCTCTGAGCCTTCTGGGCAACTATCCTCACACTGGCTCAAACAAACTCTTTAAATCATATGTTGTGCTTAAGCCCCTTCCTTCTAGGTCGATGTTTTTGGCCCTGGGAGCAGGATTCAGAGCAACTTATCTCTGACCATCTGACCGTCCTCTCAAAGGCCTCCAGGGTGGCTACATAGTAGGTAGAATTTTATTGGTGAGATCAGTTTGCAGTCCGGGAAGAGACAGTCTCTGGTGTGTGTCTTTGAAGAGGTGCTTTCTCTTCAGAGAGAGAGAGAGAGAGAGAGAGAGGGCAGGTTGGTTTTTGTGCCTCACAGGGTGTGTATCACACAATAGAGTCATACATATTCAGCAGGTTTGGGGAAACGCCATTTCTGAGGGGTATTGAGCTCATGTGCAACGGGTAAACATATATGTAACATGCACCCCATCTTCACATTGGGAAGGGATTTTAGCATTAAAATGAGGTGGAAATTGGCTGTTTATGTCAAAAGGTGAACTACTGGACACGAAGTCAGTTTGTGTGCAGTCCCTGTAACATGGCTGAAACTGGCTTGATATCTGCAGTTGCTTATCGGGAAAGAATGGAAGGCCACTCCTCTGTCCCATCAGAGCTCTAGTGATCTGGGTTGTAAATCCAGTTGAGAAGGGCTGGGAAGATTTTGACAGTTTGCTTGCTAGCCCCTATTGTTAAGGAGTTTAGCAACAGTGTGTTTTTTCCTGTAGCCATAGGAATTCAGGACGTTGCCATGCCAGATGAGCCCTGAACCCTGGACCTGTAGCTAACTTTTGTTTCCTTAACCTTACAGTCTGTCTTAGTCTATAAGGGGGCATGTATTTTCATCTCTCAGATCACACCACATTCCTCCTGGACTGGGTGCCTGGCCAGCTCTGAAGCCCTCGAGTTTGGACTCTGAGAGAAACAGTTGGGCAGTAGTAAGTGGGGAATCCTCCTGAAATCTGGACCTTCCCACTCTTTGGTTGAAGGCCTGGACTTTGCTTGAGTGTCCTTTCCAGCTCTCCCTTTCTAGAATGGAGGTTTTCTGTCTTTACCCTGTGGGTAAGAGGTTTGAGTCTCAGGGGGAAATAACTGCCTTTTCCACCTCTGCATCAGGACAGAAAGTTTGGGTCACAGTCAGGCAAAGAGCTCTCCAGAGAGCTTCTGCCTTTCCTGCCTCTGTTCCTCAGCAGGAAGTTCTGGGTCAAGGTATTGGCAGGTAGGCCCTGGTGGTGTCATTTTATGTAGCATGTTGTTTTGAACATTCAGGCTTAGCTTTTCATTTGTGACTAATTCCTGTTAGTTCTTAACTGGAAAGCGCATGGAGGTGCATTCCCCTGCCCTGAAGAAAAGAAGTGATCTGCTCCCGCTGATCCATTCAGGTGCTCCAAGTGATCGGGGATGTTGCAGAGGTGTTGGGGTCATTACTCACCATGTGAAGGTGGCCTTATAGGACACTCCCCATCAGAAGAACATCTTTATGAACCCCCTTTCCTGCTCTTCTGGGAGGGTATATGTCGGACGGGTCCCTCATAGCACATGCACTCTGTGGCCACCTGGTGGTTAGAAACAGTGGGAACCACTGAGACAGCGATACACAACTCCGGTGTTATCTGTCAGAGTGACTTCATAAGCACCACACTGTGACCCAAAACACATCACAGGCCTTGGTCATCTGAAAAGCTCCTGAATTATGGGAAATCAAGCTTCAAAATTTAGCACACTGTGAAGAAACAACCACCTTTAGAAACATCAGCTGGGTTTATGTATAACACTTATGAAGCGTCCTCTTGTAAATATCCAAGAAACTGGGCCCACCTAACCAGGAAAACTCATAAGCAGAATGAAGAAAATGGGGATATTTTGAAATGCTTAAAATAATTTATTAGTGTGCACAATTGGAAAAATTTGGTTTTAGAACCAAATTAAATGGGAGACTTACTTCCAATAATACCTAGAAATTTCTAAAAGAACTGCGAAAATTGCCTCCAGTGAGGAAGTAAGCTGAAGGAGGTAAACTGACACGTTTTCTGAATTGAGAAATATTGAGGAGGCTTTGTCTCTTTTGCCTCCAACTGCTCCTTCTCCTCCTGCCCCTGCACCTGCATAGTCTCCCTTACCTGAGCCCTCCGGTCCTGCCTTGCCTCTTCTTCCATCACCATCACCTGAGGAAAGTCCCCAGGGCTCTAGCCCCTCCCCTGAAACTTCTGTTCTGACAGCCCCTTTCAAGGTAGGGGCTTCCACAGGAAGAGGGGAGCCTACCATTCTGTATACTGCTTCACCAAAATGTGAATTAAGAATATTATAAAAGACTTCCCTGGGCCGGGCGCAGTGGCTCATGCCTGTAATCCCAGCACATTGGGAGGACTAGACAGGCGGATCACGAGGTCGGGAGTTCGAGACCAGCCTGGACAACATGGTGAAACCCGGTCTATACTAAAAATACAAAAATTAGCCGGTCATGGTGGTACATGACTGCAATCCCAGCAACTCGGGAGGCTGATGCAGGAGAATCGCTTTAACTCGGGAAGTGGAGGTTGCAGTGAGCCAAGATTGCACCATTGCACTCCAGCCTGGGTGACCGAGCAAGACTTTGTATCAAAATACATAAATAAATAAATAAAAAATAAAAAAGACTTCCCTGATCGAAATTTAAATCAATTTCCCCTTCTAATTCTAAAGCAGCCTCCAAGATCCTATAGGGTTTGGGAGAAAATTTGACTTAATTGTCCAAACTTTTAGCCCGAATATTCTGATTTTTATCAATTAATTCACATGTGGTGTAAGAAGGCAGGGCCACTAAATGGTTGAAAAGGGCGAATTGGAATAATTCTTTAGAGGATTTTTAAAAACAGACTAAAGCAGACAATGAAAGGGTCTGCATTTTGGCCAAATACCTCCATGTTGCCATTCCCCAGGTTGTTCCCAAAAATGTAGATGGGAGAATTCAGCAATGCACTTAAAAGGCCAAGCAAATCTGTCATTGGTATTTTAAGTGGTTAAGATTTATTGATTGATTGATTGAGACAGGGCCTCACTCTGTCACCCAGGCTGGAGTGCAGTGGCTCCATCATGGCCCACCACATCCTCAACCTCTCAGCTCTAGCAATCCTCCCACCTCAGCCTCCCGAGTAGCTGGGACCACAGGTGCATGCCACAATGCCCAGCTAATTCTTTGATTTTTTTTTTTGTAGAGAGGACATCTTGCTGTGTTTTCCAGGCTGGACCTGAATGAACTTCTGGGCTCAATCAATCCTTCCACCTCAGCCTAACATTTACACTGGGAGCAGAGATGCATTTGGAGTAGGTGATGATTTTGGAATGCTTTAGAAGCAACATAGGTATCTGATTTCATCAGGTCAAGCCATCAAAAATGACCAATAAATCTCTGACCTCTTAGAAGCAATTTGAAGACCCAAATTTTGGCCATCATCAAAATTCGTGTTCATTCAAAATTAGACATTCTGGAGAGCAAGGACAATCATTTTGCTGATGCTGCAGCTAAGAATGCAGCTCTGAAGGTGACATCAGACACAGAACTCCTCGAAATGACCTTGCTGACTTATGACCCATTGAAGACTTCATTAGAAGTACAAGTGGGCTGGGCATGGTGGCTCATGCCTGTAATCCCAGCACTTTGGGAGGCCAAGGCTGGCGGATCACCTGAGGTCAGGAGTTTGAGACCAGCCTGGCCAACATGGTGAAATCCTGTCTCTACTAAAAATACAAAAATTAGCTGGTGTGGTGACACATGTCTATAATCCCTGCTACTTGGGAGGCAGAGGCATGAGAATTGCTTGAACCTGGGAGGCGGAGGTTGCAGTGAGGTGAGATTGCACCACTGCACTCCAGCCTGGGTGACAGAGCAAGACTCTGGCAAAAAAAAAAAAAAAAAAAAAAAAAAAAAAAGAAGCATAAGTAGGAGCTCCCAAGCAGGAGAGGGATCTCTGGAAGGATAAAGGGAACAAATTTCTTCCAGAAACAGTCATATGGTATGGGCCCAATGATACACTGATCTATCCCTTAGGCTTCAATTACCCTTTTACAGTACTTCATAAGCTGACTCATTGGAATTCAGACAAAATGTTGGCATGGGGAAAGCAATGGTATTGAAAATCATTGCCTATGATTGCAGAAAATGTTTAGTCTTGCCATACTGTCTGTCCCAAACATAATCCTGGAAAACCCCTTCATGGGTCACAGGGACATTTTGCCTTTGGGACCCTTCGAGAAATGGCAGTTAGACTTTATCCAGCTGTCTCCATCTCAGGGTCACAGATACTTTCTGGTGCTAATTTGTATATGCTCACTGGGGTGAGCATTTCCATGCCGATGAGCCACAGCCCAAGTAGTAGGTAGATTGTGATTAGAAAAGGTAATTCCTCATGGGGGGTGCCATCTGAACTCCATAGAAACCGAGGAACACACTTCGTTGGTCAGGTAATTTGATCCATTTGTAACATTTTTGCCTAAGTCCCAACATTTCCATTGTGCCTGTCACCCCTAATCCTCTGGGCCGATGGAATGCACTAATGATACAATAAAAACTCAATTGGCAAAGCTAACAGAAGTTTTTAACCTTTCTTGGACAAGGATCTCCCACTGGTTGTGGAAAATGTCCACACTCTCCCTCTTTGAAATAATAACAGGAAGACCCTTGCAGTGGTTAGATGAAGGCGCTTATGAATCTGCACTTCTTAAAGGTGACATTCTCCATTACTGCTAAGATCTCACAGAACTTACTAAGAACTCTACATTAACAAAGAATTCCATTCATAATGAACTCCTGGGAGATGAAAATATCAAAAATCTTGGCCTATAACCTGGAGATGTTGTTGTTTACTGGAAACAACATCAAATAAAATATTCTCCCCAAGACTGTTGGAAGGGACCACATCAGCTATTATTATTACTTTATATATTTTTTTTTGAGATGGGATCTCATTCTATTCCCCAAGCCAGAATGCAGTGGCACAATCATGACTCATTGTAGCCTTGAACTCCTGGGCTCAAGCCACCCTTCTGCCTCAACCTTCCAAATATTTGGGACCACAGGCATAGGCCACTGCACCTAACTGACGACAGGTATTACTGACCAATCTAGGCCAGTAAACTTAAGGGCGTTGACACATGGATTCATGTTTCTCTTGTAAAAGGCAACCCTACCAGAGTGGACATCTGTCAGTGGAGATTTTCACTTAGAGGTAACTCACAATCTTCCTGACAGAGATGGCAAGTAGCTGACATCTGGTGTAGTCCGCTTTCACCCAAGATATTGGCCTGTATAATCAGTTACAATTCCAGTGCTGACCGTGCCTGAGAGAGTTAGTCTCTTTTTTGCTGACTGGAATACATACACCATTAGGGCTCCTTTAAGTTGTAGGGGTTGTCTCTTGGTGGTTTTGGTAAAATCACCCTATATGCATATTCTCTTAAGATATGACACACTACTCCTCTTGCGTGTATGTGTATATACATATACATACATACATACATAGCAGAATACCTGTGATCAGATTTCTGTTTTACTGTCCCTAATTAATTT
Organism: Homo sapiens; assembly: GCF_000001405.40. Taxonomy (NCBI): domain Eukaryota; kingdom Metazoa; phylum Chordata; class Mammalia; order Primates; family Hominidae; genus Homo; species Homo sapiens. Next base: position 146,405,611 of record NC_000001.11, read on the forward strand.
GATTACAGCAGGGAGGGATAATTCTCTGATTAGAATCTCACAAACCATTACCTCTGTGGGAAATTTGACAAGGTTCCAGGTTTGCCACTCAAAACCACAAACCACTTTTGACCATAATGACCCATTGGTACATCCTGTGCTAAATTTCACCTGTATTCCTCCTGATTGCACTCACGATGCAACTCAGGGTCATATCAAGCAAAACCTGTTTATCTAATCTGTCTGACTCACCCTAACCTTCCTGCCGCACGTCTCAGTTTAACCCATCGTAATCGTATTGTCAAAATAACTGCCTGTAATCCCAGCACTTTGGGAGGCCAAGACAGAAGGATCACTTGAGCACAGGGGTTTGAGACTAGCCTGGGCAAAATGGTGAAACACTGACTCTATAAAATATATACAAATTAGCTGGGTGTGGTGGTGCCCACCTGTAGTCCCAGCTACTCAGGAGCATGAGGTGAGAGGATGACTTGAGCTAAGGAGTTCAAGCCTGCAGCGAACCCTGATGACGCCACTGCACTCCAGCCTGGGCAACAGAGTGAGACCCTGTCTCAAAAAATAAATAAATAAGCTGCGTGTGGTGGTGTGTGCCTGTAGTCCCAGCTGCTTGGGAGGATGAGCCGTTGAGCCTTGGAGGTCAAGAGGTCAAGGCTGTACTGAGCTGTGATCTTGTCACTGAATTCCAGCCTGGGAGACAGAGTCCTTGTCTTAAAAAGTAATTATAATAAAAATAAAAAGTACAAAACCAACCAAACAAAAAATTGTTTCTTCACTCTGAAATAACAGTGGTTAACACCATGATGCCACTGGAAAGTTAAAAGAAAAACACTCCCTCCTGCTATCAGGATCCAACCTGCCCTCTTGCTCTACATTTCTGACCCATGGTTTAAATGCCCAAAAGCTGATGTACTCAAATTATAGCGCACTTACCTGTTCGGCGTTTATTTTTGTCTCTTGAAAAGATCACCATCCATGGCCCTATAAATGTCGAAGGGCATGGAATGATGAAGTGCAATGTCATTATTGTTATGTATCTCTCATCGTTTTACTTCTGGGAAAACTAATTTCATGGTATTCTGAAGAGTAGAGATGATTCAATAAGTGACAGCAGCTGTAGACTTAACTGAGGCCCCTCTCTCTCTCTCTTTTTTTTTTTTTTTTTGCCACTCTATGATGCCCTTTTTTTTTTAAGACCGAGTCTCACTCTGTCACCCAGGCTGGAGTGCAGTGGTGTGATATTAGCTCAGTGCAGCCTCAAACTCCCAGGCTCAAGCAGTCCTCCTACCTCAGCCTCCTGAATAGCTGGGACTAAGGTGTGTGCCACTACACCTGGCTAACTTTGTATTTTTTGTAGAGATGGGGTTTCACCATGTTGCCCAGGCTGGTTTTGAACTCCTGGACTCAGGCAATCCACCTATCTTGGCCTCCTGAAGTGCTGGGACTACAGGTGTGAGCCACCATGCCTGGCTGTAATGCCCTTTCAATTGGACTTTTGGGCATTCTTAAAAATTCCTCAGTGAGGTGGCTTCTTTCCTCCCCTGTCCCCTGCTTGGGACAGGACTATCCGGGAATGAACCTTTCTGGCAAAGAGGGACACCCTTGACTTAGCTTTTGATCATCGATGCTTTCAAGAAGAAAGATTAAAAAAACTTTTTATCTGAGGAATGTGAGCCCTTTCAAATGATCAGGCCCAGAGAGACGTTAAATCGAGACAGCAACCACTTTCCGCTCCTTCCTTTTGAGCTGCGCTGAGCTATGTATTCATCCGTTGAAACTGCTTGCTATTGCCTCAAGTAGCTGTAAATTAACCTAATAATGCCACACCAATCCCTATACCCCCATACCCTATAACTTAACAACATATAGCCAATCACCAAGCAATGTTATTTCTGTAAACCAATGAGAATTCCTGATAGGCACCTATCAGCCCACTGTCTGTCCCTGCTTTTGAACTTTAAAAACCTGCTTGTGGGCAGGGTGCGGTGGCTCACGCCTGTAATCCCAGCACTTTGGGAGGCCGAGGCAGGCGGATCATGAGGTCAGGAGATCGAGACCATCCTGGCTAACACGGTGAAACCCCGTCTCTATTAAAAAAATACAAAAAAAATTAGCTGGGCGTGGTGGCGGGTGCCTGTAATCCCAGCTACTAGGGAGGCTGAGGCAGGAGAATGGCGAGAACCCGGGAGGCGGAGCAGAGTTCGCGCCACTGCACTCCAGCCTGGGCAACAGAGTGAGACTCCATCTCAAAATAAATAAATAAATAAAAAATAAAAAATAAAAACCTGCTTGTGACAAAGGCCAAAGGGAGCTCAAATCCAAGCTTCCTTGGTGTGAGTCTTCCAGGCAGTTGTCTTCATGTTGACTCAAGTAAACTCTAAATTATATTTTGTGCTTCAGCCTCCTTCTTTTAGGTCAACATGTTCAACAACAGTAGAATAGATACATAAGTTAATGTATATTCCTACAAAGGAATACACGTAGAACCAAATAACCATATGAATAACATGAAAAATTCATAGACATAGGACTGAGTGAAAGAAGTCAGACCTATGCCTCTGCTTCTGCAACCGCCTTTGCAAAAATTACAACTGGGACAATTACCACAGTGAAAGAGATCTGATCTAACTGATTCCATCTTGCTTCTAACGTACAAGCTGTCCTTGTTGATTGCTGGGCACAGGCCGAAATAACTTTGGGAGGAAATTAGTTTATGGTTTAGCTGTGAAACAAAGATGATAATATCCCTTTCCCGAAGCAAACCCCCTTCCTGCCTGGGGACTAGACTGCCTTTGCCGGACTAACAAATTAGCCACGAGATTAGAAATTATGGTTTAGGAGTCATGTAGCCTCTGGCTGCAAGATTCTAAACCTCCCCAAATTGTTCCTGGAGATCACATCGTTATTGGAAAACCTAAGATCAGTGCTTGAGATATTTTGCCGACCCTGCACTCAATGGATCAGCTGGCACCAGCTAGACTGATAACCTGGCTCAGCTGGTCTTGTGGCCCCCAAGCAGGAACTGACCCAGCACAAGACCACAGCTTCAGCTCCCTGTGATTTCATCTCCGACCTGGCCAAGCAGAACTCTCAATTCACCGGCCCCCAATCACCAAATAAAGAGTGCAGCTCTTTATTGCAATTCCCCTGTGTCGAAAAATTGGCTCTGTCTAGGCAGCAGGCAGGGTGTACCTGTTGGGCAGTAACACTCCCCCCAAAACCCACTACAGACTGTGACTCAGCTTATATGAAAGTAAAGGGCGGGAAAAACTTGCCTGATAGATTTGCAGAGATGGGGGTGGAAACCATTAATAAGTCTGTGGAGTATTCTCAGAGTTTGGTGTTGTAGTCTACATATTAAAAGTAATCAGTTAAACACCTGAAATAAAATTTCTCCCAAATATTTTTGCCAAATTTGGATGACTGTGTTTCTGTCTTCGCAGCATATAAAGTGTTAACATGAGGTAAGCGCTAAGGTCTAGAGAAGGCAGTGAAGAGATGACAAACTCCAGCACCATGCCTGAATGTCCAGTGTGCTCTGCTGGGGCAGCACATTTTTGTACATTGCTGTATCTGAAAAAAACCCTACAAGATTCATGAAACTGGACGACCGTCTTTATAATACTCCTAGTGATAAAACAAGTAAGGATGGCTGGTTTGCAGTCATCTGAGCAGCCTCTCCAGTTTCATAGATACGGTTTCTCTCTGATATTGAACGACTTCCAAATGTCAAGTGAAATGCTACATCACAAGGATAACCGTATGTGAAAAGAACCGTTTTTCTTTGTAATCCTAAACTTTCTAGTCTGAGCTTTAAAAGCCATTATTTGAAGAAAAGCGCACAGGCTCCAGCTGGCCGCCAAAGGGGTCCTTTGCATCACAGGCTAAGAACCTACTTCTTTGGGAGAGACCAGGGATGGGGATGGGAGGGAAAGGAGGTAGAGTCAGGTGTCACTTTCTCCGCCCGCTCCCGCAGCTGGTTGGTCGGCCGAGTGGCAGAGGGTGGGGCGGAAGAGCAGACGGGGACGGGAAAGGCGCTGTCGGTGACATCACAGATAGGGCGATTCCTATGCAGAGGAGGCAGCTCAGGGGCTGCTGCTTCGCCACGAAAGATTTCTCGTGCTGTGGGAGCTAGTCCAGGACCTCCGGTTGGACGTGATAGTCCCAGCTGTGTGTCAGGGCTAGGAGGACTTGAGGCGGCATGGGGGCGGGGTGGGGGAATGCGCGGGGCAAGTGACCGTGCGTGTAAGGGGTGAGGCGTATGGAGCTGTGGCAGGGCGGAGGTGCGTTCATTCATACTTACGTAACAGGAGAAAATACGGCCATGAAGTTGGTGTTTTTCGGGGGCGATTTCTCCATTGTACTCAGTATGTGCTGACTGACTCCTGTTACTTCCACATGTGGGGAAACTGGACTGTAATTTGTGGTGGTGGGGAATTGCGTTCGCTTTCTTCTGGAGGTTGTAGTGCAAAAAGCAGTTTGTGTACCAAGTGATACTTTCAGCTTTTACAAATGCTGAGCAATATCCATGGTGTGTTTTCATGTCACCTCCTCTCCCTTCTTTGTTAGAAAAAAATGGAAGAGCACGTGGGTGTTTTGAGATGAGAAGAGGTGCGTTCACCACCTTCGCCTCCGTGTAGGCTTGTTATTAAGGGAAAGGGAACAAAGGAGTCTCACTTATGTAAGATGACCTTACATGAGAAGAAGAAATTCGAGTTGGTGAAAAGAAAGAAATTCAATTTCAGCCGGGCGCGGTGGTTGACGCCTGTAATTCCAGCACTTTGGGAGACCGAGGCAGGCGGATCACGAGGTCAGGAGATCAAGACCATCGTGGCTAACACGGTGAAACCCCGTCTCTACTAAAAAATACAAAAAAATTAGTTAGGTGTCGTGGCGGGTGCCTGTAGTCCCAGTTACTCGGGAAGCTGAGGCAGGAGAATGGCGTGAACCTTGGAGGCGGTGGTTGCAGTGAGCCGAGATCGCACCACTGCACTCTAGCCTGGGGGACAGAGCGAGACTCCGTCTCAAAAAAAAAAAAGAATTCAATTTCAACAGTCTAATATCCTGGCATGCAAGAGAGAAATTCTAAGACTGTCTCAACTGTAGAAATGTTCAGGGAGAAAAAAAAATAGATGATTATTTATTCTGGTTCATTCATTGTCTCGTTGAGTTTGTCAGATGCCAGGTGAGGTGCCTTACATGTGTTCATAACCTCAAGACATAAAAGGGAAGGAATTTTAGAATGATTCAATGATATCACTGTTTTGCCTAATAAGCAAATAATTCAGTAAGAGACACTTATTAACAAATCTAAGAATAAAGCTTCCTTTTTAATCACAAAATTGCCTTTCTTCACATTATCTTTCTTTACATTCTTTGACAAAGTACCCCAACCCATCAATATTGTCTGTCTTATCCAAACTGAAGGATGATAATCCAGATTTAAGAAAATATCTATCAAAATAATGACAACATTGAGCATGTACTCAGTATCTGCTGGGTATAGAGCACAACAAATATCTCTCGAGTTAGTACCAGGCCCTGTGCTGAGGCCTCCACTCCTCTCTAGCTCATGTGCACTGAGCAGCGAGTGCCACTGGCTCCTTGAAAGCTGCTCAGGCACCACCGTTTTTAATTCCCATGAGAGGTGCTGTGTGCACCCCAGTGGACAGATGAGGGAATGGAGAGCAGGTGGATACCCTTGGGTAGAGAGCCACACATGGTTGGATCCAGCTCTAGAAGGACTGACCCCTTCTCTACCCGACTCGAGAAAGCCCACTGTCAATGATCTCGACCTCTACTTTATGTCTCCTATTTCTGGAATGGAAATGACCTCGTGCATATTTCAAATTCTCCAGCTTTTCCTTGCCTTTCCTCCATCTTGTCAGTACTCAAATAGGAAAATGATATATACATATATGTTGATCATGTACACTTAATTTCCTAGATGTAATTAAGTATAAATTTCAGGCAAAATGCTAACTTGAATATATTTTTATGTTAAAACTTTTCCATATTTCATTCACTTATCATTAAGAAAGCAAAACCTTTGCACAAAATATTGTGCTAGCCTTTGCCAGGAGACAGAAATGAGGAGTCATGGGCTGTGTTCTTCAGGAGTGTTGAGTTCTCCCGAGAGTGTGAGAATACACAGGTAAGCCCAATAGAAAGCAAAAGTCAGGGGCGGGCATGGTGGCTTATGCCTGTATTCCCAACACTTTAGGAGGCCGAGGTGGGCAGATAACTTGAGGTCAGGAGTTCGAGACCAGCATGGCCAACATGGTGAAACCCCATCTCTACTAAAAAAAAAACCACACACACACACACACACACACACAAATTAGCTGGGTGTGGTGGGATATACCTATAATCCCAGCTACTTGGGAGGCTGAGGGAGGAGAATCACTTGAACCAAGGAGGCAAGGGTTGCAGGAGGCAGTGATTGTGCCACTGCACTCCAGCCTGGGTGACAGAGCAAGACTCTTGTCTCAAACAAGCACACAAACAAAAACCAAAAGTCAGATGACTAAGGCAGTGATGATTGCCACATCCTGTGCAGGGCAGCCTCTGGGATTTGTCTCAAAACACACTCGATCTAGTTCTTGACGCCCATTGAGATGGATGCTAGGCTATAGGCAGTTACATAAGATCTTCGAGCCTCAGTTTCCTTATCTCTGAAGTGAGAAAAGTAATATTGATATTGTTAAAAAGGCATGAGATTTAGATATAAGTAAAATACTTGTATTTTACTTAGTACCTACTTAATCTTCATGAGTGAGTCAAAGAAAGCAAGTAGAATTAGGCAGGGTTGTGGGGATGGGGAGAAGCAAGCTGTGCTAAAGGCAGGGGAAATGGGCAGATAGTATGCAGGGCTAAACACAGATACCTACAACCTGCAGCAGAGGCAACTTACTGAGCTTAACATAGAGAATACAAGTCACTTTAAAATGTACAGCTCTATGTTACTTTTCACCCCACAATAAAATCGGTCCTTACCTAGAAAAAAGTAAAGATAAAAATGAAAGAAAAGAGGAGTGGGGGAAGTAACATACATGTGTACACATTCAGACCTTTGGCATGCTTACATCAGAGAAAGAACACTTTTGCAAGTTTTCTTGGCACAACGAATGGTAGTAATTTTTAAGTCTATTGTGTCTGTCATCTATTCATATATTCTGAAACTGCTGACCTCTCATTGACAACAGTATGCCTCTTTTTCTAAGATTAGAAATTTTAAAATGTAATTGCTGATAATAAACAATGGACATTATGCTAAGCGAAGTGAGCCAGTCAAAAAAATAAACAAACAAACAAACAAATAAATACTACACGATTCAACTCATTTTAGGTTGGTGCGAAGTTATTGTGGTTTTTGCCATTAAAAGTAATATAAAGTACCTGGAATAGTCAAATGTATAGCAAGAGAAAATAGAATGGTGCTTGCCAGGGGCTGGAGGGAAGGAGAAATGGGGTTGTTGTTCAGTGGGTGCAGGGTTTGAATTTTGCAAGATGAAAGGGTTCTGTGGCTGGATGGTGGTCATGGCTTCACAGCACTGTCAACGTGCATGATGCCACTGACCTGCGCACATCTTAAGTGGTTAATGATCAATTTTATGTCATATGTATTTTTTCACATTTGAAAACACTTTTAAAAACCATTCTTGTTAGTATTTAAAGAACTGCAAGATAAAAAAGAGACATTTTTAAAGTGTGAAGTCGTGTGCACAGGTTCATCGTCTAGGTGTGTACTCATGAAAACAAATCTCTTGTGTTGCAGATAGCGCTCGTTAAGGTTGATTTCTGCATATCAGTGAGAGTTCAGTGATCTTACATTCAACATAAATATGACAACTTTACAAACATCCCCCCTTTCATCCACTGAGTGAGTTTATCAGGAAAACCCAACAAAATCCTTCCAGGCCTCCCTGGGGGAAGGTACACAGTCCCCTGCTCTGGAGGAGGACATGGAGGCTCACGCTGGTTAAGGGAGTTTTCCAAAGTCACCAGCAGCAAGGAACCTTCTGAAACTGCTGACAAGTCCGTGCTTTTCCCACGTCCACTTACATTATTTAGGCAAGACCCACTTGGGAATCTATTTTTTCAAGGCATGATCGGGACTAGGTTCAGGATGGTAGAGCAGGGCTGTTTTTGAAAGGCGGTCTCTTTCTCTTTGCACCAAGCTTTCCGTAAGTGTGTGGGTGACCCTCCCAACTTCCTCCTCTCTCCCACAACCACCGCCCTCGCTGCTTCTCTCAGCTTCTCTCCCCGACACCTGGATGACTCCTCTTGGCTACCTGGGGGCTGGCATTGTGGGAGGCAGCCGACGCCAGTGGGTGCTGCTGGGATCCCTGCCCACACCCAGCAGTTGCCTGGAGATGGAGGTATGCCAGGTATGTGGGCCAACAGCTGCAGAGTTGCCACTGACAGGCTGGAGGAGGATTCTTTGTCAGTGACCGCACCAGCCCGAGCCCCTGCCAGCTGTCCCACTCAGTATGCCCTGGCTTCCAGGGCCCCAGCCAAGGAAGGGTGTGGACATGTGATACAGTGGTGACCACAAGGCAGGGGTCAAGGGGAAGGCAGGCCGATACTAGCAACAGAGGAAATGACACTTCAGAAGCGTCCTCTCTTACAAACAAGAGCAACTGTGTGTGTCCCAGTGAGTATGGGAAGCTCAGTCTCCTAACATCATTCAAGGGTCTCCAAGTGACTGTGCATACAGTTTTAAAAATATCACCGAACTTGTTTTTCTTACCCCAGCCATTTTTTATAACTATATCTAGGGAATGGGTTGGTTGACTCTAAAGAGCAAGGAACTAAAGAAAAGATAAACATGGAAACTTCAGGTTTTCCAGAATCTTGCATATTTCCCTCCTGTTTCCCTATTATAATTTACATTTAAAATGGAGAGATATGCAGTTTAAGCCAAATGTTTTGAGTCATGAAAACAAGTGAAACTCTTTTGCCTGTTCATGATAAACCTTCAGATTTGGTGACTTCTTTCCACCAAGGCAAGATAGGTTTCACTGGGGGGAACTGAACTGGTGTGGTGTTTTCTGCCTTCAGCCATCTGTGTGTACACTGTGACAATATGGTTCTGTGCTGGATGAGACGCCTACTATTTTTTCATCTCACTAAAGAGCCTCAAGTTTCTCAGCTACAACCTGGAGGAAGTGTCTGAAAGCTGATTTTCTGATGCCCAGCCCCAGGCCTCCTTTTCCACCGCACAAGATCAGACCTGCTTTTCTCTAAATCAGAATTAGGCACGCCACTCCAGATGAAAGAGCCCTGTCATTGAAATGCCTTTCTTTGGCCCACACTAAGTATAATTTCTGCTCCCGTTTGAACTCAAATATCACATGTATATTTTAACAGCTGCTGCTCTCTAAGCAAACTGATTCACATAGAAAATCCAGGATTGTGACTACTTATTTTTTCCTCTCTACACATGAAACAGATTCCCTGGAAACACAGTTATCTTAAGTAGCTGGAATTGTCTAACTTCGGTTACTTTATTATTTACAAATCAGCCAGGTGAGAACAAGAAAGTGAAAAGCAGGAAACAAGATAGGCAGAGAAACAAAGGGCTCGATCGCAAGAGCAGCAAGATGCCTGAGCAGACCTACAGGGTTCTCAGGGCTGCAGCAAAAATCATAGAACAGTCGTGGTCTCAGGACTCGCCATAGATCAGACCACGGCTTCCAACCATGCCACAGGCTGTCTGTGTGTTCCCTGCACACCATTCATTTTTGTCCTTCTATTTTAATGATCTGAAACCAAGTTTGGGCCATGTGTAGACAGGCCATTCGGAGGAGGCTTCGGGAAGGAGGGTGCATCTGAGACTAGTTGTAAAAGATGAGGAGGATTTCCACAATCGCTCAAAGGAAAGGGGCATTTCAGAAAGAGAGAAGAGCACGTTCACGTGAGCCCAGATAGGAGCACGGGGCACACGCATGAAACTTCCTGATGCTGGAGTTCATGCGCACGGTGGACGCAGGCTTGGCAGCCCACAAGGCAGAAGGGGAGGTGGTGCGGGAACCGTGGCTGCTCTAGGAAACTTGAGCTCCATTCTGCAGGCTCAAGGAGACATGGAGTAAGAGGAAGGACTCCTTGGGTGCATTGTTCATGGGAGGACAAATTAGAAAGGGGATTATCTCATGGCAGGCAGCCACTTCCAAGTAGGGAAGTTGGAGAACTTGTTGTCAGGTGGAAGAAAAGAGAAGACCCTTGAAAAGTCATCCAGGAATGGGTGTGCACAAACATGGAGTGTGTTCCTCATGCCGTAATTCTGATCCAGGTCCTTGACTTAACTGCATTGCCATTAAGCTTGTGAAAGGAGGGGAAAGCCGGTACCAGATATTGGTTATATGTCCAATATCTGTTTGACTCTTTGTTAGAGGTATTACCTAAGTTATCTTACAATACTCTAAAAGCAATTCTACAAAGCCCATTGCTATTTTACAGAAATGAAATCTGAAAATGAAGAGGGTCAAGTAAACTAAGAAGTCTATGCATAACTAAGAAATGGGGCTGCCTGACCCCAATCCTGCACTCTTGGCTCTTTATGACTTCACTTGTGAGCATACTGAACTCAAAGTGTTCTGGACGTCTCCAGGTAGAGGGCTCTAGGAGGCAGCCGAGTACGTGAGTCTGGAACTTAGGAGAGTTCCAAGCAGGGCTGTGGGTGTGGGATGGGGTGCATGGGAAGGAGGTTGTCAAAGCAAAGCAATGCGCAGCTGCTTAGGGAGGGGGCACAGGAGAGTGGCCTGGCCCTTCTTAGATCATTGTCAACTCAACTTGTCTAAATGGCTTTTATGACCTCAGTTATCACCTGTATTAATTCTGGCCTATGGTATTTTGCAGCTCTTCGGGAAATAGTGATCCTTTGTTTCTGACAAAGTTCTTCTTAAAGGGTTTATTGTCTTATTTACTAGGAATCATGGGGAATAGAGTGTTACACAATGTAATTTTTTCCCTAACAAATAAAGCTTATTTTTATAAATTCCAGGGCTTTTAATTTGAATCATGCTTAACTATTTTTCTATATTTTATTACATTGTTTGCTTCCTCCCTAAAGACAGTATATTTTAGTATTTTCACAGAAAAATGAGAAGCCCTCATTATGAACATACCTGATTAAATTGAGCATTTCCAAGTGATGTCCACATCATTGCTCAAGTGTTATGAGGCCACAGGATGAACTATTGCCCCTCGAATGATGCTAGAATGCTGTGCCTTTATTTATTTCATTGGACAACTCATTCAACATATATTTATCAAGTGACTCCTATAAGAGTAACTAAAATAGAATTTCCTGCTTTTGTAGACCTTACACTATAGATGATTCCATAGTGTCTAGTGTTTCATGAAATTATACAAAATGTCACTAAATCTAAAATGCCATTGGTAATGACATACACTTTTTAATGCACTAATATTAAATAATGCTGAAATTAAGTTATGCTTATCTAATGTAAGATACATTGCAGTTTCAGATACTAAAATTTGAACAAGTAGACAAACGTTTCTCTTGAAATCAGTGAAATCTCTATCTAAATCCCTTAGAATAGGGTTAGCACATAGTATTCCAGGAAAGCAAAGCTCTAATTATTATTGTTGGATTGTACCCAGATTATGTTACTATTTAAGTTTCTACTTTATGTAAAGCACTTTTTCATATGGATATTCTTTATCCTAACAATAGTCCATTTGTTACACCAGAAGTAACACCAGATACTTCTGAATAATAATGGCAGTTAAATCTGTGGTTTTGTGGAATTTTGCTTATATACGTCACTGTTGATTCAAACAATATAGCAGCTCTAAGAACATCTGTGCCTCCAGCCTCTGCATTTCAACCATGAGAGCGTCATTTCTCTCCATGATGCTTAAATTAAAAATCTAAATATTTGGTAAATTTTACGCTTTTCTAGAATATGTTTTGTTAATATTATATTCTAGTAAAAAAAAAAAATGTTCTTAGCCTGAGAAAGATTTTACAGAAAAGCTTTAGTAAACATTACACTTCATAATGTACCTGTACTACACTAAATGTATAATGTACTTATACTAAAGAGTGAACTATATTATCTTTGAGTTTAGGAATAAGATGAGTAAATATGTAAATGTAATAATGAGAAACTATTAAAATGCAGTAGTTTCATTCAATATGATTATTTAAATAGAAAATCCAAAAATTTGTACATGAATTAAATTAATAAACAAATTCAATGAGTTTACTAGATACAGAATTCATTGTCCAAAGGAATTGTATTTCTTTACACCAGCAATAATGTTAAAAATAATAATTTATAAGATTAACTTCATATTTCGTGAAAAGTGTAAAATTTAAGAATAAATTTAAAAATAGTTTACGAAGTCTTTATATACAATAATATAAAACTTTTGTACAATAATAACATCAAAATGAGGGGTGATATGTACTACATTCATAGGCTAAATGTCTCACTTTTATAATAATGTTAATTCTCAAACATATTTATATTATGCTTGAGTTTGACAAAATTATATACGTTTGACAAAATTCCAATAAATTCCCAATACATTTTGTGGAACTTATAAACTACACAATAAAGGCCAAAACAGTCCTTAAGAAAAACAAGTTGAGAAGACTTGACATATCATGAATGATTTGAAATTTACAAATTTCAGAACTTTTCCCATTGTAATATAAGCATGTAATACTATCACATTTCCCCAAATGGCTACTTTAAGTGCATCCTACAAATTGTGATATATTCTGTTTTTGTTTTCATCTTCGTTCTCTTTGAAATACTTTCTAAGTTCATCTGTGACTTCCTCCTTGACTCAGGAATTTTTAGAAGTGTGTTGTTTCATTTCAGAACATTTGGAAATTATTTATTTCTAGTTTCATTTAGTTGTGCTTAGAGATCATACTGTGTATGATTTCTATTCTTTTTAATGTACTGAGACATGTTTATATAGCCCAGATTATCATCAATTTTAGTGAATGTTTTAAATGTGCAGTTGCTAACAATGTCTTTTATATTGCTGTTTAGTGGACTGTTTTAGAAAAGTCAATCAGGTAAATCTGATTAAGAGTATTGTTTTTCTTCTATCCTTTTGCTGGTTTCTTATCTCATTCTATTAGTTACTGAAAAAAATGGGTTAGAATCTACAGTCTCCAACAATAACGGGATATATCCATTTCTTTTTTCTGTTGTATATTTCTTCTTTGTATATTTTAAAGCTCTATTGTTGGGCAATATTTGGTATTGTTGTGTCTTCTTGTTGAATTGACCCTTCTAACATCATGAAATGTTATGCAATTCTGGTAACATTTCTTATTGTAAAACTTACTATTTCTGTCCAAATCTATGCCCTGTCCCTTTATAAAATAATGATGATAACAAATAATACATAATATTTATTGTTTTTTTATCTCCCATTTTTAAAAATTCTGGGGGTTTAGATTATTTGAATTTATATAATTATTGATAAAACTAAAATCAAATCCACCATCTTTCTATTTGTTTTCTACTTGTTCCATCTTACTTCTTAATTTTATTTTTATTTTTTAAATTTTTATTTCATCTAGAGTTTACAATACACATCTTTAACTTATCACAGCTCTATGTAGAGTATAAAGAATGTACAGCAGGAGAAGTCAGTTTTTCTCTTCTGTCTTTGCACTACCGTTATCATACATTTTACTTCAAATGCATACATTTAACATGTGCCACAAATCCTATAACACTTTATTGTTTTTGCTTTAAATAATCAATTATCTTTTAAGGAGAAAAAACAAAAAAATTTTACATAATTTTTATATATTTCTGGGACTCTTAATTTCTTTTTTTATAGATCAAATTTTCCTTCTGGTATTATATTTCTTTTACTAAAGAAATTTTCTTTAACACTTATGTAGTGCAAATGTGCTAATAATGAATCAGCTCAGTATTTGTTCTGAAAAGTCTTTTTCTTTTTGGAAGACATTTTTGCTGGTTAAAGACTTCTAGGTTGGCAAAAATGTTTTTAAGTACTTTAAAGAACAGCTCTATAGTTCCTGGCCATTTTTTTCTTACTTACATAGATTCCGATGAGGAGTCTGCAGTATTCTTGATTGTATGTAGTGGGTTTTCCCCTCATGAGCTGTTCTGCCCCTCTCTCTCGGTTCTCTTCTTCTGGCACTCCAATTACATATACATTCAACTCCTTGACGCTTTCCCAAGTGCAGTGCTGGAGACTGAAGATTTAACTGCAGTGAGCTTGGACTGTGAGGATTGAAGCAGAGCCAAAAACTGACAGTTAGTAATCATTGCAGATGTTTGCTGAACAATTGCAAGGTAGCAGGCACTATTCTACTTTTCACCTGTATAATTCTGACTTATCCTCAAGATTTATCTTGAAATTTTCCAGAAAGCCTTCCTATACCATCCTTTCTCACCCTAACCTCTACCTCACCTCTCACACTAGGTTAGGTAGCCCTCTTTTTTAGTTTTACTGCACACTGGGTTTCCAGTGTTTTTAAATCTACTACTCTTTATTCTATTAGATCTTTTTATTTTTAATCTCCATGGCTAGGCTGTGAATTCCATGAGGGCAAAGACTATGACTATTGTCTTGTGTCATAGTCAAATGACCTCTCCTTTGCCCAGGGTGTGTTACATTCTCAATGTGTATATCATGAAAGAATGGATGAATAAATGGTGTCTCCCACTAGACTGTGAGTTCCTCAGAGGCAGAAATTACACTTTTCCCATGTTTTCGTGACCCTGGTTCAATATATATGATTGATGAAAAAGAGCGTTTCAGCAATTACAGTTTTTGTTTGTTCGGTTTTTGTTTTTTGTTGTTTTGAGACAGGGTCTCGCTCTGTCTCCCAGGCTGGAGTGTAGTGGCACTATCTCAGCTCACTGCAACCTCTGCCTCCCGGATTCAAGTGATTCTTGTGTCTCAGCCTCTCAAGTAGCTGGGATTACAGACGCAAGCCACCATGCCTGGCTAATTTTTGTATTTTCAGTAGAGATGGGGTTTCGCCGTGTTGGCCAGGCTGGTCTCTGACTCCTGACCTCAAGTGATCTGCCCTCCTTGGTCTCCCAAAGTTCTGGGATTACACTAAACTCGTGGGAGGCAGAGAAGCAACAGCTAACAGAAGTGGGGAGGAGGCACTGTAACAATTACATTGAGGGCCATCTTTGTTTAACATCAGAAGATTACAGGATAAAATTATTTGTCATGTAGTGAGCCAGGGGTAGAAATCCTGTTTTAAAACTGATTTTCTGTGGCTTCAGCAAATCATAGAATTGTCAGAGCAATTACCCAAAGCTCCAGTGGAAAGGAAGAGTCAGTCTTGTTTGCATACTTGCCTGGCCTAGATCTTTTCATGATCTTTCTGCCACCATGTTGCTGAAGAAATCTTCACTCCCTTTGCCTGTGTGTGTTTGGGATGGAATTACTGAAATCCTTCCTGAATTCTGCTTACGTGAAATGTTACTCCATGTGGTTTTAATTCCATGAAGATATTTCCTCCAGTGTATGTGAGTTATATAGGTTGGGAATAACTAGAAAAAGAGATGACTGGGTTAGAAACAGGAAAGAAAAGGAAATAAAATGCAACAAAACAAAGCACAAAGCAGGCAGAACAGGCAGAGGTCCTGCAAAAGGGCTTTGGGCAATGGAGGGGAGTGCTGAGAGCCAGACGATGTCTGGACATGCATTAGAGGGGTGAGTGCAGGTCTTTGGGGAATCTTCCTCTGTCCCTGTAGTCACACTGTCCATCAAAGGTGGCAGACAGGCCAGGCACAGTGGCTCACGCCTGTAATCCCAGCACTTTGGGAGCCCAAGGCAGGCGGATCACCTGAGGTCAGGAGTTCGAGACCAGCCTGGCCAACATGGTGAAACCATGTCTCTACTAAAAATACAAAAATTAGCCAGGCATGGTGGTGCACGTCTGTAATCCCAGCTACTCGGGAGGCTGAGGTATGAGAATTGCTTGAACCCAAGAGCCGGAAGTTGCAGTAAGCTGAGATAGCGCCACTGCACTCCAGCCTGCGGGATAGAGTGAGACTCTGTCTCCAAAAAAAAAAAAAAATTGGGGGACAGACAGACCTTCACTCCATCAACTCAACCAGGAATCTTGTGGAGAAACCCCCTAAGAAGAAAAAAAAAAGCAAAGGAACATGTCTCTCAGTGGGTGTATTACCCACGAGGAACGAAAATGAATGTACGGGAGTCTGGTTGGAACAGACAGAAGGGGAGATCCTGAGAAGATTCTTCCAGCAAAAGATATTAACAGGAAATGGGCTTCAGAGAACCCAGTACATGAAGATGTGCAAAATGCCTTGTATAGCCTTTTTTAGTTTGCCTTTATTGCTGTATTGTAATAGATATTAAAATAGATATTTACGAATGTCTTCAGGGTGAGTCACAGCTCTTGTTTCCCAGCCCTCCCTTTCTCAAGTCTTCCATTCCTCCATTGCAAGTTTTCCAGCACAGATATTTTCAGAAGCTGGATTCCTGTATTGGGGAAGTTGTTCTGCACTTTAATCACCGACTTGTACCTACACAAGGGGAGAGGTTGTAACTCGGGGAGCTAATGTAAAGAGAAGCTGTACCATTCAACATATGTATATGAATGTTGTCATTTTTACTTTACATGCATTTATTTGCTTACAGAAAATTGCATAGTGCAGCAAATCTATAAAAAGTCAAGCTTTATTGTCAAGAAGCTTAGAGTGACCAAAGACAAAGGGAGACCCATAATATGCTCATTACTGCTTACACTTTTAACTCGAGCTAATCATATTCTTATGTTCGCCACATGTACACATTAAAGAAAATGTCAGTAATTACTGAAGAATTTAACATAATGAATACATGTAAAAACAAGGTTTTAATTACAGCATTTACACAGGTTACAAACTCTAACATGCCTTTGTATAAGAGACAATCAGATCCATACATTTTGTTTTCTAAGCCATTTTGGGGAGAAAAAAAAACCAGCCCTTGATATTTGAGTCATGCGAATACTCTGGGGTTCCAAGATAGTACTCTGGCATTTTTCAACAAGGTCTTTTTCCTCACTATGGAGAAAGCGTCAGTCGCAGAGTTCACAGTGTGTAGTCACATCACTGAGAAATGTGCATGCATCTGACCTCACACCGGGATACTTCTCCCTGTGTGACCAGTTCCAAAGACGTCTTCTGAGTTTAGTTCCAGGACAAGCTAAAGTGAAATGTTGACTTTCAGTTTCATCAACTGCTGATGTTGACCGCACTCCAATGATGGAAAGAGTTTGAGGTCACAGCAGTTACTGGGCCAGGGAGCCTATTTTCCTCAGGAATCCAAGAGAATCAAACCCTCAGTATGGACCAAGAAGCAATATGGACTTATCTGATCTACAAGATGAAAAGTATTCAAAATTGCTTTAAAAAATAGTCAATTTGGTTCTGGAAATAAATTGTGAGAATTTCTGTATCTATTTCTATTATCTTAAAAAGTAGGCACATATCTAAGTGTTACTAATATTGAACATGTAGACTGATTCTGGACTCCCCACTCAGGCTGCATGTCAGAGATTTGCATAGCAAGTGAAGTCACTGGTTTCCTGAGAAATGTGGGCCCTGCAGAGGGCAGAGGAGTTCCCACAGCCCCACTCACAGGGTCTCTTGCAGCTATTGTTAAATGGCACAGTCATCTTAACCATGGCAAGTGAATTCAAGGATTAAATTGTCTACTTTTGACTAAACTAACTTCACAAAAGGTTAAGTGGGTTAAAAAATTTCCTACAAAGAAATACCAAATTTAGATAATATGATAATTCAAGAACAATAAAATATCAGAGCTACATTTCTTCAATTAGTTGTATATACTCTTGTCAACCACGTAGCAAAGTTGAAAACAATGGCAAGGAGTCAGCCAAAAATTCTACATTATCATCAGGAAAGCATTTTGAAACATAGGTTATATCCATTGTCATCAATGTCAACTCACTCTAAGTGCATATTCTAACTCAAGATTTGAAGTTGATGATAGTATTCAGGAAACACGTACGATTTGATTACTCATGCTCAAAGCCATGTGTTATTGAACCAGCCACTTTACAAAATTTAATTAAACTTAATGATGAAAATTAAAAGTCTCTCTGAAAGATCTTATCAAAGAGCAAAAGACAAAAGCCACTTACTATTGGGGGAAATGTGTTCCTTATAATATGCAAGCTTATTTTCCCATCATTTTGATCAAAACAGAAGAAAAAATATATGAAAACGTATAATAACAAGCTTAATAAATAAAACATGCAAAAATATGGTGTGTTACTTATTTTAACATGAATTTCTATGTATTTACAGTTATCTGAAACAAATATAAAATAGTTTGGATCCTTGTGATTGGTCACAAACTTAGAAAGCCTGCCCTTTACATGCAGCAAACTTTTAAAATTTTTGCATATAACAAGCTTTTAACTGATTAAAGTAATGCCACTCTAGTTATTTATGAAATACATCAAAAAGGCCGGGCATAGTGGCTCACACCTGTAATCCCAGCACTTTGGAAGGCCGAGGCGGGCAGATCATGAGGTCAGCAGATGGAGACCTTCCTGGCTAACATGGTGAAACCCAGTCTCTACTAAAAAATACAAAAAATTAGCTAGGCATGGTGGTGGGCACCTGTAGCCCCAGCTACTCTGGAGGCTGAGGCAGGAGAATGGCGTGAACCCAGGAGGCGGAGCTTGCAGTGAATTGAGATCATGCCTCTGCACTCCAGCCTGGGCAACAGAGCAAGACTCCATCTCAGATAAAAAAAAGAAAAAGAAAAAGAAAAAGAAATACATCACAAAGTAGATGGTATTTTATTTGGATTGATAGATTTATCATTTATAAATGCTTTTCTGTAGTATTCATTTTGTCCATAAAGCACAAAGATGCTAAATCATATACAAATTCTTCCAGGTACTTGTCAAGTGAGTTGATTTTTGTTTTCTAACTATGTAGAAAGTTAAATTCATCAGTTGCTTTTCCAGACGGACCCATTTCAGGTCTCTTGACTACCATCACCTATGTGAGCAGAAGGATTCAGGGGATCCTTGGTGGACTGCTGAAGAATGAAGCATGTGCACCCACTTTACTTCTACACTTTGGCAGCTGTAGAACAGAGACAGTGGTGGTGCAGGATACATCCTTGTATCTGGGAATTAATTCCTTTCCGAGGTGTATACTACTTAGCTTTGTGACTAAAATCTACGGGCTTCAGTTTCCTAGTCTTGCTAAATTGGAAACATGTTAATATCTATGATTGTAGCACATCACAAGTAAAGATAAATGAGAAAATGAATGCTTTGGCTGGGCATGGTGGCTCACGCCTCTAATCCCAGCACTTTGGGAGGCCGAGGCAGGTAGATCGTGAGGCCAAGAGATTGTGACCATTCTGGCCAACATGGTGAAACCCTGTCTCTACTGAAAGTACAAAAATTAGCTGGGTGTGGTGGCAGGTGCCTATAGTCCCAGCTACTTGGGAGGCTGAGGCAGGAGACTCACTTGAACCTGGGAGGCGGAGGTTGCAGTGAGCCAAGATCACGCCACTGCACTCCAGCCTGGCGACAGAGCGTCACTTCATCTCAAAAAAAGAAACCAAAACAACAACAACAAAAAAACAACAACAAAAAAAAAGGACAATGTACGCTTTGTAAACTTTAAGTCTGGGAGATGGCTAACATTATGGGGGAAGACTTGGCCAAGACAGCCCAGAAACCACAAGGTGAATAATAGCACCCAGAACAGAAGGTCCACCATGAAGATAAGGACTTAATCTATCAGGAAGGATTAAATGTAACCGTCAAGAGTAGGCTTGATGGAGGAGGGTGAATCTGAATGGAGCCTTGAGCTACAGTGGGGTTTACAGCACAGGCAAATCCTGGTGACTGCATGCTAGATGAAAGGAATTGGACAAATGAAATAACTGAGGCAAGAGAGGTTGGGCATGTTCAAATTCGTATCTGTATTGCATAGATAGCTTAAGAATGAAGTAGAGCCAGAAAAAACATACTAGGCTCAGATTACGGAACATGTTTAATGCTAGGCTAAGAACTGTGTTCTATTATATATGCAAAGAGGATCCATGATCGCTTTTTGAGCAGAAAAATCACCCAAGTTATTGTGATGTTTTAGGAAGATACTTGGGTAGCAATGTGGAAGAGGCACTGAAGCAAGCAGATTGAAGGCAGATGCTACGTATAAGACCATAAAGCTTTTGCACTGGATTTGATCAGTTGCAATGAAGGCTTGAGTTTGGATGGTGGTCTTGGGAAAGTTCAAAAAAAAAAAAAGGAGAGGAGGGGTCATAACTGAAAGCCATTTTATCATGACTAAGAAGTCAAACATGTTAATAACCTCAAGAGATATTGGAACAAGCAGAAAATATTCCTCTTTTGTGCATCCATACTTTTATTAAGAAAAGCTTAACGGAGCTTGAGATATTTATAGAAAAGGCCAGTACCATGAGGAAGGACATGTGTTCCTAGAACACGTTTAAAATGATAGTGTTCTTTAATTTTAAAATATGATGGAGGATAGTTTTCAAATTTTGTCTCGCAGTTTTTGCAAAGTTACTAAAGTTTCCAAATTCTAAAACCACATGGTAGTCTGCCAGCTACACATGGAGCAAATAACCTGCCCTGATGCTCCCCACTTGTAATCCAGCCAGCAAGCCCTGTCTCTCCATTCCCAAGGCTGTGTTCACAGACAGCATTGACCAAAACCAGCCAGTTCCCCCCAAACCCCTGCTGCACAGTATCTGACAGATATCAGTGATGGCTTATCTTCACTTGTCTTTCAACCCCTCTTTATTCTCTACCCCTCTTTATGCACCCCAAAACTGCCAATATCTCTATAAATAGCATGACTCTGGCTTTCCTGGGCTTGAACTTCCATGTGGATTTGGCTGACGGAGATCAATGTAAGGTGATGGGATGCTCAGAAGACAGAGAGTTGGGGGTAATTTTCTCCCACTCCTTTTCTGCAGTGGGAACTGCAGTGATGGCAACAGTATTCTCTCCACGAAAACACTCCCTGCCTCCTGCTGTGGTTTCAATATTTGTGTCCCTCCAAAATTCATGTTGAAACTTCATCCTCAGTGTGACAGGATTAAGATGTGAGGCCTTGAGGAGGTGATTATATACCCTTATAACAGCACTCTAGGGGACTAGCTAGATCCTGTTTGCTTTTATATTCCTTCTGCAATGTGAGGACACAGCAAGAGTCGCCATCTTGGAAGCAGAAAGCAACCCTCTCCAGCCCCCAGATCTGCTGGCACCTTGATCTTGGACCCACAACTGTGAGAAATATGTTTTTCTCAATAGACTACATAGCCTCCATGTCCATGTTCTGTTAATGCAGAACAAACAGATTAAGACATCCCACAGTTCGGGCATTGACCAGTGCCCTCTTTGCCCACCTTTGCTGCTGGTAGCCTGTCTTGCAGATACCCAGTGGCTTTACAGAAGGGGAGGTGGCTTCCTGGAGGTTCTCACACAGTGCGAGCTGAGAGATGGCGTGCTGCAGGCCTGGAGCACTCCTCTCCAGCATGCAGAATGACTGTGGAGCAATGACCAATGTATGACTCTGTCTCTTGTGTGACCATGTGCTCCGGTTTTCCCAGGACATAATAATAATAATTTCTAACATAATTATTAACAACAACCCCTTTCACCGTCAAAAGTGACCTGACTTAGATAACTGAATTGTAAGTTCACTCCACCTTTTCCACAAAGCCAGAATACTAGAACACACGGTCAGAAAACAAAAGGGTGAAATTGGGTATGACCTCCCTCAGTCTTACACTGATGGGATCTGTATTTTTCATTTTTAATTCCTTATACTCAGTGTGTTGTGAAGTCCTAGGGCCAAGGGAAGAATTTTGCATCAAGAAACATAGTCCTGGTTTCGTTCAATGAGAACCTGAGACTGTTCTATAATCATGTTGGGCTTTTCATGTTACGAGATAGAGAATTCCTGTTTTGAACTGGCATTTTACAGTGCCGAAAGGATGTTGGAGTGTTTGTATACAATGGGAGCAAAGAAGATTACATCTAGAACATGGGCAATTTACTGGGGCTCCTTAATTCACTAGTGTCCAAAGATAATGGTTAGTGGGAAACTGTAGCTGTAAAGGATTTGCAGTCTATTGGAATGAAAATTTTGGTCATACTACTAGTTTAAAATTTCTGATAGGGAAAGGTGTTGGTAGAAGGTAAAGGGAGCATTGATAGGTGATTTGAAAAAATGAAAAAGAGGAACTATCAACATAGAACATAGACCAACAGCAGAGGCAGAACCTATATCAGCTATTGTTTACTTGTGCTGATTAATGCCTTCCTTCCCTTTATCATGCTGCCTGATGTGAAGAGTACTGGTGGAACTAACATTACAACCTAGGTTCCAGGTAGGGGTATGACTGAGTTGATACCAGCCCACCACCATACAGTGGCAGGTGCCCTTTGTAAGTAAGGAGGATAGTAAATGTTATCCTCCTTACTCTACCATTGCACTGCTAAGTAGGCTTTTATTTTGCTGTATTTGCCACCTTTAAAATTTATCCTTCGCACCGTAGTCATAACAAGTGAGGTAATTAATGAGGCTTCCTTACCTTCACTATCTTTCTTCACCTTTGACATGGTAAAGTTTATTATTTCTGGCCGGGAGCGGTGGCTCACGCCTGTAATCCCAGCACTTTGGGAGGCCGAGGCGGGCGGATCACGAGGTCAGGAGATCGAGACCATCCTGGCTAACACGGTGAAACCCCGTCTCTACTAAAAATACAAAAAATTAGCCGGGCGAGGTGGCGGGCGCCTGTAGTCCCAGCTACTCCGGAGGCTGAGGCAGGAGAATGGCGTGAACTCCAGGGGGCGGAGCCTGCAGTGAGCCGAGATTGCGCCACTGCACTCCAGCCTGGACGACAGCGAGACTCCGTCTCAAAAAAAAAAAAAAAAAAAAGTTTATTATTTCTATGTTATTGGGGCATACGACATTTCCAGCCTATTCTGTAACCCTAATCCACATTTGGTTTCAGTCTACAGTAAAATACATTCAATACTTACAACTTTTTTTTTTTTTGCTGTATTTTACCAAAGCATCTTCCTTTAATTGGTTGTTATTGTTTTCCTTCCTTCTGTAACCAAATGTATTGCCCTTTTTCTCCACATACCCATGTTTTTGTTCTCTCAAAAACATTAATGAAAATATTTTTTCCTGAATTCTTGCTTGATAAAAACCGCAACAAATTGTAATATATCATGTCTGCATAGTAAGACTAGCTTGGCTGCACATAAAAATCCTTGGTTGGCATTGAGAATCTTGTTGGTCTTCCCTCATGACCATCCAGCTTCAGTACAGCTAGGGGAGCCAGGACAGCCTTCTTCATTTCTCCTGTGAGTGACTTATTCTTTTTTTCTGGCTGCCCAATAGATACCTTATTTTTTTTAAGTCCAATACCTTCATTAAGATGTGGTTCACTTTTTGCCTGTCATGAATGGATATACCTTGCTTCTGATGTGCCCTTTTGAAAGGTAGATTCAAGTCTTCATGCATTGCACAGAAGTGTTCTTGAATTATAATTTTGAAGTATTCGTTCTGTCTCTTTTGGTTTCTTCTTTGGATGTTCCAGTAATGTATGTGTTCAATCCATTTGTCGGTCTTCCATAGTTCTCATTTTCTCTGTAATACTTGAGTTTTGCTTTTCAGATGTTTGCTTAGATAATTTTTGTATAAATGGGTATCTATTTCCTTTTATTTTTGTAATATACTACTAAATGGTTTGGGTTTTCCTAGATAACTACAGAGGTTCAGAGAGAGAATTAAGACAACCTTCTGGGCCTCACACCAGAATGGCTCTTTCCTACTGGGCTATCACAGAGACAGACTGCTTCCTGCAAGTATGGCTCCTCTGGTGATTCTCTGTGTGGTTGAATCTCCCTTGTTCCTCCCTTGAACAAAACTGGGTCCAGGAGGGGACTTTTTCTGGTAGACTGTGTACCCTGGTTCCCACTCCTGTGGTTAAAAAAAAGGGGTATAAGTTTTGAACATGGAAGTGAACTCCCAAATTTTCAGGGAGTACATTTTGTTGGTGTTTTCTGAGATTATCAGCCATTGGCCTCACTACCTCCATACTTCATTTACTCCCATGTGGCTTGTGCCTGATTCCAACTAGATTTGGTCATCTCTACATACGTTTTGAAATCTTTGGATTCTAACTTTTTCTAGTTTCACTAAGGATATATTTGGTTCTTTTTTTCTCCATTTTCCTTGTTGCTTTTTTATGTGTTCTGGAATAATATGAGGAAAAATGCTGACTTTTACAGCCTGTGTATACAACTACCTCTACAGAAAATTTTAAGATATATATTAGTTCTTTATATTCACACAATAACTTTGCAAATAGTCCTAGTGTACAAAGCTTATTCCGATATCTTGCTGTGTTTTTAAACAAACATATATACATATATGCTGTGATAGTTGATGTTGAGTGTCAACCTGATTGGATTGAAGGATGCAAAGTATTGTTCCTGGGCATGTCTGTGAGGGTGTTGCCAAAGGAGATTAACATTTAAGTCAGTGGATTGGGAGAGGCAGACCCTCCTTCTATCTGGGTGGGCACCATCTAATCAGCTGTCAGCACAGCTAGAATAAAGCAGGCAGAAGAAGATGGAAGAACAGACTTGCTGAGTCTTCTGGCTTTCATCTTTCTCCTGTGCTGGAAGCATCCTGGTCTCGAACATCAGACTCCAAGTTCTTCAGCTTTTAGACTCTTGGACTTACACCAGTGATTTTTCAGGGGCTCTCGGGCCTTTGGCCACAGACTGAAGACTGCATTGTTTACTTCCCAACTTTCGAGGTTTTGGGACTCGGACTGATGCACCACTGGCTTCCTTGCTCCTCAACGTGCAAATGGCCTATCATGGGAATTTATCTTGTAATCATGTGAGTTGATTCTCTTTAATAAACCCCCTTTTATATGTACATCTATTCTATCAGTTCTGTCCCTCTAGAGAACCCTAATACACATGCATACACATATGTGGTCATGCAGACATGTATACATGCATGCACACATATGTGACCATATGAACATGCATACACATATGTGATCTTTGCCATTGTGGATGGCTAGGATGATTTTTCTCAGGAAAGGTATCTGTGTTATTAGAAAAATAGCCCTGGTTCTCATCCTAAAGTCATAAAAATCAGGAGGTAACTCAGTAAAAGGAGACACACACACACACACACACACACACACACACACGATGTTATATGTATAAGTGATTTAATATTTTATATATATAATCAAATCCTTGAAATTGCCCTTTGTATTAATCAGGGTTCTTTATAGAAACAGAATCAAGAGTATGTGTGTGCGTGTGCACACATGTGTGTGTGTGTGTATATATATATACACGTATATATTTAATACGTGTGTGTGTGTGTGTGTGTGTATATATAGACAGAGAGAGAGGGAAAGAAGGAGAGAGAGGGAGTTTATTATAAGAAATTGGCTCATGTGATTATGGGGGCTGAAAGTCTCACGATCTGCCATCTGCAGCTGGAGACCCAGGAAAGGCAGTGATGTAGTTGAGAGAACCAAAGTGTCGATGGTATAAGACCCAGTCAAGAACAGCACAGGGGGCTGATGTGTCAGCTCAAGCAGTTAGGCAGAGGGTGAAGTCACCCTTCCTGTGCTTTCTGTTCTATTCGGGTCTCAGTGAATTGGATAATGCCCACTCACACGGTGGAGGGCCACCTGCTTTACTCAGTCTGCTGATTCAAACGCTAATCTCATACAGAAACAGCCTCACAGGCATAACCAGGACCCATGTTTAGTCTGGGCACCTCATGTCTAAGTGAATTTGACACAAAAATTATCCATCATGCCCAGAGTTCTTAATCAAAGTTTCAATGACTGAGGCCAGTCCTGGGCCGCTAATGTTCGTCCAATATTGCGTCTAGTTTTACCATCCCTTCCGTTTGCCAGAAATAGAAACAGAAAATGTTCTACATGTTTGCACCACCAAATAATGAATAAGCAATCAAATGCCATTTTGATTATTGACCTTCTAGCTTTTACAAAACACAAAACTTGCACAAATAAAGATACTACTGGAAGCCAAGGAACCTAGAGACACATGTAAATTCTCTTTATCTCTGCTCGATGCATAAAGTATTCCTATTTAAGAGTAAATTTCCTCTTGTTTCAGTGAAAGATATTTTTAACTGATATTTTTACCTTCAGCAAACACATAAACAGTGAAAGTTATCCCAAATATTGCCATTTTCAATTTCCAAAGGAGCTTATGCTAATTTCAGAGGCATCTCTATGGTTTATATGTATATTTAATATATAAGGCAGGTCCTACTATCTCTATTTTACAGAAGAAGAAACTGAAGTTGGAAAGATCAACAAGCTTACCTGAAGTCACAGGGCGGGAGAGTAAAGGAGCAGAATTTTCAACCTAAGTTTATATGATTCTAAAATTTTCCACTACCATGCTACTAAAAGAAATTACTCAACTAGTTCTTCCTGTTCAGGTAAGTCAGTTCAGACTTTGCTAATTCTGAATAAAGGGGACAGAAGTTATGATGCTGTAACTATTTGACATAGACTGTGTTAGACTGTGTTAGATTAGAGATGAGAGGCAAAAATCTGACCCTAGTATATTTGCTTTCATTGATTCCAATGTCATCTTTAGGTTTTTGTATATTTCTTTCTGATTTTAACATATGATCCTTTATTTTCTTCTTACTTTCCTCCCTTCCTCCTTTCTCTGTCAAATTGTTTTCCTCTTCCTCCTCTTTTAAAAATTCTCAAAATTTGACTATAAATTGCTTTTTCTTCTTTGCTCCTTTTCACAACTCTTTCATTGCCACAAGGCATTCAGGTAGAAAAAAAGGCCAAGGTAGTCTGCAGTGTGCTAGCTATTTACCCAATTGACCCACCATATCTTTTACATAAGCAAATAAATTAACAAGTTATGTAAATAATTTATATTCAAATATTCAGAAGTGTCTTAGACATGTTTAATATGCTACCAGTAAACTCCTTTTAGGAGGAGACCACATGCAGCTTTAGAATAGAAAATAGAAGAAAGGAAAAAAATAAACAAATGAAGGTTTTTCTCTGCAGTCTTTATGCAAGCAACGACTTATTTCTTAAACTCTCCCCTTTGTGGCTATCACTCAAAGAAAATAAAGAAGAAAAGCTACTGGCTTTCTAGTTTAAATCACAGTCTCATTATTCTGTAGGTGAATGGGGAGGGGGATTGGAATCATAGGTCCGAGTGGGCAGTAACTTGAAGTCAATGGAGATATATACAAAACAGAAGCACAATAACGATCCAGCAGTTCTGGAGCTGCTAACTTTTTCTGCCTTTTTCTAAATGTCCAATAATAAGGTTCTAATGGAGACTGAAGATCCATCACCTGCTCCACATCTCCAGGGGGCCCATGTGTGCATCGCAGTGCAGATCATACATGCTTCCTTCCCCTCCCATGGCAAGGGGAATACTGAATGATGACAACTCACATGTGTAACCCAAGGGCTTTGCTTGGGTTTGCAAGGACTAGTGCACAATACATTCTTTGAGTGTTATAATAACATTAAGTCAATGCATGAATTATAATCCCTATTTCACAAGTACAAAAACACATTCAAAGAAATTAAATTCCTTGCTCACCAGTTATTGACAAAAATTACAATATTTATGTTTCTTTTGAAAAATATTATAAAGATTCTCAAATTGTCTAACCAATCATATTATCCGTATTTGTCTCTTCTCAAGCTGCTAATAAAGACATACCCAAGACTGGGACATTTATAAAGGAAAAAGGTTTAATTGACTCACAGTTCGGCATGGCTGTGGAGGCCTCAGGAAACTTACAATCATGGTAGAAGGGGAAGCAAATATGTCCTTTTTCACATGGCGGCAGCAAAGAGAGGTGGGAAAAAGGAGGGAAAAGCCCCTTATAAAACCATCAGATCTCATGAAAACTCACTTACTATCAGGAGAACAGCATGGAGGTAACTGCTCCCATGATAAAATCACCTTCCACCAGGTCCCTCCCATGTCAGGTGGGGATTATGGGAACTACAGCTCAAGATGAGATTTGGGTGGAGACGTAGCCAAACATATCGTTATCTTGATAAGATATTGCTTTGGATTGAATCGTGTCCCTGCAAAAATCTTATGTATAAAAGTTCTGATCCCTGATGTGACTGTTTTTGAAGACAGGCAGGGCCTTTAGTAGGCACTTAAGGTCAAATTAGGTCATATGGGTGGGACCTCAGTCTACTAGGACTGGTGGCTTTATACTGAAAGAAAGAGACAGATGTCTCTCCCCTCGACCTCACATGTATAAAGGCCACATAAGGAAAAAGCAGCCCAAGCCGGTAAGAGGCCCCAACAGACGCCAAACCCTTCCAGCTTCATGATCTTGGACTTCACTGCCCCCAAAACTGTAAGAGAATGAAATTCTGCTGCTTATGCCATCCAGTCTGTGGCATTTAGTTACGCCAGCCTGCACTGGCTAATGCAGATATTCAGAATCAAATGAGTCATCCCAAGCAATTTCTCAGTATATACAGCACAGATTTCACCTTCTAAACTCACCCTTGTCTTCGCCTTTTTTTTTCTTTTTTTTTTTTTTTGAGACGGAGTCTCACTCTATCGCCCAGGCTGGAGTGCAGTGGCGCGATCTCGGCTCACTGCAAGCTCCGCCTCCCGGGTTCACGCCGTTCTCCTGCCTGAGCGTCCCGAGTAGCTGGGACTACAGGCGCCCGCCACCACGCCTGACTAGTTTTTTTTTTTTTTTAATATTTATATTTTTAGTAGAGATGGGGTTTCACCGTGTTAGCCAGGATGGTCTCAATCTGCTGACCTCGTGATCCGCCCGCCTCGGCCTCCCAAAGTGCTGGGACTACAGGCATGAGCCACCACGCCTGGCCAGTTTTTCTTAATTATTAAATAATCTTTCATTGATTTAAGAAATATTTTCATATGGTTCCTATTCAGGCCCAGGCATTGTTTTTTTGTGCTGCAGACAATGTGTTAATAAAAGCTGTCCAGCCTTGTTAGTACATCATGATATTTATATTTGACAAATCCTCTACTTAGATATGTATCACCTCCATAATTTTTTGGAGCACATAAATTTTTTGAACCAAATGGAATAAAAAGCTAGATATATACGTATAATGAATATATTTGAAACTTTGTACTTTGCTTTACAATTTGCAAAAGAACATCATATACAGTGTTGTATTTGAGTCTCCCTTAAGCCCTATTAAGAAGAAATTTTTCTATTTCTGCTGTTCAGTGAAGAAAATGAGCAAAAAAAGGTGCAGCAACTTCCCAATATCCCATATTTACAAACATAAAGGAGTGGGACTTTAATGTAGACTCTTGGTGTCCAAGTTTGTGCTCTTTATGCTTCATGACACCAGGTAAAGTGCAATGAGCACAGCAAATGTGCCCCCTCAGGAGCCAGCTAAGACCTTCCGGGGGCTTCTCCTGGAAGTACAGAGTCTGCGACCCCCATCCTAAATACACAAGCATTGGCATCACTGTCTCACAGTAAAACAAAACAAAACAAAACAAACAAACAAAAAAACAAAGAAAAAAACAAATACAATCTGTTCAGCAGAGTAATTGTACATAACACAAAAGAACTTCTGGGAAAAACACGGAACGCATATTGAAGTCAGAGGCTCAGTCATATGAAAATAAAAGGTCTTGTTGGGTGCCTAAGTCTTGTCTTTGCTAACAGCTGTTTTAGTGCAATACCAGTAAACCCAGCCAAAGGCATTCTAGTGAGCAACACAGGAAGACTCCTATACACTTCAATTTTCCAGCAATCCATAAAATTGAAACATAAAAATAGGATTCTATTTCCCTTGTTCATTCTATATCTTACCAGTACTTATATTTGCATATGTGTAGAAACTCAAGGTTTACAAAGCATATCCACGGTCTTTATTGTATTTCATGCTCCACAAAATGTTGCAAGGGACTCAGACAAAGTCCTGTTTGTACTATGTTACAGGTGAGAATGCTGACATGTAGAGGGGCAAGTACTTACCTGATCACGTTGTCTTAGTATGATGAAGCCTCACTTAAACCCATGATCTCATGTCTTCTCTTAAACTGATGCACTGAAATACAGTCAGGTAAAATAAAGAGTTAGGGGCACATTTTAAAATACATTTAAGGTGCATCAAAGATTTAAACCAATCACTTGTAACATCTCTATTTGTCAAACTCATTGGTGATCATTAGCATTTAGAGAGACCCAGGACAATTGCAAGATTCTAAATAATTTTCAAACCATAGTAGAGGATACTTTGTTTACTGTTATTTATGTATTAAATATCTTTTAATATACTATAGCTTTATAAGAACAGATAATCCATTTTCGGAATAAATTTGTGTTTTAATTGGCCAAAGAGTTAAATCCATTTTTTCTAGATCCTCTGGATAATTAGGAATCGGTAGTAAAAAGCAATTGCACTTTTCCAATAAAATAATATGCTCAGTTGTTCAAACCCACATTCTTGATAAAAACAACTAGAAATTCTGCATAAGATAGAAGAAAAAGAAGATTTTGGAGCAACAAAGAGCATACAAGATGGTAAGGAATTACAAGACCAAAATCTAAGTGATGTCTTGATCTCAGAAAAGAAAGCTAAATGTTGAATTCCCTTTGGCCCTTGGAGAATTCATGAAAGCAGTGAATTTGAGCTTCAGTTTTTCAGTCTCTGTGGAGTGATATGGAAGAAGGAAAAAATCTCAAGTCCCCAGCAACACGCATGTGATAATAGAAGACTCTCCCCCTATGAAACAAGACCTCCAAAGAGCTATAATTTCACAATAAGCATAAACCAAAAGTAAACCCACACTACCTCACTCCTGCTTCCATGTGTCGGCAAGGAAGTGTTCGTTGGTGCTGAACAAAGCATGGGGAAAATGCTGCTGTTGCATAAATTACATTCTCAAAAACTCAAGCTATAAATTTAGTTTAAAACAGTTCACAATACCTAATAGAAACAAATGTGCAGTTCCTCCTCATCCTGAAAGAATCTCCACAATAATATTCCAAGGAAAATAATGCACTCACAGCGTATGTATGTATCACCTATATGATGTATATAGCTGATAGATAAGTACATATGTATCATATATATATACATATAACCGTTACAGAGAACTAGAAGAAATAGTGGAGAAAGAAACAGTTCTACAAAGACCCTAGATTTAAAAATAATCAGAGAAAAATGTTGTAAAACAACTCTTCTCATAACGCCCAAAGTTGGAACATACTTGAAACAATCTCAGCAAAAGAAAGCTGTCAAATATGCAGCCATAAAAAAGGATGAGTTCATGGCCTTTGTAGGGACATAGATGAAGCTGGAAACCATCATTCTCAGCAAACTATCGCAAGGACAGAAAACCAAACACGGCATGTTCTCACTCATAGGTGGGTACTGAACAATGAGAACACTTGGACACAGAAAGGGGAACATCACACACCAGGAGCTGTCGTTGGGTAGGGGGAGGGGGGAGGGATACCATTAGGAGATATACCTAATGTAAATGACAAGTTAATGGGTGCAGCACGACAACATGGCACATGTATACATATGTAACAAATCTGCACGTTGTGCACATGTACCCTAGAACTTAAAGTATAATAATAATAATAATAATAACAATAATAATAAAAGAAAGCTGTTAAAAATGACCAGCATGGAATCTCTCTTCCCCATGTCAGACAACATTTCAGTGGTCCCTGTAACTATTGCTCTGGTCCTGAATAAAATCTTTCTCGCCATGCTTGAAAAAAAAAAAAACAGAATTGCAAAATATGTCTCTGACAAAGGACTAATATCAAGAATCTACAAGGACCTCAAAGAATTCAAGAAGAGAAAAAGAAACAACCCCATTAAAAACTGGGCAAAGGACATGAACAGACATTTTTCAAAAAAAAAAAAATGCAAGCAGCCAACAAACACATGAAAAAATGCTCAGAATCACTAATCATTAAAGAAATGCTCATTAAAACCACAATGAGATATCATCTTATATCAGTCAGAATGGCTGTTATTAAAAAGTTGAAAAAAGAAAAAAACAGAGGTTGACTTGGATGCAGAGCAAAGAGAGAACGCTTATACACTATTGGTGGGAATATAAATTAGTTCAAGCTCTATGGAAAACAGTATGAAGATATCTCAAAGAACTGAAAACAGAACTACCATTTGACCCAGAAATATTCATAACTGGACACCGACCCAAAGGAAAACAAATCATTATAGGACAATACCATGACAATAGCAAAGTCACGGAACCAACCTAAGTCTAACCTATGGGTCCATCAATAATTGATTGGATAAAGAAAATGTGATATATATACACATCATGTAATACTACACCACCATAAAAAAGAATGAAATCATGTCCTTTGAAGCAACATGGATGGAGGTGTAGACCATTATTCTAAGTGAATTAACTCAGAAACAGAAAATAAAATACCGCATATTCTCACCTACAAGGGGAAGCTAAACAATTGGTACACATGGGCATAAAGATGGAAATAATAGACACTGAGGTTTCCCAAAGGGGAGAGGATGTGAGTGTTGAAAAACTACCTATTAGGTACAATATTCATTATTTGGGTAATGGGTGAACTAGAAGCCCAATCCCCACCAGTATGCAATATACCCATTTAACAAACATTCACATGGACCCCTTGAATCTAAAATAAAATAAATATTTTTTAAATGACTGGAATGTGTGAAAAAGGAAACAAAGAACATTTCTAAAATAGAAAGATGCAAAAAATAAATTTTTAAATGCAATGGCTGTTCACTATTTTGTAGTAGCTAAAGTAGGTACTAGTGAATCCAAAGATCAGTCAGAAGAAATTATGTAGAATGCATCACAGCAAAACGAGGCAGTGAGACATTTTACCATATTTTTACTTGGATTCCTAAACAAAGAGGAGAAAGAACATAGAACAGAGAAAACGTTTGTAAGTAATATTTTAAGATAATGACTGATACCCTACATCAAAAGAAAGCCAACGGGAAGTTTCTAAATCTATAGAGGGTACACAAACATAAAACTACACTTGAACATGTCATGGTGAGTTGGACGAACCAAAAACAATAGTAAAACCAAAGAACAACCACACACATGCATAAATCCACAAGGTAGTGAATAAAACAGCTTACTTTCAAGGCGGCAGAATGGCATTGACCACTAACTACTCAACAGAAATGATGAAAGACGGATGCCAGAAGAATGAGATCACCAAAGTGCTAATAAAAAATAATTGCCAACCTAGAATTTCTAGGACCCACTTTTTAAGAGTAGGATGAAATGCAGACATTCTTGGGCAAACAAAAAAAGAGAGTTTATCTGCAGCATATCCTCAGAAAAGGATGTAATTAAATCAGAGAAAAAGATGAGGATCAAGAAGGTAGGAAACATGCAAAAATCATGACAAGTAGTTTTTGCCATTAAGAAAAAGATGAAACTAATTAATTCCACAAAACAAGTCAAGAATAACTCGTGAATTAGAGGGAGCAGAAATGGAGTTGCCATCTTCAAAGGCACTCGTTTTCAGGAGATGTATACAATTTTTGGAAAAACTTGTATTTGAAAAGTTAAGTATGCATTTTGCAATTTTCAGAGAGTGAAAGAATAGCAACAAAATACTTATAAACTAGGAAAGGAAAAATCTTGAATAAGAAAATAATCTATACCAAAAAAGCCACATTTAAGTACTATGTTTATTTTGTTAAATTAATTTAAATTTTAAAAATTTATCTTCACTCTATGCAATAATATTTGTGAAATTTTGACTCTGGTGTGTAAATTAACTTGTTTACTGCATTGAATCCTTTGTCATTTTTGTAATACTTTGATTATCTCCATCTAAATATTCAAACATCACCTCTTAACATAACCAGTGGTACACTTTCCATGATTTAGATATGGTGGTCTGACTAGCGTTGAAACTTGAGAGAAGCTAGCCTCAATAACAGGACCCAGGGATAACCATCTAGTTCTCCAGCGAAGGGCCTTAAGCCCTCTGGGGGTCCACATTGTTGGTTACTCACTAATCAAAGATGTGCCCGGCCCCTAGTTTTCTCCTCCCTGACTCAAGTTCATGTCATTCAACTCTCTGCCTGGTTCACGGACTCATGGTATTCTGCCCTACTCCTGCTGCTTGGCTATCCACCAGTTACCAAAAGCTGAAGTTGATGCAACCACGTGAAATTTCTACAAGACCCTCCCCTCTTTGGGCTCCCATCACATTGTCACTACTGCCAGATGTCATCAGCGTGAGAGAATCAGTGGTGGTCCACAGGAGCATCTTGTTGTCCCTCCCTAAATGATACCAGCACCACTTTCCTCCCAAAATCAATGCTCCCAACCACAATACCCCCCTTGGCTTCACTTGTGTTCCCAGCAAGCCATCAAAACTAGCACCAAGGCTCTCTCTAGGAGGCTATAAATATGTATGTTTTCCTTTTTTCTGTCTTTAAATGGTGAGTTAACACAAACAGACCTACGTACACCAGACCCCAAGGTATCAATCTGGATCCCTTCACAGGATCCTTTGACATTTTCCATTCACAGAACCAAGAAAAAAAAAGCAAACTCTGAAGCCCAGCCCTTCCCTCCTCTATTCCGCAGCAGGCAGCTGATGGGACGCAAATGGGGCTGCTGAGCTTCAGGGTGGAAATGGAAGCCAGTGCCTTGTGCTCCTTGTGATGTGAAACGTGTTGCAGCTGCTCAGAGAAACAAGAGTTTTCACTGGACACAGTGCAAGGAGCAAGCAGGATGCCTTTCATGGACAGAAGCTGCATCTGTCTATACTTCAGCCATTCAATCAACAAACATTTCATGATCATCAGTTACTGCTATGAAAGGTAGATGCTGAGGGTAAAACAAGGAACAAGATGAGAATGCCCCACTCCCATATGGCACATGTAAAAGCATAAAAGTCTATCTGAATCATTTTTGAAACAGAAGGCCCATGACATTGCCTGCTGAGTCCACATTGGCTCTTGTTTGTGGATACCAGCACATATTAAAATTATCTGAAATATTCAGTTGTGAGCCCCCTCCCCTGATATGGTTAGGCTTAGCGTCCCCACCCAGATCTCATCTTGAATTGTAATCCCCATAATCCCCATAATCCCTATTTGTCAAAG
Organism: Homo sapiens; assembly: GCF_000001405.40. NCBI lineage: Eukaryota > Metazoa > Chordata > Mammalia > Primates > Hominidae > Homo > Homo sapiens. Next base: position 146,440,849 of record NC_000001.11, read on the forward strand.
GAGAGACCAGGTGGAGGTAATTGAATCATGGGGATGGTTTCCCCCATGCTGTTCTCATGATAGTGAGTGAGTTCTCCCAAGATCGGATGGTTTTATAAGGGGCTTCTTCCCCTTTGCTTAGCACTTCTCCTTTCTGCCACCTTGTGTAGAAGGTGCCTTGCTTCCCCTTCACCTTCCACCATGATTGTAAGTTTCCTGAGGCCTCCCCAGCCGTGCTGAACTGTGAGTCAATTAAACCTCTTTCTTTTATAAATTACCCAGTCTCAGGCAGTTCTTTATTACAGTATGAAAATGGACTAATACAGTGAGAAAAAAATAGCTCTGGAGGGCTGGGTTACATTCAGGACATGTACTAAATATTTTAATGCATTTTTTTAGCAAGCACGTAAAATGTCTCCCCCGAGGCTTTAAGCTCTCTTTCTACTTCCCTAAAGGTTTCCCCATCAAAATAGGAAATAAATATTGAAGCTAGAAAAGGCTTGTCCCCTTCAAAGTAAGTAAGGGCACGCTTCATGACAGGCATATCTTTCTTCAGACAGTGGGGGAGGACACTTAATTCTTTCACCTAAGAAAAAAAAAGTTACAAAACAGCAACCTATGGAAACAAAAACATGGAATCAATGCATCTCCTGAAATAACTTCTCTGTAGTCCTGAGGGTGGTGTTTTGTTTGGCTTGTTCTCCTTCCCACCTTTTTATACCCACCAAGGATCCTTCTCCTTCTGTTGTAGCCAGGGCTCCTAGAGAAGGCTGTCAACATTGAAGGGCCCAGATCCCTTCTACCAGTTTTTCTTGTGCTTCCTATGTGCTTGTAACTGTGAATCTCCTGCTTTTCCAACAACTCTTCTGCCTTTTGTATGGGTATACATTAAAGGGGAAAATCAGGGCCTCTTCACACTACTCTGGCAAAATCAACCTGAACTGCTGGATTATAGGTCTTGGCCTCTGGAGCTGCCTGCTTGAGCCCTGGCAGGTCTGGAGGCTTGGGGCTCTTTCATTGACTCAGGAAATATTTCTGCTTCCCACCCAGGACTTCTGTTGTCTCTTCCTCCCTTCTCCTCCCCTGCTCTCAGGACTCTTAGATGTAGCCCAGGTTTGCTTCCACACAGTTGACATTGGCGGTGCACGGTCTTCTCCCCTCTACGCCCTCAGATCTCCACGCCTGTGCCTATGACACGTGCCACCTGCACCTGTGTTGCCAAGCCTGGCTCCTCATCCGTGGCCACTCCTGCCCCCACAACCTGCCAGTTCTGCCTCCTTTTTGCCTGCCTCCTGCCTATCTTTACTTCACTGATTTCTTTGGCTGGAAAATATTTCTACAACTTCCCCTCCCACACTCACCTGGGGCTATGACATTGTTGTGCGCACTGGTTGGGCCTCGCCCCTGCCACCTAACAAGTACATCCTACAGGCCCAGGAGGGCATTATCTGTGGTTTTGAATTTCTAGTGTCTCGAACTGTACTGGCCCAGAGAGGACCTCAAATATGGAAAACTGAAGTGATTGCTTTCTGCACGCGTTACCTATGCACCCATGCATAACTCACACAAACTTACTGAATCTTCATTTACTCTTCTGTAAAAGGGGAGTAATCAAAGAAATGCACTTTACTAACAACAAGAGGATGGCATAGTTTATCTTTTAAACTGATAAAGATGTTCTGAAATAAGAATCTATGTTTTCAAGGGTACAGGACTTTGGTAGTTACACCATGACAGTAAAGATGCATATTTTAGGAACTTGGTGGGGGATAATTTGACAATACACATCTACATGTTTACATTGTACATACCCTTTGACTGACACTCCACTGTTAGAAATTTGTACTAAGGAAATAATCAGACCTACAACATAAGCACTTAGCTATAGGAATACTGGTCAAAGAGTTGTTGATCATACTCAAAAATTAGAAACAATCTAAATATGCAATAAGAAATATTTAAAATAAATTATATTGCATTCATCTGATGTAATATTATACAGACATTTAGAAAGCTCTTGTAGTCAAAGGATAAGTAGGTTACCTTTGGCATATTAAATGAGTAAAACTGATACTAAGTTGATATACCCATTGTGATATAATTTTCTTTGGTTCTTAAATATTTTTATATACCTAAGGAAAAAGATTAAAAGCTTATGAAACCAAAATATTCACAGTTTAGTTATCACAGTCTAGTGTGATTATGGGTAATTTTTATTGTTTTAATTTCATATTTTTCTGTTCAAAGTTCCATTGCTTGTTTAATTAAAAAAAACTTTTAAATAATATTATAAAATGACCATCACAGAAAAAAATATCATTAGGCAATATTGCCATGACTATAGACCTTTCTCCCTACACTGTTATTCTTACAGTTGGATGCTTTGAATCGGGAAGTGATATATCGCCTCGCTTTTCGCTGGAGAAGGAAGCGCCAGCCTTTGTGAGCATGTGTATCACAAGCTAACTAGCACGAAGATTGCATAGCTCTTTCTACATAAGGCTACTGTTTGCAGAAATTTGGTCCATGGTCTCCAGTCTCTTGGGGTCTCACGCTCTGTGAAAATCTTCGTGTTTTTCCCTAGCCCCCAGAGTCACCTTTCACACAGCGTCTGCTTGTAACCGCGGTCCCCACAGGAGTTTGTAGGATTTCCGTGCCAGCGGTGAAGGTGTTCTCACCTCATAGAGCAAGGTAGAAACTACGCAGACAGGCGCTGTTCTTTGGGATGAAAGCAGGGCCTTTGGGGCTCTTTCTTAGTGTCCCCGTTCGGTCGTAGACATAACACGCTTGCTTTGTGTAGGAGATCGGCTCTGCCGGCGCCCAGGGGCCCTAAAGCAATTCATCGAGGCCCGCAGGTCAGAACTGCAGTCTCACCTGTCTTGGCGGAAATGCGCTGCGCTCCTCCCTGTACTACATAAGCACGAGAATTCCACTACAGAAGAAAACCCCAGGCCTAGTGATGGCGGTTCTGGGCATTTTGCCAGCTTCTCCCAGGGTGTGTTTTCTGACCCCACCCACTTCTGATCTGTAATGTCATGGTCAATAGAAACTACTTGGCCCAAACGGAAAAGGCAAGGAGGAACACAGCGGGAAAGCCTATGGCGTTCCCTGGTGGCTACCCCGGGGACTGCACTCATAGATCCGCGTGTTCCGAGAAGCCTCTGCCATCCCGACCCCGGAGCCGTGCAGAAACCCGCCGCTCCAAAGAAAACCGGCTAGAACGCACAGGAAGCCCAGCCAGTGTTCAGGACACGGCGAGTGGAAGCCGTACGTCCCACGGACTGATCTAGTTTGCTGAAGACGAGCCATTTACTTCTAACCCCAGCAGCGGACATTGCCTTGCTCAAATATAAAATATATGAACCAAGACCGAAAGCAACTCTTATTGCGTTACTGATGAGCAAACGGGTTTTTAGAATGGTTAAGAAATGTCCCTTGTTTTGGGACCGTCATCACTAACGTATGCTTGGGATTCCTGATCGAGGAGTTTCTGAGCAAAGCAGCCCACCAATCCAGTGGCTGAGAACGGCTTGGATATTGGCTTCCAGGCGCATCAGAAATACCGAGGTTCTGACAAAGACGTGAGCTTCTGTCTGCCTTTGGGAAGGCCTTCTTCCAGTCCTGGCGCTGCCGCTTGCCTTCTGTTTGACCTGGGGCCAGGTCCTTCAATTTGCTAGGCTTCAAGTTGGAAAGTGTTACAGGAAAATAATAATACGAAGTACTTCTTAGAGTTATTGCACAGATTACAGAAGATAGTCTAATAGTACAGCTAGCATCCTGTATGGCTTACATTAAGGATTTGCTGATAGGAAACAACATCCCAGATAAAGTTTTTTCCCCTTAATTATGAAATATAACAAAGGAAATTGTGTAGACTTATGCTTCAGGCCTCTGTAACATTTGAATGAATTTTGCACTTGTGAAGGTGACATCATTTTACAAAATCAGTTAATACTAAAGAATGACAAGTGGAATTTACAAAACATATATTCACAAAAAGAACTTGTTCTTAGCAGCTTTGTTTACAATAGTCCCCAAACTGGAAAAGGTTCATATGCATCAAGAGGTGAATGGACCTATTGTGATATATTCATCCAACGGAGTACTACCCTCAATAAGATGGGACAAATTATGGAAACATGAGATAGCATGGGCCAATCTCAAAAACCTCATGCTGAGTGATGAAAAGAGTGCATTCTATGTGGTGCCATCAAGGTGAATTTCTAGAACAGGTGAAACTAACCTGTATAGTGGCAGAAAATACATCATTAATTGCTGGGGTCAGGGAGTCGAGGGGACTGACTGCAAAGGGCACAAGAGGACCTTCTGGAGTAGTAGACATGTCATCAAACTTGAAATGGATGCATTGTACCATATTCAACCAATGCCTTAATCAATTTGATTGTAAAAAGTAGTAAGAAAACCACTGCAGGCTGGACGCGGTGGCTCACGCCTGTAATCCTAGCACTTTGGGAGGCTGAGGCAGGCGGATGGGAGGCGGAGGTCGCAGTGAGACGAGATCGAGCCACTGCACTTCAGCCTGGGCAACAGAGCCAAAAAAAAAAAAAAAAAAAAAAAAAACCTCCGTCTCAAAAAAAATAAAAAAAAAACACAGCAAATCATAATGCATTCTACTTAATTTAATGAATGTTTAGCTTTAGAGGATTCCTTTAGAAAAGCGTCTCTCTAAATGTGATTGAGAGTTCAGGAATTCCTTCATTTCTGTTTCTGCCTCTTTGTCTTCAGTTAAATTCATGCACTATTAAATGGAATATTTGTAAAATAAAAATAGAGTCTAAGTTCAATTTTACAAAAGCATATATATATATATGTGTGTATATATAATATATAGCTCCCATATATATGTGTGTGTATATATAGAGAGAGCTTTATTTATTGCGGGGGGGACAGTCTAGCTAAAATATACATTCTTCTCTCTGTAGATATACCAGAAGAACATGACTCGATCAGTGTTGCCCTAATGTTAACAAAAGTTATTTTGAACTTAAGGTGATCAGAAATTTTACCTATCTGTACTTTTTCTGTATTGGTGGTATGGTCTATGCTAAGCGTGTATAATTAAAAAAAAAGAGAGTAACTTCAAAATGATTTGGAAGAAAAAATATGTACATATGTGAATAGTACTTAATTCCAGGTGATGGGAATATGGATGACTGGTTATCTTCTTCTTTCTGTATCTTTTATATTTTTAAATGGAAAAACTCAACGACCTGGAAGTGAAAGAACAGATTTGGAAGAGGTGTGGGGCAGGTGAGAGGAAAATGCAGAGTGAAACTCTGTCTCAAAAAAAAAAAAAAGTTACTTGTAATAAAACTCACCAATTTTAAATCTACGATGTAACCATTTAAGGAGGTTTGTAGAATTGTGCAGCCATCAGCAGAGTCACGTTTTAGAATATTTTTGTCATTTCCCCAAATACCCTAAAGCCTCTGCACAGTCATTTCCTAATCTCTGGTGCCCATGACTGGGCCCCAACAAAATAAAAATTTGGAAATCCGACATCATTAAATTTCAAATTTTCTTAGATTGGGATTTTTTGTAGTGAATCATTGTCTTACTTTTGTGACATTTGAGGAAATATTGCATTTTAGGGACTTTTTTGATGAACTTAATAATAGTCCTGTTCATTGCTCTTCGTGAATTGTTTCATTTTTGCTGATAACTGATAGTTGCTACCAAACCTGGTCTGGCAAGCCTAAATGAATGAGCTAAAAAAGAAAAAAATCTGCTATAAGAAATAGAGATAGATGATGAATTTGCACATAAGATTATGTGGAGTTAGTATTGTACCATCTTTATTCTTTCAGAAATTTGGTTGGTAACATTAGAGATACTCCTCACATGCTTGGAATGCCTCTCATTATCTTCTTCAGGTTGCAAGGGCTCCAGAATAGTGACATAAAGGTGAACGTGAGTGCAAGATTTTTGCTGTAGTTCTTTGCTCTTTAATTTTTTTCTCTTAGAGGGATTAGCTTCCATGTATCTGAAATAATAAATCAAGAGTAGAGATAGGCATCTGTACTAGTTTTCTATTGCTGCCTATTAACACATGCAACAAACTAGTGGATTGAAACCACAGAAGTCTGGAACAGAGGCTGGGTTCTCTGATAAGGGTTTTAGGAAGCTGAATCCAGGTGTGTCTGGCTATGTAATTATGTGGAGCTCAGGCTACTTCTCCAAGTTCACTTCAGGTGTAGGAGGAATTCATTTTGTGGGAGTTGAAAGACTGGGTTTTCTTTTTCTGTGCTGGCTGTCCCAATAACAGCTCATGGAGTCCTTCTCAAGCTCCCATTCTTCCTGACGTTACCTTCTTCTGACAGCTAGAGAAACCACTGGCATGTATGCAGTGGTGTGATTAGATCCAGTTTACACAGGTAACCTCACCATCTTAAAGTCGTATAACTGGCTTATAACAACATAATCACCAGAATGATGTCTCAGCACCTTAACAGGCTTTAGAGACAAGGGTGTGGCATGTTTGGGGACCATTTCAGAAATTCCATCTACCGCAGTTGGACACTCACATTCCCCCATCTGCAAAATACATTCACCCTCTCCCCTAAGGTTTCCAAATTTCATGTCATTAAAGCGTTAGTTCAAAGTGAAAAATGGTATGTAGACCACACCAGATCAAAAATTTAAAATCTTATCTTAATCATCCACACCAAGTATGAATGAGGCTTCTGAGGGTGTCCTTGACATAATTCCCTTCCCTCTATCAACCTGTGAAACTGAACAAACAGCTTATCTGCCCTCAGTGTGCAATGGTGGGACAGACATAGAAAAACGATTCTTTTTTTTTTAAATTTTTTTATTATACTTTAAGTTTTAGGGTACATGTGCACAATGTGCAGGTTAGCTACATATGTATACATGTGCCATGCTGGTGTGCTGCACCCATTAACTCATCATTTAGCATTAGGTGTATCTCCTAATGCTATCCCTCCCCCCTCCTAGAAAAACAATTCTAGTGATTCTTGTTCACAAACGGGGAAAGTGGAAGTAACAAAGAAGTCACTGATCCAAAACCTTTTTGAAATGGGGCTGAGCAAAGTCCAGCAGGAATTGCGTGGTTAGGATCCACAACCTGGAACTAACCTTCTGTGACATGGGGCTTTGCCTCTGGAGTCTGCATTTCTTTCTATCTTTATGGCAATCATTTTATTTTCCTTCCTCTCCTACTCCCTTGGTTCTTCCCCTTTCTCCTTATGGCAGCATCCTCCCCTTAATCCTTGGCACATCATCCCCAGCAGAATTGGTCAAATGTTGCCCACGTCACGGTCCTGACCATCTCCATGAGGGGCTGTCCTTGTGACCCCCTGCTCCCCTGGGACCCTCTTCACTGACCTGACCTCTCTGTCATGATTGCTTTCAGCTGAGCTGGCTGGTTTAGGAGAAAACCTAGAATTGTGGAGACCCAGAACCAATCTCTGCCCTCTCTTATCTCCAAGAGAGGAAGAAAATAATAGGTATCACCATGGAGAAATGACCCACATGAGGGCTGAGGCTCTCCAGCAGTTAGAGCAGAGGAAACTCCCTGAAGAAGGGAGGAGCTGAGATCCCAGGCTGGGAGAGCAGGCTTGTGTTAAGCATTACTTAATCTTTATGTGCTCCCTGCCTGAATCTACCAGCCAGCGAATGACAACTGACTGAGTATAAATACTAGGACTACAGAACCGTGATAAAAGGTTTGTCCAAGGAAAAGCCCTTTTACTTTATTTGTTTTCACAGTGGAAATTGCTGTTTTTGATCCAAAGTTTTCTGAAACGCAGCAGTGAGTTCCTGGTGGGTGAGTTAGGTGCTTTGGACCTGGAGGCTGAGGCCAAGGCTTTTGTGGTCGATCTGCTGCCACCATGTGGTGAGGGAGCCTGGGAGAGTCTTAGTCTTTCTTGGCTTCACTTTCCTCCTCAGTGAGGTAGGGGCTTATTGTTCCTCTCTGAGGTCCCTTCCTACTGTGTTTTCTCTGAGTCTCTGAGGAACTGAGATGGTTTTTATTTATTTATTTTTTTCCTTCCCTTTCCCTCCTTCTTTCGTGTGCCCAGCTGCCAATCAAGCCACCCACCTTTCCATTTGCGGGGGAAGGGGGCGGTACCCAACCCCCTCTATTACTAGGGGGTTGTTATGGTAACTCCCCACGCGAGGGCTGGGTGGCCTCTAGATAGGACGGGCTGTCCACCCACCCAATTGCTATGGCAACAGTGGAGCCGCTGAGGGAGGGGCCACTCCGTGAGAACTTGGCTGGAGAAACCACGTGGGAGTTGGGGGGCAGAGGAGGGGCACCGGCTGCCTCAGGAATGCCCTTTCCACCCTCACCTAGCAGGTTGGGGAAGCATCGAGGTGCTCTCAGATCTCAGGATAAGGAATCCTACCGCAGACGTGTATCTCTGCACCTCTTTTAACGAAGTGTTCTGCACAAAGGAACTGTTTCCACAATTATTCATTGATCACTGGAGTCGCGCGTGGAGGAAGGGGTGGCGAAGGGGAAGAGAGGGAATCTGCGTTCAGTCCCTTAAAATATTGCTTGCGTCGCCTTAGATCTAGTCATGTTGGCATAGCGCCTACAGCCATTAGCCTCAGTGGAGGCTGGGTAATGCTATCTAAGAACCACGAGTCATGTTCTACCACTGAAATGCTGTGTGACCTTGAGCAAGTTGCTTTGCTTCTCTGAGGTTTTCTTTCACTGTGAAATTGAGGGGGGAGGCTGTATGATCCTCAAGAGCTCTTCTAGCACCAACACTGCCTCTGAAAGACTCCACCACCAGCCTTAATATAAACATCATTTAAGAGAGTTTTAGAAGTCCTTGAAAAATAGCTGAACACATTCCTTTCTGGACCCTTTTTAGCATTTGGGTGCACAGCCAGTCGGCCCCCTTCCCTAACCCCTAGCCCATTTTCCTTGCCACTGCCCTTATTCAAGCCGCTATCCCCATTCATCTCCTATTTGGCCTTCCGGCCTGACTCCTTCAAGTCAATTCTTTTTTTTTTTTTTTTTTTTTTTTTGAGACAGAGTCTCACTCCGTCGCCCAGGCTGGAGTGCAGTGGCGCGATCTTAGCTCACTGCAAGCTCCGCTTTCTGGGTTCACGCCATTCTCCTGCCTCAGCCTCCCGAGCAGCTGGGACTACAGGCGCCCACCACCTCGCCCGGCTAATTTTTTGTATTTTTAGTGGAGACGGGGTTTCACCGTGTTAGCCAGGATGGTCTCGATCTCATGACCTCGTGATCCGCCCGCCTCGGCCTCCCAAAGTGCTGGGATTACAGGCGTCAGCCACTGTGCCCAGCCTCTATTTTTTTTTTTAAAGACAAAGTCTCGCTCTGTCACCCAGGCTGGAGTACAATGGTATGATCTCTGCTCACTGCAACCTCAAGCTTCCGGGCCCAAGCTATCCTCCAGCCTCAGCCTCCCAAGTAGCCAGGACCACAGGCAGTGCATGCCACCACGCCTGGCTGATTCTTATATGTTTTGTAGAGATGGGGCTTTGCCATGTCGCCCAATCTGGTCTCAAACCCCTGGCCCCAAGTGATCTGCCCACCTCGGCCTCCCAAAATGGGGAGATTACAGGATCCCTTGAGGACAGGAGTTGGAGGCCAGCCTGGCCAACATGGTGGGGTTTTTTGTTTGGTTTTTTTTTTTTTTTTTTTTTGAGACAGTTTTAGTTTAGTTTAGTTTTTTTGTGAATTTGTGAATTTGTTTTTATTGGGGAACAGGACACAGGGTGGAAAATGTCACCTTGGTGGAGACAGAGTTTTGTTCTCGTTGCCCAGGCTGGAGTGCAGTGGCACAATCCCGGCCCACCACAACCTCCGCCTCCCGGGTTCAAGCAACTCTCCTATCTCAGCCTCCCGAGTAGCTGGGACTACAGGCGCACGCCACCACGCCCAGCCAATCCTTTGCATTTTCAGTTGAGATGGGGTCTCACCATGTTGGCCAGGCTGGTCTCGAACTCCCGATCTCAGGCGATCCACCTGCATCGGCCTCCCAAAGTGCAGGGATCACAGGCGTGAACCACCACAACCGGCCAAGCCTGGCAGACATGGTGAAACTCTGCTGAGATGGTTTTTAATGCCACCCAGGACCTGCAGCTGAGACCTGACTCTGTGTGTCTCCTGCAGGAGCCTGAGCTGAGTCCACACACTGGAAGCCCAGAACTGAGGGAACAGATGAAAGAAAGAAAGTCAGCAGGTTTAGGGGATGAGAACAACTCACAAAGGACAAGCCATTGGTAAATGAAAACCAAAGAAGGGGGGAATAAGGACAAATTGGGACAGAAGCCTCAGGGGAAATGGGCAATGCCTGTCATCATCCAAACTCTCAAGGAGCAGCGCGAGCTGAGCAGTGGGGACTGAGAGAGAAATTTACTCCACAGGAGTCTCCTGCCCCTGGCCAGGGAGAGCCACAGGCTGGATGACATCTGGTTTATAGTGAGGGGCAGCAGCAACTCCAAGAGGGGGAAGATGTGACCATGAGCCCCGCCCCAGACCCAGGAGGCTTGACCTTGGGGCTGCCGTAGCAGTGGATGCTCTTCAGGTCAGTGTGGGTTAGAGGGAATAACCATGCTGGGAGAAGGGTTGGAGACATCCATTCTTATGTTAAAAAGCTCTGCCCTAGGTCAGGTGCTAGAGTAAGTGTCCCTTGCTAGTATACAAAGCAGTGATACTTATAATATTCTTCTGTACTTACAGTTGAAGGAGGTTTCCAAATGATATCTCATAAATATTTATTGGTGTTTAATTTTCTTTACGCTGTGTTAAACACTTGGGATTCAGATATTAATGTCTCCCCAAAGGAACTCAAGCCCATGAGAGAAAGAACAGAAATATAGCTTTTTAAGAAAATATGAAAGTTCCCCCACATTGGGGTGCTGTGGCAACCCATAGAGTGGGAGTTTAGGTGAAGACATTGCTCCTAATGACAGGGGGAACCATAAGAGGACTTCTTCAGAACAGACTCATTTTCCTCCAATGTCCCACAGAGAGGGATCCTGGGGCATGAATGGTGTAAGGCAAGGGCCAGTCTAAGGAAAGGGATTTGCTGCATCCTGGGAGAAATCTCAGCATCCCTGACAGGATATTTGGGACAGGAATGCAGGTGAGAGGAGGTTTGCAATCGCTTTTATTCAATAATTGATGAACACTCTCCTGAGAACTCCCTCAGTGCTAGACCCTGAGCTGGGAACCATGAACACAGAGATTAGCAAGATATGATCTCAGCTTTGACAGAACTCTCAGTCTAGTGACCAGCGATTCCTGAGAAGTATGGTGATGGTGGGTTCACTGGAACCAGTGGCCCATGCTGCATGGAGATGACCTCAGTGGATGGCCTGGTCTCTCTTCTGTTTTTTTCAAATAGCTGAATGACCTATCCTGGGCCCGTGACCCTGGACTTCAGCCAGATCAGCATCTCAAGGTACAACCAACATCTTGGCTCCATGATGGGTCAAAACAGTTAACACAGCCAAGGTATTCAAGGTATCAGTAGCTACTGACTATGTCCTGGCCAGCTGTGAAAAGAAAGGGGTGAATTTAACAAGTATTCTAAAATTGTCCTTGACATAGTAATCACAGATTATCTATCTTCTGTCTGGTAATATATATATATATATATATGTTTTTGTTGTTGTTGTTGTTTTGTTTTTTTGTGACGGAGTTTCGCTCTTTTTACCCAGGCTGGAGTTCAATGGCATGATCTCGGCTCACTGCAACCTCTGCCTCCGGGTTCAAGCGATTCTCCTGCCTCAGCCTCCTGAGTAGCTGGGATTACAGGTGTGCGCCACCACGCCCCGCTAATTTCCTATATTTTTAGTAGAGACGGGTTTTCACCATGTCGGCCAGGCTGGTTTCGAACTCCTGACTTCAGGTGATCCACCCACCTCGGCCTCCCAAAGTGCTGGGATTACAGGCGTGAGCCACCACTCCCAGCCTCTGTCTGGTAATTTAAATGCTTTGGAGACTCCAAGATTCACCCATGTCCAAAATAAATTCTATATCAGTCATAGTACTAGCATTTAGAAGTTGTGTGTTTTATCCTCTAATTATAGATGAAATACCTAAGGTGGAAAGGAGTAAAGCAGCTTCCATGAATGTAGTGAGAATGTAGGGGGGTTAGGGACTAAAGTCCTGCCTTAGGATTCCCCAGCAGTTGCCAGTCACAATTTTTGTACTCTTAGAAACAACAACAACAACAACAAAATGACAACCTGTTTTGTTCCTCTGCTTACCCTATCCAATTCTCTACACCATAACATCTCTGCTTATCAAGACAACTTGGATTCTCAATTTGTTGAGCTCAACAAATGCATCTCTTGAGCCCCTGTGGGTAAAGCATTATGCTAGTTACGGCGGGTGATACAGAGGAAGCACAGAAGAGTCCTTAGTGACAAGAGCTTAAGATTTCTGCTCTCAGCTCAGCCTGAGTTGCCTGCAGGTGAGAAAATCAGTAGCCGACACCCACAGGTGCATTCTGGTGAAAGGGTCGATGATAATGAGTAGTGGTTCTGACAGGGCTGGGCTCTTAACCTCCCAAAGATGCTGGTCAAACAGGATCTGGAGGATCTCTGCACATAGTGTCTGACTACTGACTGTCATAAGTGAATGTCGCCAAGTCTTGGCCTGGATCCCCTCCCTTTGTTTCATTTCACAGATTATATGTTGACAGCAGGAAAATCAACAGAAAGACCATGAGGCTAGACTCCAAAAGACTTAGTAATGCTGCTGGGTGGGCCATGAATTTTTAAAAACACATGAAGGGCCTTCTCAGAAGTGAAGTTTTAGGAAATATAAAATGCATAGCTGGGATACATTATAGTGTACTGATAGAACAAATATTGGATATAGCAGCATCTAATAACTTCTGGAGGAAAAAATATTTTTCACATTACTCCAATTATGGCCTTATATGACAAAAAAGAAAAAAAAATCCCTAAGAGAACCACTAACATCCACTGGTTTTGTAGAAACAGGATACCCTTAGTGCACTTAAAGTTGGAAAAATGGCTCTGCCTTTAGGGCCATGCAATGAAACAGACTGTGTGGTAGTTGACACAGGAAGAGCAGAGCAGAGTTTATAACAATGGCCACAAGACAGTTAAGAAAATGCTTTGGGGCTTTTAAGCAGCAGATAAGGTGACTCAGAGGAATGTTAGACAATCGCAGAAAAGCAACTTCAGCAAAGTTTTTGATTCAGTGGGCACTGCATACTTAGTCCATGCTCTGCATCTGTTCTTTCACAGTCTGTCCCTTCATCGACTTGGGCCTACAATGACTTTTCTGGGAGGGGAGAGGGATCAACACAACAGCATGCACACACCTGAAATAAAGAATGAATTTCTGATTTTCAGATTTTAGTCTCTGACATAACCAAAGAAGTGACTACCATAGATGTTAACTTTTTTTTTTATTATTATACTTTAAGTTTTAGGGTACATGTGCACAACGTGCAGGTTTGTTACATATGTATACCTGTGCCATGTTGGTGCGCTGCACCCATTAACTCATCATTTAACATTAGGTATATTTCCTAATGCTATCCCTCCCCCACCCCCCCAGATGTTAACTATTAATAACATAAATGATGCTCACAAATATGCAGATCTTATAATAACGAGGTAAAATAGCTTAAAAAATAGATGGTAGAACTGTAGTCCAGGGACACTAATAGAAGTGACCCATAACATTACATCATCTCCACTTCCAACAAAAATCAGGCAAAAGAAGGAAGGAGACTGGCAACCCAATGCACAGAACTATATATAACAGGCATACTAGTTATTGGTTGGTTATAAACCAGTGGGAATAAATCTTTTTTATATACTGACTCTTGGTTTATGTCACTGAGGCACAGCATGGAACAATAGAAAACCGGACTGTAAGATAAATTCATTTGAGTAACTGGACTTTTGTAAACCATTAGACAGACATTTGAGAAACCAAATTTAAAGCTGTTTGTGAGCCATGTTAGCCTATCAAGGTTGAAATTCAGGAGAGATACATAACGAAAAATAAATGCTTTTTTTTTTTGTGACACTGTGATCTGATGCATTGGGAATGTGATCTTGTGAATCACTCAGGTGAGCAAGCCTGACATGAGTGGGCATAAAGGTCAGTAACTGAAGAGGTACCAAAATGTGCTACATGTGTCAATTGTGACCTAAAGAACTGAAGGCATTCACCCTCCCTTGAAGTAATGAAGCTGACACAGCAGGGGGCTGCAAATTCCACTGCAGATCAGGGTCTTGAAGCTGACATACTGAAGAGTGGACTCCCACTTGAGATACAGAGTAGGAACTACTGTTTCCTACGGCTACTGAATATCCCACAAACTAACCTCCTCAGCATGCCATTATTAATTATTTTAAAGCTCTTAAAGGTCTCATTTTATAATAGATCACATCAGAAGGAAGATTAATAAGGATCAGGTACAAACTCATACTTGCTGGACATATCATTGCATATCATCCCAAAGTTTTTGGCACTACATAATGTTGGAATAGATTCTTGAATATTAAATTTTAAACTAAGGGAGAACATTGGCTTCTAAATTTTACAACTATAGTATTGCAGCTAAACACAAGTGCAGATGGGCAGCCTTATAACTGCATGAGTAATCTTAAGGAAAACTTATTGGTGAACATACAGAACATTTCACATGCATTTGTCTACAAAGGACAAACTCTTCCCAACCTCAGAACTTGATATGCGTTAGGACATTCCTCTCCCTTGGGCTGGTGATAAAGCTCCAATTGAAATGAGAAAGACTCTTCATACCTGGTAAATACGCAAGTTTCCAAAGATATTGCCACTGGCCGATCAAACCTGAATCCAAAAAGCATTTGTTTCTAGCAGGATATAAGATCAATATGCAAAAATAAATTGTGTTTATGCAATTGCACGGCAGAATTTAAATGTAAAAGGAATACCATTTACAATAATGTCAAGTGTATAAAATCCATAAATGTGAATATGACTGAAAATTAGAGCATATTTCACGGAGAACATAGTGCAGGCCTAATAACTGGAAAGATATTGTTTGCTCATGTGTAAGAATATTGTTGAGATGTTCATTTCCCCTAATTTGATCTATGAATTCAATGCAATCCGACTCAAAATTTCAGCATGCATCGTTGGTAGAAAATGGCAGCTGATTCTAAAATTAACATGAACTAGCATAACCAAAATGCCTGTATAACGAAGTGCAAAATTGGAGGGCTAGCTCCACCTGATTTAAAGAACAATCACAGAGTTGTAATGGCCACAACAGAGCTTTGGTATGTGATCAATTAAATGGATCAAAAGAAAATAGAGTCCAAATATAAATGAACACATATATTGAGAACAGATTTTTGACAATCTTGAAAAAGCAATGTATTTAAAAATGCATAATATTTCAACAAACGATTGAAGATTTTCTTTTTAAGCAATGGATGTGACATATTTGTAACCATATAAAAATAAACAAGTAGAAAAAACTGAATTCATGTGTCATATCATATATTAAAATTAGTGGTTACAAGAGGCTGGGAAGGAGATAGGGGAGAAGGAAGAAAAGATATTGGTTAATGCATATAAAATATAGTTAAATAGAAGGAATAAGTTCTAGTATTTGATAGTATATTAGGGAGACTATAACTCAAAATAACTTCTTGTATATTTTAAAATAACTAGAAGAGAGGAATTGGGATATTCCTAACATAAAGAAAAGATAAAGTTTTGAGGTGACAGATATACTACTTACACTGATTCGATCATTATAAATTGTATATGTTTATCAAAATATCATGTGTATCCCCAAAATGTGTGCAACAATTATACATCAATTAAAATAATGAAGAGTACATCTTAGACAAATTAACAATGATTCCAATCCCATCGAGTATCTTTTCTGACCACAATGGTATGAAACTAAAAATTAACTACATAAGGAAAACTGGAAAATTAAAAAATACGTGGAAATTAAACAACTTGCCTTTGAACAACTGATTGATCAAAGAACAAATCAAAAGGGAAATTTGAAAATATATTGAGGCCAACAAAAGTGAAAACAAACATAACAAAATCTTTGGAAACAGCAAAAACAGCTCTTAAGAGTCAAGTTTATAACCATAAATGCATACATTAAAAAATTAGAAAGACTTCAAATAAACATTACACCTCAAGAAACCAGGAAAAAAACAACAAAATAAATCCAAAGTTCACTGAAAAAAGGAAACAAAAATCAATGCAGAAGTAAATCAACTGAAGAACAGAAATACTACAGAAAAATAATAAAAGTGAGTTGTTGGTTTTTGTTTTGTTTTGTTTTTTTCCTTTTCCTTTCTCTTTCTTTTTCTCTTTTTAGGAGAGACAACGTCTTACTATTCTTTCCAGGCTGATTGGGAACTACTGGCCTCCAGTGGTGATGCAACGTAGGCCTCTCGCACCCGAGTTGTTTTTCTGGAAAAAGTAAAATTAACAAACACTTGGCAAACTAACTAAGAAAAAAATAGAGAAGACTCAAATAAATAACATCCGAAATGAAAGTGGAGGCATTACAACAGAAGCCTCACAAGTAAAAAGGATCATAAGAAACTATTATTAGGCCGGGCGCGGTGGCTCCTACGCCTGCAATCCCAGCACTTTGGGAGGCCGAGGCGGGCGGATCACGAGGTCACGAGATCGAGACCATCCTGGCTAACACGGTGAAACCCCGTCTCTACTAAAAATACAAAAAAATTAGCCGGGCGTGGTGGCGGGTGCCTGCTACCCAGCTAGCTACCCAGTAGCGTGTAGTCCCAGCTACTCGGGAGGCTGAGGCAGGAGAATGACATGAACCCGGGAGGCGGAGCTTGCAGTGAGCCGAGATCGTGCCACTGCACTCCAGCCTGGGCGACAGAGCGAGACTCCGTCTCAAAAAAAAAAAAAAAAAAAAAGAAAAAAGAAACTGTTATTAACAGCTCTATACCAACAAATTGGATAACCTAGAGTAAATGGATAAATTCTTAGAAACACACAACCTACCAGGATTGAATCAAGAAGAAACCGAAAGCCTGAACGACCAATAACAAATAAAAGGACTGAAGAACCTCCCAACAAAGAGAAGCCCAGGACCAAATGGCCTCACAGCTCAACTCTTCCAAACATTCAAAAAAGAACCGGGCGCGGTGGCTCACGCTTGTAATCCCAGCACTTCGGGAGTCCAAGGTGGGCAGATTACCTGAGGTCAGGAGTTGGAGACCACCCTGATCAACATAGTAAAACCCTGTCTCTACTAAAAAAATACAAAAATTAACCGGGGGTGGCGGTGCGTCCGTGTAATCCCAGCTACTTGGGAGGCTGAGGCAGGAGAATCGCGTTGCAGTGAGCCGAGATGGCGCCACTGCACTCCAGCCTGGGAGACGGAGCGAGAGTCTGTCTCGGGGAAAAAAAAAAAAAAAAAGAAAGAAAAAAAAGAAAACGAAAACCACTGCAAATCATAATGCATTTTGTCCACTTTCTGAGAATGTGATTTCCTCTTCCTGTGGAAACAGCAATAATTTTTATGAGGGGGTGCTGCCCGGACCCCACTGGAGGAGTGGGTAAGATGAGGATTGTGCTCGGTGTTGCCTCCCTACAGAACCACACATACTGATCTGTAATACCTGTGGCCCCTAAGTGTCCGTGAAGGGACTGGTCCCTTTACAACATTGCGTATGGCTGCGGAAACCCACTATGTGGCAACAAGATGTATATGTGTGGGTTGGTGGTAAAACCATTATAGGCAACGGAAATTCAAAATGTTCCAGAACTCTTAAAAGTTCGCCTCATGTAGTATTTGGTTTCTTGCAGGGGGCCCCAAGCCCCGGGGGCTGTGGTCAGCTACCTGTCCTGGGCCTGTTAGGCACCAGGCCGCACAGCAGGATATGAGTGGCCCGCAAGCGAGCATTCCAGCCTGAGCCCCGCCTCCTGTCAGATCAGCGGTGGCATTAGATTCTCATAGAAGCACAAACCCTATTGTGAACTGTGCATGAACGGGATCTAGGTTGCGCGCTCCTTACGAGAATCTAATTAATGCCTGATGATCTGAGGTAGAACAGTTTCATTCCGAAATGATCCTTCCCTCTTTTCACGTCCCCCACCCCTGGTCCAAGGAAAAATTGTCTTCCACGAAACCAGTCCCCGAGGCAAAAAAGTTTGGAGACTGCTGGTCTACAGTGTCCCAAAACCCTTTTCTATGGTTCCTTCCCAAAGCCTGGAGGCTCTAAGTCCTCCCCTGTTCTTATACTCCTGTGTGTTGAGAAAAATAGCATTTCCTATGCTCTGAAGGTTCTCCAGAACATTCTTTCTAGGCTGCAGGATGGAGATTAATAATAACAGAATATTTGGCATGGCCTTGTTAGCCAATCCAAAGCCCTCTGGGCTGAAGTGGGGGTTTTTCACTTCAGGGTCATCCAGCCTGGGTACCTTCCATCTCAGCATCCCCAGGCACAGACAGGAAGGTGACATCACCCCATTTACATGATGTCTGTCTTTGTGGCCTGGGCCACTGGGTGGCTTACCTCAGAGGCGGAGATGTCAGAGATGGGTGTTCTGGGCATGATTAACAAAGGGAAAACTGAGAGCATTCCTACTGAAGCCCCTTCTCCTTTCAGCTCCCACTCAGGTGGCCTGTCCTCACGGGCCTTGGAGTGGAGACTTGAGCCACCACCTGTCAGAGGTGGAGACTTCACAGGCACAGCTGGAGCCAAGAACCCTGGTGCCCAATTGTCTGTGACTGCAACTGGATCAAGGGTTTGACTGTGGCTATCGCTTAGCCAGGCGGGATGTTTCCTCCACCACCTGCAGCTTCACAACCAACGGTGATCCTGGGAACCAATGGCCCTTCCAAGGTAGGGAAGGAAAGGGGACCAGGAAGCTCTAATCCGGGTGTCCTGGTCATGGTGCTGTGAGGGGAGGAGGCAATGGGGTCTCTTCGTGCTCCCTCAGAGTCAAGCAGAAATCCACAATGTTCCAACCCAGTGAGGTGAGCAAGAGCCTGGGGTTTAGGATCAAATCTGCTCTCAGGTCCTGGGCTTAACCCTTACTCATTATTCATCTCGGCCAAGTTATTTGTGGTGTTGGCATTTACATCTCAGTCCTGTCATCTGAGAGACCTGAAAAATAATATCTACATTCCATCATTGTTGATAACATTAATTATGATAATTTCCAAAGGGCTAATTCAGTAAAAATTGCTTAATAAATCTATGAATAGATGTTATCTAATTCTGTTATCTTTCTGGTAAGTTAGCACTCAGGAAATGACTTCACGTGCATTGTTTCAACTGAGGAAGAGTAACTGTTAGGATCTCTACTTTCTAGAGACTCCCTTCCTGTGTTTACTTAGAAAGTATCTTTTGCCAGTTTTCTTTCTCTTCCTCAGCATCCCTTTTTAAGTCAATTTCCCCCGGTCATGCACTTCAGTAACAACCTATTAGGCACATTAGTAAAAGTGCAAATCCTGGGCCCACAAGTCAGTCTCCTGACATACCCAGCTTCTTGCTCTGTTTTCTCCCCTCGTTTTGAAATAAAAGAATGAAAGGGCAACCTTCTCATGGAAAGGGTATAAATCTGTCTCTTTTATGAAACTCCATTTAGTTCATCATCTCCATTCATGCCCACGGCCATGTCCTCAGTTTTCTTCTCACAGGGATCCACTTCTGCCCAGATTTCCTTAAAACCCTGGGTTGTGTTCATCCTTACTCTCCGTCCCACTCAATATCTACTCCTGGAGCCCCTGGGGCTGCCTGGTGCTCATCTGTCAATCGATGCCCCCAGCCGAGGAATAAGGAGACCCACGTCCTCAGGAGGAGGGAGGGTCATGTGAGATAACGAGCACCATCTGGGTCCATGGAGAGGACACATGGAAAACGCTCAGTGAGTGTCGGGGGATGCGTAGTCCCTGACACGTGCCCTGATAACTTTGAGAATTTAAACTGATTTCTTCCCACTGGTGTCTCTTTTGCTTCTCCATGGATTCCTGCACCCCTAGTCAGGACTCACCCCGCTGGCTCCAACACTCTTACCTGCTGGCTTTCCCAGGAGTCCGGATCACTAACCAGGTTCCAGGCAAGAGGACAGAGTGAATGCCTTTTGTTTCATTGTCCTTTACCTGGTGACTTCTCCTTGCTGTCTAATAGGGCATTTGTTTCTCACCATGTCTTCTCTCTCTCGTTCATCTTATTTTTCTAAAATTTTTTCCAGTTTCAGTGGACCAGATTATAATGTTAGTGATTATAACGCTAATTCAACATCTTCCACATCCTTATGTAACAATTTCTTCCAATAGATTTATATATATAAATATATGCATTTATGTCATTGGATATATATATTATGCATATTTGGCATGTATTTTTAATAAAATGTAGATATATGCTATATACATATCTGCATGCTCATTTCATCAATATCTCATGTTTAGTCTATCCAATTCTTTTCTCTCATATGTTCATTTAATGTTGAGTTTTAGAATCTCCTCCCTCCCAAAACACAGCCTGTATCCAGTCTGACTTCCTTGCCTTTGCCTTATCTACCTGGAAAATATTTGTGTTTATTGATCCTAAATTTTTTGAATATGTTTGTCAGTTGGGATCACCTTTTCCTCCTGGCAATCTTGTCATTACTGGGTGATGCATGAAAAATCAACAATACAGAAAATACCAAAATGTCTTTCCTGGCTTCCCTTTACCCATTGGACTTTCTTATTCAAGGCCGCTTTCCTTCTCTGATGATCCTCTTGGGTGGAAGAGAAAGTCACAGTAAGATCATGGATGACAGTGAACACTGTGGGTGTGGTTTCATTTTCAGAGCTGGGTTTGGAGCCTTCCCTTGAATGAAGAACCCTCCCCAGCTGGAAGGTGATGCTATTGAAGGCTCAGCTGACAACATACATGGGCATCAAGTCATTGGCCACATTCATGCCTCAAGTGTCCTAAAACCGAAGATGATCAAAAGAAAACTGCTGTTCAGCAAGTGGAGACTGGCATGCAGATTCCCTGGCCTGCAAGCTTAGAGCAGGAAGGTAATCACATCTATGGCTCTTAGCTGCACTCACTCCTTATTCCTCTCTGTCTATGATGACAGCTCCTTCTCCCACTGCTTTTTTCTTCTGTATTTGTTCTCTCCAGCAGCTGCTGTCACCTCTGTCTGGTATTACCTCTGTGTCCCATGGGCTGCCATGCTGCCAGGTCCTTCTGATCCCCATCCCCTGTTTGCTCTCTGAACTCTGCTCTGTTCCAACCGCTGTTGTCCTAAGAGTCCCTCTCATGGCTGCAGGAGAGCCCAACTTCCTTGTGCCCCTCCAAGTGCATGGTGTGAGCTGCTAAACACAGGGTTCTTTGCCTGGAATTGCACAGCTTGAGTAATTTGCCTTTCCTTTCTGCATCCCAAACTCCATTGCCCCTTTCTGCCAGGAGCATTGCTTTAATACGTCATTTACACATAGATTTTTCTCTTGGGACAGCTTTTGAGCAACACAACTAAGTCAAACTGTAACCCTCACCTTGTACATGGGAATGAGAAGTGTTAAAACTGAGCACTAAGAACTCCAAATCAAAAACTAAATTAGAACCTGGGTCACAGAAGAGAGTTCCCTACTAGCCTGGAGTCAGGTGTGTCTTCATCTCTAGATGGGCAACCTTATGCCAGCGTGGATGAAGTTTCCAGGGACTGTGTCTGCTCCTCATGGACTCACTTAGCTGACATTAACTGGAGAACATTTATGACATTCCAAAGGGACCTCAGCCAAAGAAAGATGCAGAGGGCAGGGCAGGACTTTGAACCTGCGTAGACCACAAAGTGCATTCTCACCTCTGTCCTTTTTATTCACATATTTACTTCTACAAGCTCAGTTAGAGTCTAAAACACAACTCAGGTGAATCTTGAGGACAGAGAAATAAGAGAGCATTTAATGAATTAACTTTGAGAAAAGTGAGTCCAGGGGCCAGCTTTATGTCTACACAAGATGATAGACAAGAACCTATCTACAGGACAGACTTTGCCTCAGACCAGCCCAAGTGAGAGATTTAATTGAAATAGTCAGAAGAAAGACTAAAATCCACAGAGCCACAGAGAATGAAGGCAATCACGAGAGAAATGAGGATAGGAAAGAAAATGATAGGAAATCAGGTTGGT
Source organism: Homo sapiens (assembly GCF_000001405.40). Taxonomy (NCBI): domain Eukaryota; kingdom Metazoa; phylum Chordata; class Mammalia; order Primates; family Hominidae; genus Homo; species Homo sapiens. The sequence goes on from NC_000001.11 coordinate 146,462,972, forward strand.
TCATTCATTGTCTCTAAATCCTGCTACCATGTAATAAGCACCTGATGAAATTTCAATAAAGATGAATGCCTTGAACTGACATCTTGAGATTCTCACTTAAATGGTCTGGGGTGTGATGTGAGCATCAGTACCTTTAAAAAACTTCCATGATATTCTAATATACAACTGAAGATGACAAGGACCACTGGTCTACTCTGACCTCAGGTTTTCAACATGGAGATGACCACTTGTGTGGCTACTCCACACAAAAGGCGGAATATCCATCAGACATTGATGGGATCTGTATTCACCTCTCAACAGTAGTATTTGTAGAACATAGAAAAAAATTAAAAAGAAAAACAAGAAAATAGATGGATTAGACCTGTAGTCTCTCTACTTAAAGCACACTTGCTTAATTTTGAGTACAAGTAAAATAAGAAATAGTCATTGTATTGAAACCCAGTATACAGAAAACAATACCTCGTATATTACACATATTCAGATTTAGTATTTTCTTTTAAATTTTATTTTATTGTATTTTATTTTTAAGACAGAGTCTCGCTCTGTCACCCAGGCTGGAATGCAGTGGCGCAGTCTCGGCTCACTGCAACCTCTGTCTTGTGGCTTCAACAATTCTCATGCCTCAGCCTTCTGGGTAGCTGGGATTACAGGTGCCTGCCACCACACTTGGCTAATTTTTGTATTTTTTAGTAGAGGCATGGTTTCACCATGTTGGCGAGGCTGGTCTCGAACTTCTGGCCTCAAGTGATCCATCCACCTCTGCCTCCCAAAGAGCTGGGATTTAGGCATGAGCCATCATGCCCAGCCTTCTTTTCAATTTTAAAATAAATCCTGCAGTTTACATTTCCACACACTGATTCCACAGCCCATTAATGGGTTCGGCACTGCAATGTAAAAATTCTGCTTTGCTCAATTCTTGTCATTCAGCCAAATCCTCAGAGAGAACTCGTAGGTCTCACTCCACTAGACAGAATATAATAATAAGTAAAAACTGAAACTTGGCCGGGCATGGTGGCTCATGCTTCTAATTCCAACACTTTGGGAGGCTGAGGAGGGTGGATCACCTGAGGTCAGGAGTTCGAGACCAGCCTGACCAACATGGCGAAACCCTGTCTCTACTAAAAATACAAAAATTAGCCACGCATGATGGCACGTGCCTATAATCCCAGCTACTCGGGAGGCTGAGGCAGGAGAATCACTTGAACCCGGAAGGCAGAGGTTGCAGTGAGCTGAGATCACACCACTACACTCCAGCCTGGGTGACAGAGTGAGACTCCATCTCAAAAAAAAAAAAAAAAAAAAAAGAAATAATAATAATAAAAAAACTGAAACTCAGGAAGAGATGATATATGAATACTTTTTTATGCTACCCTTGATGCTGGCATGAAATTCTAAAAAGAAATCTTTCCCAACAAACCACTCTGGGAAAAATGTAACAGGGAGAGGAGAATGTAATAAAACACAAACTAATCCTTTTCACTTTCTACTTCAGAGTTTTGTTGATCAGATATTGAGCATGTTTCTAGAAATGCCTTAAGGTGTAACCAGGTGTGGAATCAACTTCAGGGAATTAGGGATAATAAGTTGGGCCATGGTTACAATCACCACCCTTCCTTTGTAATTCCATTTGACTCTTTCCTTTTCTTCTGATCCTTTTTGGAAGAACACATAATATTTCTTTTGTCTTTTTCTCATTTTTTATTTAACCAACAAAACAAGCAGCAGTGACATCATATTTCTTTGTAAAAGCTCATTCCTATCCTAGCCAAGGTGACCCAGCAACCTCTAGTGACTGTCGAGAACTCCAGATTGGAGAATTGACTCTCCCTTCTCTCTAACTTATTGAAAGAGACTTCGTGCGTGGGTTCTAGTTTCAGGGTTGTCCACTGCAAGTCATGTGGCTTTAGTTAAGTCAGCCCTGTGGCATCACTGCTCCTCTGTTGTAAAAGGCAGAACTGGATGTGGATGCGGTCTGAGGTCCTTCCTGTATCTCACCTCAAGGGTTCTTCCCATGGCCCTGCGTACCCTTCCCTAAGAGACGGGGACATGGAGTTGTAAGGGAGTGGGTTTCTCTGCAAAAGGTCCTTTCCTTCTGCAGCCTTCTGTTTCTGAGCTTTCATGGTTGATGCTGAGAACATCCTCACTGAGGGGTGTGAAAAGCCATTACTCTGCTCCAGACACTGGGGATCAGGAGGAAAGGGGCTGCTGGTTGGGCAGAGCTAGGGTCCCTATATCCTTCACCTCAAGCTGACTGGAAGTTCAGGGGTGTTTATTTTTCACTTGCGGATGGCACTTGCCTCTTCACTCAGCCTGAGGCTCACCCTTCAGCTCATCCTCCTAGCAGGAGCTCAGTTTGCCCCTGGGCTATCACCACTTAACAGTCCCTCTAGACTCAGCCATCAGCAGGACCTGACAAAGATGCCCATTTGATCTTTCCTTCTCTCTCTCCTACAGATACTAAATGCTGCTGGAACAATGAAAAGAAAGAACGGATGTCACAAAAAGCATTTTCATTTGATGAATAGAACTAAAAGAGCAAAGCAATTGAAAGCTCAACACAACACAGGAGGGATCCATGGCTGAGGATTGTATTTCAGAACCACTGACTGCTCTTGACAATTGTTAACCCACTAGGCTCCTTTGGTTAGAGAAGCCACAGTCCTTCAGCCTCCACTTGATACCAATACTTAGGAAGACCAAAGCCAGATGGACAAACAGCATTGAGAGGCTTTAGCCCTACTCCTCTCAGCTTCCATCCTGTAGAGAACAGGAGTCAGGAGCTGCTGGCAGGAGACAGCATGTCACTTGGGATTCTGCCAGTGCAGAATATGAACAATGCCATGTTCTTGCTAAAAATGCTTAGCTTGAGTTTCATAGGAGGTAATCACCAGATAGACAACTGCAGAATGTAGAATACTGAGCAGGACAATAACCTGTCTCCTTCAGACAGTCCATGTCACCACGAATCACACAATAAAAAGGAGAAAAGACATTTTGGGTTCAAAAAAACTAAAAAGATAATGTAGCTATATTTCTTTAGTTATTTTGAACCCAAAGTATCTCCTCATCTTTTTGTTGTTGTCATTGATGGTAGGGACATGGACTTGTTTGTAGAGGACAGGTCAGCTGTCTGGCTCAATGTCCTACAAGAGACAGGGGGGACATGGAAGCGTACAGCTATATTTGTGGATTAGTCTAGCTATCTGTTCAGTATTTAAGGTTGTTGTTGCATAGATATTTATGACTTTTGTCAGGGGAGGGGTTGGTGGATTGGTCCTTTCATCATTTTATAACTTCCCTTTCTCTCTCTGATTAGTTTCTTTGTTCTGAAATATACTATATCTGGCATTAATATAGCCAGTCTTCCTTTCCTTTAGCTAATGTTTGCATGATATATCTTTTTCCATCCTTTTGATTTCAACTTGCCTGTATTGTCATATTTGAAGGTAGTCTCTTTGTAGCCAGGATGTAGTTGGGTCATGTCCATTAACCTACTCTGCCAATCTCTGTCTTGTAATTGGTGTACTTAGCCCATTGATATTTAATGTGATGATTGATATGGTAGGGCTTAAGTCTGCCATTTTATTTTTCCTTTTCTGTTTGTTCTCTCTGGTTTCATTTTCTGGATATGCTTTATTTTTCTTACCTGCTGTGGTGACTTGAACATCTTTGAGAATGGTGTTTTGCCTTATCCATAGTATTTTTTAGTATATGTGTTTGTATAGCCCTCTTGGTTTTTCCAGGTATATATATATATATATATTTATATGTCTGTGCATCTATATCTGACCACACGGTATACTGGTGTCATTGTTTCACCAGTTGAGTGAACGATAGACGAGCAACCTTCTATATAGGTCTCTTTACCCTTCCAGTTTATAATTGTTTCCAACATTTTCTGTATGTAGAGTTAGAACCACATCGAATGGTTCTATGATTTTTTTTCTGAAACCATCAAGCATAGTTTAGAAAACACAAGAGGAGAAAGAAGGCCTATTTTGCTCACTGTTTTTTAAAATTTTCTTTCTGACATCCCAAGTTTCCTTCTTTAATCATTTCCTTTCTGTCTAGAGAACTCCCTTTAGCCTTTCTTTTAAGGCAGAACTGCTGGTCAGAGATTCCCTTAGCTTTTCTTAATCTGAAACTGTTTTGATCTTCCCCTTAATTCCTGAAAGATGTTTCTGTTGGACAGAGGAGTCTGGGCTGACAATTATTTTCTTTCATGGCTTGAAAAGCACTGCACAACTTCTTTCTGCCTCCATGGTTTCTGATGAGAAATCCATCATCACCGGAATTGTTTTTCCTTTCTAGGTAAGGTGTCACCTTTCTCTGTTGTTTTCCGGATATTTTCCTTGTCTTTCTTTTCCAACATTTTATTTTGTCACGTGTCTTGCCATAGACCTCTTTGGGTTTTATCCTATTTAGGGTTCTCACAGCTTATTGAGCCTGTAGGTTTATGTCTTTTGCCAACTCTGGGAAGCTTTCGGCCATTTACTTCTTTGAGTATGTTTTCAGCCTTGTCTTCTTCCTCTTCCCCTTCCAGACACTGATAACAACATGAAAGTGAGAACTTTTGAGGTAGTTTCACAGGTCCCTGAGGTTCTGTTCACTTTCCCCCCCAGTCTGTTTTCTCCCTGTTAGGATTCTGTAATTTCTGTTTTTCTCATCTGCAGTATATGGATTTGTTTGCTTCACACCATCCATTCTGCTGCTGAGCCTATCTGCTGGACTTTTTATTTTAGTTGCATTTTTCACTTCTAATACTTCCATTTGGTTCTTATTTATGTCTTGTATTTATTTGCTGAGTCTTTCTACTTGTCCATTTGTTTCAAGTGTTCTTATAAGTACTCATTAAATCATTTCATCAGGCTTGCCTGCTTTAAACTCTTTGACAATCCCAACACCTCTCTCATCTCATTGCCAGCGTGTATTTGCTGTCTATTTTCATTCAGTATGAGATTTTCCTAGTTCTTGGTATGATGAATGATTTTCAATTGAAACTTGGACTTTTGGGTGTTATGTTATCAGAGTTTCGATTTTATTGAAACCTTCTGTTTTAACTACCTTTTTTTGAGTCTGTTTCTGCAGGGGAAGAAGAGTGGTGCCATCTCATTGTAGCCAGGTGTGTGTAAAAATCCAGGTTTCTCATCTGACTGACCTCTGTTGACACCCTGAGTGGAGGAGCTGCTAAGGTAGGAGAGGGAGTTCCAGCAGCCCACTCCTCCTCCACTGCTACGTCCCTGGCTGGGTGGGTAGGAGTGCTTCATTACTGCTTTCCACGTGGCCTCCAGTGACACCACAGGACAAGGGCAGCCTTATTACTGCTGGGTGGATGAAAGTCCTGACTCTCCACCAGGACTCCTCTGATACCAGCCTAGCAGACAGAGGGAGAGGTGCCTCATGACCATCTAATGAAGTCTAGGCTCCAAATGTAGTTTCTATTGACAGGGAGGTAAACATATTATCACCTGGCAGGGATGATGATGACAGCCCCAGCTTCCTCCTCTAACATCTGTCATTGAAATTGTTTTTCCCCTCTAGGTAAGATGTCGTCTTTCTCTGTTGCTTTTGAGGTATTTTCTCTGTCTTTAGTTTCCAGCATTTTAGTCATTGTGTGTCTCATGATAAATAAAATGCTGGAACCTAAAGAACCCCCGGGGCAAGGTGGGGGTTTAGCATATGTCATTATACCTGCGCAAGCGTGAAACCCGAAGCCCCTCACTGGGATTTTGCTAGCTTTTATGTTGATGCAGCCACAGCTTTTCTTCCACGGTGCTTGACCTGAGGAAACTGATGATCGTATATGTGTCTTGTCTTGCTAGACTGCCCCTTTGCTGATCCTTTGCCTAGAGAGAGCAAGATTGTATTGGGGTTTGCTGGATCTGTAGCCATTGGTATTTCTGGGCTGCCATCTCCTTTGGCTCTACATCTAGGATGTATGCGGGGGCATGGAGGAATCCTGGGAACTCATCTCCTGGCTTTCTGTGGGTCTTGAGGAAGCCAGATGGCCTCCTACCTTCTCTTTGCCCTTCAGTCTTCCTATGTTTGTTGTATGTACAATGCCCAAGGTTTTTAGATGTAATGAGCAGGAAGAATAGGGCAAAGTTCATCTATTCCACCTTCCCAGTGTATGCCTGTGATTTCCTTGTCTTGCCTTATTGATTTGGGTAGGATTGTCATGTGAAATATCAGTGGTGAGCGTGGTCTTCCTTGCTTAGTTCCCAGTCCTAGAGGGAAAGCATGTGGTCTTTCACCATGAGGTAAGAAGTTAACTGTGAATTTTTTTGTAAGTTGTCTTTATCGAGCTGACAAAGTCCTGTGTTCCTATGTTTCTGATAGTTGTAAAACATTCTCTTTCTTCCCTTCTTTCTATTTTTTCTTATTTCTGTTTTTGTTTGTTTTGTTTTTTTGAGATGGAGCCTCGCTTTGTCACCCAGGTTGGAGTGCAGTGGCGTGATTTCGGTTCACTGCAAATTCCACCTCCCAGGTCCAAGCAATTCTCTGCTTCAGCCTCCTCGTAGCTGGGATTAACAGGCACCTGCCACCATGCTCAGCTAATTTTTGTATTTTTAGTAGAGATGGGGTTTTGCCATATTGACTAGGCTGGTCTCGAACTGTTGACCTCAGGTGATCCACCCACCTTGGCCTCCCAAAGTTCTGGGATTACAGGCATGAGCCAAAGAGCCTGGCCTCCCTTCTTTATTTCTATCATGAATAGATGTTGAATTTGTCAAATGATTTTTCTTCATTGACTGATAAAACATTTTTGTGGTCTGGTTTTGGAGTTGGGGTAATCATAGCTTTACAGAAATAGTCGAGAGGTGTTCCTTCATCTTCTATTTTCTGGAATAGATTGTACAGAATTGATGTTCATTTGGCTGGGCGCGGTGGCTCACGCCTGTAATCCCAGCACTTTGGGAGGCCAAGGTGGGCGGATCACGAAGTCAGGGGATCGAGACCATCCTGACTAACACGGTGAAAACCCGTCTCTACCAAAAATACAAAAAATCAGCTGGGCGTGGTGGTGGGCACCTGTAGTCCCAGTTACTCGGGAGGCTGAGGCAGGGGAATGGCGTGAACCCGGAGGGCGGAGCTTGCAGTGAGCCAAGGTTGCACCACTGCACTCCAGCCTGGGAGACAGAGCAAGACTCCGCCTCAAAAAAAAAAAAAAAAAAAGAATTGATGTTAATTTTTCTTCAACCGTTTGGTAGAATTCTCCAGTGAAACCATCTGGACCTGGAGCTTTTCTTTCTGGAAATTTTAAAATTAGGAATCCAATTATTTTCATAGTTACAGAGCTACTCAGATGACCTGTTTTGCTTTAGGTAAGTTGTGGTAGTTGATACTTACGACACATTTGTCCAATTCATCTGGGTTGTCAAATATATGTGTGTACAGAATTTTAAATAGTTTTTCCCTTATTATTATCCCTTTGATACCTGCAGTCTGTAATGAGTGTAGTCCCTGTTTCATCCTGATGTTCATAAGCTGACTTCTTTTTTTCTTTGTCAAGTTTATTGATCTTTTCAAAGAGACAGCTTTATTTTCACTAGTTTCCCCTTTTGTTTTTTTCTGTTTTCAATGCCATTGATTTCTGCTATTATCTGTATTATTTCCTTCCATTTGCTTTAGGTTTTTTTTTTTTTTTTTTTTTGTAGATTCAGTCTCATTCCCATGGTGCAGGCCGGAGTGCAGTGGTGCGATCTCAGCTCACTGCAACCTCCACCTCCCGGGTTCAAGCGATTCTCCTTCCTCAGCCTCCAGAATAGCTGGGATTACAGGCGGGTGCTACCATGCCCAGCTAATTTTTTTGTATTTTTAGTAGAGACGGGGTTTTGCCTTGTTGGCCAGGCTCGTTTCAAACTCCTCACCTCAGGTGATCCACCCACCTTGGCCTCCCAAAGTGCTCGTATTACCGGCGTGAGCCACCGTGCCTGGCCTGCTTTAGGTTTCTTTTACTTGCTTTTTTCTTGTTTCTTGACGGGGGAGCTTAAGTGTATTCATTTGAGACATCCCCTCTTTTCTTTTATCCCTTTTAAAAACTTTTGTATATAATTATTATTGTAGGAAGTTAGGCTTGGGCCCGCAAACTATGGAAGAACAGAATATACTAGGCCGCTGCTTTAATAGCTGGTGCCTGCTTGTCGCCCACCCCCACTCCCCCACCTTAGCTGCCTTGTCCAAACCAAAGAGTTTAGTCTAGAATGGACATTTACTAGCCTGCAAAATAGTTCACTACATCTATTCTTATCAGCTTGCCTGACTGCCCAGGTCATAAGTCAAATACTTGAAAAGCCCCCGAGCTGACCATGATTGCAATGCATTATGGGCTGCAACAAAATACAGGGAGACAACCCTAAAAAAAAAAAACAACAACCTAAAAGTCCCAACCCAAGATCCAATAGGCGACATCCGGGAATACTGTGACCCCATAGTACTCAGCCTATGAGGAACCTGGGGAGGCACTTCCACACTAGGGGATAAATTGCTTGTTGTAAGCCTACTGGGTGTGCCTGCCTACCAGACACCCGATCTTGCAAGACTGTCATTAATAATAAGTCGCACTTCTGCTGTTTTCCGGGTCTTGGAGTCCATTCTTTGGGTTTGGACGGGTGAGTTTATTTCTCACGATTATTTCCAGGCAGGCCTTGCCCAGTGGGTGGCTCATGCTTGTAATCCCAGCACTTTGAGAGGGTAAGCCTGGTGGCTCACCTGAGGTCACGAGTTCGAGACCAGCCTGGCTAACATGGTGAAGCCCCGTCTCTACTAAAAATACAAAAATTAGCCGAGCGTGGTGGCGAGGGCCTGTGGTCCCAGCTACTCGGGAGGCTGAGACAGGAGAATCACTTGAACCCAAGAGGCGGAGGTTGCAGTGAGCCGAGATTGCATCACTGCATGCGACAGTGCAAGACTCCGTTTCAAATAATAATAATAATAATAATAATAATAATAACAATAATAATAATGGCACGACCTAAAGTTATGCAAGCATTTGCCTTAGATAAAATTTCAAGTTTTCAAAGTTGTTAGCTGGGTGGACGGCATGGCTTTACTTCCTATTTCTTGGTATTTCCTAATCTTGTTGAAAAAGTTTTTCTTTTTCTCAAAGGCTTATTTCAGTGGAAGCCCATCTGCAAAATCTGTTATTAATTTAAATTAGAAAATCACTACAAGTCCCACTGACATGTGGGTTATTGTTTTTGCGAGTGACCTAAGGCCACCTCTCGGGGGAGCTGGGGGTTGCCTTCCCACGTCTGTGCGTCTGCACCCCATGCCCGGGCCTGGAAGTCAGACTCGGGGGCGGTGCTGCAGCACCAGGCCTGCAGTCCTAAGCGCGGGGTCGCTCCGGGCCCCCGAGGGGGTGTGTCTTCTGCCCCTTTAACCTGTCAGGGGCGGTTCAAGTGGCCCGGGAAATCAGCGATTTGTAGGGTCAAGGGCTGGTGCTTTAAAAGAGAGGCGGAGGGGAGAGAGGGATTTCCCGGTCTCTGCTGCACTCTGTCTATCCGCTCGGTTACTCCTTTTCCTGGCCCGCGCGAACCCGCTGTGCGGCAGAGGCGGCCATGTACCTTTAGGGCCCCGCTGCGCCTGCGCCTTGGGCTCTCCTGACGCGCCGAGCGGGACCCTGAGGAGCCAGCTGGCGCAGGCTATGGGCTGGGCGGCGGTTGAGACAGCGGCGGTATTGGGAGGGGTAGGTGAGGGTCGCGAGGCTGCGTGAGCATCTGAGTGAACGCGGTGCTAAATCTTTTTATCCAGTTTTTATTGATATGCTTGTTTTTCTGTTGATTTGTAATACTTTATTCTGGATATGCGTCCTTTCTAAGATATATGTGTATTGCATTTCCCTTTTTTCAATCTGTAGCTTGCCTTTTCACTCTTTTAATGGTGCTTATTCATGAGTGGAGATTCTCTAACTTTTTTTTTCTTTTTGAGACAAGATCTCACTCTGTTGCCCAGGCTGGAGTGCAGTGGCACAATCACAGCTGACCGCAACCTTGACCTCCCAAGGCTCAGGTGTTGCTCCTGCCTCAGCCCCCAAGTAGCTGGGACCTACAGCGGAGCACCACCACACTCAGCTCTTTTCTGTATTTTTAGTAGAGATAGGGTTTTGCCACATTGCATAGGCTGGTCTGGAATTCCTAGGATCAGGTGATACACCTGCCTCGGCCTCCCAAAGTGTTGGGATTACAGGCATGAGCCACTGCACCCAGCCTGAGATTCTTAATTTTAATGAAATTATACTTTATCAATCTTTTCCTTTATGGTTACTGCTTTTTGTGTCCTGTTTAAAAATCAATGCCTAACCTAGGAGTATGAACACATTTTTCTGTGTTAACCTTATAGCAATTTTATTTTAGTTTTTGCATTTCTTTTTTTTTTTTTTTTCAGACAGGGCCTCACTCTGTTGTCCAGGCTAGATTGCCGTGGCAGGATCTCAGCTCACTGCAACCTCCACCTCCTGGCTCAAGCGATCCTCCCACCTCAGCCTCCTGAGTAGCTGTGACTATAGGAGTGTGCCACCATGCCTGGCTAATTTTCATATTTTTTGTAGAGATGGGGATTCAACATGTTTCCCAGGTTTGTCTCAAACTCTTGGGCTCAAGTAATCTTCCCACTTAAGCCTCCCAGAGTGCTGGGATTACAGGCATGAGCCACCCCACCCGGCTATGATTCACTTTTTACTACATGGATGTGTCTGCTTGATCCAGCACCATTTGTTGAAAAGACTATCCTTTTCCTTCTGCACCGTTTGGCACTTTTTTTCATAAATCGGATGACTGTATGGTCATCCGATTTATGAAATTAGTGTGGGTCTGTTTCTGTTTCTGGACCAACCTGGGCAACATAGTGAGATCCCTTCTCTACAAAAAATAAAAATAATAAATAAATGAGTAAAATTTAAAAAATAAGTGCGTAGAGCAGATGGAGTCATAGGTGATAATTTATAAATGATTGTCAGTTTCTTGGCTACATACGGTGTTGGTAATTCAGATGTGTTGGGCGTTCAGGCAAAATGTATTAAGTGAATTATGTGGTGTTCACAGTGATTGCTAGATGTTCATTGTGACTTGAATTAGATGTTATTTGAGCCTCACAGAGCTACAGTTTTGACTCTTATTTATTTATTTATCTTTTTACAATTTTTACAATCTTCCTGTCAAGGCAGTAACTCTTTTATACTTAATTGTTCTTCGGTATACTTAATTACCAGGAAAACTTTACGGATTGTACCTAAATAAGCGTTAAGCCATTTAAAGGGCTGACGTGATGTGATGTAAACAATAGTATTCTACATAATAGTTTTAGGACTACATCGAATAATTTTTTTTTTTTCTTGGGACAGTGTCTCGCTCTGTTGCCCAGGCTGGAGTGGAGTGGTATGATCATGGGTCTCTGCAGCCTTGACCTCTCAGGCTCAAGCAGTCCGCCCACCTCAGCTTCCTTAGTAGCTATATATATATAGCGGTGACCAAATATCCTAAAAGACATTGCATTTCATCATTCCATGCCTTCAGACATTTAAGGGCCATGGATGGTGATCTCCTCCAGAGACAAAATAAATGCTGGTGCACAACAGGTAAGTGTAGTATAATTTGGGTACATCAGCTTTCGGCATTTAAACTATGGGTCACACATGTTAGAGCAAGAGGGCAGGTTGGATCCTGATTGCAGGAGGGAGTGTTTTTCTCTTAACTTTCCAATAGCATCATGGTGTTTACTACTGCTATTTCAGAGTGAGGCAACATTTTTTGTTTGGTTGGTTTTGTTTCGGATTTTTGTTCCTTTTCAGCCAGGGTCTCACTGTTGCCCACGCTGGAGTGCTGTGGCAAGATCACAGGCCAGTACAGTCTTGACCTCTTGACCTTCAGGGCTCAATGAATCATCCTACCTCAGCTTCCCGAGTGCTGGAGTTACAGGGACACACCACCACCATGCCCAGCTTATTTATTTACTTTCTGAGACAGGGTCTCACTCTTTTGCCCAGTCCGGAGTGCAGTGGTGTCATCAGAATTCACTGCAGGCTCGAACTCCTGGGCTCCAGTCATCCTCTCACCTCATACTCCTGAGTAGCTGGGACTAAAAGTGGGCACCACCATGCCCAGCTAATTTTTGTATATTTTATAGAGACAGGGTTTCACCACTTTGCCCAGGCTAGTCTCAAACTCCTGGGCTCAAGTGATCCTTCTGCCTTGGCCTCCTAAAGTGCTGGGATTACAGGCAGTTATTTTGACGTACAATTATGATGGGTTAAACTGAAACATGGGGGGCAGGAAGGTAAGGATGAGTCAGACAGATTCGATAAACAGGTTTTGCTTGATGTGACCCTGGTTTGCATTGTCAGTGCAATCAGGAGGAATTTACAACTTAAAGGAGCCCTAACAGTGTACGTATTCCAGTCAATAGAAAAAGAGACCAACTCTTTCAGTTGCAGTAAGCACTGGAATTGTGAATAGCTGCTTATACAGGCCGGTATGTTGGGTGAAATTGTACCATAACAGATGTCAGCTACTTGCCATCTTGGTTAGGAAGATTGCAGGTCACCTTTAAGTGAAAACCTCCACTGACAGATGTCCACTGTGGTAGGGTTGCCTTTTAGATATGAGAAACATGAATCTGTGTGTCAATGCCCTTATGTTTACTGCCACAGAGATTGGGAAATAATACCTGATGTGAGCCAGGTGCAGTGGCCCGCACCTCTGGTCCCAGCTAGTTGGGAGACTGAGGGAGGAAGATGGCTTGATCCCAGGAGGTAAAGGCTACAGTGAGTTATAATCACACCACTGCATTCTGGCCTGGGCAACAGAGTGAGACCCCATCTCAAAAAATAATAATAATAATATTAATAATACCTACGTGGTGCTCTCCAGTGGACTTGGAGGGAATATTTTATTTGATATTGTTTCCAGTATTTGATGTTTTCTCCAGTTTATAGGCATAATTTTTTATATTTTCATCCCTCAGCAGCTCATTATGAAAGGAATATTTTATTAATTTTGGAGCTCTTGGTAAGAAGTTTTGTGAGAACTTAGCAATAATGGAGAATGTTACCTTTAAGAAGTGCAGGTTCATAAGCCCCTTCATCTAACCACTGCATGGGTCTTCCTGTTATTATTTCAAAGGGAGGGAGTGGAAGTTTTCCAGAAACAGTGGGGGATCTTTGGCCAGGGAAGGTTAAAAACTTCTGTTATCTTTGTCAATTGAGTTTTTATTGTATCATTATTGAGTTGCACTAGTCCAGAGGATTAGGGGTGACAGGCACAATGGAAATGTTGGGACATAGGCTAAACATTACAAATGGATCCAGCTACCTGCCTGATAAAGTGTGTTCCTCGGTTGCTATGTAGATCAGATGGCATTCCCCATGAGGAATGATTTTTTTCTAATCACAGTCTACCTGCTACTTGGGCTGTGGCTCATCAGTATGGAAATGCTTCACCCCAGTGAGAGCACATATAAATTAGCACCAGAAAGTATCTGTGACCCTGAGATGGAGACAGCTGGATAAAGTCTAACTGCCATGTCTCAAAGGGTCCTAAAGTTAAAATGTCCCTGTGACCCATGAAGGGGTTTTCCAGGATTATGTTTGGGACAGAACAGATAGTACTACAAGAATAAACCTCTTGTGCAATCATAGGCGATGGTTTTCAATAGCACTGCTTTCCCCATGCTATCATTTAGTCTGAATTCCAATGAGTCAGCTTATGAACTACTTTAAAAAGGGTAATTGAAGCCTAAGGGGTAGATCAGTGTATCATTGGGCCCATACCATACGCCTGTTTCTGAAGAAAAACTTGTTCCCTTTATCTTGCCAGAGATCTATCTTCTGCTTGGGAGATCCCATGTGTGCTTCTTCTAATAACGTTTTCAATGGGTCATAAGTCAGCAAGGTCATTTAGAGAAGTTCTGTGTCTCTTGTCACCTTCAGAGCTGCATTCTTAGCTGCAGCATCAGCAAAATGGTTGTCCTTGCTCTCCAGAGTACCTAATTTTGAATGACAAGGAATTTTGATGATGGCCAAAGATTTGGGTTTTCAAATTGCTCCTAAGAGTTCAGAGACTTATTGGTCATTTTTGGTGGGTTGACCTGGTGAAATAAGAAACCTAGGTTGCTTCTAAAGCATTCCAAAATCACCACCTTCTCCAAATGCATCTCCGTGGTCAGTGTAAATATTAGGCTGACGCGGGAGGATTGACTGAGCCCAGGAGTTCAAGACCAGCCTGGAAACCAAAGTGAGACCTCCTCTCTATAAAAAGTTGAAGAATTAGCCAGGCGTGGTGGCATGCACCTGTGGCCTCATCTACTCGGAGGCTGAGGTGGGAGGATTGCTAGAGCCCAGAAGTTTGAGGCTGTGGTGGGCCATGATGGAGCCACTGCACTCCAGCGTGGGTGACAGAGTGAGAACCTGTTTCAATAAATAAATAAATAAATAATTTTCAACCATTTAAAATATCAATGACAGATTTATTTGGCCTTTTAAGTGCATTGCTAAATTCTCCTCCAATCTACTTCTAAATCTAAAGCAGAGCCTGCTTTAGAAAGAGAAGAGGAAAATGTATTTCAATTTAGAAAAGGGAAGTCTTTTACAATATTCTTAATTCACATTATGGTGAAGCAGTATACACAATAGTAGGCTCCCCTCTTCCTGTGGGTTTTACCTTGAAAGGGGCTGCCAGAACAGAAGTTTCAGGGAAGGGGCCAGAGCCCTGGGGACTTTCCTCAGGTGATGGTGATGGAAGAAGAGGCAAGGCAGGACAGGAGGGCTCAGGTAAGGGAGACTATGCAGGTGCAGGGGCAGGAGGAAAAGGAGCAGTTGGAGGCGAAAGAGACAAAGCCTCCTCAATATTTCTCAATTCAGAAAAAGCATCAGATATCCCCAGTTTAAATCCTCAATGGAGGCAATTTTCTCAGTAGTTCTTTTAGAAATTTCTAGGTATCATTGGAAGTAAGTCTCCCATTTAATTTGCCTGATTCTAAAACCAAATTTTTCCAATTGTGTGCCCTAATAAATTATTTTAGTCATTTCAAAAGATCCCCATTTCCTCCATTCTACTTATGAGTTTTTCTGGTTAGGTGGGTCAGGTTTCTTGGATATTTACAAGAGGATGCTTCATAACTGTTATACAGAAACCCAGCTGGTGGTTCTAAACGCGGTTGTTTCTTCAGAGTATCCTCAGATTTTGAAGCTTGATTTCCCATAATTCAGGAGCTTTGCAAAGATGACCAAAATCTGGGATGTGTTTTGGGTCACAGTGTCCTGCTTATGTAGTCACTCTTACAGATATCACCGGAGTTGTGTATCACTGTCTCAGTGGCTCCCACTGTTTCTAACCACCAGGTGGCCACAGAGTGCATCTGCTCTGGGGGACTCATCGCTCATATACCCTCCCAGAAGAGCAGGAAAGGGGATTCGTAAATATATTCTTCTGATGGGGAATGCTCTATGAGGCCGCCTTCACATGGTGAGTAGTGACCGTGACACCTCTGCAGCGTCCCTGGTCACTTGTAGCCCCTGAAAGGGTCAGCGGGAGCAGATCACTTCTTTTCTTCAGGGCTGGAGAAAGTACCTCTGTGCATTTTCCAGGTAAGAACTAACAGGGGCCGGGCACATTGGCTTACGCCTGTAATCTCAACCCTTTGAGAGGCCGAGGTGGGCAGATCACCTGAGGTCAGGAGTTTGAGACCAGCCTGAACAACATGGAGAAACCCTGTATCTACTAAAAACACAAAATTAGTTGGGCGTGGTGGCACGTTTGTAAAACCAGCTACTTGGGAGGCTGAGGCAGGAGAATCACTTGAACCTCGGAGGCGGAGGTTGTGGTGAGCCGAGATCCCGCCATTGCACTCCACCCTGGGCAACAAGAGCAAAACTCGTCTCAAGGGAAAAAAAAAAAAGAACTAACAAGAATTAGTCACAAGTGAAAACCTAAGTTCAAACTTTCATAAAAGCATGCTACAGAAAACAAAACCACCGGTGCCTACCTGCCAATATCTTGACCCAGACCTTCCTGATGAGGGACAGAGGCAGAAAAGGCAGAAGCTTTCCACACAGTCCTTTGCCTGACTGTGACCCAAACTTTCTGTCCTGAGGCAGAGGTGGAAAGGGCAGTTTTTTCCCCCTGAAACTCAAGTCTCTTAACCGGAGGGTAAAGACAGAAAACCTCCATCGTAGAAAGGGAAGGCTGGAAAGGACAACTCAAGCAAACTCCAGGCCTTCAACCAAAGAGTGGGAAGGTCCAGATTTCAGGAGGATTCACCACTTACTGCCCATCTGTTTCTCTGAGTCAGAACGTGAGGATTTCAAAGCTGGCCAGGCACCTAGTCCAGGAGGAATGTGGTCTGAGAGACAAAAATAGATGTCACCTTGTAGACTAAGACAGACTCTAAGGTTAAGAAAACAAAAGTTACCTACGGGTCAAGGATTCAGGGCTGGACTGCCATAGCAACTTCCTAAATTTCTGTGGCTAGAAGAAAAACCACACTCTTGCTAAACTCCTTAACAATAGGAGCTAGCAGGCAAATTGTCAAAATCTTCCCAGCAATTCTCAACTGGATTTACAACCCAGATCACCAGACCTCTGATGGGACAGAGGAGTGCCCTTCCATTCTTTCCTGATAAGCAACTGCAGACCTCAAGCCAGTTTCAGCCATGTTACAGGGACTGCACACAAACCGACTTCATGTCCTATAGTTCACCTTTTGACATAAAGAGCCAATTTCCATCTAATTTTAATGCTAAAATCTCTTCCCAATATGAAGATGGGGTGCACGTTACATATATGTTTACCCGTTGCACATGAGCTCAACACCCCTCAGAAATGGCGTTTCTCCAAACCTGCTGAATATGTATAACTCCATTGTGTGATACACACCGTGTGAGGCACAAAAACCAACCTGCCCTCTCTCTCTCTCTCTCTGAAGAGAAAGCACCTCTTCAAAGACACACACCGGAGACTGTCTCTTCCTGGACTGCAAACTGATCTCACCAATCAAATTCTTACTACTATGTAGCCACCCTGGAGGCCTTTGAGAGGACAGTCAGATGGTCAGAGATGAGTCGCTCTGCATTCTGCTCCCTGGGCCAAAAACGTCGACCTAGAAGGAAGGGGCTTAAGCACAAACATGATTTAAAAAGTTTGTTTGAGCCAATGTGAGGACACTTGCCTGGAAGACTCAGATCCAAGCAATCTTGGATGTGGGCTCCATTTGCCCTTTGTTACAAGCAGGTTTCTAAAGACCAAAAAGGGAGACGGGGAGTTGGCTGGTACAAAATTGCCTGTCAGGAACTCCCTGAAGTTTACAGAAATAACATTGATTAATGATTAGCTATACATTGTTCAGCTACAGGGAGTGAGAGATGGTGTCCAGTGCAGCATGTTTAGGTTGCTTTATAGCCACTTGTGATGATAGCAAGCTGTTTTAATAGATGAATACACGGCTTCAAAACAGGGACATAAGACATTGTTGCTGTCTCATTTTAATGCCTAACTCTGGGCTTGTTAATTTGAAAGCACTCACTTTCCTCACATAAAATTTCTTTTCTTTCCTCAGACATTTGAATTCTTTATAGTTTAGGAATATTTTGAATAAATATGTATTTGTTTTACATGTCTTTGGTAAACCATATTCACGTTTCTCTAGAAATAGAAATTCCAATAGAAATATAATGCCAGGCATATACGTACTTTTAAATGTATTAGTAGACATGTTTTAAAAAGTAAAAAGAAAGAGGTGAAATTATTTTTTATAATATATATTCAACTAAATATATTTAAGGTATTATCATTACCCCATGTGACACTAGCAAGATTTCAAGTGTTCAATAGCTACCCGTGGTTTGTGGCTATCATATTGGAAAGCACAAGTCTATGGGGTAGAAAAGTTGAATTTCTGGGTCATAGCATATATGTATGTGTGTTTTACCACTAGAATATACAGGCAAACAATTTTCCAAAGTTTTTGAACTTATTTATACTCTTGCCAGAAATGAATAGAAGATTATAATGCTTCCGTTGTGCCAAAATCTGGGAATGTCTTTTTTTTTAAGTCAAGTTTACTGAGGTATAATTAAAACTCACCAGCGTTACATGTTGTACATGGTTCTCAGTGATATACTCTCTTTGCAAAGCTGGCTTTTGGTGGTAGCTTTGATTTAAAAGCTAATGCCACGTAAAAAAATTCAATACGTAGGGCCAGGCGAGGTGGCTCATGCCTGTAATTCTAGCACTTTGGAAGGATGAGGTGGACGGATCACTTGAGGTCAGGGGTTTGAGATCAGCCTGGCCAAAATGGTGAAACCCCATTTCTACTAAAAATACAAAAATTAGCCAGGTGTGGTGGGGGGAACCTATAGTCTCAGCTACTTGGGAGACTGAGGCAGGAGGATCATCTGAGCTCTGGAGGCTGAAGTTTCAGTGAGCTATCATTGCACCACTGCAGTCCAGCCTTGGTGACAGAGTGAGACTCTGTCTCAAAAACAGAAAAAAAATGTATGTATATATATATATATATATATGTGTGTGTGTGTGTGTGTGTGTGTGTATATATATATGTGTATATATATACACACACATATATATACACACACACATATATATATACACACATATATATGTTGTGAACTCAACAAGCAACACTATTCTCCAAGTAAAGTAATATAGAGAGAGAATCTTAAGGCAATCAAAATTATTTATTATTATTTATTAACTAATTTTAAGGCAATCGAAATTAATTATTATTATTTATTAACTCTATTATTATTATCAAAATTATTTATTAACTCCATTATTAACTCCATATAATCATTAATATTGGTCATGGATTTTAAAATTAACTATATATCTTGAAATTATACATTGAGCTGACATTTAATAGAGGATGATGGCATCATGTATTAGATGACATCTAAATATATTTACGAAGAAATTGTAAGTGGAATAATTCAGTCTCCTAGTTTCTAGAATTATCTCCTTTTAAAGATATTACCTACTGAATTAGTAAGTAACTGAGTCCAAATCTCACCCTACTTGCTGCATGACAGCCAAGAAGTCAGGAGACACAAGGTGTTGGGGCAGGGAAGGTGACTTTATTTCAGAGGGCTAGTAAACCAAGAAGATGGTGAACTAATGTCCTAAAGAAACATCTCAAGTTAATAAAAATTTCTGGCTTCTTGTATGTTAGGGAAAGGGGTAAGAAGCAGGGGATTGAGGTCAAGAGGTGGCTGACACTCCCAGACATCTGGGCAGCAGTGAGGGCCCAAGGGGGCTTTGAAACTTCTTTCTCTTTGGTAAGGTCACCTGAATAGAACACAGTTACTTGTGTGCATACATCCCTTAGCTCCTCAGGGGTTAGTTTTGGGAAGGGACTATTACATCCTTGCATTATTGTTATTATTATTATTATTACTATTGAGCCTGAGTTTCGTTTTTGTTGCCCAGTCTAGAGTGCAATGATGCGATTTCGGCTCACTACAACCTCTGCCTCCCAGGTTCAAGCGACTCTCCTGCCTCAGCCTCCCAAGTAGCTGGGATTACAGGCATGTGCCACCAGACCCAGCTAATTTTGTATTTTTAGTAGAGATGGGGTTTCGCTATGTTGGCCAGGCTGGTTTGGAATCCCTGACCTCAGGTGATCCACCCACCTTGGCATCGCAGAGTGCTGGGATTACAGGCATGAGCCACTGCGCCTGGCCTAATTAGCTAATTTTTTAAAATTTGTAGAGACAGGAGTCTCACTATGTTGCTCAGGCTGGTATGGAACCCCTGGCCTCAATCGATCTTCCCTCCTCAGCTGCCTAAAGTGCTAGATTACAGCTGTGAGCTGCCACACCCTGCTTAATTTTCTTATTTTAATTTTATATATGTGATTATTACTGTACTTCAGATAATCAGGCAGTAATTTCTTTAAAGTTTTAGAGACTTAATTTATCTATTCACTCCACTGAAAGAGTATGCCAATTGGTTTCATAAGAAAATATATTTATACATTAGAAAAATTCCTTCCACCAAACCAGGGGGCATTCGAAAGCAAATAATTGGGTTATGTAACATCATTTAAGGTGAAAACAGAGGCAATTGTGTCTATTAACAATGCTTATGAGTGAGGGAAACAAACTGAAAAATTAACATCATTAGATCCTTGGAAAACCCTCACTGCTGAAAATCTGAGTAATTCTTTGATCCCCTTTTGAGTCTGGCAGGACATTCTCCTTCCAGGCATATAAAAGTGAATGAATAATTTCTTTTCATCCATTTTCATTAAGGGCTGAACTTCCTTACTGTTCTAGAGATTGTTAAATTTGATTTGTGTAGTTGTGAGAAGTGCTCAAATTGCTGATTCCATTGCTTACTTGTGATCATATCACTCTTTTTTTCTCCTTTCTGTAGTGTGATTTAAACTTCATCCTTAAAGGGCATATATTTGAATTTTTCAGCTAGTTAGAAACCTGAATATATGAATCAAAGAAAACTGTTCCTTACATGCTGCAGATTCAGTTTTCTTCCTGTGCTAAGATCTCCTTTAGGTCTATTAATTTGTTATGGCCAAGAGCTCCTACGGAATGAAATTTGGTTGGGGGTGAGGGGCATTGAGTAGTAAGATCATCTTTATAATAGAGATGCCACTCTTGCAGATATTGACAGCTACTGGGCCCATAAAATTTTTACCAAACATTGGAAAGATGAGATATGAGCAACTTCCCATTTGCTGCAGTCTCAAATATCAGGAAATACAATTATCCTCAGGACAATGAATAAACAATCAAAAAAGACTCACAGACTAGATTAGCTGTCAGGTATCACCAAACGGATGGATTCTTGCCAAACACCACCCAACAGAGAGTGTCCTGAGAAATTCACTCCATAATATTTACCAGAAATCTACACTGATGCCACTGATGGCAGAAAACAATGATGCAAACATGAGAGAGAGAGAGAGAGAGAGAAGGAAAGGACTTGTCCAATGACCATACTTAGTATTTTAAAGCAAAATTGCTCAGTTTCTGCTCATGAAAACAGAAGAACTGCGGGAACAAGAGCCAATAGCTCTAAGGATCCAGGTCTGCACCAGGGGCCTGTTAGGTGCCGGATTCTGTTGGCTCCAATGATGGGTCTCAGATGGACTAATTTTTATAGACATAGCCTCTGAAAGAAATCTATCAAGGAATCATATAGAGACACTTATTTGCATGCTCATTCTCCATTAATATAGAAGGGAGAACTGGCATTAGATTGTTTTCAGCAAATAAAAGTAAAATCAAGATTTACAAAGAAAAGAGGAAAGGGGAGGAGAAAAAAAATATCTGGGACCATTGTGATTTTGCTTTCTTTGGATAAGCGACTTGGCAGAAAGCTATCAAAGAAGTCACTGTGATCTGTCTTCTCTGGACCCATGTGACTTGGTCACCACAGGAAACAATGACAAGCCAGGCACAGTGACTCACGACTGTAATACCAGCACTTTAGGAGGCTAAGGCAGGTGCATTGCTTGAGCTCAGCTGGAGAGCAGCCTGGTCAATGTGATGAAACTCCATCTCTACAAAAAAATACAAAAATTAGCCAGGCATGATAGTGTATGCTGCTAGTCCCAGCTACTCAGGAGGCTGAGGTGGGAGGATCACCTGAGCCCAGGGAGGTTGAGGCTACAGTGAGCCGTCATCATGCCACTACACTCCAGCCTGGGTGACAGAGTGAGGCCCTGTCCCAAAATAAATAAATTTTAAAAAGAAACAGGGCTGACCATGGTGGCTCATGCCGGTAATCTCAGCACAAAACTTTGGGAGGCTGAGGTAGGAGGATCACTTGAGCTCAGGAGTTGGAGACCAGCCTGGGCAAGATAGTGAAATCACATCTCTACAGAATTATTATCATTTTTTAATAGCCACCTATGATGGTGCATACCCATAGTTGCAGCTACTTGGAAGGCTGAGGCAGGAGGATCACTTGAGCCCAGGATTTTGAGGCTACAGTGAACTATGATCATGCCACTGCACTGCAGCCTGGACAACAGAGGAAGACCTTGTCGCGAAAAATAAAATAAAATAAAATAAAATAAACATAAAATGCCTTAGAAGTTTAGCTGTCCATCCTATGCAACAGAATATCTGTGTGTAATGTCCACCATGTCCTTCTGTTGTATTGTCCCCTTAGTTAAGCCGGGAGGGAACCTGTCCCCTTATTAGAATATCATGGGCACATGGCAAACACGGTGGCTCATGCCTGAAATCCCAGCACTTTGGGAGGCCGAGGCAGATGGATCTCCTGAGCCCAGGGGTTGGAGACCAACCTCGGCGACATAGCAAGACCCTATCTCTTAAAAAAAAAAATGGTGAATGCGGTGGTGCATGCCTATAGATCCAGCTACTTTGGAGGCTGAGGTGGGAGGATCACTAGAGCCCAGGGGGTGGAGGTTGTAGTGAGCTGAGATCAAGCCACTGCACTCCATCCTGGATGACAGAGTGAGACCTAGTCTAAAATAAAGTGGGGGTGGGGGGGTGGGTAGGGTGGCAGACAGTTTGTTGTGCCAGCAAGTAAATGAAGAAAGGGGCAGTATGAGAGTTGAGAAATAAATTGGAATATGATTTGGTATCGCTCGTGCAGAGGATAAATGTGCTAAATGTGCTGAAGTTAGAGGCATTATGTAAGGTCCATTGCAGTGGCTCATGCCTGTAAATCTTGGCACTTTGGGAGGCCTCGGAGCTGCTTGAGCCCAGGAGTTTGGAGACCAGCCTGCGCAACATGTTGAAACCCCTTCTCTACAGAACATACAAAATTTAGCAGGGCACCATGGCCCGCGCCTCTAATCCCAGCTACTGGGAAGGCTGAGAGATGGGAGGATCACTTGAGCCTGGGAAGACGAGGCTGCCATGAGACATGGTTGGGCCACTGTGCTCCAGCCTGAGAGACAGAATGAGACCCTGTCATAAAAACTAAAAATAAAAATTAAAAAGCCTGTAATGTAGCAGTGGCACCTCTAGTTCTCTACACTATAGAAATATCAGTGGTCAAAGATATATGTACAAGAATGATGGTTTCAAGATTCTTTGTAGTACTAAAATCATGAAGCCAATCTCTTCAAACACATTTTGAAAAGGGTTAAGTAAATCATGTACAAACTGAAGGGGGAAATGCTGTTTTCAAAAATGATGGAGAGGATTATTATGATGATCAATGATTCCACTGGTCACATTATTGATTGAGCAATCACTAAATCCAGGCCCATCCTGGGGATAGGACACCTCTCTAGGCCTCCTATTAAAAATGAAAAAAATGGAAGCTGGTCTATAATCCATCCAAGCCTATAAGGGGCAGGCATGAGGATTTTATCGCACCAGAAGTGACTTGTTTGGTCTCTGATTCTTGCACTCAGGCACAAGACAACCTGACATTTCAGGAGATGCTCTGTCAGAATTGGATCTCTGAGTGGGGTGGCTCTTGATAGGGATCCCTGTTAACTGTGACTAGAATCCTGAGAAGAGAAAAACCTTCCTGAAATGGGCATATCCCTGGCTGGCCTGGAACCAACCTTTCGGACTTAGGACTATGGGAAGAATAGGGGGAGATTCTCTAGTGATGATAATACATGAATGCTTTAAAAGCTAGAACAGGCGTCCCTGGGTGGTCTTGAACTACTCACCGTTCGGTTAATAGCCGAACGCTCTGACCGATTGCGCCACAGAGACAGGTACTAGCGATTCCACTGGGCGCTGTAGGCAGGGCGCACTCACCGAACTCCCCCATCCCTTCCAGCCTCAGGGCCCGCCTGGCAGGACTACTGAGCAAGGCCTTGGAAAATCGGAGCGATTAGAGCGGTGAGTCGCGCTGGTCACACTGCACACCTGCGGGTTGGGAGATTCTGGAGCCAGAAGGAGAGCCGAATGGCCTTCGCCCGCCCTGCCCCTCCTCCGCTTCAGAAATCCCCGGAAACGCCCCGGTCCGCGATCCGGGCCCGAGCAGCCAGGGGGCCCAAGGGAAGCTGAACGCCGGGTGAGCTACCCGGATGGCTCTTCCGGTTCTTTGTGCGGCCTTCACCCAGTGAGGGAGCCTGTGCCCCCTGCCCAGTCGCTTTCGGGGCGCTGAGGAGCTTCCGCTGCCATCTTCGGATGCTGTGTCCCGCACGGAGGGTCCACCAGGGCAGGGATAGTGGTGAGGGTCGCTCGTGGATCCCCTCGCGGGGAGCAGGGTCTGGCACACACCAGGGCGCAGGATTAGGACTTGTTGAATGAATCCATCATGGCCTTTATCTTTTAGTCCTCTGAAGAGCGTTGAGAATGGAAATCATAAGATATTTTTTCCATTAGGAAGTTCTTTTTACAAGGCGTTTATTCAGGTTGACTTCTCGGCACCCCGCGGGGCGGGCAACGGGCAGGGCCTCCAGTGCACCTTCTGCGCAGTGGAGCCGCGGGGGCTCAGCTGGGCGGTGGTCGGGTCGTGAGGCGGGAGGGCGGGAGCGGGGGAAGGGAAAAGCAAAAGCGGGGAAAGAAGCCGGGGAGCGGTGGACCAGACATTCAGACCTCCTGAAAGGCTCGTGCGGAGGCAGAGGCGGGATCTTCCGGAGGTGAGAATTGTTTTGTTATTGTAGCAGAATGGGGAGGAATTGAGGGGAAAATGGAGATAGAACCTGAAAGAGCCCCAAACGCGAGAACGTGTAGCTCCCCAAGTGTAAGATCTCACAGAAGAACTAGACTGAAAACTAGGCGTCTGGGAAGCCTGAAATCCTTGGAGGAGTGGCATCATCATGACCCTCTGTGTTCTCACTTATAAGTGGGAGCTGAATGATGAGAATACATGGACAGATAGAGTGGGGGTGGGGACAACACACACTCGAGCCTGCCAGAGGGTAGGGCTGGGAAGAGGGAGAGCATCAGAAAGAGGAGCTAATGGATGCTGGGATTAGTACCTGGGTGGTGGGATGATCTGTGCAGCAAACCACCATGGCACAGGTTTATCTATGGAACAAACCTGCACATCCTGCACGTGTACCCCTGAAATTAAAGTAAAAATTGGAAATAAAACATTTAAAAAGAAAAGAAAACAAACAACAACAACAAAAAAGAGTGGTGCAAATCTGTACCAGGCTTATTGTAAACAAAAGAATGAGAATGAAAACATGGATATCAGACAAAGGGAAATGGCAAAAGAACGCTTTACATTAGCTAGAGGAGTAATATCCTAGCATCTAACTAGAATAGAATGGAATCGAATGGAATTGTTTTTCCCTGAACTGGCCTCCTTGGGTGGCCGACGAGGGCGAGGTGAAGGGAAGACATCTTGGAGTGAAATGTCCGTTTCTTCGCTCTTGTTTTGGTCTCTGTAAGGCATAAGAAGTTAAAAGCAAGATCTGATCCGTGGCATTTTCCAGGAATTTGAAATAGGTACATGAGGAGAGAAGCTCAATTATTACCCAGGTCTCCGGGACTATCCCAGGCACAATCCCAAGAGTCCAGCTTTCCAAACCAGGGTCCCTGGGTTCTGAAGGCCCTTTTGGGGAAAGTACTGATGTTTGTGTCAAGGTTGGGAGGAAAGGGTTTGGAAGGCCCCAGGCGATGGGAAGGCAAAGAGAAGGTATCAAGAAGCAAGGCAAGAACTTTCCACAGGTTCACGTTGGATACAGCACCGGAGACAAGAAACTGAGTGAATTTCTGGTGTTTTCTTACAGAGGTTTGTTATCCAGTTGTACAGAGTCTATTTCAGAATAAGTCTTTTTCAAATCAGCTCTTTTAATGTGAAGCCATAACTTTCTGGTGTTGCCTGATGCAAATCTCTAATGTGAGCCTTTGCCCTGGGTGTCCTTTTTGTTAATTACATGTTCCAAAGAGAACACGGTAAAAATCTTGACTCCTCTTCCCATGTCCCGATCTTACCTTTTTCCATGTAAAGGCCGCAGTTTTTGCTAGCAGGAGGCGTCAGTGGTTTAGTGGTGGAATTCCTGCCTCCCATGCACGAGATCCGTGTTCAACTCCTGGTTGGTGCAGCGTGCAGTTTCCGCACAATGCGGTTTTTACATTTATTTACCATAACTGTGTATACTCAGGCAGGTCACAGCCGCAATAATAAACAGAAGGAAAAGGGAACTACTGTATAGCTTTCCAGTTCCTTCTGGAGTGGAATTTCTCTAAGTAAGGACTTCGCAGAGACTGTCTTTGAAGCAGCTAGTGTGTCTGGTTGGTCTCTGCGTTTGCATATTTGGCCCTAAAACCGACGGGACGTTTATTGTCTCTTCTGGCGGATCCCTGAAATACACAGTCACCTGGACACTGATTTCACTGACTGGACCTTGGACAGACCACGTATCGCGGTGGAGTGAGGCTCAAGAAAGGAGAGAAGCTGTGGGGTCGGACAGACACACGCAGTGGGGAAGGGGCAGTGGGTACGGGGGCCCAGGGACAGGGGAGGCGTGTGGGAAGGAACCCGCACGCAGATGAGGGGAGCTGCAGAGAGGGACCTCGGATCTTCCTGTCGAGGAAGGCCCAGTCTTTGGTGGTATCGGCAAAATGAAGGATGGGCCCCAAGTGGAGAGCAGCACGTCCCCAAAACTCATTTCGATTACCCCTGTTTTATACTCCACCAAGCAAATCTTCTATCTAGGGGATTCTTTGTAATACGTCTCTTTAAGCATCGTGCTGGAGAGGCCATGACAATCATTACCTCTGGAGATTTGCGGAGGAAAGCTGGAAAAGGAAAGCCCCGGGATCATCTGGTTTGTCCTCCCCTGTTTTCATCTACTCTTTTCCTCAGGGAAGCTTATATGTGTCCAGGAGTCGCATCGCAGCTGCCTCACTGGTGGATTAAGATCCGCTGATGGCGGGGCGTGGTGGATCACCCCTGTAATCCCAGCACTTTGGGAGGCCGAGGCGGGCGGATCACAAGGTCAGGAGATCCAGACCATCCTGGTCAACATGGTGAAACCCCATCCCTACCAAAAATACAAAAAATTAGCTGGGCGTGGTGGTGCGCGCCTGTAGTCCCAGCTACTCGGGAGGCTGAGGAAGGAGAATCGCTGGAACCCGGGAGGCGGAGGTTGCAGTGAGCCGAGATCGCACCACTGCACTCCAGCCTGGCCACAGAGCGACACTCCGTCTCAAAAAATAAACAGCCGCTGACAAATCTCTTTCGTGAAGGGGTAAGAGCCGCAGTTGGCCCATAGCAAGGGAGTCAGAAGCAAGAGCAGAACCGAAAATACTTTTCTCTATGTCGTTCTCTCTCTCCTACCTGTGAACATCAACCTTCCACACACACCGGTTCAAAACCGCCTTGGTCTCTAAGGGAGATTTACCATTTTTCACAGGTCCCGTAAGCCATGTTTCCTTCTTGCTTCTACAGTTTTTCGAGGGCTGAGTTTCAGGAGCTGGTCAGCAGTGCAGGCTACTTCAATATCCTGGTTCAAAACCATTTGTCTGGTTTTGCTAGTAAAGTGCCTCCTAGACCAGAGATAAGACGTGTTCCTTCGGCTTCCATTTTCTAGAGATAATTGGTATCATTTCTTCATTAAATGTTTCGTAGTAAAACCATCTAGACCTGGTGCTTTGTTCTGGAAGGTTGTTAATCATTGATTCAATTTCATTAATAAATAGAGATCTGTTTAGGTTATATATTTCTCCTTGTGTGAGTTTTGGTAGACTGTGTCTTTCAAGAACTTGGTCCAATTCATCAAGTTATCAAATATGTGAGCGGAGAATTGTTGATAATCTTCATCTGTTATCCTTTTAATATCCATGAGATCAGTAGTGAGGACCTTCTTTTCTTTTTGTTATTTGTAATTTGTATCTTCTCTCATTGTTTCTTGGTTCACCAGCTGGATGTTTATCAATTTTATTGATTATTTTAAAGAACTACATTTTCTTTTTGTTGATTTTTCTCTATTGATTTCTGGTTTTCAATTTCCTTGATTTCTCCTCTAATTTTTATTGTCTCTTGCTTTCCACTTACTTTGGATTTAATTTTTTCTTGTTTTTTGAGTTTCCTAAAGTGTAAGTTCAGATTATTGATTGTAGATCCTTTTTCTTTGCTACCATATGCATTGAATACTATGAATTTCTTTCTAAGCACCAATTTTCCTGCACCCAGAAATTTTTTATAAGTTGTATGTTTATTTTCATTTAGCTCAAAATATGTAATTTGCCCTGAGACTTTTTCTTGACCCATGTGTTACTGGAAGTGTATTGTCTGATCTCCAGTTTTGGGATTTTGCAGCTATCTGTTGTTGATTTCTACTTCAGTTCCATAATTTGAATGGAGGGCATATTTGGTATGATTTCTATCCCATTAAATATGTTGAAGTGTGTTTTATGGGCCAGAATGTGGTGGATCTTGGTGAACACTCCATGTGACCCTAAAAAGAATATGTATTCTGCTCTTGTTGGATGAAGTAATCTAAAAAGTCGGTTGGATCCAGGTGACTGATGGTGGTGTCCAGTTTCACTACATCTTTATTGATTTCCTGCCTTCTGATCTGTCAGTTACTGATGCTGAAGCCTCCCACTGTAATAGTGAATCTGTCTATTTGTCCTTGAAGTTCTATCAGCTTTTGCCCCTGATATTTAGATGCTTTAGGTGCATATCATTTAAGGATTGTCATATCTTCTTGGAGAAGTGACCTCTTTATATTATATAAAGACTCTCTTTATCCCCATGATTTTCCTCCCTCTGAAGTCAGCTCTGTCTCAAATTAATGTGGCTACTGTAGTTTTTTTGTTTTTTTGTTGGTTTGTTTGCTTTTGTTTTTGTTTTGTTTTTTGTTTTGACTGAGTTTCGCTCTTGTTGCCCAGGCTGGAGTACAATGGCGCAATCTCAGCTCACTGCAACATCCGTCTCCCAGGTTCAAGCGATTCTCCTGCCTCAGCCTCCCAAGTAGCTGGCATTAAAGGCATGCGCCACCATGACCGGCTAATTTTGTATTTTTAGAAGAGATGGAGTTTCACCATGTTGGTCAGGCTGGTCTTGAACTTCTGACCTCAAGTGATCCACCTGCCTTGGCTTCCCAAAGTGCTGGGATTACAAGTGTGAGCCACAGTGCCCAGCTGCTACTCCAATTTTCTTTTGATTACGATGGGTATGATATATCTTTCTCCATCTCTTCACTTCTAATATCTCTGTGTCTTCTTATTTAAAGTAGGTTCGTTGTAGATGACATATAGTTGGACCTCATTTTCCATTCTGCCAGTCTCTGTCTTTTAGTTGGTGTACTTGGACCATTCACATTTAAAGTGACTATTGATATCATTGGATTAATATGTACCATATGTGTAACTGTTTCTATTTTTTGACTTTCTTCATTGTTTCCTTTTGTGTCTTTTACTCTTTTTCTACCTTCTCTGGCTATAATTGAACATGTTATATGATCCCATTTTTTTCTTCTCTCTTACAATACAAATTCCATTTCTTAAAAGAAAAATTGTGTTTTTGTTTTCACCCTATTGCTTGCCATATATACTTACAAATAATCTAAGTCAACTTAAAGTAATGTTATGATGCTTCATGGGTCATGCAGGTACCTTAAAAACAAAATTCCTAATTCCTTTCTTACCACCTTTTAAAACATTACTCTCATTCATTTGATGTATTAATAACATATAATCATCCAATCAATTATTGCTGTTTTTCTTATTTTGACAGACGGTTATATGAATTAAGAATAAACATAATAAAATATTTTATTTTTAACTTCATTTATTCCTCCTCTAACTTGCTTCCTTCATGTAGATATGTCTTTAAACTTTGTGGTTTTTTTCTTCTTTCTGAAGAACTTCTTTTAACCTTTCATGGAAGACAAAATTACTGGTGACAAATTCCCTCAATTTTTGTTTGTCAAGAAAGTCTTTTATTTCTCCTTCACGTTTGAAGGGTAATTCTAAAGAATTCTAGGTTAACAGAGTTCTTTTTCCTCCAATACTAAATATGTCAGCTGCATGCTGTTCTTGCTTGCATGGTTTATGAAGAGAAGTCTAATGTAGTACTCATCCTTGTTCTTCTAAGGTAAGGTGTTTTCTTTCTCCAGCTTCTCTCAAGATGTTCTTTTGTCTTTGATTTTCTACACTTTCAATATTATATGTTGGATGCTTAATTGCATGTGTAAATTTGGCTGGGCCATGGTGCCCAGATATTTGGTCAAATATTATTCTGACGTTTCTGTGAAAGTGTTTTTTGATGAAATGAGACATTGAAATCAGCCGACTTTGAGTAAAGCAGATGACACTCCATAGTGTGAGTTGGCCTCATCTAGTCAGGTGAAGGCCTTAATAGTATAAAACCTGACCTCCCCCTAACAAGGAGGAATTCTGCCAGCAGATTCCCCTTAGACTTGAACTGCAACTCTCTCCCCTGAGTCTCCAGCCTACTCGCCTATCTCATCAGATTTGGTCTCACCAAGCTTCCACAATTATATGAGCCAATTCCTTAAAATCAGTCTCAATCTCTCTCTCTCTCTCTGTCTCTCTTCTCTCTCTCTCTCTCCTCTCCATCTTCATCTCTATCTTCTATTATGAGAAGTGGCAGGTAAAGAAGATAGGAAAAAGAAAACAAATCATGTAATTGTCATATGGAAATATTTGATGTTGAAAATTATAATTTAGGCCAGGGGCGATGGCTCACGCCTGTAATCCAGCACTTTGGGAGGCCGTGGCAGGCAGATCACGAGGTCAGGAGATCCAGACCATGGTGAAACCCCGTCTCTACTAAAAATACAAAAAATTAGCCGTGTGCGGTGGCTGGCACCTGTAGTCACAGCTACTCTGGAGGCTTAGGCAGAATGGCGTGAACCTGGGAGGCGGAGCTTGCAGTGAGCCGAGATCACACCACTGCACTCCAGCCTGGGCCACAGAGCGAGACTCCATCTCAAAAAAAAAGAAAAAGAAAAAAGAAAATTATAATTTAAAACGTATAAACCAAATATTAGAAGTGTGTCTAGTTCAAAGGGGAAAAAACTATCAAGAACATTTTAGTGCAATATTAAACTTGACCTATACAACCCTTCCTAAATGCCAAAGGCATACACAGACAAACACACACACTATCAGAGAATACAAATAACTAGAACAAAGAAATGTAGTAAATACAATCTACAACATATGGTAAACATAGCCTACAATGTGGAAGTGTTTAGAAAATAAACTCGGAAATAAAAATGTTTTTATTAATTCGTATCATTACCTGCCAAAACCAATCAACATAATAAAAGATTATAACACTGAATGTAAAAAAACAATTCACCAGTCCAAAGTGATAGACAAAAAATTTTAGTTGTATGGATTAAAGTTAACTGTGGACAAAAATTAAAACCCAGGCAGGAAATTTTTTTTTCAACAACAGAAACTAGCAAAAACAAGGATATAGTAAAAACTGAAATAGAAAATTTCCAGTGTAGAGATATGAATATAATAATAGACACAGGCAGGGATGATTAATAAATGATAAAATGTTTAGAGGATGATCATTAGAATACAGGACATTTATACTCTTGAAAACCACTTTCCCAAATACTTCATTATAAGTAAGGTGTCTCTAAAAGGGACAGGTCTTCTAGATTCCTCCTTAACCAAGTGACAGTCCTAGTATCACGATAATGGTGATGGACAAACTGGACCTTCTCTGCCTGCAGATGGGCTGAGGTAGGAAACTCTCAGTAGTGACTCTGCAGTGTTCCTGGCAAAACGTTTAGGCTGAATTTAATCATGAGGACATTTTCAGACAACTTCAGAATGTAGAACATTGAGCCAGACAGCTGACCTGTCCTCTACAAACAAGTCCATGTCACCACCATCCATGACAACAACAAAAAGATGAGGAGATACTTTCGGTTCAAAATAACTAAAGAAATGTAGCTACATTATGTTTTTACTTTTTTTGAACCCAAAATGTCTCTTCTCCTTTTTGTTGTGTGATTCGTGGTGACATGGACCGTGTGAAGGAGACAGGTCAGTTGTCCTGCTCAGTGTTCTACATTCTGCAGTTGTCTGGTGATTACCTCCTATGAAACTCAGGCTAAGCATTTTTAGCAAGAACATGGCATTGTTCATATTCTGCACCGGCAAATTCCCTGTTGTCTACAGGATGGAAGTGAGAGGAGCAGGGCTAAAGCCTCTCAATGCTGTTTGTCCATCTGGCTTTGGTCTTCCTAAGTGTTGATATCAAGTGGAGGCTGAAGGACTGTGGCTTCTCTAACCAAAATTGTGGGTTAACAATTGTCAAGAGCAGTCAGTGGTTCTGAAATACAATCCTCAGCCATGGATCCCTCCTGTGTTGTGTTGAGCTTTCAATTGCTTTGCTCTTTTAGTTTTTTTCATCAAACGAAAATGCTTTTTGTGATATCCTTTCTTTCTTTTCATTGTTCCAGCAGCATTTAGTATCTGTAGGAGAGAGAGAAGGAAAGATCAAATGGGCATCTTTGTCAGGTCCTGCTGATGGCTGAGTCTAGAGGGACTGCTAAGTGGTGATAGCCCAGGGGCAAACTGAGCTCCTGCTAGGAGGATGAGCTGAAGGCTGAGCCGAAGGCTGAGTGAAGAGGCAAGTGCCATCCACAAGTGAAAAGTAAATGCCCCTGAACTTCCAGTCAGCTGAGGTGAAGGATATAGGGACCCTAGCTCTGCCCAACCAGCAGCCGGTGACATCAGCCCCTTTCCTCCTGATTCCTTCTGTCTGGAGCAGAGTGATGGCTTTTCACACCCCTCAGTGAGGATTTTCTCAGCATCAACCATGAAAGCTCAGAAACAGAGGGCTGCAGAAGGAAAGGACCTTTTACAGAGAAACCCACTCCCTTACAGCTCCATGTCCCCGTCTCTTAGGGAAGGGTGTGCAGGGCCATGGGAAGAACCCTGGAGGTGAGATACAGGAAGGACCTCAGACCACATCCACATCCAGTTCTGCCTTTTACAACAGAGGAGCAGTGATGCCACAGGGCTGACTTAACTAAAGCCACATGACTTGCTATTGACAACCCTGAAACTAGAACCCACGCACGAAGTCCCTTTCAATAAGTTGGAGAGAAGGGAGAGTCAATTCTCCAATCTGGAGTTCTTGACAGTCACTAGAGGTTGCTGGGTCACCTTGGCTAGGATAGGAATGAGCTTTTACAAAGAAATATGATGTCACTGCTACTTGTTTTGTCGGTAAAATTAAAAATGAGAAAAGACAAAAGAAATATTATGTGTTCTTCCAAAAAGGATCAGAAAAAAAGGAAAAGGAAAGAGTCAAATGGAATTACAAAGGAAGGGTGGTGATTGTAACCATGGCCCAACTTATTATCCCTAATTCCCTGAAGTTGATTCCATACCTGGTTACACCTTAAGGCATTTCTAGAAATATTCTCAATATCTGATCGACAAAACTCTGAAGTAGAAAGTGAAAAGGATTAGTTTGTGTTTTATTACATTCTCCTCTCCCTGTTATATTTTTCCCAAAGTGGTTTGTTGGGAAAGATTTCTTTTTAGTATTTTATGCCAGCGTCAAGGGTAGCATAAAAAAGTATTCATATATCATCTCTTCCTGAGTTTCAGTTTTATTATTATTATTATTATTATTATTATTTCTTTTTTTTTTTTAGATAGAGTCTTGCTCTGTCACCCAGGCTGGAGTGTAGTGGTGCGATCTCAGCTCACTGTAACCTCTGTCTTCCAGGCTCAAGCGATTCTCCTGCCTCAGCTTCCCAAGTAGCTGGGATTACAGGCACGTGCCATCACGCCCGGCTAATTTTTGTATTTTTAGTGGAGACAGGGTTTCGCCATGTTGGTCAGACTGGTCTCGAACTCCTGACCTCAGATGATCCACCCTCCTTGGCCTCCCAAAGTGTTGGAATTAAGAGGCATGAGCCACCATGCCCGGCCGAGTTTCAGTTTTTACTTATTATTATATTCTCTCTAGTTGAGTGAGAACTACGAGTTCTCTTTGAGGATTTGGCTGAATGAAAAGAATTGAGCAAAGCAGAATTTTTACACTGCAGTGCTGAACCCATTCATGGGCTCTGGAATCAGTGTGTGGAAATGTAAACTGCAGGATTTATTTTAAAATTGAAAAGAAAGGTGGGCATGACGGCTCATGCCTAAATCCCAGATCTTTGGGAAGCCAAGGTGGATGGATCACTTGAGGCCAGGAGTTCGAAATCAGCCTTCCCAACATGGTGAAACCATGCCTCTACTAAAAAAATACAAAAATTAACCAAGTGTGGTGGCATGCACCTGTAATCCCAGCTACTCAGGAGGCTGAGGCATGAGAATTGTTGAAGCTGCGAGACGGAGGTTGCAGTGAGCCGAGACTGCGCCACTGCACTCCAGCCTGGGTGACAGAGAGAGACTCTGTCTTAAAAATAAAATAAAATAAAACAAAACATAAAATACAATAAAATAAAATTGAACAGAAAATACTAAATTTGAATATGTGTAATATACGAGGTATTGTTTTCTGTATACTGGGTTTCAATATAATGACTATTTCTTATTTTACTTGTATTTAAAATTAAGCAAGTGTGCTTTAAGTAGAGAGACTATAGGTCTAATCCACCTATTTTCTTGTTTTTCTTTTTTATTTTTTTCTACATTCTACAAATACTACTGTTGAGAGGTGAATACAGATCCCATCAATGTCTGATGGATGCTCAGCCTTTTGTGTGGAGTAGCCACACAAGTGGTCATCTCCATGTTGAAAACCTGAGGTCAGAGTAGACCAGTGGTCCTTGTCATCTTCGGTTGTATATTAGAATATCATGGAAGTTTTTTAAAGGTACTGATGCTCACATCACACCCCAGACCATTTAAGTGAGAATCTCAAGATGTCAGTTCAAGGCATTCATGTTTATTGAAATCTCACCAGGTGCTTATTACATGGTAGCAGGATTTAGAGACAATGAATGAACCAACCTGATTTCCCATCATTTTCTTTCCTATCCTCATTTCTCTCGTGATTGCCTTCATTCTCTGTGGCTGTATGGATTTTAGTCTTTCTTCTGACAATTTCGGTTAAATCTCTCACTTGGGCTTGTCTGAGGCAAAGTCTGTCCTGTAGATAGGTTCTTGTCTATCATCTTATGTAGACATAAAGCTGACCCCTGGACTCACTTTTCTCAAAGTTAATTCATTAAATGCTCTCGTATTTCTCTGTCCTCAAGATTCACCTGAGTTGTGTTTTAGATTCTAACTGAGCTTGTAGAAGTAGATATGTGAATAAAAAGGAGAGAGGTGAGAATGTACCTCGTGGTCTATGCAGGTTCAAAGTCCTGCCCTGCCCTCTGCATCTACCTTCGGCTGAGGTTCCTTTGGAATGTCATAAATGTTCTCCAGTTAATGTCAGCTAAGTGACTCCATGAGGAGCAGGCACAGTCCCTGGAAACTTCATCCACGTTGGCATAAGTTTGCCCATCTGGAGCTGAAGACACACCTGACTCCAGGCTAGTAGGGAACTCTCTTCTGTGACCCAGGTTCTAATTTAGTTTTTGATTTGGGGTTCTTAGTGCTCATTTTTAACACTTCTCATTCCCATGTACAAGGTGAGGGTTAAAGTTTGACTTAGTTGTGTTGCTCAAAAGCTGTCCCAAGAGAAAAATCTGTGTATAAATGACGTATTAAAGCAATGCTCCCAGCAGAAAGGGGCAATGGAGTTTGGGATGCAGGAAGGAAAGGCAAATTACTCAAGCCGTGCAATTCCAGGCAAAGAACCCTGTGTTTAGCAGCTCACACCATGCACTTGGAGGGAGACAAGGAGGCTGGGCTCTCCTGCAGCTGTGAGAAGGACTCTCAGGACAGCAGCAGTGGGAACAGAGCAGAGTTCAGAGAGCAAACAGGTGATGAGGACCAGAAGGGCCTGGCAGGGTGGCAGCCCATGGGACACAGAGGTTAGACCAGGCAGACGTGACAGCAGCTGCTGGAGAGAACAAATACAGAAGAAAAAAGCAGTGGGAGAAGGAGCTGTCATCACAGACAGAGAGAAATAAGGAGTGAGTGCAGCTAAGAGCCATAGATGTGATTACCTTCGTACTCTAAGCTTGCAGGCCAGGGAATCTGCAGGCCAGTCTCCACTTGCTGAATGGGAGCTTTCTTTTGGTCATCTTCGGTTTTAGGACACTTGAGGCATGAATGTGGCCAGTGACTTGATGCCCATGTGTGTTGTCAGCTGAGCCTTCAATAGCATCACCTTCCAGCTGGGGAGGGTTCTTCATTCCAAGGGAAGTCTCTAAACCCAGCTCTGAAAATGAAACCACACCCAACAGCGTTCACTGTCATCCATGATCTTACTGTGACTTTCTCTTCCACCCAAGAGGATCATCAGAGAAGGAAAGCGGCCTTGAACAAGAAAATCCAAGGGGTAAAGGGAAGCCAAGAAAGACATTTGGGTACTTTCTGTATTGTTGATTTTTCATGCATCACCCAGTAATGACAAGATTGCCAGGAGGAAAAGGTGATCCCAACTGACAAACATATTCAAAAAATTTAGGATTAATAAACCCAAATAGCTTCCAAGTAGATAAGACAAAGGCAAGGAAATCACACTGGATACAGGCTGTGTTTTGGGAGGGAGGAGATTCTAAAAATCAAGCAAAATCAACGTTAAATGAACATATGAGAGAAAAGAATTGGGAAGACTAAACATGGGATATTGATGAAATGATCATACAGATAGGTACATTGCATATATCTACATTTTATTAAAAATACATGCAAATATGCATAATGTATATAACAGTGACATAAATGCATATATTTATATATAAAAATCTATTGGAAGAAATTATTACATAGGGATGTGGAAGGTGTTGAATTAACATTATAATCACTAACATTACAATCTAGCCCATTGAAATTGGAAAAAATTTTGGAAAAATAAGACTATTGAGAGAGAGAAGACATGGTGAGAAACAAATGCCCTAGTAGACAGCAGGGAGAAGTCACTAGAGAATGAAACAAAAGGCATTCATTCTTTCCTCCTGCCTGGAGCCTGGTTAGTGCTCTGGACTCCTGGGAAAGCCAGCAGGTGAGAGTGTTGGAGCCAGGTGGGTGAGTCCTGACTGGGGATGTGGGAATCCATGGAGAAGCAAAAGAGACATCAGTGGGAAGAAATCAGTTTAAATACTCGAAGTTATCAGGGCATGTGTCAGGGACTACGCATCCCCCGACACTCACTGAGCGTCTTCCATGTGTCCTCTCCACGGACCCAGAAAGTGCTCGTTACCTCAAGTGACCCTCCTTCCTCCTGAGGACATGGGTCCCTTATTCCTCAGCTGGGGGCATCGCCTGACAGATAAGCACCTGGCAGCCCCAGGGGCTCCAGGAGGAGATATTGAGTGGGACAGAGAGTAAGAATGAACACGACCCAGTAGAGATGGGGTTTCACCATGTTGGCCAGGTTGGTCTTGAACACCTGACCTCAAGTGATCTGCCTGCCTTGGCCTCCCACTGTGCCCAGCCGCAGCTAATTTTTTGTATTTTTAGTAGAGACAGGGTTTCCCTGTGTTGGCCATGATGGTCTTGATTCCTGGCCTCAAGTGATCTGCTCACCTGGGCCTCCCAGAGTGCTGGGATTACAGGCGTGAGCCACCACACCTGGCCAAGAAACAACCATCTTATTTTGTGCTTTTGTTTGGTCCACCAGATCTATGTTTCTTTTTCTCACCTTTCTTGCCTTTCTTTTGAAATGATTATTTTTTCTTACCATCTATTTTTTTCCTTTTCTGTTGATATGAAAATAATGTACTCTTTTTCTATTCTTTGAGCAGTGGCTCTCTGGCTCTAGAAATCACACAATAGTCACCCTTTCCTTAGCAAAGTCTTTTTTTTCTTTTTAATTTAAAGACAGGGTCTCACTTTGTGGCCCAGACTGGGGTGCAGTGATGCAATCACAGCTCACTACATCCTCAACTTCCCCAGCTTAAACGATCCTCCCACCTCAGCCTCCCCAGTAGCTGCGACTACAGGCACATACCACCACACCTGGCTAGTTTTGTTTGTTTATTTTTTGTAGCAACGAGGTCTCGCTATATTGCCCAGGCTGGTCTCAGACTTCTAGGCTCAAGCAATCCTCCCACCCTGGCCTCCCAAAGTGCTGGGTTTACAGGTGTGAGCTACCATGCCTGGCCTAAAGTCTAATGTTAATCAGTACATTTACTGTCCTTCTGGAATGAGTATAAGGACCTTAGAATAATTTTTTTTTTTTTTTTTTTGTGATGGAGATTTGCTCTTATCCCCCAGGCTGGAGTGCAATGGTGCTATCTCGGCTCATGGCAACCTCCACCTACTAGGTTCAAGCGACTCTCCTGCCTCAGCTTCCCGAGTAGCTGGGATTACAGGTGTGCACCACCACACCCAGCTAATTTTTGTATTTTTAGTAGAGATGGGGGTGAGGTGGGTGGATTACCTGAAGTCAAGAGGTCAGGACCTTAGAATAATTTAACAAAACTTCCCTTTCTCCCTAGTTTCTAGCTGGCAACATGGAGTTGCTATACATTTTAATTCTGTATATTTTAACACTCTGTAAGACATGCATATTACAGCTTTTAAGGTCAATATTTATGTTTACCCATATATTTACCATTTTTAAAATTCTTAATCCTTTCTGTGTCTCTGACCCTTTAGCCTAAGTCAGTTGGTTGTGAATTCTCTCAATTCTTGTTTGTCTGAAAATGCCTATATTTTACTTTCATGGTTGAAGAATATTCTGCTGGCTATAAAGTTCTATAATAGTTTTTATTTTCTATAAGAACATGGAGAATATATTCCCATTTTTCCTTTGGTTTTTATTTTTGTGCTTTAGAAACTTAAAATTTTTTTTTCTGGATGCTATAAAGATTTTTTCACTTTTTCTTTTGTTTTCTGCAATATCTCAGGGTGAATCTTGGTGTAGATTTCTTTTTTCTTTATCCTGCATGGAATTCTTAAGTTCTATGAGTCAGTCCTCCAAAATTCTCAGTCATTTAACCATAAAAATTTAAATATTGTCTTTGCTCCATTTCTCTCTCTTGTAAAACTGCAATTAAATATATGTTAGACTTTTTCAAGATGTCCTCCCTCTCATCCTCTCTGCTATATTTTCTATGTTTTTGTCTCTTTGTGCTGTAATATGGAAAGTTTATTCTGACTTATTTTTCTGTTCAATAATTCTTTCTTCAGCTATGTCTAATATGCCCTTAAACTCACTCAATTAATTCATAATTTGTCATTATATTTCCCCTTTTCAAAATTATGTCACTTTTCCCCCTCAGTGTCTTTCTGAAATTTTGAAGCTTTTCTTTTCTTTCTTTCTTTTCCTTTTTTTTTTCTTTTTTAAGGCTTGGTAGGCATAGTTGTTTTATAGTTGGTATCTAATAATCCCAATATATGACAAACAGTCTTTGTTGGTCTGTTTCTACTATCTTCTTGTTTTAACTGGTTCTTGCTCATGGTACCTTGTTTCCTATGCATTTTGTTTTCTTTGTGTGCTATTCAATGTATTTTAGGAATACTTTGAGACATAAGATGATAGTGCCTCTTACAAGAGAGTATTTTAATTTGTTTCTGCCACGATTCTAGAGGTGCTACTGATGCAGGACTATCTTAATCTAAGTTTGAGGCTTCAGGTTCCCTAAAAGAGCCAAATGATGAGAAGCTAGGCTGCAAGTCTTTTGAAGGACTGGTTTAATTCTGGTTTACCCTTACCCTGAAGTGATAACCTTGCTAGGTTCTACCTTACAGTGGCAGGTGGTTTATCTGAGTCTTAAGCTAAGGTGGACCCTGAGCTTTAAGTCTTGTTTCCTCTGCCCTGAAAGACCCCCACCTGCCCTAAGCAAATGCAGTTTCACAGTTATTTCTTCGAGATAAGCAAATCTCATTAGGGCCAAACAGATTTTAATATAGGGGCTTCATTTTTTCTAGATTTTGACTGGGCAGTTTCTTATTTGATTAACTATTTGGTGCTTTTGGAAGGTGTGGGTTTTCAAAAAATATATTTCCCAATTTCATTTTACTTTTTCTCAGCAGAGGGGTTACTCTGAGATAACTAGTCTACCACTATAGGAAATAATATATATCTATTTTTGTATTTCAGTCTTTAGCACAGTTTTGGTCATTCAATCTTTGTTAAAGAATGATGATATGTGTGGCCATGGGCATTGGAATCAAGTTGTAGAAGCTATGGTTTCTTTCTTCAAGGAACTTATCATTTAATAAGTGAAGAAAAAAATCACAAATAAAACTTAAATAATGACTATATTTTCTTTGTAGAAGTGTAAATTAATATACCTTTTTGGAGAAAAATTTGGCATTGCTTATCAAAATTAAATATACTCTTTGGCTAAATTCCACATCTAATAATTTATCTGATGTATACTCCACACATACTTGGACAGGTGCTTAAAGATGTGTATATGAGTACTTTTTATTGATAACAGCATGTTTGTAATACAAAAGACAAAAAGGTC
This sequence comes from Homo sapiens, assembly GCF_000001405.40. Classification (NCBI taxonomy): domain Eukaryota; kingdom Metazoa; phylum Chordata; class Mammalia; order Primates; family Hominidae; genus Homo; species Homo sapiens. The sequence goes on from NC_000001.11 coordinate 146,503,334, forward strand.
TAAATATCTATTGAGATGGGACTGATGAAATAAATTGTAATATATTATAATGTAATGAAATAATGTGCAGCCATTAAAAAGAATGAGAGAAGATTAACATGTATTGATAAGGAATAATTTGCATGATATATTCAAGTGAAAACAAAGAAATAAACAAGAAGCTTGATAGGACAGTTGACCCTTGAACAATTGGTCGTTAGGGGCACCTACCCCCTCAACACAGTTGCAAATTTGCATATGACTTTTGACTCCCTCAGAACTTAAAAATCAATAGCCTACTGTGGATTGGAAGCCTTACTGATAACATACACGGTCAATTAACACATACATATTTTGTGTGTTATATGTGTTATATACAATATTCTTAAAGTAAGTTAACATGTTATTAAGAAACCATAAGGAAGAGAAAATACATTTACTATTCATTAAGTGGAAGTGGATCATCATAAAGGTTTTCATCCTCATCATCTTTACATTGAATAGGCTGAGGAGGAGGAGGAAGAGGAGGGGTTGGTCTTGTTGTCTTGTGGGTGGCAGAGGTGGAAAAGAATCCATGTATAGGTGGACCCACATAGTTCAAACCCATGTTGTTCAAGGGTCAACTGTATATATAATATGCTGCACACATGCATGCACACATATATACACTTGCTTAGAAGTTCATAGAGCATCTCTGAAAGACTATCAGAGGAACTGCTGACAGTAGTTATAGGCTGGGCACAGTGGCTCACAGGTATAATCCCAGCACTTCGGGAGGCCGAAGTGGGTAGATCACTTGAGCCCAGGAGTTCAAGACCAGCCTGGGCAACATGGTGAAATCCTGTCTCTACAAAAATATACAAAAAATTAGCTGGGCGTAGTGGTGCACACCTGTACTCCCAACTATGCAGGAGGCTGACCTGGGAGGATCGCTTGAGTCCAGGAAGTTGAGGCTGCAGTGAGCCACGATCACACCACTGCACTCCAGCCTAGGCAACAGAGTGAAACTCGTCTCAAAAACCAAAACCAAAACAAAACAAAAAGCACAGTGGTCATATCTGAGGAGCATAGTGGTCATATCTGAGGAGAGGAACTGGGACTTGGAGTACAAGAATAGGAAGTAAACTCTTCTCTGGGAGCTTTTGTGTTCTATATTATAGTTTATATTTATTTTTCCCATGTGCATTTTAAAACCATTACATTAAAATACAAAAAGTGCGAGGACAGTAGTGTATTAGAAGGCATACTATACTGATGGTCAGTTGACCTGAGCTGTAGTTTGTTTTTGTTACGAAGTCCCGTGATCTTTCCAGAACTCAGTGTCCTCTTCTGTGAAATGTGGACACTGACCTAGCTGGTCTCAAAGGCCTCTTTCAATTTTAACATTCCCCCATTCCATTGACTAACACAGAGATACTTTTATTGCAGAAGTGCTTCGGTCAGGCAGTATCTTTGAAAATAATTTGGCCAATGAAAGCCCTGGCATTGGATGAAAGTGCTAGCTGCTGGGAATGCTACCCCTCCTTTTGGTTCTCTTTCAAGTCCTTCAGGTATTACACTGTGCTTTCCCTGAGACAATAAACTGAAACAACTGATTTCTTTAGCTTCACAGTTTGAAACTGTGGCTTTTAATATAACCTCACATTTGAAATATTTTAGGCCTATTTTTCTTTAGGATCGGGTAGGTTTAAATCTCTGACAGATTGACCAAATCTCATTACCCCCTATTATACTATACAATGAAAGCTTATTTCCTAAGTGTTTCCACATTTTATGCTCACATTCACATAGATCTAAGTGGCCGAAACATTTAACTAAATGGACTATTCATACAATCTTATTTCCGGGCTGGTCATCTATGTCAATGATAACAGTAGCATTCATCGCATGGCTATGAATCTGAATCTTTAAAAAAAAAAAGAGAGAGAGAAAGAATAATTATTTAAATCTAAACTATGCTCAGACTAGTGATTTAAAAGCTTTTTTAATTAAAAAGTAATTTATGTTCATTTTCAAAGGTTCAAACAATACAGAAGTGTATAAAGTAAGAATTGGAAGTCTCTTCGCTGCTCTAATCTCACTCCTCAGAGGTGATCACTGGTAAGTATGGTATATATCTTTTCAGGTACACATACACACACACACACACACAAACTTCACTTTTATAATAATGAGATTCTACTGAACATGCTGTTTTACAATTTGTTTTTGTACTCAGCAATACGTTGTTCTTGGGGTACACAGAGCTGTACCTCACTCTTTTTTTTTTTTTTTTTTTTTTTTGAGACGGAGTCTCACTTTGTCACCCAGGCTGGAGTGCAGTGGCACAATCTTGGCTCACTGCAAGCTCTGCCTCCCAGGTTCACGCCATTCTCCTGCCTCACCTCAGCCTCACAAGTAGCTGGGACTACAGACGCCCTCCACCACACCCGGCTAATTTTTTCTATTTTTTAGTAGAGACAGGGTTTCACCGTGTTAGCCAGGATGGTCTCAATCTCCTGACCTCATGATCCACCCGCCTCGGCCTCACAGTGTTGGGATTACAGGCGTGAGCCACCGCGCCCAGCCTACCTTATTCTTTAAAGGGCTATAAACTATTCAATCACGCTGATGAACTAGCATTTATTTGCATATTTTCTCAGTGTTGGACCTCTAGAGTTAGTTTCCATTTATATGTTGTGAGAAACCATGTTGTATTGAACTTAGACATTTGGCTAGAAGTTTTATAGAATGTTTTCCTTGAATTAGGGTTCTAGGCACTTCCTATATGCCAGGCACCAGTGTAAACACTTTACAAATATCAACTTTTAAAATTCCCATGACAACCCCATGAGTTATAGATACTATTATTATCTCAGTTTTGCAGATGATAAACTTAGGCTCAGAGAGGTTAAGCAACTTGTTTGAGATCTCATGGTTCTAATTGGTAGAGCCAGGATTGGAATCCAGGATCTCTGAATCCAGTCTGTCCTTAACTCATATGCATTCTGCTTCCTCATAGGATAGGTATATTTGGAATCTTGATAGATACTGCCAAGTTGTCCCTGAAAAAGGTTCTATCAATTTATATTTCCACAAACTGTATTTGAGTGTTCACCCATTTTCCTATTTCATTACCACTTTTAAATTTTTTTGCCAATTTGTGGTTGGAAAAATAGTATCAAATTATTGTTTTAACTTACAATTAATGCACCATTAACATTTATAATACTTAGCTTTTATTAGACCTGTACTACAATAAAATACATAAAAGAATTCTTCATCATTTCCAGATTATCATCCCAGAGCCCTCCCTGAAGCCCACACACAGCTTCTTCAGGAAATGCTGACAGCATGGTATACACATGGCTTCCATGTTTGTCATGGTTCCAAAGTTTGCTTTTGAAAGAGTTTAATTTCTTTCTTTCTTTCTTTCTTTCTTTCCTTTATTGGCTAAACTCCCCCCACAGGACCTGAGTGAGCAGAAGGCTTTTCAGAATTACAGCCTGAACTATTTCTTGAGCAATTTGGGAACTCATTTCTAAAGCAGTCCTCAGATTCACACAACGTAGTTTGTGACGGAGTATGCCCAGAGCAGGTAGGAAAGGCAAAACAGCATTTTGACACTGAGGGATTTAGCAGAAAGATCTGACCCAACAAGTAAAAACTCTTTTAAAGGTTCAGTCAAATTTATTCTCATCACACTCCTCTGGAATGCCCAACAGGCACATGTTTTGTCAATGAAAATTGTTTTCAATCTCATTGATGTTTTGTTTGGCAAGAACCATTTCTTTCAACGATTTCTTATTAATCATCTATAATTTTTCACTTCTGACAGTGTTATCACCAGTGCTTTCAGTAACTGCATACTTATAAAACAGCCAAACTTCAACCTGTGTTCAGTTTTTATCTGTTTCTTGGGAATGTAATTTGGACAAAAAAGTTACCAATGTATTTACAACCAAATTTCAGATCTTCAACATTACAGAGGGTAAGAAATGTGAACACAATGGAATTCTTCTATCATCCTTATTTTGTGAGATCTAATTACTGTATGCTCACCTTCCCAGTAATGTCATGTTAGCTTTCTCCCTGTCTTTGTGGCTTGTAGATTTCTGTCTCCAGGGGCATGGTTTGCATTGTGGTGATCCAGATATGGATAAGGCAACATCCAGTGTCTTAATAGGGTCCTGCCTTCCAAACAAATAATTCACTGTGGCTCTAAGATTGTGTCTTTCTGCATATGCCAACTGAAGCTGTTTTAGCCAAACTACCTTCTACATAGGCCTAGTGAAAATACCTTCAGGGCTAGATGAAGGTGTTTGGCATGCTTTTTCTTCCATGGTGGGGGCAACATTGGGCAGTGCTGCCTTCCTGGCTGTGAGCAGCTTGTGGGTCCCCAGGGACCATTTCACTGGACTTCAGCTTAAACATTGTTTATACATGGCCATCGATTTCCTTTACCAAGAGCTGCCAATCCAATGGCATTAGCCACACCTGCCATGCACTTCCACCCCTCCTCAACCAGGTGGTAAGCACAGGAGACGAACTGGTGTTAGGAGAAAAAGCCATACCGATGGTCCAGTGCAGTGGGATAGCCAGGAAACTTGTTAGAAATTCAATTCCCTGGCCCCACCCTACATCTCTGGGTGATTTGGATATAGGCCATAACATTTGAGAACTGCTGCTCTGGCTTAATACATCAGAATCTTCCACTTTATTATTTTATTTCCATATTTGTATATTCCTCTCTTCCCCTTTGACATTTTCTGTCATGGTTTTGCTTTCTAAATGTCTTTAAGCTGTCTTGTTGATGGGGGTGCACCCTGACGAATGGTGTGCTGGCAAAGATTTAACAAAAGGCTCCAGAGGAGGGCAGACTTGAAGTGGAGCCTTCAGTGGGCAGTGTGAAGGGTGCTGATTTCAAACAACTCATCTGGTATGACTGAACATGAAGTTGGGAAGAGATGTGCATAATTGAAGTGGGTGAGAGCCAGTCCAGCACCCTGCAGAGAGGTAACAATAATTTTGTAGGTACTTCCTCAAATTTAACTCAATGGAGGTTTAGATTGGGTTTAGATTGAGTCATTAGTTGCAGGTCATTTGTTGAATCATTGAATACTTTTGGTTGTTAAGGTGACTGAAATACTCAGTTGATGTCCTTTAAGATCACTGAAAATATTTAAAATCAGCTTACATATGGTATTTTGGAAATGCCACATACGTAATGGATTAAAACCCACAACTATATTTGCTGCCTTTCCTATGCATGTCCTGTCAAAATTATTTTTTGGTGGACTATAAGCCCTAAAACAACATGGACCTTGTTTTCCTCTCCATTATATTCTCATTACTTATACTCAGCATTGTTTAAAAAAAAGTTTGTTGATGTAATAAATGTGCAGTTGATATAATAATGTAATAAATGTATACTGCCATAACAAACTACGACAGACTAGGTGGCTTAAACAACATTTATTTCCTCACAACTTTGGAGGCTAGAAGTCCAAGATCAAGGTGTCTGCAGGTTTGGTTTCCTCTGGGGCATTTCCCCTTGGCTTGTGGATGGCCATCTTCCACCTGGGTCTTCACAGTCTTCCCTTTGTACATGTTTGTGTCCAAATTTCCTCTTCTTATAAGGACATCAGTTGTATTAGTCTGTTCTCACACTGCTAATAACGACATACCTGAGACTGGGTAATTTATAAAGGAAAGAGGTTCAATGGACTCACAGTTCCACATGGCTGGGGAGGCCTCAAATCATGTCAGAGCGCAAGGAAGAGCAAAGTCATGTCTTACATGGATGGCAGCAGGCAAGAGAAGATAATGAGAGCCAAGCAAAAGGGGTTTCCCCTTATAAAACTATCAAATCCTGTGAGACTTATTCACTACCACAAGAACAGTATGAGGGCCAGGCATGGTGGTTCATGCCTATAATCCCAACATTTTGGGAGGTAGAGACGTGTGGATCACTTGAGGTCAGGAGTTCAAGACCAGCCTGGCCAACATAGTGGAACTCCATCTCTACAAAAACACAAAAATTACCTGGGTGTGGTGGCACGTGCATGTAATCCCTGCTACTTGGGAGGCTGAGGCAGGAGAATTGCTTGAACCCGGGAGGTGGAGGTTGCAGCCAGCTAAGATTGCACCACTGCAGTCCAGCCTGGGAGGCAGAGTGAGACTCCATCTCAAAAAAACAAAACAAAACAAAAAAGAATGGTATGAGGTAAACCACCTCCATAATTCAATTATCTCTCACCAGGTCCCTCCCACAACATGTGGGAATTATGGGAGCTACAATTCAAGATGAGATTTGGGTGGATATACAGCCAAACCATATCACCAGTCATATTGGATTAGGGCCCACCTGAATAACCTCCTCTTAATTTATTACTTCTTTAAAGACTTTATCTCCTCATACAGTTATATTCTCAGGCACTGGGCGTTAGGACTTCAACATATGAATCTAGGGGAGAGGGGAGATATAATTCAGCCCATTACAGTAATGATCAAAACTTCTATATTTTAAGGTTCTAATTGCATAAGGAAAAAACAAAACATCAATTGTGAATTACAAGTATATTACACATATACATTTATGTTTACCTCGATATTATAACTTGTATTGATACAGCCTTATCTAAGAAGTGACAAACTAATATTTTATAAATTGCAAAAGTATCTCTCCCACCTCTCCCCTCATCTCATACTGCCTTATTTTTGTTGCATGAGGTTTTTTTCCTGCCAAATGAGTTAGAAGAGTGGAAGAGATGGAAATGTAGTTTGCATATACAGAAAAATTAGGTATTGAAACGTATGTACACATACTATATATATAACATATACGTATCTTGTGCTGTAAGAATAAAGTGTGGGCAATTTATCCTAGCACATACTTTCACTGTAAGGAAAATATCATTGGGGAGATTCAACTGCAAAAGTCTGATCTCACATTTCTGAGATTATTTTTTGATCTGATGACTATGAGAACAACACAAAAGTTCAAAGTGTGGAAAGTTTATAGAGCCTTTGGGGTGTCATTTTCTTGGGAAGGAGTAGGCTCCAAAGAAGCTAGAACTTTCTGGGTTGAGACATAACTCCTCTGTAGTCTTCACGCTGACCAACTATGAAGAGGGCATCACGACACCTGACTTCTGGCCAGCTTCTTGTTTTTTCCTTATTAACACTCTGTCATCTTAAATCCTGTGGTGACGTAAGTGAATCATTACACAACACTTTGATTTTGATTTTACACTACAGGTTTTTTGTTTGTTTGTTTTTAGGGTAGGTGTAATTTTTTTGTTTCTTGTTGGGATTACTATCAGATTTTTAAAAATTATTTATTTTATAGCTTTTTAAGTTGGGGTTCTCTTTTGATCAGTCAGCTTTCCTTTAGAGATCCCCAGAATAATTTCAACATGCCTTGAGGGCATATGTTCTTATAATATAATAGCATGACTAAGTGGTTATTGGCCACCAACCTAGCACAGTGAGGCATGCTGTTATTACACAATTACACACATCCTGGTGTGTGTCTTATTATGTAATTGTAATTCAAAGATGCTGCTGAAAGCAATTACATAAGTCCTGTTCATTTCACAGAGAATCGAAAGGGCAGAAGTAAAGCAGAGTCAAGCTCCTAGGCATTGAGGGCAGTCATTCTTTCTTTACTTATTTTTGAGACAGGGTCTCACTCTGTCACCCAGGCTAAAGTGCAATGGTGCAATCTCAGGTCACTGCAACCTCCACCCTTGGGGCTCAGGTGATCCTCCCACCTCAGCCTCCCAAGTAGCTGGGGCCACAGGCACGCACCACCATGCCCAGCTTTTTTTTTTTTTTTGTATTGTTGGTAAAGATGGGGTTTTACCATGTTGCCCAGTCTGGTCTTGAACTCCTGAGTTCAAGGAATCTGCCTGCCTCAGCCTTCCAAAGTCCTGGGATTACAGATGTGACCAACTGCGCCTGGCTGGGCAGCCGTTCTTTAGATGGTATGTCACATCTCTTGATAGAAGATTAGGTGACCATTCTCAGGGCATTGAATTGGCACATTTTGACCTTCTTATCCAACATTTCTTTTTTTCCCAGACAGCAAGCAACAATAGCAGCACCGTAATTTGTCGTTTTATATTTACTTTTAAGGTTTTCAATAAAGTAAAATGGAGTGATACAGTGATGATATTCTCTGCCTCTCTAGTCGGACTTTGAATTTTTATTCTGTGTGTCCAGGGGTATGACACATCTTGAATTCCAGGAGGACTTTGAATTTTTATTCTGTGTGTCCAGGGGTGTGACATATCTTGAGCAAATAAAATAAAGCTTACCTACTCCAAGTATAATAGAAACCTAGAAGACAGGGCAAGGAGAGTTGCTTCTATTACTCAGTGTAGCTCTCGGAGTCAGATAGCAAGGACCACTGGTTATACACATTGGGATTCCCTACTGTCAGACTATCCCTTAAGGTTCTCTTCTGATGAAGGTTTTTGCATAGGTGTGCACTTCTGCAGAGGGGCTGGAAACTCCGCCAGGTAGAGTAGGAATTTTTCAACCTGCTCTATGGTTGTCCAGTTGAGGATGTGTTTGTGTGGTTTCTAAAACACATCGAGGAGCCATATAACAGGAGCCAATACTCATTTTTTTTTTGAATGAATGACTTGAGAAAGCAAGCTGCTTCCTCTTTTCTCTTTTTCCAATTTCTCCTCAAATCCCAAAGGATCTTTGAATATCACTGAGTTACTTGACAGGTTAGTGTCCAGTGAATTTACAAGAATTTGGTTTGGAAAGAGCAGGCTGTCTTCCTATGTGATAAGGAGTCCCTAGATAGCAGTGCCTTCTCTTGAGAATGCAGCTAAGCACACTCACAATTGTGCCTCTGTGCAGGGGATATCCCAAGTGGCCAAAAAGAGAAAGCAAAGCATGGAACCAGCTATTGAGTCTGTAATTTTATTGTGAAAACTTGGTACCAGTGTGATGGTAGATCATAAGTTTCTTGAGGACAAGGAGTGTGTCATTAATTTTGTGTCTCCAAGGCCAAGCCCAGGATTTGATGTATAGGAGATCTTTAAAACATGGTCCCTGCAATGGTTAATTTTATGTGCGACTTGGCTAGGCCCTGGTACCCAGATATTTGGTCAAAGATGTCTGGATATTGCTGCAAAGGTATTTTTTAGAAGAGATTAACATTTAAATCATAGACTGAGTAAAGCAGCTTAGCCTCTGTGATGGTTAATTTTATGTGCCATAATGTGAATGGACCTCATCCAATCAGTTGAAGGTCATAAGGAAAAGGCTGATCTCCACTGAGGAAGAGGAAATTCTGCCAGCAGACTGCCTTTGGACTCAAACTGCAACATCAGCTCTTCCCTGAGTCTCCAGCCTGCCCACCTAACCTGCAGATTTTGGACTTACCAGCCTCCATGATTGCATGAGCCAATTCTTTATGAATGAATGAATGAATGAATGTCTTCAACATCTTTGCTTTACTCTGATGCTCTCCCCTACCCCCACAATTCCAGTGAAGTGAGGAAAACTATTTTGCCAAGCCAAAACTTTGGATCTTTGCCCTAAAATCCCAGAGTCTTCCCTTTAAATAGAGAGTGAAAGCCCTGATACTGACAAGGATAAGACAGGGGAAAGATAATTTGGTGGGGGGGTGTTGAGGGAGGAGAAGAATTCACCAACTCCCCTCAAAATCTCTGATTTCATATTTACTGTTAATATCCAATGTAAAAACAGTTGGCTTGATTTAAATGTCTTTGTTGGTTTCCCAAGCCCCATCACCACCACCACCACCGGCTCACCCTGCCAAGGCCTGAGATGCTGAAGACCACTTTTCAGCCTGATGTAATTTCTAACAGCTGAGATACTAAACACTGAAAAATGGGGTTTATAATGGAAATGCTGACAGACTATTAACTATAGCAGCACTGCTCTAATAAGTGGAATGGCCTATCTTAATCTCTAGTTCATAAATATGCAAATACAAGACTGGAGATTTGCTCCAAAAAATGTCTCTATAATTTTAACTGACCTTTACTGATACCAAATGAGCCTGTTGCTTCAGTTTTTGTACGCTGGATATAAAGTACAGGAGATCCAGACGCCTGTCGGCCTAAAGTATATAAAGTTTAAACTGCCAGCTACTAAACTCTGGGCTCAGATTCCATTTCTCTTCACATTCACAGTCTTTATTGACATTTTCATTTTTTTTTCCCCAGGGGGTGTAAGCCGAGTCGGGGCGGGGCGGGGGGAACAAACCTTGTTCATCCCCCTTCCCCCACGACATTACTTCCACATTCACAGCGCCTGCCCAGCCAAAATTCATGGATCGCCTCAAGGACAAACAGGCCATCTACACTGAATTATAAATTTGAGTTTTATCCAGTTTTCTGCCTTTGGACCAAATGGGCAGCAAATCCAGTGACTTCATATTTAATAACCTAGATGTCATTTGTACTGTGTCTTTCAGCACAGAGTAAAGAATTGGATGGCTAGCAGTTTTGCAGATTTTTCCCCCTAATTATTTGAAGCTGTTCAGCCTGGTATTCGAACTATTGATGCAGAGCCAAATTGCCAGCAGGGGAGAGATCTGTCCAACCCAGGAGCTAAATGAGTCACTGAGAGTCAATCTGTTTTTCCCTTGCTGCTGGGGTTTCCTCTGGCCCTGGCCTCTCTGTCTCTCTGCTCCAGTCAGACACAGAGCTGCGGGCTCAGCCCTCATTGGCTCCTATCGCCTCCCATTCCCCTCCTCAGCCCTGCTTGCTGCAGCTGTTGATGGGGTCTGACTGGCTGGCTGCGGAGATTCAGGGCCTCAATGACACCATAGTTGAGGCCTTGCTTTGACAGAAAATGAAGACATCTTTGCCTTGTTGCATTTGCTTCTCCAGTAATACATCAGGTATCTGGAGAGTAAGGCCCACAAGCAGAGTGTGTTGTTGGGGTGCGATGCCAGTTCATCAATTCCCGACGTCCAGTTTTCAGAGTGCTCTTCTACTTTTCCTAAGTCCAAATGGAGTCCTTGGTGCCAGAATCCTGCATGTGGTCATAAAATAACAAAAATAAAGGTCTGTGGATGTGCTGGAGGTAGTGGCAGGGCAGAATGCCACCAACATAAGCCAGGCTTGCTGGAGTGGTCACTCTTCAAGCATTGGAGAAAAATTCACAGTGCTTCTAATAACATATTTTTTTTTCCAGTAGAAACATTTTATTTCTAACAACATTTACTTAAAAACAAAATTCTTGTATTCTTCATGTAGGGTCAGTATTCAATTGCACAAAAATATGCAGCCAACTTAAGAACTATATATAAGATTAAGACACCTGGTATTTCATGGTAAATGATTAAATTAACTAACACAGTTATATCCTGAACTTTGCCATTAGGAATGACAATTTTGTTCGATATGCATTGAGGATTGTGGGTAATCTAAACTGGTATGAGCTTTTTCTCTTTGAAACTCAAACAGAATTAAGGAACAGCATTCTCTGCAAACAGAATATGGAGTTTGAGAACAGCCACAAAAAATTCTCTTGTAGTAAGCTGAACTGCCCTAGGAGTACTCAGGAATTAGACAACTCAGGAATTAGAGAATTAGAGAACTGGAGAAATGAGGGGGCGTGGATAGTAGGGAGAGAAAAATTGATTAATTGATTTACTATATTTTTCAAATAGAAGTATCTGGGAAAATAAGACAAAACAAGCAGAGTTGTTTCTTTTTCACAGTGAAGCCCCAGAGGGGTGAAAGCTTTGTTCTCCCTGGGTAGCAAGCTCTTTTTCCACATTTCCGACTGCATATTCCATATTTATGATGATTTTTGGTCTCTCTGTTCCTGGCTTGCTAGGTGGCAAGGGCAGTTAGAGAAAAAAGGCAGATTTATGAAACACAGAAAAATTTCTGACTGAAATCAGGCTTGGATTTGTGAATCACTGTTTTTTCCCCCTGTGGTCACTCCTGTGATGAGGTCAACTGCTTCAATCCTTTAGGTTTTGTAGACAGGTTTCCGGATTCCAGGAGTCCCAGAAGGTCCAGGGAGCGCTCCCCACATTTTAGCCAGAAGTAATTAACTAAAACATAAAGGCCCCACTTTCTCTTTTCACACTTTGAGCCACAGATCATCTAATTCCTAGCTTGAGACATCAGATTTCAGATCATTAGTGCAAAGCATCTTCCACAGGAGGCAATAAAATGTCACTTTATGTAACTCAGCTACAGTTACACTGCCTTCAGAAAGCAGGAATCTCCCTGAAAACAAATTTACATGAAAACAGTCCCATTGTTTGAGAATTTATGCAAATGTTGCACAAAGGGGTTTGATAGTGATTTTAAAAACTTAAATCTTTATCACTGCCTCAAAGATATCCTGAGAAACTTGGTTACCTCTAAAGAATTCCATTGCACTTATTTTTTAAAATGCCTATAATATAGAGTTGTTTTAAAAATTTTCCCTAAACTCTAAACTTCTTTCTCAGCTTCAAAGCCTTCCGTAATGAATATCCTAAAGAGAGCCTAGTGCATATTGGTTTAACACTTACTAGGATCACTCATTACTAGTTAAGAAAATTGAAGATAACAACCATAGCACCAAGTATTTTGAACAACATAAAATGTTTCTCCCGTGGGTGTAGCTCTTAGGGACCGCATGGGGATACACACCCCTCAGTGCTCAATCAGCAAAAGATGAAGCTGTAAGTGTCTCAATCCATGTTGATTGACTCTGAACTCCCCAGTGTTAGGAATCTGGATGTGTCCATTACTGCATGTTCAAACAATGAACTGCCTGCACCAGAAATCTGATTTCTGTAGAAAGACATTAAGGGGCTGGGTGAGGAATAGGGTGTCAACCAAACGTTGTGATATTTTCCTTTGATTTTCACTTTCTTTAAATTCTTTTCCATTTACTACCTAGTGACTGTCTGGCATTGGTACCCTCAGTTTCTTTTCTTCTGCTTTTCCTCCTAATTCAGTGTGGAAGATGATCAAAGTATGACATTTCTTCTACCCCAGAGGCTGGCATTTCTGCAGGCACAAATGAGCTTGGTTTTCAAGCACTGCTCTTTGAACACAAGGAATTCCTTTAATGATCACGCCGGACTATATAGACTTTGGAATCAGACTCTTTGAATTCCAGCTCTGCCATTTACCAACTTTGACACTTTGGGTAAGTCCTTTTAACCTCTTTAAGCCTCAGTTTCCTTTTCTGCAAACAGGAATAATGATAACTAACAATAATAATAATAATCCTTTCTCATTGATTAAAAATAAACTGAGCTGCAACTGCTATTCGTATGCTCTCAACATATGTGTGTGTGAGTATATATTTATTTTATATAGGTACCAATATACTATATACAGTATGATGTAAATAATAAAATGCAAAAAAGTAAACTAAATAATAAGGTTACAAAATAAACAAAAACAAATAATTTAATATTTTCTTTTTATCCTGCACAAATACTGGGAGCATTACTTCCACTTTCAATAACCTTAATGCATGTAGTGTGTTTAGCAGGCTGCATAGCACAAAGTAGTACTCAGGATATGTTAGGTTATTACTTATGTTCATGCCTAAGGAAAAGTTTAATTGGCGAAACTTCAGTCATTCCTGCAATGGAGAACATTCTGTTTCCTTTGGCTTCTTTTTTGACGTGACTTTGCTCTTATATAAGCAGCAGAGAATGGCTGAGTTGTAAGTCAAACTCTTCCAACATGGAAGAAACTTATTGCACAGTTCTGGTCAGCATTTTTTTTCTGCTCAGGTGTGCTCTACATTCACAATTATTTTCCACAAGGTTTCCTGTTTGAAGGAGGATTGGTGACTTCCCTTCCTTCAGACAAGCAATGATAACACAGTTGTGTTCCCTTGTGTGAGTCTGGGGTGACGTTGGCTCCTTGAGAAATGAAAACTTTATCATAAGAATCTGTGAAAATGGGGAAAATGGGAAAAGGAGGACAGATTCAAAATTGGAGGAAAACAGGAAAATCTCTCTTCATCTTTTCTAATTGTTCTTTTAATGAAATCAGTACTGCCCTTTGGCATTAATGATCGTATGCGAAAGGTAAGACACATTGATTTTGGATTTTATTGTTGTAGCATGGAGTATAAGTCTAGATATTTGTATAAATATTCTTGGTAGTGATGCTTCTAATTTCACACTCATTTATTTGTTATTCCTAAGCATTGGTATATATGCTTAGCATTTACATCTATGTCAGGCCCTGTGCTACTTTGAGTGTGAATTTATCTTCTGAACAAAGAGAAGCAAACCAAGGGAAATCCGGAAGCAAATCTAGCAAATCAGAAGCAAATCTTGCAAATGAGGAACACAAGATTTGCTAGAAAATTTAATGTGAACCAAGTAGTGATTGACCTTACATTTAAAAATTAGTATCAACCTTTCTTCTTGGAAGATCATTTCTTTTTTCTTTTCTTTTCTTTTCTTTTTTTTTTTTTTTTTGGACAGGGTCTTGCCCTATTGCCCAAGCTGGAGTGCAGTGGTGCCATCATAGCTCACAGCAGCCTCAACCACCTGGGCTCAAGTGACCTTCCCACCTCAGCCTCCTGAGTAGCTGGTACTACAGGCACATGCCACTATGCCCTCCTAATTTTTAAATTTTATTATCTTCTGTAGAGATGGGATCTCACTATGTTGCCCAAGCTGGTCTTGAACTCTTGGGCTCAAGTGATCCTCTCATCTTGGCCTCTCAAAGTGTTGGGATTACAGGCATGAGCCACCATACCAGGCCTTGGAAATTCTTTTATAACCTAAAATGTAAAAGCTTGGCAAAAATCTTAAAATATTTTTAAAAATCAAGGAATTAAAGGCAGAATAGAAATTTGCATTAATCTTGAGAAAAGTACTCAGTAAGTGCTCAGTAAGTATTTTAATTATGTTTTGGTTATTCTGGATCCACCGGGTGTCCAGGCTTAGAGATTTCCTTTATGTTCAGCCTTTTCTGTTGGCTTCACTCTTCTTGAAGCATAAAATCTTAATGTAGGCAATGGTGATGTGAGTGTGTTTGCATACTTTTTTTGTTCTTCTCTTGTTTCTGCACACAGAAAAGACCACATTTCCTGGTACTTAGGGGACTTGTGACTTGCACTAGCTAATGGGCTATAAACTGAAGTGGGACAATGTACATTCTGGGCCTAGGCATAGAAGAATGCTATGAGGTCCTCTTTGTCTTCTACAGTAGGGACATGACCAGATGGTGTAATCACCTTCAGCCTGGGTCCCTGAGGAACTACCTGGAGTTGCTCCTGGTGCCTGAGTAGCCCTAGGAGCAGAGCATCTCACTAACTTGTGATGAGCATGTAGTGAAACAAAATAGAAACCTTTGTTTTGATGATCCACTGGGATTTTAGGGTTAATTTGTTACCTCAGCATAATCCGGTCTATCCTGAGAGTTGCGGGGTTTTTAGTTTTTATGTTTTTATTTTTCCTAGAAAAAGCAGAGATGTCTAGATCTTTCTCTAAAAATGTTCTACTCTGAGAAATTGTGAGCAAAGTACCACGATTTAAAGCCATCAGGGGACTGAAGTGAGACCAACTTATGAAAAGATCAAGCAAAAGGACTCAAATATTTGAAATAAACATACACGTCCTGCTGGTCAAGTGTGCACATTGGAGAGTCAGCACTGTGTAGTGATTCTTTAAGGGATTCATCTAGGGAATTTGAATTGTGACAAGACTTTAACTTCATGAAAGATGAGGAAGAGTGCCCATTCAGGCTTTTAAAAGTGAGAAATAAAGGGTGACTTTTTAGAATGAGGTTTTCAGAACTTGAAAATAAAGAATTTGTACCACAAATATCTCTAGGAATGATGATCACTTAGGTCTCTGAGAAAAAGATCCACAAGAGTGAACCACAATTGGAAGCAAACAGAACTTATCAACACAGGAAAGTCCAGAGGGAAAATAACATTTTGGGTAAGAGCTCTCAAGTGTGTATCGAAGAGCTCCTAGTGTAACATTTTTCGTCATTGAGCTAATCTGGCATTATATAGGATGAAATCATTTTCTTAAATTGCTAACTAAGAGATGTCATGGAATAAAGCCCCTATGAGTAGAGTGGATATAATCAATATTCTAAGTTTGAAAGATAGTGACATTTCTGATTCCCCTAGCAGCCTGGAAGTGGTGGTTGCATGGCAGGCTCTAAGGCTGACTTGTTGACCTGTGAGGCTCTTTAAAATGTACTTTTAAGGCTGCTTTCTCCCTAATCTTAAACACTTGACCTTTGAGTCTGATATTCTTCAGTATTATTAGATTAGATGATTAGTTATTAAATATACTGTCTCCAGCAAATAGGTAATTGTGTAATGCAATGGCCCTCAGCCTTTCCAGGCCATGTTCCCAAGACATTTAGAGTTAGAACACTGAGTCCTTTTGTAGTAGGAATCTTTAACCCTTTCTGTGGGTCGAAGAACGTACAGGGGTTTCCCTAGGTCTCAAAATCAGCTGACTGACGAAGGGCAGTAAAAAATGTAGAGTGTCACATGTTTTTGAGAGCCATAAAATTCAAAGATCACAGAACTTTTATCACATTTATGCCCACATAAGACTGAGTAATACATACACCAAGATTTTCCCTGTGACAAGCTGGGTGTGATGAACAAATCTAGGTCCTTCCCAGGCTTTATGTTGGGAGTTTGAGAAAAGCTTAAGCACTGTTTTGCAACCAAAAGCATGCAGGTGTTAAAGTTTTAAATGTCTCTATTGCTTCTTGCCAAATTTTGCCTGGCATGAAGGGTTGGGGATGGAGAGGGGACGAAGAATAGAGGGAGGGACAGGATCTAGCATATTTTGATTCCTTAATATATGCAAAGCACAGTGCTAGGCATTTTACATATACAGATTCATTTAATCGTCCCCTAAATAGAAATAAAGTTTGTGTTATTAGTCCTCATTTTGCATTTAAGGAGCCTGAGGCTCAGAAAAGATAAAGTTGCCTAAGTCCAAACAGCCAGTAATTGAATTAGAATTTGAACTTGAGTTTGAAGTTCTTATTCTTTCCAATGTCTCACAATGTCTTTATTTTATTAAGTGCCTACTACATATAGATAAGGTGTTACTCATGTTGGCAGAAAAGGTAAGATGGTCAGGAAAATCTAGGAATGAATTATCCATGTCCTGTTTTTTAATTCAGTGTTTTTGGTAGCACAGTGTAAGGAACACAAAAGTACTGAGACACAATGATCTCTCCTTAAATTCGAAGCCGTAACCTATTTGAGAAGGCAAAGCATCATGTATCAAAGAATTCCTAAATTGGATGCTATGAATAAGTCCAAAAGTTCCCAGAGGTAGAGTAGAATACTCTGATCTTGTAAAATAGCCAAGATTTGGATAGAAAGGGCATTTCAGGTACACGGCATGGGAAGCCATGAACTGAGGAGTGATGGTTTTGCAGAAAGACCAGCCTGGCTGGGGAGGAGGAGCTGACTGCTCTGATTACCTTCCCCTGCCCTGGTCTAGACTGGTCCTCTGTGCTCCTCTCTCATTGCCTTTATCACACCCAGATAATTAACCACATGTGATGTATGTGCATCCATCTTCCCCTGTGAACTCCTTGGGAATAGGGGCTGCCACCTATTCACCTTCTTATTCTCAGTGCTTAAAGCAGTCCATAAAGCCCATTAGGTGCTCCATAAATAATTGTGAAGTAGATGGATGGAAAGATGGATTTAGATGAAAGGATGAATAGTGGATGATACATTTAGAACAAAAAAGGGAACCAAATTGACACAGAGGCAGGAAAAATGTTGAGCCAGATATGACAGTAAAAAGTTCTTGACTGAGTGTGTAAACAAATACAAATAGTATTTATGAGTGGGTTAGAATGATGAAAGACTAGGAGAACTGAGGTGATTAGAGCATGCATCAGTGAAAGTGAGAATGAGGAAGAATGAGGAATTGAAGTCAGAGAGTAGGGAGCAACCATGGGCTTTGGTTAGAGCTCTGATGGAAGGGAGAGGAGAGAATGGGCATCCTCTAGGAAGAAATGTGGGGTGCAGGGAAAAGGATATTGTTTTAGGAAATAATGAGGACACTTCTAGACACATTGAAAAATTGTAAAATGAGCTTAAATGATGATACTGAGCATTAAGTGCTAAGAGGGGCATTCAGGGTGACTTTAAGTATTTTGGAAAATATATGGAAAGAGGCTGGGAGTAGAGATGTGGATGGCTGGACAGAGTCAAGATTCTACCTGTTGCAGTCAGAGTCCAGATGTGTCTAGGGGTGAAAGATTGCCTCACCAACTCCTGGAGATTATGGATTCTCCCTGGAAGCCACAGGAAGTTTGAGGTATGAAATGATCCATGTGACTTAATTCACCATGAGATTTCCTAAGGCCTTGGTGTGGGATTTCAATCTCCCATTAATCAAATTAAATTAATTTTTGAAGCCTCTTGACTGATGGTGAGTGAATCCCAGACAAAGGCATCCCAGTGGGCTACCAGTGCCTCAGATTTCTACCCTGCTTGACTTGACCGCGTGTGCGTGCACACACACACACACACAATTAAGGTTAGGGTTGGAACAAAGAGAAAGGCACACACAACACATACATTTCTAGCCATTCTGAATTTCTAGCAGTTCTAGATGGTCTTAGGTCAGCAAAGGATTCTTGCACTCAACATTCAGCCAAAACAAGGCTAGTGTTCTTATCATAGCACACCCCACCCGCATAGAGACAAGAAACATTAGCTAAAGGATGTTCAACTCTCCTAAAACCACGAGCCAAGCCCAAATCATGACTCAGAAATCCAGACCTCAGTCATTTCTCCTGCTCATGAAGGCATTCCTTTTTTGAACTGGAAACAAACTCATAAATAAACATCTCCTTCCTCAGTGCCCCCAAACAACTTGATGGACAGAGAACTCTGCATTTTATAGGAAATGTTTGCAGATTTTTATGGTAAGTTTCCAAAAATAAAAGCACAA
The DNA here is from genome assembly GCF_000001405.40 of Homo sapiens. Classification (NCBI taxonomy): domain Eukaryota; kingdom Metazoa; phylum Chordata; class Mammalia; order Primates; family Hominidae; genus Homo; species Homo sapiens. Next base: position 146,522,232 of record NC_000001.11, read on the forward strand.
ACATTTCTCCTCACATATATTTGTTAAGATAGTTACTGGTCCAAGTAGGAATACATATCATCCTGAAGGTAGAGAATGCACCAGGATCAGATCTTACCCATTTTCATAAACACCATGGAGCATAGTTAGCTCAGAATCCTACAGAGTCCACTTGGCTCAGACCCACACTGGTGCTTCAGGATAGTTTAACGTTTGGGGAACAGGTTCCCTTACTGACACATAGCATAATTAGGCATAATGTCTTAAGCGAACATATTAGCTCGGGCTTTTAACAGTGTGCAAGCCTCAGCTTCCGCAATAACAACCTAATCTTGTGTGGGAGCCATCTCAGGCTTCACTTGAACACAGGCACTGTTGTCCACCCACAGATAAAGCTTGGAATGGTTTTATTTATATCGTCCTTGTTAGTCATGCAATCTGTGCGCAAACAAAACAACATTATTCTTATCTCTTTGGAAAGTTTAATTCATTAGCAATTAAAAACTGGTGCAGAAGAATGGCCAGGCACCTGGAAAAGGCTCTTCCTAGCACAGCACACCCCGAAAGAGCAGTTTGTGGGAGCAACTTTCACCAATAACAACACAGTGACATTTGCTGAATTGTTGCACAGCCTTGTTTTTGATAAATAGTTTAGCCATGTAAGGATTATGCCACGGTAATTAAATAAGATAATGTAGCCAACAATCTCTTCAAAAGTACCTCGTTGAAACTTGCTGTTCTCAGGCCCTCGCCAGAGCCTGTTCCTGCTGTCTGCTCCCTGCCCACTCTCTTGTCTGGCTTGTTTTTAGGGGAGGTTGCGTCTGGGTCAGGTTCCTGTTGTTGTGACAAAGGCTTCTTAGTAGGAGGAATGCCTTGGCCCTAGAAGCTGGTTAAGGTCTACAGATTGAGTGAGTCCTATTTGGAACAGGGATGGGCCTTACAGTATTCTTTGCCATCTTAAGGTCAGGGAACTTAAGAATAGCAAACCTGGACTACTCTGTCAAAAGGTCATGCTCAGTCGGGCCTGACGGGGTGCTCCTGTAGTCCCAGCTACTCCGTAGGCTGTGGTGGGTGGATCAGTCGAGCCCAGGAGTTCAAGTCCAGGTTGTGCAACATAGCAAGACCTTGTCTCAAAAAAAAAAAAAAAAAAAAAAAAGAGTCATGTTCAATGCAAGATGTTAATAATAGAGGAAACTGTGGGAGTAGGGGTAGGGTAGGAAGAGGGTATATGGGAACTCTTCATACTTTCTGCCTAACTTTCCTGTAAACCTAAAACAACTCTAAAAGGTAGTCTATTATTAAAAACAAAAGCAAGTCAGGCTCGCCCATGGCTCTGAGATGTGAGGGTCCAAGATTTATTTTTAAAAGACTTTTCTTCTTCTCCATAAGAAGTTCAACAAGCAAGCACTGATATTTGGAGGGCTACACCCAGGACAGGGAATTTGAAACAAAACAGTCCCCTGGCTGCCTTCATTGGTGGCAATCCATTCATGTGGAAAGTGAGACTTGACCCAAATGAGGGGACCTCTAGGTTTAGCACCACTTGACCTTCGTCTGACCCTGGAATAAACAATACATCTACTCTTTAGTTTGGCATTGCATGGGTCAACTTGTTACTTAAATATTTTACTTTCAGCTGCTTAACTTTATATAGGTCAGCCTCAGTGTTGTTAAAAAAATGTTGCTAAAAATAATAAACAGTTTTGGAAATAGAGTACATCTAAAACAAATAAAGTTAACGTAGAATAATACATCTTAGGGCTAGTAGGGACTTCAGTTATCATTTGCTGCAAATTTTGCCTGCTCTTAAATAGGCATGAAAGAGTTAAATAATGCAGCCCCAGCAGGGCAGGTAGTAGAAGTTTTTTAATCCCAAATGCTGCCCCCGGGGGTAAGAGGAAGAGATATTTGATAATCCAAAGCAGAAAGTAAATATGGAATAAATTACTTCCACGTAACTGGGGAGATTATTTCAAGTAGATTGCAACTTGGAAATGGATCGCTTCTTTTCAAAACCTAGGGTGACCTGCAAATTTCCCATCCTGGTTTCAAGGTGGCACCAAGGGAAGGAGCAAGTCCTGGCTTTCAAGGGCACCTATAGCTGATATATTTTGTAAAGTCAAAGCTAACATCTTTAATATTTGCATTATTCAGATCCGTGCAGTAGTTAATAGGAACAGAAATAGAAAGAGACAGAGAAATGTGGCCAACAGAAAGACACTACCTTAAATGTTTGAGCTGTAACCTTTGGTAGATGGCAAACAGAAAACTCTTTGCAATTAATATAATTGCCCTTGTTCAAGGAAATAGTCAATTTGATTTGAAATGGGGTTGAAAAGCCTGGGAAGGGATCTGTGTGAGACACCTAAAAGAATTACTGTACATTTTTCCACGTAACGGGCCAATTTTCCCATTCTTTGGTTTTAGTGCTCCCTTTTATAGTCGGTATGACTATGCACCAATCCTATTTCCAAGTGGTAGTCTTTCTAATATTTGTCTTCTCCTCTTTTTTTTCAGACAACGTCTCATTCTGTCACCCAGGCTGGAGTGCAATGGCACAATTATAGCTCACTGCAGCCTCAAACACCTGGGCTCAAGCAATCCTTCCACCTCTGCCTCCTGAGTAATTGGGACTACAGGCATGTGCCACCACACCCAGCTAATTTTTAATTTTTAATTTTTTTGTAGAGATGGCGGTCTTGCTATGTCACCCAGGCTGGTCTTGAACACCTGGCCTCAAGTGATCCTCCGGCCTTGGTCTCTCAAAGCTCTGGGATTACAGACATGAGCCACTGCACCCGGCTCTATCTCCCCTTCCTATGTGTGTTAGCTCTAGAACAAGAGAAGCCTTGTTGAGATTCCTGGCTGCCCACCCCCCATCACCTCTCTGACTTTGGGCAAGTTGCCTGGCCTCTCTCAGCCTTTATTTTCTTTTTGTGAAATGGGGATAATAATAGTACTTGCCTCATAGGCAAAATGTTGTGAGAACTAAACGAGAAAATGCATGTAAAGCACTTGGCACTTAGTTCTTTTTATGATTATAATGATAATCAGACACAATAAATTATGTCTCACATCACATGCTGTTTAGCCTATTCACTGTTCTATTTTTCCTGAAGTCAGTTCAGTGTGTAGCATCCAGAATTGAACAAAACACCCCCGATGTGACCTGATAGTGCAAAGTAAACTATCATCTCCTTCATTCTAGGTATTATGTTTCTATTAATGCAGTCTAAAGGTAGGATATGAGTTGTTTTGTTTATGTATCTTTTTTTTTTTTTTTTCAGGGATGGGGAATGACTATCTCCAATTAAACTTCTCAGTAAAATCTCTCCTCTTGTGTGTTGTGCTTTAGTATTTAGTTTTGGATACTAGTGCAGGATCTTAAATTTATCCCATTACATGTGATTTCTTTAGTGTTAGTTCCTTTTCAAATCTGTATAAGCCATTCATTCATTCATTCATTCATTCATTTTAGAAAGTCAAACATATATTTATCATGAGCCAGCACAGTGCCAGTTATTTGCCATATTCTAAGATTTTAAACATTCATTGGCATTTTAATTGTGCATGATTTCTATACCTTCATCTGAATTGTTGTGTAACATATTTGGATAATACAGAGCTAAGGGCACAGGCAAAGAAATATCTTTAGAAACTTTCCTCTAGGCTCACCAGCACCCTTAGGGCACTGTCATTTAAATATTATGAATTAATCTTGTGTGGTATCATTTGGTACAAATTATTTTCCAGCTTGACCAGCAAGAAATCTTGAGACTTTCTCAGAATTCTTGTTCAAGTCAAGATTCCCTATATCTTTCTAGTCACCTAACTCAATATTCCTATCAAAATAAGATGAATCTGATGAGATTTTTTTTAAAAAGTGAAGTTAGGCTGGCTTGTTTCCTAATGGGCTGAGAGGACATATTCCCATTCCAGAATTTTGAAGAATCTAAGTGCACACAACACAGTGCCTAAAGCATGTCAGCTGTCTGTTTCGGATGCTCGTCCTACCACGTGTAGCATGGCGAAGACAGGAGTCAGAGGTTGGGAAGTTTAGCTAGGTGAAAAAGTCTGCCCTAGGGCATGCCCTTCCCACTACTGGAGAGCAGTTGCTTTACATTTTATTTTACCTAGCTTTTTGTAAATATTTCTCCCTTTCTGGGTTACTTGTGATCAAGGGGCATGGACTTACTCATCTCTTATAATTCCAATCAGTGCATGACACATCATAGCTGATCCTCAATTATGTTTTAAGTTAATGTACTCAAGGTTTATTTGTCAATTGAATGCCTAACCTATTACAATTAAGGAGAGAGAATACTATCCCCTTTCAGTCCAGGTGTATGGCAAATGGAGATGTCTGTAGGTATTAGGACATCCCTAGAAACTTTCAGAAAGGCATTGGAGGAATGCCTCCTTAAACAGTATGAAACTCCAGTGATTAGCAATGGAGTCTAATGAATGAGAAGCAGTATAATGGCTTTCTCAAAATATTGGGAAATTCATGATCTTTTTCTCTCCTTTATCATTCCTAGGGTTTTGGAAATCTGGATTGTAGCAGGGCATTGTAAGTTAAAAAATCATCTTCCCATTCTGTTCTTTGCAAAGATATTTCTGTTCCTTAAATTTGTTGAGGGTAAGAGATTGCAGATTGCTTCTGTGGACTTCTTGAAGGTAAGTATTATTTCTTGATATTTGTATCTCCAGTGTCTGGCACAATGCTTGGGGGTGAGGAAGAACTCAATAAATGTTTGTTGGATGAATAAGTAATATTTGTGAAAGTGTTTTGTAGACTATGAAACTGCACAAACGAAAGATCACAAGGATGATTGCTTATGAAGCCCAGAAATTGAAGTGGAACTCCTTTCTTAATGTAACACACACATACATATTACACACATTTTTTTCCTTGAATAGTGGCTGCATTTTTTTTAATGGAACACTGGGCTACTTTTAAATATTGAAATCAAAATGTACATGCCCACTTTTTATTAGCAGTTGCTCCATTTGCTCCTCCAGCTTTGGCTGGAAAACATCTATTTGTATACTTAGTATCTCTGTCCTTGGTTACCCCCATCCCTGCCTTCTCACCCATCTTTAGTCTGCCTTATGGTCTTGCATAGATTTTCAACTGTTAGACTGTCAGGCTTGCAAGGATGCATTTTAAGAAATCAGTTTCTTTGAAAGCACTTGAACCAAAAGTCAAATGGCATGATGTAAACCAATAGTCTTTCAATGAAGATATGAAAACCCTCAATAATTACAAATAAGGAATCTAACCTATTGACACCAATTTGATTACACTGTATTGATTTCTACAAAAATATTATGAGAGAGCAGGCTACTTATACTCTACTGATCAGATTACAAGTATACTTAGTAAAGACAGAAATAGTATAGCCATAAAAGAGTTTACCTTAAAATGTCACCTGATGTTAGTTGTCCCTCACTGATTCAAGTAATTTCCTTTATTGAGGTGGATCTGCCTGTTGGTGGAGAACCCTAGACTGCATGCAGCCATGCACATGATCTGGAGACACAGCAGGTGAGTCCAGCATGTCAAGAGCAGATGACAATGAATGGAAAAAGCTGGTCTTGCTACTTTCTCAGTAACAGTGACTAGCAGTGTGTATGAAGAGATCAAAATTCTAAAGGTTCCCACAAATTTCTCAGTTTCCTATTTAGGGCTTTAGGTCTTTGGAGATATCTTCCAGATACGGTATTTGTCTGTTTTCCTTATTCTTCTGTGAACTGGTATAAATGAAGGTGGGTAGGGTGGGGTGAGTGGGGCTTTGAGGCCTTCCATTTCATCTGAGCTCGATGTGCCAGGAGGAGGCCCCTGAGAAGCTCAGGCAGTTCCACATAAGCCAGCTCCCACACAGCTCAGCAGGACTTGACAATGATTGCACTGTGAGGCTTTCATCCTTCTGGGCAATTGGCAAATCCAAAATTTCTAGGTAGAGGGGTTTAGGGTGGCACCCTGGAGAGGAGGAAGGATCAAGGGCATTGTCTTGAAGCGGCTTTGTCTAACAAGCACCAATTTTTTACTTAGCTTGAATGCTTATTTTGACATATCTCGGAGTTAAGTAAATGGAAATTTTTGAGAGGAAACTTAAGGAAACTCCAAGTCACCCCTGGATATTGCCAATAGAACCCAAGTATGGTAAACACTTCAAAGCCTCCATAGTGTTGTATGAAGCATGGAATCCCTCTTCTGAGGGTTTGAATTCACTCACCAGGGAAATGTTTTTCAAAGTATTGTCCTACTGAACCATGCAATCAAGAGTAGTGATGGGGAGGGCTTCTAGTGAAGGAGAGCCTTCATCTGTAATAAGCATCTTGGACAGAACTAATGCACAGTGAAGTCTAAAACCACTGTCCACTGAAAGAACCTCAAGAGCTCTTGTCCTTCTGATGTATGGAATTTCTTAATTTTTTATTCCTTTGTATCTCCCAGTGGTATTTTGGAATACGAATACCTCCACTGGATTACTTTCCCCATTGTGACTAGGAAGTCTGTATCTTTTTGAGCGAATCAAATTATCAAAGGGCATCCCTCAGAATCTTTCATGCTGCATCTAATGAGGAGCTCACTTACATTTATAGCACACGGTATTGACCATCACATTGGGCAAAATGAAAACATGACAATAATATTAATACCACATGTTTAAATAATAGTCTACAATTCACAGTTACATAAATTAAATTGCATGGTTAAATTCATAGCACATTTATAGTTAAATCATATCTCATCAATTTTTACAATATGCTGTCAGGGTAAGGCCATATTCTTTCTATTTTACAGATGAGGAGCTTGAGACTCAGAGAAGGCAATGACACACCTTAGGTCAGCTGACTAGTGTACACAGAGAAATTGGCTCTCAAGTCAGATCTCCCAACCCTAGTCCACCAATGCTAACTCATGTCATCAGATGACATCCCAAGGGGCTTTCAGGAAGATTCATTGATGTCAGATCACCTGGGTTCTGACATTTGTAGTCCCTTTGGGAAAATCTCCACTTAGATTGCCATGGACATCCTCTTGATGAGTGACAGTTTTCTCCAGGGAAAGATGCTTCTTAGTTGGTCTTGCTCCACCTGTACCGGTCAGCTTTACCGTAGGCCTCACATTCTTGATACAGAGCACATCCTCTCCTGCCTTGCTGGCCACTGTATTGCTCACGTCAGGGAGGGTGTGACTCTAACATTTCACAAAACTCCTTTTTCTCATATCTGATTATGCCGTGTTTGTAGACACACTGTAGACGTGTGACCATATTTTCTACTTCTTTGTTTTAATCATCTTGATTTAATCCCTGTGAGCTCATATTCCTTCATTAATGTCATCAAATTAAAAGAGGAAAAGGGATTTTGGAGGCTTATGCTGGATTTCCCCAAAGACAGGCACGATAGTGGTCCACTCAGCCTCTGCTGTGCCCTTCCTGTGGCAGGGACACACTATCAGGGAATGCAGCCTGTAATAACTAGACCCCCCTCATTATCACATAGGCCTTCCTTTTGTTCAGCTGAAAATTTCAGCTTTTACCTTCCACACATTGGTCCTTGTCTTGTCCCTTTTTCATGTGAAAGTTTTTCAAATATATGAGCCAGTCATCACGTAGCATTGAAGTTATATAACTGGAAGTTGTTATGTTCTGAACCATGTCTCTCCAGATTCATATGTTGAATTCCCAGCCCCCAGTGCCTCAGAATGTGACTGTATTTGGGAACAGGGTCTGCATTAGTTTGTTTTCACACTGCTATAAAGATATACCTGAGGCTGGATAATTTATGAAGAAAAGAGGTTTAATTGATTCACAGTTCTGCAGGCTGTACAGGAAACATGGCTGGGGAGGCTTTAGAAAACTTACAATCATGGTGGAAGGTGAAGAAGCAGACACATCTTCACATGGCTGGCAGGAAAGAGAGAGAGCAAAGGGGGAGGCGCTACACACTTTCTAACAACCAGACCTTGCGAGAACTCTATCAGGAGAACAGCAAGGGGAAAGTCAACCCCCAGGATTCAGTCACCTCCCACCAGGCCCCTCCCCCAACTCTAGGAATTACAGTTAGACATGAGATTTGGGTGGGAACACACAGCCAAACCATTTTATTCTGCCCCAGCCCCTCCCAAATCTCATGTCCTTCTTACATTTCAAAACACAATTATGCCTTCCCAACAGTTCCCCAAAGTCTTAATTCATTCCAGCATTAACTCAAAAGTCCATGTCCAAATTTTCTTCTGAGACAAGGTTAAGTCCCTTCCAAATATGAGCCTGTAAAATCAAAAACAAGTTAGTTACTTCCCAGATACAATGGGGGGTACAGGCATTGGGTAAATGCTCCCATTCCAAAATATAGAGGATACAGGCCTTATGCAAGTCGGAAACCCAGCAAGGCAGTCATTAAGTCTTAAAGCTCCAAAATAATGGAGCTTAAAGTTGTTGGTGGATTTACCATTCTGAGTCTGGAGGATGGTGGCCCTCTCTTCAAAGCTCCATTAGGCAATTCCCTAGTGGGAACTTTGTGTGGAGGTTCCAAGACCATATTTCCCCTCCATACTGCACCAGTAGAGGTTCTCCCTGAAGGCTCTGCCCCTACAGCAGTCTTCTGCCTGGACATTCAGGCATTTCCATACATCTTCTGAAATCTAGGTGGAGGCTCCCAAGCCTCAACTCTTGCCCTCTGTGTACCCACAGGCTTAACACTACATGGAAGCCATGAGGCTTGCAACTTTCACCCTCTGGAGCAGCAGCCTAAGACATATCTGGGGCCCTTTGAACCATGGCTAGAGCTGGAGCAGCCGGGATGCAGGGAACCATGTCCTGAGGCTGCGCAGAGTAGCAGGGCCCTGGGCCTGACCCATGAAACCATATAACCCTCCTATGCTTCCAGACCTGTGATGGGAGGGGCGGCTGCAAAGGTCTCGGAAATGCCTCCGAGGCATCTCTGAAATGCCTCGGAGGCATTTCCCCATGGTCTTGGCTATTGCTATTAGCATGTGGCTCCTCTTTACTTATGCAAATTTCTGCAGCTGGCTTAAATTTCTCCCCAGAAAATGGGTTTTTCTTTTCTACCACATGGCCAGGGTATAAATTTTCCAAACTTTTATGCTCTGCTTCCCTTTTAAATGTAATTTCCAGTATCAAATTATCTCCTTGTGCATGCATATTAGTTTATGCTGTTAGATGCAGCCAGGCCACATCATGAATGCTTTGCTGCTTAGAAATTTCTTTTGCCAGATACCCTAAATAATCTCTTTCAAGTTCAAAGTTCCACAGATCTCTAGCACAGGGCCACAATGCCACTAGTCTCTTTACTAAAGTATAGCAAGAGTGACCTTTACTTCAGTTCCCAGTAAGTCCCTCATCTCCATCTGAGACCAGCTTGGCTATCTCTGTCCATATTACTGTCAGCATTTTTGTCAAAATCATTCAACAAGTCTCTAGGAAGTTCCAAACCTTCCCTCATCTTCCTATCTTCTTCTGAACCCTCCAAACTGCTCCAACCTTTGTACATTACTCAGTTCCAAAGCTGCTTCCACATTTTCAGGTTTCATTATAGCAATGCCTCACTATTTGGTACAAATTTTCTGTATTAGTCCCTTCTCACACTGCTATAAAGACATACCTGAGACTGGGTAATTTATGAAGAAAAGATGTTTAATTGACTCACCATTCTGCAGGTTGTACCAGAAGCAGGGCTGAGGAGGCCTTAGGAAACTTAAAATCATGGCGGAAGGCAAAGGGGAAACAGGTACATTTTCTCATGGCCAGCAGAACAGAGCGAGGCAAAGTGGGAGGTGCTACACACTTTCAAACAACCAGATCTGGTGAGAACTCTATCACAAGAACGGGAAGGTGGAAGTCCGCCCCCCCGTGATTCAATCACCTCCTACCAGGCCCCTCCTTCAACACTGGGAATTACAATTCAACATGAGATTTGGATGGGGAAACAGAGCCAAACCATATTAGGGTCTTTAAGAGGTAATAAGTTAAAATGGAGTTATTAGGGTGGCCCATAATTCTACAGAACTGATGTCCTTGTAAGAAGGGGAAGAGACACCAGAAGTGCCAGCACAGAGGAAAGGTCCTGTAAGGACACAGGCTAAAGACAGCCATCTACAAGCCAGGGAGAGAGGCCCCAGAAGAAACCAAAGCCACAAATACCTTCTCTTGGACTTTCAGCCTCCAAAGCTGTGAGAAAATACATTTCTGTTGTTTAAGCCACCCAAGTCAGTCTGTGGTACTTTGTTATGGCTGCCCTAGCAGATGAATTCAGAAGTCAAATGTATATGGCTTTGAAGCCACAGAGGAAGGTGAGATTATCTGACCAGAGATCCAAGGTGAAAGGGGTGGAGAGCTATGGGGTAAATCACTTTACAGAGTGGGTATAGGAAGAAGAGCCTGTGAAAAACACAGAGAAGAATCAAGATAGAGCAGAGTTAAAGATGACAAGGGAAGACAGAGTTCTTTGCTTTCTTTTATTTTGGGTTCACATCTCTTAATTTCGTGTTCACTTTTGTTAAGGTCATCCTCAGCATTTATACTCTCTCTCCTTTTGTGCCCCCATGGACCAAGTTAAGAAGGTGTAGGCTTCAAATCTTAAGATCGGTCACCACAAAATTCAAAAGTAAGTGAAAGTGTTTATATTAGTGTCACTGAATCAAGAGCCAATCTCAAAATTTACTTGGGGAATTTTTCAAAGTGCACATTTATTTGACATACACTGCGAAATTTTATTTTAGTATAGATTTGTGGTGGGATACTACCATATATTTTGAAAACAAACAAACAAGCAAACAAAAAAATGTTCCCCAAACCCACAGAATCCCCAGGTACTTTTGATGTACACACTGATGGAGACAAACTAATCCAGATGAAAAGACAAATGAATTTTTTTCTACATGCCTGGAAATAATGCCAGATGATTATAGATTTCAAACTTCATAGAAAATTGAAATTTCCCCCTTTTGTAGGGGGAATGTTTTGTTAATCTAGCATACACAGCCTATGTTTTCTATTCTTATTACTTTTAATAATAATTTTTTTCTTTTCTTTTTTTTCAGAGACAAGGTCTTTGTCTGTTGCTCAGGACGGAGTGTAGTGGTGCCATAGCACACTGTAATCTTGAATTTCTGGACTACTGGCATACACCACCATGCTTAGGTAATTGTTTCTTATTTTTTGTAGTGACAGGGTCTTACTATGTTGCCCAGGCTGGTCTCAAACTCCTGACCTCAGGTGATCCTCCCACCTTAGCCTCCCAAAATGCTAGGATTATAGGCATGAGCCACCATGCCCAGCCTACTTTTTTTTTTTTTTTTTTTTTTTGAGATAGAGTCTTGCTCTGCAGCCCAGGCTGGAGCGCAGTGGCTTCATCTCGGTTTACTGCAGCCTCCCGGGTTCAAGCGATTCTCCTGCGTCAACCCCCAGTTAACTGGGTCTACAGGCACCTACCACCACACTCAGCTAATTATTGTGGGTTTTTTTTTGGTTTTTTTTTGTTGTTGTTTGTTTGTTTTTTGTTTTGAGACGGAGTCTCACTCTGTTGCCCAGGCTGGAGTGCAATGGCACAATCTCGGCTCACTGCTACCTCTGTTTCCTGGGCTCAAACAATTCTCCTGCCTCAGCCTCCTGAGTAGCTGGGACCACAGGCACCAGCCACCACATCTGGCTAACTTTTGTATTTCGAGTAGAGATGGGGTTTCACCATGTTGGCCAGGCTGGTCTCGAACTCCTGACCTTGTAATACGACCGCCTCGGCTTCCCAAAGTGCTGGAATTACTGGCATGAGCCACCGTGCCCGGCCCACCAGCCTACTTTTAATGGTAATTTTGAAAATGACAGTTGACCTGGTAGCCTTTGGGGATGTTTGTGTTCCTCCTCCCAGCAAATCGCCTTCCATGGGCAACAGGCACTGCTCCTCTCTCATGTGTCAGAAAATCAGTCTGAAACTAGCTATCAAAGCATACAATAGTCTATCACGTTGACCATCACATTATTTGTTGTGACTTGGGAGAACTCCCCTGTTTTCTCAAATCCCTGTCTGCTAAGAATTAGGAACCATTTCTATATAATAAAAAACTATTGCTCACCAGAAAATATATTCTACTTTCCTGTGGAAGAAAACTTATGACATTGAACTTGATAAAAAGCCATTTTCACAAGCTCAAATAAAACCAGTCTTCTCCATCTCCCCTCCCACCTCTATTGGCTCAAGTATGAGCAACTGAAGGATACCACGCTGCAAAAGAGATGTTGGGCTTTAGGCTGAAGCAAATCTGGGCCAACCAGAGTTAATCAAATTCTTTATAAAAAAAATGAAGTGTGCCACTCTAACTTAGAAGTTTTGGAGAAACACTAACACATTTTTTTTTTTTTTTTGCTGATTTCTTGAATTAAAAAAAAAAAAAAAAAAACTACTGCTCCTTTCCTTTTGGGTAAGTGAGGAGGCAATAGGGTCTTGAGAATCACCAGGACAGCCAGACTCTGTTAGTTTACTTTCATGTGAATACATTAGGTTCTGAGTAGATAGGCAGAGCTACAATACACTGTGCCTAAAACATCACAGTGGAAAGGTGTGTGTGTGTTTGTTGGGGGTGGAGGTGCCTGGTCCTGAGATTTATCAAGCCTACCTTATGGGTACTGACTTGACTGGTTCATCTACTTTAGGTAAGATGAGAATATACTCCCCTGCCCCAAATTATATTTTATCCAGGTGCCCTGGTGTCTGACATTCCATCTGTAATCTTTCTTTCCTGCTTTTAAAATGAACATTCTCTTGGTTTGTGCAAAACACTAAACTACTTTATGAAGGCAGATACACTAATGTAGGAAACTGCTTTGTTTCCCATTGGTTGAAAAGGACTAGTGGAGCTGTAGGAAGCTTGGAAGTTCATCAGTGGGAATGGAGGGAGGCGGCCAAGAAGGTGAGGGGAAGGGGAAGGGCCACAGACAGATTTTGTCTACTTGGGAATTTTGAATGGGATTGACCCTGTCCACTCAGTAATAGTTAAAAATGAAACAAAACAAAAAACAAGGTTTTTGAGTGTTGTTTGAATCCAAGTGCACTATTTCAGTAGTGGAACTGGGCAAGACTTATAAAGCTGCCGTAGGGAAGGGTGATTAGGATTGCAACCATAAGCATGAGTTGTAAATCATGACATTTATTTGGGCACAGAAACCAGATCATTAATATTTGAGGAGCACCTTTCAAAACTCAAATTTAGAGGGCAGAAAACAGTGTTGGCTTTTTACACTATTTCTCTCTTTTTGAGGTAAGTCAGAGAGTTGAGTTATGAAGCATTAAAAGATCATTTTATTCCCATATTCAATTTTCTTCTTTTCACTTGGAGAAAACCTCTTAGGCTAAAGACCATTGGAAGTGGCCTCCATGTTTAACTCACTGGCCCCTAATTTCTGCTGGACCTTCATTTCAATCGACTGTGTTTCAGGAGGGAAGCGATTCTGGTGACCTCACTGTAGGGAGACAGGAGCCTCTGGCAAGTTACCAAACTGCCAGCCTATTCTACATGAGCAGAGCTCTTTGCTTTGGCAGAGGAAAGCAATGCTGTTGTAGGTCAACAGTCAAATGTGTCCCGGAAGTTGTTAAGTGTGTGGGGCATTCTAGCCACTGCTGCTGGTGGAGAGACCTGGCCATTGCCTGCATCTCACCTTCAGAATATGGCCCTGATTAAGCTCTGCAGGTAGAGTCCTGGTTTCTGAGAAGGGTACAGGGCCTGAGGACATGCTGGTATTTCTTCCTCACACTGCTGCTGAGGACACAGAGAAGGGTATTCTGGCCAAATTAGCCAGTTATTGGTTCCCCAGATAACTTTGGTTTTAGACACCTGACTTGACTCTGAGTGAGTGGGAGGCTGTTTTCTCTGACTGTTTTTGCATCTTGGCTTTCATGTCACTACATGAACATTCAGCCCACAAATTTCTGTTATCTAATCAGGTGCATCAGTCCGTGGTGGAGATGAGAGGGGAGGAACACCCCTCTGACTCAGATTTTGCACAAACAAAATTCAGTCTTGTTAGCAATGGCAGGAAGAGCACCCAGAGCTGCTCAGATCAGATCTTTCCCTGACAATCTGCAGGGCAGTGAAAGTGAGTGAGGAGTTTTTATGGCAAGATAAGCAATGCAAGGGCCCCAATTTGGTTACTAAATAAAATAAAATGTCAATATTTACACATGACCTTCAAGGCTCTTACACTCTTGCTTCCTTAATATTCAGTACAGACTACATTTTCTTTAGTCCGTTACCAACAGCTTGGAAATTCAGTTAGAGGACATAACCCAAGTGTTCTCCAAATGTTGCTTCCAAATGGTCATCTTGAAAAGTGCCATTTTAAGGCATGCAGTGTTTCTACACTGAGAGAGGGCTGTCACTCTGCCTACCCAACTGCAGGGGAATTATCCAAAGATTAAAACCACTGATGATAAAGATAGTGCCATGCAGCATATTTTAATTTGTTGATAATGAAAGCACAAGAGGCCTTTTTACAGGCTTCTTGAAGCCTTACTATTGTGTATTGCACATACAACCCCGGCTTGTGCGCTGACACAAACAAACGTGATCGTAACGGTTGAAATATAGTTAGAAACACAACTAAGAACATCTGTATTGTAAGCAGAAATAAATTAGAAATGCTGAAGTGTTTTGTAGCTGTGAAAATGAAGGAATTAAAAAAACCCACAGTACCTGGATTAAGCGGTTATAAATAACGCATAAAGCAAAAATCTCATTACCCCCAGTGTAAACTCCCCCAAATGAAATACATTTTATGAATGTAGTAACACTGTAATAACCAAAGCATTTGTTTTTCCCCACAAATTTTCCATTTCATAACTGTGAGATTGTTTGGATTTACAGGTTCGGGCCACAACATCCGTGACTTTACCGGTTTTGGTCTCTTCCTTGTAACTTTCGGCTCCAGGATGCTGCGCAGCTCCTCTCTGCACTATCTATCAGAACGTTGCTCTGCGTGCTTGAAAGTTTCGCCAAACAGAAGTACACAAAAACAAACAGAGGCGAAACACAAATCCCCTCAGCCCTGGAGGAAAAGGCCTTGAAGCTCTTCCAGTGCAGAGGCCACGCAGAGGACATGCTCCTACCTGTGCACATCGGCCACGCCTGGGGTGCCTCCTGGAGTCCAGGCTGCTGGCGATGGAATCCATCATGTTGCTGATGTCACTGTAAGTCGCAGCCCGCAGGCTGAGCTATGGGGCAGTTTGAGGGGCCAGAAGTTTTCTCCTGGATGTCATCTTCAGCATACCCAGGAACCAGAGAAAATGTAATTCTTCCCATGCCCATCTCACTCCTGCAGACTGGGGTCCCTCTTCAGTTTCTTTTTTTTTTTTTAATCATAAGCACATAGGCTCTGGGACATCATGGAACCCAGAAGCATGCTGAAAGGTGAAGCACAAGTCTAAAGTCTTGTTAGTTATGAAATCCAGCTTTCCTGGATTAGGCAAGGGGAAAACCACATATTTAAGATATACTAGGGCAAGAAGTAAAGCGGAGAGAGCTGACTCAATGAAATTTTGTGTATAATAGGAGCCATCCTATGTCTAATTGTCTCCTGTCTCAGAGACCTCATGATTATTTCTGAGCTTTAACCAATGAATTAATGTAGGTTCTGTCTGGCTCTTCTAACATCTTTGGAATGGTTCCTCAGTGAACCACAGCTATCCATAGAGATAACAACCTGAATCCAAGCCCAGTGCCCAATCAGGTGCTACTCTTACTTGCATGACTTGGTTCTATTCTTGCCCAGTCCCATTGGGATAACAGCGGTAGCTAAGCAGCTAAGCAGAGTGACCTCATTAGATTATCTTCTAGCATAAAATCACATGTTAACTCATTTTTGGACTCATAGTCAGAAACTTGTAATTTTTCTTCATTTTGCTATGCAGCTATTGCACAGTGGGGGAAATATGACTGGATAATGAGTCAAAAAGACTTGCTCTTACATTCCATCTTCCCCTTCATTGCCTGGGTGTCTTTGGACCAGTCAATCTTTGAGCCTCAGTTATCTAGAAAATGGGGACTCTACTACTTTATATTTTTTCTTTTAGTGGGACCTAGATAAGGTAATGTTAATAAAGGGGCTTTATTTATATATTGAATGGCATGATGTTACGATTACTAAAAGGAAATAGCTATTCTACTTACATTACAATGTGGTTTGAGAATCAAATTCAATGAAATATGTGAAGAGGACTTTGAAAAGTAGAAAGAGCTGAGCAATGCAAAATACATCACTGCACTTGAATGTAATGGCTGGTGTCATGTCAGCTGGATTAACTGTGGTCACCAGTTCTCATATACCCATTTGCTAGAGTAGCTCAGTCCTCTGGACTATGAAAGAGGGCACAGAAGCTACAGACACGAGATCTGGTACTATCTTTACCACTACATTTTTATTGTGAGCACCTCAATCATTTTGAGATATTTGTCTCATTTCTTTTACTTTGAATATGGAAAAACAACAGTCACCTCCTAATATGGCTGTTGGGAAAACATAACTGAAATGGATTCAGAAAATAGCCTTTAAGGACAAAGTTATGTGAAGGACATAAATTGTGCATGAACTCTTTCAGTAATGAATAGGCACATCTCCACATATCCCAGGATCTTAAGCTGATAATGTAACAACAAGAACCTATTGAATCAGGACAAGGTGATGATTCTGCTCCTGTGGCAATCTAGGTCTCAGAATCTGGTATGCAGGCAGGGTGTAAAGAGCAGATTGCATTTTCAAGAGAAAGGTTAAGCTTGAATGTTTTGGACAGGAGGTGATTAGATGCATTTTTAAAAAGTCCTTGAATTTACCTGATGATTTTTATGTCCTTGTGATGGTTGTAGCCCATTCCAGGATACGAATAAATTTAGCAACACAAAGAAGTTCATTTAAAAATCTTTCCCTCAGATGCTCCACTTCCTCTTCCTTCTAGCTTTCTCTTCTTCACTAATTTGCAACCCGCGAGGCTGCCCTTTTGATCACTGGCAGTCTAAGAATAGTGATAAGTGGCTTTTGAAAATGTTTTAAAACTTTTATAGGAGAGTGGTGGAAAGATGGAGGTTTCTAGAAAACCCTTAATAGAAGAGACCCATTTTATTTATTTATTTTTGGTTTTAAAGCATTATTTTATTTTGAATGAATTTTAGACTTTAAGAAATTGCAAAAACACTAGAAAGTGTTCCTTTAATCCCTTACCCTGCTTCCACTTATGTTGAATCTCTCTCATCATTTTAATTATCAAGAATAGGAAATTGACATCGGTACAATATTATTAACTAAGCTACAGACTTCATCTGATCTTTACCAGTTTTCCTGCAAATATCATTTTTCTCCCATCCAAGTACTAACGGGCCTAACCTTGCTTAGCTTCTAAGATCAGACAAGATTGGGTGCATTCAGGGTGGTATGGCCATAGACCCAAATATCATTTTTCTGCCTCAGGAGCCTATCCGGGACCCCGCATTGTATTGAGTTGTATTTCTCCCTAGTTGACTCCAATCTGTGACAGTTCCCTAGTCTTTCCTTATCCTTCATAACTTTGGCACTCTTTGAAGGATACTGATTGTTACCAGTGGAAGGTATCCGAGTTACTGGTGGCAAATCCATACAGGTCTGCAGCAACCTCAGTTCTTGCCCCCTCAGAAGAAAGAATTTGACTGAGGGGCATAAGGCAGAAAAAGAGATCAAGGCAACTTTCAGAGTAGGAGTGGGAGTTTATTTAAAAAGGCTTTAGAACAGGAAAGAAAGGAAAGTATGCTTGGAAGAGACCCAAGTGGGCATGTGAAGGTCAAGAGTAGTGTTTAACCTTGATCCTAAGACTTTATAGGCTGGCCTCTTTCCCATGATTCTTCCCTTAAAGTAGGCTGCCCTCATGCACAGAGCCCTCCTTACCCTTGGGAGATGAGCATGTGCACTGTGTTTAGGAAGTTGTATGCATGCCCATTAGAGGCTTTCTTCCCTTTTCTCATGGCGTGCCCTTGGAAGGTCATACCCTGCCATTTTATCTCCTAATGCGCATGTCTAGGAAGTTGTGTTTCCCTGGCACCTATACTCAGTTCACTCTTTAGTGCAACAGGTGTGGACCATCAGGAAAAGGCCTCTCCCTGGTGCTGGCTGCCAATTTATCACTTTTAGAGAGGCAATGTGATAACTGCCAAACCATCACCTGACATTTTTAGTGGGTGGGGGAAAAGCCCACTCCTGCCCTGCTTATGCCTGTCTACCTATAAATACACTGATTAGTAATTTGGTAGAATGTCCTTCACTTTAGGTTTGTCTAATGTTTTGTCATGATTAGAGTGAAGTCATGCCATTTTGGCAAGAATACCGCAGAAATGATACTGTATCCCTTTTCAGCACATCATGCCAAGGGATTCATGATGCTGATATATGACTTATTAATGGTGTTATTTATTTTGAGCACTCCATTAGGTTAGTGTCTGCTGTTTTCTCCATTATGAAACCACCTTTGCAAAAACTATAACAGTGAGAAAATTATGACAGTGAAAGGGATCTGATCTAACCAACCCCCATCTTGCTTTTAACCTCCAAAATGCCTTACTCATTTCTGGGCTTACGCCAAGTTAACTTTGGGAGAAATTTAGTTTATAGTTTAAAAGATTGTATCTGTTCCTCAAAACTAAACCACCTTTGTGTAAAGCTGATGAAAGATCACCAGGTTAGGAGGATGAGAGGAACCTGAATTCTGTTAACATGTAGATATAAATAATTACCAACCATTATTCCAGAGGTCACAAGATTTGCAACTTCCCAGTTGTTCCTGCAGATAACATGACTGTTGTAGAACTTAAGATTGGCCTTTTGAGATGCCTTTTCAGATTTTTGCGTTTCTGAAAATGGATGGCTCCACCCAGACCCACAAACTGGTCCTGCGGCTCCACCCAGAAGTGGACTTAGCAGCTCATGAAGACCATTTTCCACACCCCTATGATTGCACCCCCAATCAATCAGCAGCACCCATTCCCTAGCCACCCCCCTCTCCTAAACTATCTTTAAAAAACCATAGTCTCCAAATTTTCAGGGCGGTTGATTTGCGTAATAATAAAACTCTAGTCTCCTGTTTAGCCAGTTCTATATGTGTAAAACTTTCTCTATTGCAATTGCCCTGTCTTGATAAATTGGCTCTCTCTGGGGAGCAGGCTGGAAGAACCCATTGGGTGGTTACAACTCTGCCCCACAGGGTGACATCGAGGATGGGAACTGCATGCTAGAATGGTAGAGCAGGAATTTAGGAATTTGAGTCTCTGATGACACTGTTGAGCCACCCTACCGACCTGGCCTACCTACCTCTGGACTTCTTTGTATAAGATAAATAAACTTCTGCCTAGTGTAAACTGCTCTGATTTTGCTCTTTTTCCTTTTATAACGTAGCTGACTGATCCCTGATGCATACAGGGGGCAGAGGCTACTATAGTAGTTCAGGTAAAAGATAAGGAAGTTTGGATGAGGGTGGTGACAGTGAAGGTGATGAGAAGTAGGAGGAGTAAGGATGTATACTTTTTTTTTTTTTTTTTTTTGAAGCAGGGTTTTGCTCTTGTTGCCTAGGCTGGAGTGCAATGGTGTGATCTCTGCTCACTGCAACCTCCGCCTCCTGGGTTCAAGCTATTCTCCTGTCTCAGCCTCCCAAGTAGCTGGCATTATAGGCACCTGCCACCACGCCCAACTAATTTTTTGTATTTTTAGTAGAGATGGGGTTTCACTATGTTGGCCAGGCTGGTCCCGAACTCCTGACCTCAGGCGATCCGCCCACCTCAGCCTCCCAAAGCGCTGAGATTACAGGCATGAGCCACTGTGCCCAGCCGGATGTATACTTTTATTGTACAGCTGCCAGGATTTACTGATGGATCGATGATACGAGAAAGAAATGCACCTAGTTTGAACTGTAGGATTTTGGCTAACAACTGGTCAAATGGTGGTGTCATTTACAGAGATAGGGAACAGAGGAGGAAAAGCAGGTTTGTGAGGCTGGGTGTTCAGTTCATCAACTGAAGTGATTGCTTAAGCCTGCAGGCCATCAGAGCCTCCCTAGTCATAACATCTGAATTAATTGTAAGCCAGCAGAGCAATATATAATGATGTATGATCTAATATAGTCATATTAAGTGCATAACTTCAGAGATTGGAATACATTTTAAGGGACTTGTTTAAAGAACCTTATATTCTTTTATGGGTGTGTGAATTGATTATGAAAAAATTTATAAGGCAAATCAAACTTCAAACCTTCCTTATTTGGGAACTTGAAAAGGTCTGAAAACATCTCTCTCAGTATTTCAATTAGCCTCCTAAACTATTTACAGCTGCCTTTAATTCCTTCTAGAACAAGGCAGCGGATATGTGAGTACAGAATAAAATGAGACAAACACTTCAGGATCTCCTCTTATCCTGGATTCAGCAGCATCTTTTGTTCTAGCTCTCAACGCCTCAGTTAATGCTCAGTCTCCACATGTGCCAGGGGCTTTTCAGTTTATAATTCCCAAAAAAACATATGCTGGCTGGATTTGATCGCCTAAGAAAAAGCGAAAATAGTACTTATCTCTTTAGGATTCTGTAGTAATCAGACTAGGCTGTTGCATTGTTGAATTATGTGGGGTTTTCTAAGATCAAGTGTGCTTAGTGTAATTTGTGCTTCCTCATGTCTAGATAGCATAAGTTTTGAGTCTGGCATTACCATCTGGAAACCAGAATCAATTGCAGAGCTAAGAGTCTAACAACTCAATTTTTAAAATTTTATTTTTATTTTTGTTTTTATTTTATTTATTTATTAATTTTTTTGAGACAGAGTCTCACTCTGTCGCCCAGGCTGGGGTGCAGTGGTGCGATCTCGGCTCACTGCAGCCTCCATCTCCCGGGTTCAAGCAGTTCTCTGCCTCAGCTTACTGAGTAGCTGAGACTACAGGTGTGAGCCACCATGCCCCGCTAATTTTTATAGAGGCTGGGTTTTGCCATGTTGGCCAGGCTGGTCTTGAACTCCTGGCCTGAAGTGATCCACCTGCCTCAGCCTCTCAAAATGCTGGGATTATAGACTTGAGCCACCACGCCCAGCCATTTTAAAAGATATATTTTAAATAAAAAGTATTTTTGTGGGTACACAGTAGATATATATATTTATGGGGTACATGAGATGTTTTGATGTAAGCATGCAATGTGAAATAAGCACCTCATGGAGAATGGGGTTTCATCCCCTCAAGCATTTATCCTTTGAGTTACACACAATCCAGTTACATTCTTTATTTAAAAATATACTAGCAACCCAGTTTTAATCAATTTCTTGAATCCTATTTATTCCTTTTTATGACTCACTCCTGCCTTAGGACTTGTATGTTTGCAGTTCCCCTTGGCAGGAGCACTCTGTTCCTAGATCTCACCCAACTGGCTCCTTTTGCTGTTCAGGTCCCCATCCGAAGGTCACCTCCTCAGGAAGACCTCTTTAGTTATTCTAACCTAAATCAACCCCATCCGATATTATCACTTTCCTGTGCTTTATTTTCTTCAAAGCCCTCATCACTTTCTGAAATTATCTTGTTCTATTATTATTATCCTTATCAGTATATAGATGGCTAGATGGCTCCCTACCAACGAGAGTAAACATATGTTGAATTTTTCCTATATGCCTTACACAAATTGTACTTAATACAAAAGTCTGATAAGGACAGTTAACATTTATTGAGTACTTACTACTTGCTAAATGCTAGGCTAAGTACTTGCCCACACAAGTCCACATCTGTGTCATCTCATGCCTGGACTACAGCAGTGGCTTCCTAACTGGCCTCCCTCTTCCCGCTGCAGTCCGTGGCCCACATAGCAGCCAGCGCTTTTTCTAAAACGTTACTCAGGTTACATCAAGATCAGCTTTCAGCCTTGGGAATGCCTTCAGCCCTCTCACGTCCTAACAATGGCTTACAAGATCTCTGGGATCTGGCCGCCACAACCTGTTGGCCATGTGTCTAACCACACTCCTTCCCTTGCTCCCCTCTGGCCACAGGTTCCAAATCACACTTCCCCCAGACAGCCATCCATCCACATGGCTTCATTTGTCACTCATGTCTCTGCTGAAGTGTCACCTCCTCATAGAGGCCTTTCCTGACCGCCCCCCCCCCCTCACGCCATGTAAAAGAGCTCTCCAGTCTCTCTGTCCCCATATCATGATTTATTTCCCGTCACTCATCACTACCAAATGTTCTGTTACCGACTTTCCTTCCTTCGGGAAGTATTTGTTGAGTAGTTGCTAGATACTAGGCTCTGTTCTAGGTACTGGGTATACAGAAGGCAAGAAGATGGGCAAATCCCTCTTGACATGGAAATACGGGGGAGACATGCACTACACTCACTGGGGAGGTAGAATATACGATATACTAGATGGCTCTGGGCAAGACTAAAGCTGGACAGAAGGTAAGGGAGTGATGGGGCAGGAGAGGGAGAGTTCTATTGAAAATAGGGCAGTCGGGAGGCCTCGGGGAGACAGTGGATCGCCGTGCCAAGTGCTGAAGAGGTGAGGGGGTGAGCACCACGAATAAGTAGAGGGAAGGAGAGAACATCATGTGCAAAGGCTCTGAAGGGGAAACCTGTGGCTGCAGGGGGAACCAGGGGAGAGGAGGAGATGTGGCCAGAGAAGCGATGGGGGCACCAGACCACGGGACCTTCGCAAGTGCGCCAGCCTCAGCCTAGGTACTTTTCAGCGGAGAAGCAGCCTGAGCTGACTTACATTTTTACTGGGTCCCTCTGACCCTTGGGTGGAAAATAGACTTTAGGAGAGCAACGGTTGAAATAGAAAGTCCTGTTAGCCTGGGAAAGATCGGAGTGGCTAGGACCAGGGTGGCGGGGGTGGAGGTGGTGAAGAGTGATTGCAGTTTGGATATATTTTGAAGGTAGATCCTATGGATTGTATCAAGAAATTGAGAAATCGAGCATGAAAGGATGCCTCATTTCAGGGTTCTAAAGCCAGACCGCTGGAGAGATGCTGCAGTTGGAGAGAGGGTCAGACCTTAGCTGTCTTTGTGGAGCCTTTGTGGGTACTAGAAAAAGGTTCCCCCTTTGGGCTGAAGCTGTTTTGCCTCCATTCCTGGCCCTCAGCAGAAATCTTTATGCACAGTAGCAGGCAGTGACATTCATCAGGAGCTTTGGTTTGGGACATAAGTTTATATCCAATGAGATGCTGACTGGGCAGCTGGTTATGAGTTTGGAGCCCAAGGGGACAGATAGAACTACAGGCGTAAAGGCTATTTGTGAGCATTCCTGGCAGTTTTAGCTTTATATTTATTTATATGTGAGTTGCACTGTACATTACATATCCTTTATTCATCTGTTCATTGTCTCCTCCATCCTGATGTGAGCTGGAGGAGGACCGTGACCATGTCTGCATTTCCTAATTGGTTGTATTCCTAGACCTAGCACAGTGCTGTGCTGGCACCTGGGCACTTAATGAACATAGTTGAATGAATAAACTGGGGATGCCACTGCTTTATGCTTGTCCTGTGGCTTCATGAGGTTGAGTATGTGGCCAGCCCTGTATGCCAATTTGTATGCCAGATGGTCCCATTCTTATTCTATGTCCAAAGCCCAAAAAGAGCTTTTTTTAAAACCTCCACCACTTACTACCGTTTATCACATGGTTACCAAAAGGAAATTTCTGTTCAAAATGACTTTTCATTAATCAAGACTCCTTGCAGCTAAAACACACAATAAAAGGATGAGAAAATGAAGGAAAACAAAGCTTTTTTTAGATATCAGATACCTTTTATGGTGACTTCTTTTAACTTTTTCTTTGCTACACTGCAGGCAAATATTCTATTTCTATCTTATGAGATGGCATAAAGAGTGACTTTATTCAGCATTTCTGTTGCATTTAAACTCATGACTGGAGAAGAGAGATGCCTAGGGCCTCAGCATTTTTATTTGGAATGGTCAGAAATGGCTTTGTGCAAGAAGTGAGGTTTCAACTGACTTACGCATCAGTTAGCTAGTTCTGTATGATTGCAAACAATCCCACATTTAGTGGCTTAAAATAATAAGCACTTATTATTGCTCACAAGACTGTGGTTCAGCTGGGTGGTTTTTCTGGTGTTGCCTGGGCCCTCTCATCAGGTAGGGAACTCTGCTTATTGTGGCTGGGCTCACATATCTGGGGATCAGCTGGCTCTAGGCTGGTCTAGCATGGTCTTGGTTGGAGCATCCAGGTGCACATCCTGCAGTAGGCTGGACCAGGCTTGTTCACATGCCATTGGCAGGGTTCCAAGAACAAGACTGGGTAGACCCAAAGCTTCTTGAGGTCTCAGCTTGAAACTGGCATAGCATAACTTTGGCCACCTTGTATTGCTGAAAGCAAGTGGAGTGGAGACTCATTACTTGATGGAGGAGCTGCAAAGTCACATTGCAAAGAGTATAGGCAGAAAGAGGCCATTAGTTAGAAACATCGGCCGGGCGCGGTGGCTCACGCCTGTAATCCCAGCACTTTGGGAGGCCGAGGCAGGTGGATCACGAGGTCAGGATATCGAGACCCATCCTGGCTAACACGGTGAAACCCCGTCTCTACTAAAAATACAAAAAATTAGCCGGGCGTGGTGGCGGGTGCCTCTAGTCCCAGCTACTCGGGAGGCCGAGGCAGGAGAATGGCGGGAACCCGGGAGGCGGAGCTTGTAGTGAGCAGAGATTGCGCCACTGCACTCCAGCCTGGGCGACAGAGCGAGACTCTGTCTCAAAAAAAAAAAAAAAGAAACATCATTCTAATACATGGGCTTGAAGGAGAAGTGGGGTTTGGAAGGAGGACCTGAGGGAACTGTTGTGAATCTTCTTGGATCTACGGGAGAAATGGGCCTGGCCTTCCACTGACCTTCATCCTACCTCCCTATTGCCTGACAGACACATGAAGCATAGCTTCTCTACCAGCTGTAGGTTTTAACACTAGATCTGTTCTCTCTCTCTCTCTCTCTCTCTCAGAAAAGACAATCTCATTTGAAAGTACTTCTGTAATTGTTTTAAGATGTTTTCATAGAACTATACTAAAAGTTGTTTTGCAAAATGCCTCTCATCGACCCTTTTCTTGAACAGTTATCGTGATCATGTTGCTTTTTCCACAAATAATGATCATACCCTTCCCTTGTAGGATTACGCCCATACGTTGACCTGTGTTACTGAAAGAGAAAAGTTTATTGTACCCATCAAAGCTAGAGGGGCACGAGCCATTCTCGATTTTCCTGACAAGCTGAATTTTTCCACTTGTCCTGTCAAATACAGCACCCAGAAGATTCTGCTGGTACGAAACATTGGCAACAAAAATGCTGTATTTCACATCAAAACTTGTAGGTATGCATGCCTTTAGCTCTTGTTTTTGATTGATTATAGCTAAATCTAGTCAGCTCAAGTAATTTGCTACCATAACATTGGGGGGTGGAATTGCTTGTTACAGTCTTCAGTTGCAAAGCTGGGAGACCTCACTGATGTAGGGTAGACTTCCTCTTCATCCTCAGAGGAAACAAAAATTCAAGGTTTAATATCTTATATCCATATTATACTAAATCCTCTTTTTGGTTCTTCAAAATGCTGGATAAAAGTCCTTCTTTTAGTACAGAGAATGGCCCATGAGAATATAGAAATAAATTTGTCTTGACTGAGAATTTTTATAACTGGCTTGATTAGTTTTCTGTTGCCATTGTAACAAATTATCACAAACTCAGTAGCTTAAAACAACACAAATTTATTATCTTACTTTTCAGTGGGTCAGAAGTTGCACTGGGCTAAAATCAAAGTGAGAGCAGGGCTGCATTCCCTTCTGGAGGCTTGAGGGGAGAGTACATTTCTTTGCCTTTTCCAGTTTCTAGGGGCCGCCCACATTCCTTGGCTCATGGCCCTCAGTTTTCTTCTCTGAAAAATGGGGAAAAGTATACCAGCCACTTCATAAGGTTGTTGGGATAATCAACAGAAACTGCTGGTATATATCAAGTGCTATATAATCGGTGTTTGCTCTTTTCTTTTTCCTTCAAATGAGCTATGGCCAGTGTGGTAGACAGAATGATGGCTCTCCAGACATGTCCATATCCTAATCCCCAGAACCTGTGACTGTATCATGTTGTATGGCAAAGGGGAATTAATATTGCAGATATAATTAAATTTGCTGATCAGCTAATGTTAAAATTGGGAGATAATCCTGGATTCACTGGATGAGCCCAGTGTAACCAACAAGGGCTTTTAAAAATAGAAGAAGGAAGCAGAAGAGTTCAGCGTGGTGCGCTGTGAGAGGGACTCAATCTGCTGTTGCTGGCTTTGGAGGATGAGAAAACTGAGGGATAGAGAGGTCACATCATTTCCTGAAGAGCACAGAGCTAGTAAGTGATAGAGCTGGATTTTAATCTGAGTATTTGTGGACTAACCACAGTGTAGACACCATGGGACAGTATAAAGCAGGTGTCCCCAACCCCCAGGCCATGAACTGGTACCGGTCCAGTCCGTGGCCTTTTAGGAATCAGGCTGCACAGCAGGAGGTGAGTGGTGGACAAGAGAGCAAAGCTTTATCTGTATTTACAGCTGCTCCCCATCACTTGCGTTACCGCCTGAGCTCCGCCTCCTGTCAGATCAGCCGCGGCATTAGATTCTCATAGGAGCACACACCCTATTGTGAACTGTGCGTGTAAGAGATCTAGGTTGCATGCTCCTAATGCCCAGTGATCTGTCACTGTCTCCCATCACCCCCAGATGGGAACGTCTAGTTGCAGGAAAACAAGCTCAGGGCTTCCACTGATCTACATTATGGTGAGTTGTGTAATCATTTCATTATATATTACAATGTAATAAGATAGAAATAATGTGTGCAATAAATGTAATGTGCTTGAATCATCCTGAAAATATCCACCCCACCCCCAATCTGTGGAAAAATTGCCTTCCATGAAACTAGTCTCTGGTGCCAAAAAGGTTGGGGACTGCTGGTATAAGAATGATGAAACAACCCCATCTCTCAAGGACCTCTCTTATAAGATGGGAAAGAAGGATTTGTTTTGGGGCATGAGAGCAAGTGGCTGACCAGTGGGGTCTTAAAAAGAACAACCAGCTTGGGAAGACAGGAAGCAGGGGTTCAAGTTCTTTTCTATAAAAAGTGGTATGTATATACTGGATTTAAGTTCTGTTTTTAAAAAGTAGTGTGTATATACTGGATTTAAGTTCTCTTTCAGAAGGGCATTATCTGTGGCATCCTTTGCTGACTTAATGACTCATTTGTCCAAAAGGGATTAGAATTTGCTTCTACTTGATTCCCAAAAGTTAGGCTACCATGGAGTACTCTTTTGGTAATTTCCTGCCTTAGGAGTTCCTGGACTGATAGCTCATATGCAAATCCCACACCTTCATAAGACACAAGTTCAAGTTATGAATGTCCTAGAGAAACTTTGTTCCTTTAATTAAAAACTCAGATACACACTTTTTCTTTTGCTGATGGGAGTGTGTTTGGGGAGTCCTTCACATTTCTCAGGTTTATACGGGGATCTGGTACCAGTCCCCTAACTTGACCATTGTGAGGCCTTGTCTCCGGCTCCAGCAGGGCTATTAAAAACCCAGGCTTCTGGGCTACTGGGAACCCAGGGCAGTCCTATCATTAGCTCAGTGGCTTACTGCTGTGGTTCTTAGGTTCCTCTTTGTTTTGGAATGGTATGAGTTTTTCTTATTTTTGTGCATGCTCAGTTATGCATTTATTTACATTATCTTTTATCCAGTCTTTCTAGGTATTTTCTGGTGGGAGGGTTTTCAAGTGACCCACTTTGCCATACTGTGGGTAGCAGCACTGCCATATTGCCAGTTGAGGGCACATCCTTTGGGAGGGAATTTGTGTTTATTTCTCCAAGTACTCTAGGTGAATCACTCTCTCTGAACTATTTCGTGTAGATCCACATTTCTGTCTGATATCCTATTTCTCCTGGCTTAAAACTACCTTTAATATTTCTTGTAGCACAAGTCTACTGTAAATTCCCTGTTTTTGTTTATCTGGAAAAAAGTGTTTATTTTTCCTTCATTTTTGGAAGATTTTTTTTTTCACCATATAGAATTCTGGGCTAACAATTATATATAGATTTTTTTCCTCAGTACTTTAAATATGTCACTCAATTGTCCTTTGACTTACATTTTTCTAATGAGAAGTCTGCTGTGATTCTTATCTTTGTTCCTCTGTATGTAATTGTCTCTTTTTCTTGGGCTACTTGCTGATTTATTTGGTTTTTGCAGTTTGGAAATGATGTGTCTAGGTGTAAGTTTTGTTTATGTTTTGCTTTTTGTTTTAAAGATTTTGTTTTGCTTTTGCTTGGTTTGGGTTTTAATTTTGCTTGAGGTTCTCTGAGCTTCCTGAATCTTTCATTAATTTTGGAAAATCTCAGCTATTATCTCTCCAAATTTTTTTTTTGTTCTATCCTCTTTCACTTTTTCTTCTGCTTGCAGGAAAGTTCTGCCTGCCACAGGCGAAAGCCACAGTCTAAACCGTATGTGCATATCCCATCCCCCTCGGGGGAAATGGGTTGGTCTGTCTTTAGATTTCAGGCTATTTGATGTGCTACCTCTGCTCTCTGACAGGCACAAGAAAGGTTGTGATTTTGTTATTTATTTCACTTTTTCTTATGGTTAGGGTAAAAGAAACATTCTTTCCAGCTTTCTGCATTCTAGGTAGAAGCAAGATTCTAAACCACCTTAAATAAATCAACCACTAAAGGCAAAGGAAAAGTTCTTTTGGAACTCAGTGTCTCCAGACATTGGTCATAAATTCTCTACAGGCCTTGTTTGTCGTCTCATGGCAAACCTCACATATTTTGATGGAGGAGAAGGAAACAGGTTGTTCAGCTGGCTTCCCATGAATTAGAAATAACCCATCTTGGCCTGGCATGGTGGCTTATGCCTGTAATTTCAGCACTTTGGGAGGCCAAGGCGAGTGGAGCACTTGAGCCCAGGAGTTTGAGACCAGCTTGGGCAACATGGTAAAACCCCGTCTCTACAAAAAATACAAAAAACAAAAAAATAAGCTGGGTGTAGTGGTCCATACCTGCAGTTCCAGCTACTTGGGAGGCCAAGGTAAGAGGACTGGTTGAGCCCAGGAGCTCGAGGTTGCAGTGAGCCATGATCATGCCACTGCACTCCAGCCTGGGTGACAGAGAAAAACCATGTCTCAAAAAAAAAAAAAAAACCATCTTTTTCAATTGAAAAAATGGTCTCCCACAACCACCATTCACAATACCCATTAAAAACTGTTACAATGGTATTTCTTTTTTCTATGAAAAAAAGAATCTACCTAAGGTGGATATGCAAGTGCGGGAACATATCTTCCTGCGCTGTTTGGCTGAATTTGAAAAAAACCACGCCAAAATGGCAATTTCGTATATTTTAGATTCATGTAAATGTGAAGCAAAAATCACTTCACAGATTTAATAGTGTGAAGTTGCAAAAAAAATATAAAATCTTTCTATCCATCTACCTATGAATATGAATTATGTTTTCCTAATATAGAAACAATTCTAAGGTAAAATGGGAGGCAACTCAGGGACTGGCCAGGATTTGTCGGAGGCAACTCAGGGACTGGTCAGGATTTGTCAACAGTAGACATGCTGGCCCAGCATTGCCATTTTACTGTGAAGGGAGTAAAGCCTGAGGAGTTAAATGACTTACCCAAACTCCCCCAGGAAGTTAACATCAAAACCTGGATTCGTGCAAACATGGGCTAGCTCTGGGCTTGTTTGCCCTCAGGTACATGTCTCACCATTCCCCTGCGCTGCTGCTCAGTGTCCCTGTGGGGCTTCCTGAGCCTTCCTAGCCTCCTGGCTCAGCCAGATTCCAGCTAGGTTTGACCAGTCAGGGACACTAGCAGGAGACTGGAGAGTAGGAAGAAGGAAGAAGCCTCTTCCCTCTTTGTCTTCAGCAGAGTCCCCAGCCACCACTGCACCTCCTCCATGGTTCTAGCCACTGTCAGGCTGGCCTGCCACGGTTCTAACTTCTGCCAGGTGACCCTGGTCCCCAGGATCTGATAACACTTCCTCCTCTCCTTTTGCTTCCAGTCCAGGGGTGGAAAAAGCTTACCGCTGTTATGAATCTCGGAGCTGTCTCACCTTCTTCAGTTGGAGTTCTCACCTCTCCCATCTTCTGTGTAACCAAGTCTCTCAAATTCCCTGTTTGCAAATATTTTTGTTTTCCTGTTTAGACTCTTCATGAAATAATGGCTTTATGTTTTCTCCACAAAATGCATGTTTTTCAACTATCATTGATTCTGTGAATTGCCTCAAGTCCTTCCAGTCAGTCCCTTTTCTGTTTAAATTAGCCACAGCTGGCTTCTGTTGTTTGCAACTGAGAACGCTGATGGCTTCAATGAGAAAGAATGTGGTTGAATTTGTGGTCACATCATATTGAGTTAGAATCTCTAAGGAGATCCCCTGACAAGGATCCGTTCTAAAAACCACACAGATGTTTCTGTTCCTAGACAGTGTTCTTCAGTTAATATGGTTGTTAATAGACATGGTAGAGCAGCGGATATAGTTTGAGAATTTGGAGTCAAAAGCCCATGGTCCTCCCACTTTTAGTGTCAATATACAGCTAGAAATAATGTCCCACAGGAAATTGTTTAAAAAAACAGATCATCCTTTTCTCGTTGAAATAATGATTTTATTAGTGGTTAAGTTTATAAAATGCTTAGGTTCTTATAAATCACAAAAACTAAAACTTTCTTTGCATGTCTGTTACCCTTATTCGAATGTGAGCTTCTCAGATGGAAGGATTGTATCTAACTCTTTTCATTTGTATGTCCCCAGCATCTGTCTAGAATAAATAAACACCCAATAAATGTTTATAAGATGCCTAACCAACAATATATCACAAAGGCAAAACTACAACTATAAACCTCTACAATAAAATAAAATAAAACACATTCTCCAACTGCTATAAAATAAGCATAATAATTTTACACTAACAAAAGAGGCTGCAATGGGCTATAAAATGTACAGAGAACATAAGCAATTATTGTTAAATTTGACCTAAAACTCTAGTAGGTATCAGAATAACTTTGATGATTAAAGTAGGATTAACATTGGAAGGTGAAATAGAGAGGATTAAGAAGCAATTTCAAAATCTAAAAACTCAAGTAAGGAATTAAACAAGAAAGATCATCTGAAGAATAAATACTAATATTATATTCAATATTTAATATTGTAGGATCCATATTTAGTCTTCTGCTAAAATATTGAATCATTTGGATGGTTTTAGTTCTTAAGAAGAGCTCATAATTGATGGAACAAAAACTCAAATCTTTCTCATGGCTCATGATTTTTCACAAAACCAAACTCCCTCCATAATTGTTTGATATTAATCAAGATATGATATCAAAACCAAATATTTTGATAGACTGAACCATCCTTATACCCTTGAAGAACAACACCTTTTACTTCTTTGTAAGAGCATTTTCTGATACTTGATATTTTCTAGCCCGTTCAGCCTGTCTGCATTTTAGTAAAATGAAGTACAAAATCAAATTATAGACAATGTGTAACCACCAGAACTTAACACACTCTACCCAATTAACATCTGTTAGGCAGCTGTAAGTAGCAATGGCAATCCCAGGTGATTATAACTACTGAAGAAGTTTGTGTAACCTAAACCCAACGATTAGCACAAAGGCAAAGTAACCCTTACCACTCCGTGGAACTTGGATTCCTGGAGGTCTTACAGATGGGATACTAGTATCACTTTTTCTGTAAAAATTATTAATAGTTTAGGTACTGCAATATAATAATATCCAATTCATTTTAAAACTATTCTTTTGCTACCAAGAAATATTTGAAAATAAAATGAAAGTACAATGCAGGAAGAAAAATATTAGGAAGTAGGGAGGCAAAGGATAGAAGTAAATATGGTGGTGTTGTTCCTAAAGCCGGGAAACTGGGCCCAGTTCTCACTTCTTCCGATTCTCACTGAGGCCGTAAGGAAGGAAGAAACTTTGAGACTGGGAGACTCACCGTCACTTCCCACAAGGCACAGATTCTACTGAAGGTTTGCTCCTTCTCATTCCACCACGATGTCATAAACACTGATAGTTGATTACAAATATTTTTATTTACCTTTAAGAGTTTATTGTAATTCAATTAAGAACCTCTTCTGAGAGGCTCCTGAGTAAAGAACCATGTATGGGGTGATGAGTGACACAAAGATGACTCGTGATTGTGTTTTCCCTTCCCTCTCTTCTCAAGAGTTTCTAGCTATTGAGAGAGGCAGGCATGAAAACCAACTCAAGTACAAAGTAAACCACTGTATAAACTAAAAGGGAAGTTATAGTCTCTGAGAGGAAAGAGATACTATTCACAAAAGGGAGAATCAGGAAAGATTCTATTTAAGAGGTGACTTTGAGTCTGGGCTGTGAGAGGTGGCTTCAGAAGGAGTATGGCATGTGGGAAATGGCAAGTCACCTGATGTGATCCTAGCAGTTCCGATTGTCTATGTGGGGGCCACATTCTGGTGGGAAGAGAAAGCAGGTGCAGTGCTGGGGGAGGTTGTGGGTGAAGAGACTAAAGCCTGCCTCCCATCCCACCCCAGCACTGCCTTGGAACATGACAGGTGTATAGGATATTTGGACAGATGTATGTGTGTAATGAAAATGCAAAAACCTACTGGGAGCAGATTGTGTGGGACCTGAAATGCCTAGGAGTTTGAACTTGATTGCACAGGTGATGAGGACCGCTGAAGGTGTTTGAACAAGAGATTGATGTGTTATGACCTGTGTGTGTTTTTTACACTCTCTCTAGAGCAGTGTGAAGGAGTGAGGGGGGAATGATAAAAGCTTGAACTCATCGAAACACCCAAACACATCCACAGATTCATCACACAGCATCTAGAGGCTGCCAGTGAGGGAGATAAAAATAGCCATAACAAAAAGAATAATAAACACTTGTACAGCATTTCCTTTGTGCCAGGCATTATTCTAAGCACTTGACCTATATCAACCCCTTTAATCCTCACTATAACCATATGAAGTAGGTGCTATCATTACCCTCCTTTTACAGATAAGGAAACTGAAGGTTAGGTGACTTGCCCAAGGTTGTGGCAGAGCTGGGTTTTGAACTCATTCGGTTGGCTCCAGAGGTCAGGCTAGTAACCACTGCCCCAGAGTGCCTCTGCAGCAATGCCTGGGGTTCACTGGTGAATCAGTGCTACAGGTATGGGGACAGGAAAAAGGAAAGGAAGCAGGAAAATCAGGAAGTGAAAGGAGAGGAGATCCACTTATTCATGGGATCTAAAAATCAAAACAATTGAACTCACGGACATAGAGAGTAGAATGGTTACTGGAGGTGGGAAGGGTAGTGGGGGTTGGGTGGGGAGTTGGGGAAGGTTAATGGGTATTAAAAAATAGTTAGAAAAAATGAATAAGACTATTTGATAGCACAACAAGGTTACTATAGTCAATAACTTAATTGTACATTTTAAAATAGCTAAAAGAGTGTAATTGGATTGTTTGTAACACAAAGGACAAATGCTTGAGGGGATGGATATGCATTCTCCATGATGGGATTACTTCACAGTGCATGCCTGTATCAAAACATCTCACGTACCCCATAAATATATATACCTACTGTGTACCCACAAAAAGTAAATTTTTTTTTAAACTTAAAAAAAGAAAAGAGAGGAGATCAAGTAGAAAGTACCAGAGAAAATAACCAATTGCTCACAGTAGGGAGCACCTGAGGTCCTGTAGTAATACTCTCAGATGCCACCCAGTGCTACCCCTGACATAAACTCTGTATCCTTATAGCAGAAAGCTTAGATTTTCTGAAACTGAGTTCATCATCTAAGGGAAGATTTAAGGAATGACAGCTCTAAGAACTGTTGTGATCGAAGTAAATAATCAGAAACAGCTCGGTCTGCCAGATGCATTACACAACACATTACTTTGAAAAACTAGCAATTTAAAGAAGTGAAATGGACCATGAAAATAATTAAATGGGCTGGGTTTCCTATTTAGGAAGAACTCTCTAAGTTATTTAAGGTATTTCACCATCAGATCCAGCTTCCCTCTTACTATTCTCTTCCAAAACAATTAAACTATTTCCTGTTTCCAAATCAACCCTCACTCCCCACAATGTCTGCATCCCAAATTATATTTTCAAGACACAGAATTTGTCCTCAGTTTGCCTTTTCAAATGCACTCTCCACCCTTCTTCAGTTTGCTCTAGCCCCGGAGGCTGGCTTCTACAGCCTGGGTCAACAGCCCTCGACTCGCATTTCTGGCTCTGGTTGTGTTCACCCAGTGAGGGTCTGGTAGACAATGAGATGGGAGGGGATGTGAGGTCAGGATATTTTTTCCCCATTGTCTTCCCCGGGAGACCACCTGGGCTGCTGTCTCCCTTGGCTACGTCTCCTTGCTCCCCATAAGGCAGCCTTCTCTTAGGCCTCTCCTTGCGGTTTTAAAAACCATGCCTTCTCTCCATGGCTCTTTTGTGGCAGCGCTACTGTTACCACCTGGGCTATTGCATCATCTCCTGTAGTTCCTCTACACCCCTCCCACCCTTTTAATATAGACCCTCTGTTCATCTGTCCTGAATTATCCTAAGGCAAGTGAGGGTGCTATCCCTTTCCTTTTGGGGCTCAGATATATTTTTCCACTATGATGCCCTCTCTCCTGTGAACTCTCGCAAAACTCGATTTTTATCCCTTTGAAGGCACTGTTCTTTTGAAAATGACAATATTTGCATACATATTTTAAGTCTGTTCCTTACAGCAATCTCAGTGTTTGAGGACAAAGGCTGGATTTTATTCATTTGCAGTCACCCTAACTTGAGTGCCTGAGCCCAGCGGGGATACTCAATGAATGTTAAAAGCAGGGCTGAATGGCAAGGACACAAACAAGAATATTGTTGCATTGTTTAAGTTGCCCTTACGATTGCTAATCTAATGCTGTCATTTTAACGTTAAAACTAAAGTTCTTTCACATTACGTAGCAAAAGTCTACTTCACTTCTAGATCATGAAATTGCAGTGCTGGG
This sequence comes from Homo sapiens, assembly GCF_000001405.40. Taxonomy (NCBI): domain Eukaryota; kingdom Metazoa; phylum Chordata; class Mammalia; order Primates; family Hominidae; genus Homo; species Homo sapiens. The sequence goes on from NC_000001.11 coordinate 146,557,245, forward strand.
TCTGAGCTGTCTGCAGAACTAGAACTCCTGTCTCCTTTCCTCCCCATCTCACACTAGTCAGAAATATGCTCTGATGATGTGCCTCTCTGTGTGTTGCAGGCCTTTCTCTATAGAACCAGCTATTGGAACTCTTAATGTGGGAGAGTCCATGCAACTGGAAGTGGAGTTTGAGCCACAGAGTGTGGGCGATCACAGTGGAAGACTTATCGTGTGTTATGACACAGGTATGCAGTATTCTTTGTTAAAAGTTCTACATATTAAGAAAGGTCAGATGAGAATGTTCTCACTCATAAGTGGGAACCAAGCTACGAGGATGCAAAGGCATAAGAATGATACAATGCATTTTGTGGACTTGGGGGAGAGGGCAGGAGGAGGGTGAGGGATAAAAGACTACACACTGAGTACAGTGTACACTGCTTAGGAGATGGGTGCACCAAAATCTCAGAAATCACTACGAAAGAACTTATTCATGTAACTAAACACCACCTGTTCCTCCAAAAAACCACTGAAATTAAAAATAAATAAATAATAACAAAATCAATTTTAAAAAATTTAAAAAGGTCAGATGGGAAATATGATAAAGCTGAATAGGAAATGGTTATTTTGGCTGCATTCGAGTAAGCTAAGATCCACAAGATAAAAAAAAAAAAAAATGAATGCCTCCAGTAGAAATGATGTGGAGTCAGAAATCCCCCTAACTGGTGTCCCCAGTGCTTGAAAGCCTGAGGAATACAGGACTCAGGAAGGAGCCCATCCCCAGGAGCCACACTGGTGGATTGAGGTTGTCTGTATATTAAAATTTGCAGGTAATTTAATGCCCCATGGGTTTTCCATTTGACTTATTGTGATATTTGTCTAACATTTTAAAAATGTAAACCCCAATTCAGAATGTTCTTATATGTGCCCACTAGTCTATTAAGATCCGGTTACTTTAATCCTTAGAACATGCAAATATCCTACGTAACATCTTACAGGAATATAGGACTGTATCTGTTGCCACTAGTATTTTCTTGAAGGCCACACCCTCCATAATCACGAAAATTACACATTGTTGCAAATATTTAATTTATGGTCATGTAGATGGCATGTACATTATGCAGTCTCCAAAGTTGGCTTCCAAATTAATATTTTACATTGCCATTTATTATTTTATGCTTTTTCTCATTTCCTTCTCACTTCTGCTTCACCCATTCATGTTGATTGACCCAGATTATCTGCAGAAGGGCGTTGTAGGGAGAAAACAGAGGCGCACAGCCGGGGAAAGAGTAAGCTAAGATCCACAAGATGAAGAACCCACAGAAATGATGTGGAGTCAGATAGAAATCCAACCTAACTGGTGTCATTGATGCTTGAAAACTTGAGGAATGCAGGGCTCAGGAAAGAACCCATCCCTGGAAGTCACACTGGTAGATTGGGGTGATCTGTGTGTAGATAGAAACTTGAAGGTACACCCAGAGAAGGAGCAGCACAAGGCATCTAGAGTGTAGTTCAGAGTTGCTGGCTTTGTGGACGTGTATTTGAGCAGGACGACTCAAGCCCTTGCCTTAGGTCCCATGGTTAAGTGGCCCTAGCTCCACATTGCTCAGCAGAACAATGCCACAGACCAGCCAGTGATGTGGTCTATCTGTTTTGTCTATTAGTTTTAGCCACACTCGTTGGCTGCTAGCAAGAGAAACTAGCTTAAGAAAAGGGGGAACGTTTGACCCATAAAACCAAAGGGTAGAAGGCTGAAAGCACAGCTCATAACACATTGGGGCATCAGTTTTCCAAGATAGTTGTGTCATTTTACATTCCCACCAGCAAGGCATGAGAGTTCTAGTTGCTTCACATCCTCACCAACATGTAGTGCTGTTTTGTCAATTTTAGACATACTAGTGGTATAAAGCGATGTCTATCAGTGGTTTTAATTTTCATGTCCCTAATGATTAATGATGTTGCGTGCCTTCTCAGGTGCTTACTGGCCATTCATTTATCTTTTTAAGTGTCTGTTCAAGACCTTTCTTTGCTTATTCTTTTGTTATTAATTTGTAAGTACCTTTTATTACTCAGTATTCTAAATACTAGTCATTTGTCAGATATATGTATTATTAATATTTTCTCCAAGTCTGTAGCTTGCCTTTTCATTTCCTTGATAATATTTCTTTATAAGCAGCGAGTTTGAATTTTGACAAAATCCATGTTATCAGTTTTCTTTTCTTACAAGATTAACACTTTTTGCCTCCGTGCTAGGAAATCTTTGCCTTCTGCAAGATCATGAATATAATCTCCCATGTTTACTTCTGGAAGGGTTATAGTTTTAGCTCCTGTCTTTAGGTTAATGCCTCATCTTTTATTTAATTTTTGTGTATGTGTGATGTAGAGGCCGTGTGTCATTGTTTCCCCATATGCATTATTTGCTGTTTTCCTTCTTGTTCTGGAATATGGAATACTCTATTATTCCAATACTTAATCTATTATTGCACTGTTATTCATTCATTTTTACCTCTATATTTTCCATTTCTTTTCCTCTGTAGACTGATCTGGATACTTTCTTTTTATTCATTATTCCATTCAATAATCCCCTCTTCAGTGAAGTCTCACCTGCTGAGTTTTAACTTTTTAATTATTATTATTGTTTTTATTTCTGGAAGTTTTATTTAGTTCTTATCAAATCTGACTGCTCTCCCCTCTTTTATTTTTCAAGTTTCCCTTTGATTTCTTAAATATATTAAGTGTGGTTTTTTTATATTTTGTATCTGATAATTCAAATTAAGTCTACTTATTTAGTTTGCTGTTTATTGTTTCTGCTGGTTTTCAACCAGGGTATCTTATGTCTTTTTGTGTTTTGTGATTTTTGGATTTGAAATTCCAACTCTGGGCAGGCCCTGAACTTTATCTGCTGTCCTCGGCACATAATGCAATCTTTAAAGCAGAAATCCGAAGGTTCACAAAAGCCATTAGGGCAAAGGCTAGCCTTGGCACTAGACTATTTCTTGGTATGCTTGTCTTCACATTGATGTCCTTATTGTCCTATCAGGTTAGTGATCAATTTAAAAGTATTTGTAAAAATATTTTCTCAGCCGACTGCGGTGGCTCACACCTGTAATTCCAACATTTTAAGAGGCTACAGCAGGAGCATTGCTTGAGCCCAGGAGTTTGAGACCAGCCTGGGCAACACAGCCAGACTTCGTCTTTACAAAAATAAACACAAATTAGCTGGGTGTGGTGGTGCATGCCTGTGGTCCCAGCTACTTGGGAAGATGAGGTGGGAGGATTGCTTGAGCCTGGGAGTCAAGGCTGTGGTGATCCTGCCACTATACTCCAGCCTGGGCAACAGAGCGAGAGTCTGTCTCTAAAAATAAATTAATAAATAAATAAAACAAATAAAAATATTTTCTCAAGTATTTTGATGAAGTCCCTAGTTTCATTGGCTGCCTGAAAGTGACTCCAGTGTATGCCTTTTTCACATTGTTCATTATTATTTATAGACTAGTTCCTTCTTTCCTACTACTTTATAGTCCTGTCTCTCCATCGTGTTATAAACATAGTTTATCCTTCCATGTATTTGGTTTTCTTTACTTTTTCTCAGCAGTAGTTTTCTATGTAGAAGCCTTGAATATTTTCATTAGATCTATTCCTATTCAAGTCCTTTCTTCACTTGTTCTTTAATCATTAATTTGTAAGCATTCAGTGGTTTTTGATGTTAGTATAAGTGGTTTTTTATTGTATTTTTATTGAGGTATAATTTAAATATAAAATGCACAGAGCATATACAGTTTGATAAGTTTTGACAAGTGTATCTACCTATGTACCCACTGCCCAATTCAAGAGACAGAACAGCCACTGCCTCATGCTGATTCCCAGGCAACCCCTCCATCCTCCACCTAGAAGCTCTGATTTCTATCACCCTATATTAATTTTCCTTCTTCTTGGACTTCAAATAAATGCACTCATACAGTATCTACTCTTCTGTGTCTTGTTTCTTTCCCTCAACATAATGTTTTTGAGATTTATCCATGTCCTTGTGTATGGCAGTAACTCCCTTTTTATTGCTAAGAAGTATTCTACTGTATGGTTACATATAATTTATTCATTCCCCTATTAATGTAAATATGGATTTTTGAAGTTTTGGGCTATTATGAGTAAAGCTTTAGTAACCATTCTTTGGGAGGCCAAGGCAGGCGAATTGCCTGAGCTCAGGAGTTTGAGACCAGCCTGGGCAACATGGTGAAACCATGTCTGTACTAAAATACAAAAAAATTAGGCAGGCATGGCGGCATGTGCCTGTGGTCCCAGCCACTCAGGAGGCTGAGGCAGGAGAATTGCTTGAACCCGGGAGGCGGAGGTTATAGTGAGCAGAGATCGCACTACTGCACTCCAGCCTGGGCAACAGAGCAAGACTCCATCTCCAAAAATAAAAAATAAAAAATAAAATAACCATTCTTGTACACATCGTGTGTGTGTGCGTGTATGTGTGTGTGTGCAGATATACATATGTTTTTATTTCTCTTGGGTAAATATTTAAAAGTAGAATTGCTGAGTGATATAGTCATCATATGCTTAACTTTGTAAGAAACTTCCAAATGGTTTTCTAAAGTGGTTGAACCATTTTATTTATATTCCCACCAGCAATGAAGGTATGAAATTCCACATTCTCATCAACTCTTGGTCATGTCAGTCTTTTAATTTTAGCCATTCTACTCGGTATAAAGTGGTACCTCATTTTGGTTTTAATTTGCATTTTTCTAATAATGAATGATGTTGAGTGTCTTTTCATGTGCTTTTGCCCATTTTGATGTCTTTTTTTCTGAAGTACATGTTTAAGTCTTTTGCCCATTCTTTATGGGGTAGTTTATCATTTTGTTGTTGACTTGTAGTTTTAAAAAATATATTCTTGGCCGGGCATGGTGGCCTGTAATCCCAGCACTTTGGGAGGCCAAGGTGAATGGATCACGAGGTCAGGAGTTCAAGACCAGCCTGGCCAACATAGTGAAATCCCATCTCTACTAAAACTACAAAAATTAGCCGGGTGTGGTGGCATGCACCTGTAGTCCCAGCTAATCAGGAAGCTGAGGCGGGAGAATAGCTTGAACCCGGGAGGCAGAGGTTGCAGTGAGCTGAGACCAAGCCATTGCACTCCAGCCTGGGTGACAGAGTGAGACTCCATCTTAAAAAAGAAAAAGAAATATATATATATATTCTTTATATAAGTCTTCCAGAAATAATTATTGTGAATATTTTCTCACAGTGAGAAATTAATTTTCTTAATGTCTTTTTATTAGCAGAACAATTTAATTTTGATGAAGTACAGTTTATCTATTTTAATTTTATAGCTAGTGTGGTATTTTTTCCCAAGCTTATTTTCTAAATTAATGTGGCTTTATTAAACTACAGTTAAGTTTTGTATATTGAGCTTTTATCTGCAGACTTTGCTAAATTTACTTCTGACTTATCCGTAGATGATTTTGGATTTTGTATATACACAAACAGGTCATCTGCAGATAATAATAGTTTTTATTTTGTTCAATCCTTATGCTCTTCATTTCTTATTCTTTCTTCCACAGGCTAGACATTAGCATGCTGTGCATTGGAAGTAATGACAGCAAATATCTTTCTCTTGTTCTCAGTCTCAGAAGAGAAGTGCTCAGTATTTCATCATTTAGTATGATGTTTGCTATAGGTTTTTATTGGAGACTCTATCAGGTTAAAAAAATTTCCTTCTATCTCTAGGTTTCTAAGACTTTTAATCTTGAATAGATGTTTAATTTTGTCAAATACTCTGCATTTGTTGACATGATTGTACATTATTTCACCTTTATTCTTCTAATGCGATGGTTGATTTTGAAATGCTAGATTCCTGCTGTGTTCTGGGATAAACTCAAGTTTGTATATTATCATTTTAATACATCATTGGATTATATTTGCTAATATTTTGTTCAAGAATTTGGCATCCAAATTAATGAGAAAGATTGGCCTGTAATTTTCTGTTCATGTAATGCCCTTGTCAGAACAAAACAAATTGGTCTCATAAAACAAGTTGGGAATTGTTCTCTCTTCTTAATTCTCTAGAGAAATTGTTTTAGAGAGTCATGTTATTTCTTCCTTAAATAATTGAAAATTTTATTCTTTAAGCCATTTGTTTAACCTCACTTTTTAAAAGGGGGGCAGCTTTTTAATGATTGATTCTGTTAAACTTTTTCAATAAACTTTTCCATTTAATCTAAAATCTTAAAATTTTGGCATAAAGTTGTTCAGAACCCTTCTTAATCATTGTTTGCTATAGGATCCTTGGTGATATCTCCTCTTTTCTTATTGGTAATTTGTATCCTCCTCTTTTTTTTTTCTTGAACTATATTGTTAGGGGTTTATCAGTTTTTTTTAGTTTATTCAAAGAACCAACTCTTAGTTGATTATTTTTATTGTTCACTTCTCAATTTCATTGATTTCACCTCTTCATTTTTTCAGGCCTTCTACTTTCTTTAGGTTTGATTTGTTATGATTTTTCTAGATCTTAACAGGGATGCTCAGAATATTGATGTTCAGCCTTTCTTCTTTTATAATACATGCATTTAAGACAATACATTTTCCTCTAAAATTGACTCAATCTTCAGCCCATATGTTTTTACATATTTTGTTTTTAACACTTGATTGAAAATATTTTAGAATTTACATTTTTATTTCTTTTTTGACACATGGGCTATTTAGCAATGCGTTGATTAATATTCAAACATTAGGGAATTTTCTAGGTCTCTTTTTGTTATTGATTTCTTGTTTAATCCTACCAGTGACAGAAAGCAAGTTCTATACGATTTCAGGCCTTGAAATTAGTTGAGACTTACATTATGACCCAAAATATGTTCCATTTTGGTAAATGTTCCCTGTACGCTTCAAAAGGGTACACCTTCCATAAATGTCAATTAGGTCAAATTTGTTAATAATGATGCCATTCAATCTATATCTTTACTAACGTTTTGTCTCCTTGTTTTATCAGTTATTGGAAGATGTCATTAAAATCCACAACTACAACTTAGGTGTTCCTCTTTTTTGGTGCTAATAATTTTCATTTTATATATTTCGAGGCCATGATACTTGACGTATACACATGTAGGATTATTATAACTTCCTGTTGAATTAACCATTTTATTATAAAATGTCTCAATCTTTAGTAAGATTTATGACACTAAAGTCTACTCGATCTGATATTTATACAACATAGAAGCTTTCTTTTGATTAGTGTGGACATAGTACAATCTGTTTATCCTTTCACTTTCAACCTTCCTCACATTTAAAGTATGACATTTGGAAGCATCACCAATGAGGCTGATTATTAAATCCGGTCTGAAAATCTTTGTCTTTTAATTGTACTATTCAGTCATTTTATGTTAAATGCAATTATAGATATATTTGAACCTCCTGTTTGACTATTAAGTAATTGTTCCCATTATGGTAAAATTATTAGCTGAATTTCAGCCAAAACCATTGTGTTACTGGTACTGATAGTGGATGAAACTGAAGAAACATATGCCTGCTAATAAATATGGTCAGTGATACATTTTTTTTCTGTCTGGATCTCCATATTTTTGTTGATTTTGCATACATCTTATGTCTTATATCCTTGTTGATTTTGCTTATGTTAGTTGCTGAAACGAAGTGTCAGAATAAATGTGGCCTTAGAATTAGATTTGGGTCACTGTATCACGAGATTTTAAATCAGGAGTTTGAAAAAGAATGAAGCATAGTCAACCCTTTTACTCTTATTAAAATAATTGTTGGTAAAAATAGTAAATACATTATCTTTAAAATAATTGTTTATTTCATCTTTATCTCATTCTTTTAAACATTTGGGGGTATTTTTAATACATTTGACACATGAGCAATGTAGCATATGGGTATAATTTATAAATAAACAACTCTACATATGTTGGGGTATAATTTCAAAAAACGCTATTTGTTGAGTTTTGAGTTCAGCTGATTTAGAGTGCTTATAGCTCAATAGAATCAAAACTTGAGTGACGACTTCAGTGATAACCTCATCTAACCCTTAGATTTTACAGACAGAGAAACTAAAGCCCTAAGAAATTAAGTGGCTCACCCAAGGTCACAGAACTAATCAGAAGCCCAAATAGAAGCCCAGTTAGAAGCCAGACTCAGCCTCTTACCTCCTGGGCAGTGTTCTTTCACTATAGCAGATCGTCTCATCTCCCATATAACTCTGTGTGCATTTGTGCTCTCTTGATGTGCTGCCTTTGAAATGCGGCTGCATTTTGCCAGCCTCCCTGGATATCAATTTTACTTTTATGTAAGCATTTGGAATGACACCCATACTTACATATATACTGCTGTGCTAAAGGAAAGATAGGTTGAACCACAATAAATATTTGTGTATTAAAATTTAATCATTCAGCCAGGGGTGGTGACTCACGCCTGTAATCGGGAGGCCAAGGCAGGCAGATCACAAGGTCAGAAGATCGAGACCATCCTGGCCAACATGGTGAAACCCCATCTCTACTAAAAATACAAAAATTAGCTGGGTGTGATGGCGTGTGCCTGTAATCCCAGCTACTTGGGAGGCTGAGGCAAGAGAATTTCTTAAACCAGGGAGTCGGAGGTTACAGTGAGGCAAGATCGTGCCACTACACTCCAGCCTGGCGACAGAGCTAGACTCCATCTCAAAAAAAAAAAAATTAATCATTCATAGAAAAGTTGGTTTCTACCTCCTGAGGTTCTGATGTTACCTTTGGTGAATGAATAAAGTCATATTCTGAAGATTGCAGAGGTAAACTGTCTTATAGCATTTTTCCTTACATGAAATGAACTGCTGCTAAGAATATGCTTTCAATCTTTATTGTGGGTTGTTAATGACCAGAATCCATAACCTTTCATTAGTGAAAAATGCTAATAACTGCCTAAACACAATTAATCATGAAGCTTTTCCAAGCAGCCATGATCATTGGCTTTTCATTTCATTAAATAAGCATCCGATTGAACTTTCTGCCGCTGTTTGAAATATGAATTTATTTGGGGAAGGAAATTTAACATGGGCTGTTGATGAGTCTTTTCTTTATAATTCCTAAAACAATGTTCCAGAAGGAGCAGCATTGACACTCCTCAGCAGGAAGTACTCAATCACGTTCCTAACAGTGGCATTTGTTCCTTCCGTTTCTGGCCCTCCGCTGAATATATTCTTGATTAAATGAAGTTAGGAGATTTCTTTGCTTTTTCTGACAACCAGAGTTTGAACCAGTGCTCTAGCAATTAAGGAGGTTGAGCATAAAAATGTTTCAGCAATATCTAATATTTTACCCATTAATGTTTTTCTGAACCAGAATTCTCCCCTCCTTTCTCTTTTCCTCTTTCTCCCTGTGGGTGCCTGCGTATAGTAAAATCAAGTTTGTTTAAGCAGTTGATTTTACCTGAGAAATGATTTAATTATCTTTTTTATTATAGTCTAAAATTGAGAAAGAACTGATGCAAGGTGATACCTTTTATAAACTCATCCCTCCAGAAGAGATTAAAAATACAATTACTCAAGGCTACATTGATAACAACAAAACCAAACCAAAACCAAATCCAAAACCAAACAAATAACTGGAAGTATCATTTGCCTCTGAAGAGACAAACAAATGGTTAATTGCTGAAGTTTTGCACTTTTCAACTGAGTCTTGAGAAATTAATATAATCACAGGATTCAAGGAGATATTACTATTCAGAACAGCATTTCAAAAAAGACATTTGAACAAAATAAAAAAAGGAAAAAGAAAAAAGATATTTGTATTGAAACTTTGGTTACTAGAATGAGTACCAGAAATAGTAGTGTAGGGGGTTTCTTCTTCAATGCCTGATGAGGTTACTCTTCTCACCTTAGAAGTGACATTAACCATTGGCATACTCAGGAAATAGAGTTGATGCACGTATTCAGCGTTTTTTAAAGTATTATGTCTCTTACTGAAGAGGAGATACTTTAGGAGTCAGCAGTTGGCAAGTAACCTTTTTCCCCAAAGGTGTGATGGTGTGTTATTATTAAATATACACACAGTCATAATATTAGTGCTTCACACGGCAGCTTTATAGTAATTTACATATTTTACTCTAGTAAGCTTTCTAAAACCGTAAAGAATTTTTCTTTTTTTCCTCATAAAGGCCAATAGAGGCATACCAAAATATAATATAGTCAGTAATTGACTGTAATGTTGCTGCTTTGCAGTTGAAAATGCTAAATAATATCTATCTGAATCTATTAATATCTATGCAGACTTACCCACATCAACTTTGTTTCAATGGTGGGATTATTATTAATTATAAATGTGTGCTGTTATAACTAGAAAATCTAGCCAAACAGAGGTATTGTAAAAGAAGCAAATGTTTTAACATGGCTTTAGAAGCAATGGAAACATTACTTGACCTTGTTTTCTTTTCTTTGTTTCTTATTCCATAGCTTAGAATAGGAAGTAGCAGAAGTTAAGACACTCTGATTGTCAGGGCTTTAAATGTTTAGGGAAGTGAGATAAGGTTTCCATAAGTTCATAGCAAGTGAAGACTTGCAAATTAGCAGGTGTTAGTATTTAAAGGGACGTTTCTTTAACTCCCTTCATTTTAGTGATAAGTAAACTGAAGCCCAGAGACGTTAAATGACTTTACAGCTCAGTAAAGCTGGAATTTGAACCCAGGTCTTTGGGACCCCCTGAGGCCAGTACACTTTCTGCATTTCACACTGCCTTCTGTGCAGACTGAGAATACCGGTTTTGGCATTGCCACTGACATGCCAGGTGAGCCATCAAGTTGCTTAAGTTTCCTGAACAAAGAGCACTTCCAAAGAAGTTCGGTTCAGTAATGCACTACCGTAGTGAATTTGACCCTGTTGTCACCAAGTGATGAAAAACTTTCCATCAACTTGTTAGTTCCCTGGAAAATCTATGGCTCCACCCATAAATTTAACTTAGTGTCCTCTGTTGTCTGAGAGTACTGAAACCATAGTATGAAGTGTATTATATATATAGTTACCTTCACATTCATTTTTGTAAAATTAGTTTTGTTCATATTTGTTTTTACTTGATTGATGGTAGCAAACCTGGCAAGAGATAGTGAGACCTTCCACAAAATATGTCTGTATTGGGATGTAGTAAAAGATTGTTCCTAAGCCTATCTACAATGATTGCAGCATGCAACTCCGGAAACCAAAAAGGCACCAGTGCGGGAACAGGTCCTCCAAGGACACAAAGAATGCTAATGTTGAGGAACAGCTTCCCCATCCATTCCTGGAGACATGACACCACTTCCAACCACTTCAAAGTAGCTAAGGGTTGGGGAACCTTTTTCAGGTTGTCTCTATAAAAGTAGGTATTATAAAAACCAAATACTTCAACAGCTTTGGGGATAAGAGAAGAGTTATTGCTTCCTTCACTTTGTGGAGCTGATGAGTTTTGGAAGATAGTGGTGAAAAAAATCAATATTGGATGGTTCTTGAAAAAAAAATAGCTTTTGCTATATTTCTGGGAAGGAAGACTTTTGCAGTGAGCAGCTCAAATTAATGACATTAGTCTCTCTGACCCCTAGGTTGCGTGAAATAAGCCCTTGGATCTCTTATTCCCTTTGATTATTTTTTTAAACAATGACATATTTCAGATAACCACAAAAACACAGAGAATAATATAATCAACACCTGTTATATGTAACACATCTCAACCTTTTGCCGTACACATTTCTTTCTAGAGGTTTTATTTTTTTTGGATAATCAAACTGATTACAGACCTGAAGCCACTTTGTTACCCTTTTCTGATCTAATTCCCATATCTTGCTCCTCAGAGGAGCTTTACTGGGTGCATTTTAATGCTATTCCTACATATTTACTTATCCATAAACAATATATAGTATTGTCTTGAGCAGTTTTAAAGTTCACATAAATGGTATCATACTGTACATAAAATTCTCCAACTTGCTTTTTTCATTCAATGTTGTTTTAAATATTTAAACACGTAGATACACATTACTCTGATTCATTTTAATGAATGTGCCACATTCCAGTATGTGAAAATTGAATATTTACTTCTTTGCTTCTAAAAACAGTGTTGCATTGAGCAGCTTCGTACAGTGTCTTCTTGGGCAGCTGTGTGAGATTTTCCTTCAGGATAAATACCTACAAGTGCAATTGCTGGGGTGTAGGGCAAAATTATCCTGAGCTTTACTGGATACTAAATTGGCTTGTCAAGTTGTGGCAATTTATACTTTCATCAGAAGTATACAAAAATTCTTTTTCCATATTCTTGCCAATATATTGCTAAAACGATATTATAAAACTGTTTGATTTTTGTTTGTTAATTTGATGGTCATGAAATGATATTTTATATTTCTTTTATTACTAGTGCTATCTTGCAGCTGTACATGTTTCTTAGAGGTCCTGTATCCCTTTTACAGTCAAGTTTTTGGATGGGTCATGTATTTATTTCTTTTGAATGAGTTTCTTTTTCATTTTTAGGTAATCAAATTTCTTAGTGTTTTAGAGGGATCTGGATTTTGAGTCATAGTTAGAAAACTTTTCCCTCTCTAAAGTTATGAAGAAATTCTCATTTATATTGTTTTATATATATGGCTTCATATTGAACATTTAAATATTTGACTCACTTGACATTTATTCTGATATAAGATATGAGATATGTTTTTTCATATGGCTATGAAGTTGTCCTAACAATACTTTTTTTTTTTTTTTTACAAATATGTCTTTATACCAATGATTTGAGATACTGCCTTTATAATATACTAAATTCCAGTGTGCATTTGGGTCTGTTTTGACTTCATTCTATTCCACTGATCTGTCTCTTCATGCACTGCTACCATGCTATTAATATTTTAATTACCGAGACTTTACTATATTTTAATTCTATCAATTTCTATTTTATAGATGTTTTTAAAATGCGTTTTGAGTTTTGTCGAATTCTTTTTCAGCATCAGTGAGGATCATACCATTTTTTTTCCTTAGATCTATTGCTACATAAACAGATTTCTAGTAGTGGGACATTATTGCATTTCTGGAATAAATTCCACTTGGTTATGAAGTATCATTCCTTTAATGTGCTGATATATAATGATTAGCTATTTTTATTCAGAAATTTTACATTGTTATTCAGAAGTGCAATTGGCCTATAGATTGGCCTATATCATTGTTATATCTTTATCAGATTTTAATAACAATGTTATACTGAAAAATACAGTGTTGGAAATTAAGAACTAATGGTATGACTTTAGCAGCAAAATGGATACTGCAAAAGATAGGATTAGTGAACCTGAAGACAGGTCAATAGAAAATACCCAAACGGAAGCACAGAGAGAAATAGAAAAGAATGGGGAAAAAATAGAACAGCCAAGTGGGACACAGTCAGAAGGTCAACATACATGTAACTGGAGTCTCAAAAGTGGAGGAGGAAGAATGGAGTAGAAAATATTTTAAGCAATAATGGCTGAGAATTTTCCAGAAATGATACATGACCTTAATCCAGAGGTTTATAAACACTGAGCAAGCCTGTGGTGGTACAAGTACAAAGAAAACCAAACTTAGGCATATTATGGTTAAATGGCTGAAATCTAAAGCAAAGAGCACATTATAAAAGTACCCAGAGAAAAAAGATACATTACCTTAACAGGAACACTAAGAATACTGATGGCAAAATTTTCTGCTGAAATTATGGAAGCTGGAAGACAGTCAAATGGCACTGTTGAAGCACTGAAAGAAAACAATGCAAATTTATACCACTTTTAAAGTATTCTTTAAAAGTGAAGACAAAAGAAAGATATTTGCAGACAAAAAAAAGCTGGAAAATTTGTGTAGAACTCTTGAATGGCATTGTTTTCACCTTTGTCATATTGAAGATATCATTCCATTATTTTTTAGTTTCCATTGTTTCAGTTCAAAAGTTAGGTGTAATTCCAAGTGTGGAAACTTTAAAAATAATGTTTTTTTCCTCAGGCTGCTTTCAGGATTTTTTCTTTGTCTTCGGTTTTCTTCAGTTTCACTGCAATATATTCAGGTCTGATTTTTAAAAAATTTATCCAATTTGACTTTCACTGGCCTTTTGAACTGTGAACTGATGTCTTTAATTCCAAACAAAATTCTTAGCCATCATCTTTTGAAATACTGTCTTTGCTTCATTATCTCTTTCCTCTCCTTCTGAGAGTTTCCAATTCAATCCTTTTAGACCTTCTAACTTTATCTTCCTTGTATCTTATCCACTGTATTTTTCGTATATTTTTATTTCTTCATATTGCCTTTTGTGTTTTCTGAACTACCTCCCATTTCACTAATTTGTCATGAAAAATAATAAAATTATTTTATTAAATATTTATTTTGAGTTTTTTCTAATTTAGACTATTTTATTTCTGTAAGTCCTAGAGTGTGGCTTTTTTCAAAATTTTTAAAGATCTTATTGATTTTCTATTTCCTACATATGGCTTCAGCAATCCATTTGTTTCTTTAAACATAGTATGTATAATTAGTTCATAGTTTCTATCTGATGATTCCTAGTGTCTGATATTTTTGTGGGCCTATTTCCATTTTTCTTGTACCTGCTGGTTCCAACACATGGAGTTTTATTTCCTTGCATTGCATCATTATGTTTTGGTTATGTGCTTTTTAAACAACGTTGAAAATTTTGAAACTTTGGATGCAAGTACCTTTACCCCCCCAAAAAATTGAGTTTCTTTCACCAAGTGTCTAACCAGTCAATAATTATCAAATTCAAGGTTTGAAGTTATTTGCAAGACATAGGCAATTCCAGCATGATATTCAACTCTGCACTAAGGCTAATCTACTTCCAGTTCACCCTCATCTTGAAGGCATAGTTCTTTTTTTTTTTTTTTTTTTTTTCTTTTTTTGAGACAGAGTTTTGCTCTTGTTGCCCAGGGTAGAGTGCAACGGGACGATCTTGGCTCACCACAACCTCCGCCTCCTGGGTTCAAGTGATTCTCCTGCCTCAGCTGCCTGAGTAGCTGGGACTACAGGCATGCGCCACCATGCCCAGCTAATTTTGTATTTTTTAGTAGAGATGGGGTTTCTCCATGTGGATGAGGCTGGTCTTGAACTCCCGACCTCCGGTGATCTGCCTGCCTCGGCCTCCCGAAGTGCTAGGATTACATGCATGAGCCACCACAACCAGCAGAAGGCATAGTTCTTTGAGTATTAACTTATTTGGAGGAGGGGTTTTCTCTTTGGTTTAAGCCAATTAATTTATGAAAAGGTGTTCAACACCATCCATAATTAAGGATATTCCAATTAAAGTAACAATGAGTTTTCACGTATCAGATTGTTACATTTCACTCAAAGAAAGTTTAAAAGTTGACAAGAGTGCATACCTTTTTTTTGGAAAGGATGTGCATGAAAATATTGACAGTTCTTACCTCTAAAAATCAGACTTGGAGTTAGGTGAAGGGGAGAAATATATTTTTTAGTTTCATTGTATTTGCTTTTATAGTACTTGAAATTTTGACTCTCTATATAAGTTTTTGAAATAAAAATTTTAAAGTCAAATGCCTAGATGCTTACTTTTTCTTTCTTTGGGGAAAGTTTTTTCTGCATCCAAAGTTATTGAGCCTAAAGAACATTTAAAATGTATAAAGGGTTGTTGATTTCCTGAATGACTGGTTCATACAACAGTGAATGGAGCAGAAATGTTTGCTAAAAAATAAGATGCAAGTAATGATGCTTTAAAACTTTAGCAACATAAATCAACAAAACATTCATGGTATTTCGATATTTATTTTTTCTATATGATGTCAGAGTAATGCACCTGCTGTGACATTGCAGAGATCAAATCAAATATAGTTTATAGGTTTGTGTCTTCTTGAAAACTCACTTATATACTAAGAATCAAGGTAATTGGTGCATCCTGAATAAAGTCAGGGGCTTAAATTGCTATACTGAATAAAGATATTCCTAATATTTAAAATTTTTAAATTTTTAGTACAATTTTTGTCTTCTTTTTATGTGGCCACTATCCAGACATGTCAGGGGTGTGTGTGTGTGTGTATGTGTGTGTGTGTGTTTCTTTTGTTTTGTTTTGTTTTGTTTTGTTTTGTTTTGTTTTGTTTTAATTGCTGTTTAGGGATGTGGTTTCTTTTAAGTAGTCAGTTTTCTATTTTTGAAGTTACTGAATTTTCCCTCCTGATCACTGTTCTCAAATGGACTTAGATTCTCTCATATTGAGCAGCTCTTCTTAAGTATAGTTGGTACAAGCATTTTTAAGAATGACAAATCAAGCTCATGCATGAGCTAAAGATGAGGCATAGAGTAAAATTCTATAACTCGATTGCCCTCCTGGTCAGGCTGTAGGATTGAAAGCTATTTACAAAAAAGAAAAAGTTTTGGAGTGCCCACAACAACAATACATATTTTATATATTTCTTACAATGACCAGGCAAGATAGCTTGATTTTTCTATAACTGCACCAAGCATAATATTTGTTTTCTGATCATATCTCATCTCTGAACTGATGGGGGTACAGTGGAAAGAATGAAATCCTGATGCTTATGCTATTTTGCCTAACTTCAGCTTGAAAAAAAGATAGCCTAGGTGTGTAATTTTAGAATAAATCTTGAAGTGTGTTTGTACTTTGTTAATTCCTAGGTGAAAAGGTGTTTGTATCTCTCTATGGAGCTGCCATAGACATGAATATAAGGCTGGATAAGAATTCCTTGACCATCGAGAAAACCTACATATCTCTGGCCAATCAGCGAACTATAACCATTCACAATCGCAGTAATATCATTGCCCATTTCCTGTGGAAGGTATTTGCTACCCAGCAAGAAGAGGACAGAGAAAAATATAGGTCTGTAACAAAAATCACCTATATGCAGTAATTTGGAGGGGGGGAATGTAAAACTCAGTTATTATGAAAAATCAGTGAATTTTGTACTACATTTTTAGCCAACTCAACCAATGTCACATTTTTCTAACTTGGTTCTGGTGTAAGATCCTCTTTTGAAGCTGCTCATTTGAACGATCTGAGCTGAGCTATGTGGAACAGAATGTCCATCCTGAGTTGATGTAACCTGGTTATAGTTTAGCAGTAATGGAATGCCTAGATTTTGAAGACAAAACCTATCATTCTTCACTATTCTTTCAAAACAAGTCTACCTGTCTCTATTACTTTTCATAACCCTAACTAGGTTGATCAGGTTTTTTTTTTGTTTTTTTTTTGTTTTTTTTGTTTTTGAGATGGAGTCTCATACTGTCGCCAGGGCTGGTGTGCAGTGGCGCGATCTCAGCTCACTACAACCTCTGCCTCCTGGGTTCAAGCAATTCTCCTGCCTCAGCCTCCTGAGTAGCTAGGATTACAGGCACCCACCACCACGCCCGGCTAATTTTTTGTACTTTTAGTAGAGACATGGGGTTTCAATATGTTGGCCAGGCTGGTCTCAAGCTCCTTGACCTCATGATCTGCCTGCCTCACCCTCCCAAAGTGTTGGGATTACAAGCGTGAGCCACCATGCCCGGCCAGGTTGATCAGCTTTTATAAAGAGTTCCTAAAAATAATCTATTTTGGATTGGCATCAATGTGGAATTTTTTTCAGTGAAAAGATACTTGTAGAAAATATGAAGATTGAGGAAAAAGAAGGGCTTAGATATAATGGCTTTTATATTCTTGGTTTTAGTAGCATTGCTCCAGTCCCTGCAAGCTATATAAGTTAATAATGATTTCTTATTGGTATCTTTAATATTATGGTTTTAAAAATGGCACTTCAGGCAGTGGAGAAAATTAATAAAATGTAAAACCAAACTGTTGTAGCTAATCTCATCACTGTTAAATTTTGAAGATTTCTTTTTACTGAATCCATGCTTGCCTCTTTTAAGCTCCATTTTCATTTTTATCTCCTTCCAACCTCCCTGAATTAACACTTTTGCTGCTTTCATTGGAATTTATTTCAGCCTTTTTTATTTGCCTTTCCATTTTCATTAAAGATTAGCCCTGAGAAGCTTCAAAGCTTTGTTTAAAACCAAGTTCGTATGTGATAAAAATAAAAGTCTTAGGTCCGTGGAAACCAGGAAGAACCCCCCCAGTGTGCAGTCCCTAATTGAATCAGAAGCCACGACAATGACAGGACACAGTGGGCCAGAAGCTTTGTCATTCAGACAATGAGCTTTAATCACTGAATTGCCACTGTGCCATCTTTTAAAAAATGAGGAAAGAAAAACCACTTATGCCTAAAATCTTCCTCTGGCTTTATGGCATAGAAATATCTGTGGTTTTAAAAGGCACAAGGAAAAGGATCCAGTACTGCTTCCTTTGCCCTGGTTCCCCCAATCACATGTGCTCACCAGCGATCAAAATGGCCCAACATGCTTGAAGGGAAAGTTGGAAAGGAGATCCAAGTAAAGAAAGTAAAATAGCAAAGTAGTGTTTCAGTATCATTCTTGTCCTGTGGGCATAACCCTTTGTGGAGAGTGAGTACCCATTGTAAGAGGGAAAGCCAGCTTTAATTTCAGCCATGTCTGTGTGTTTGGCTATATGGATAATATGTGATTGATGCCATGCCAATACCAAAAACTATGTAAGGACGTTAATTTCAGCAGTTAAACTCTAAAAAAATTTAAACCAATGGTTATCAGAGATGCTAAACTATAGAGAATATAATTCAGCCACAGTGGATGGGCATTGATTTTAGTTTTTTCCCCACTTCACCTCCCCTGACACTCACACCCCTATCTCTTTAATATTGTCTTTTATTCTTCCTTTTCTCTTGCATCATTTTCTTTTACTATCTCCCTTGCTCTTTCTATTATTTCTTCTGGCAACTTCTTTGTAACAAGGGGAAAAATATAGGATAGCATTTTTATAACCATGATTGGAAACCTGATTTTATCATCTAGAATCATGACCCTCTTTTAACTAATAGACTTGAAAAGTGGCTTCAGATAAATAAGAATACTACCACTTTCACTCTGTGTGACATACAGGCCCAGAACCCCTGTTTCTCCAAACTATATTGTTTTATCTCGGTAAAGAGTCTACGACGTGCTGTCCCTTCTCTTCCTCCCACCTCTCTCCTGAGTGCCAGGAGCTTGGCCAAGAGGGAAAAAGGATACCAGTCATGCTGATCTCTTGTTGCACCAGGGTGGCACTTCTTGCTCTTCTCTCCATTGTTCCTCGATACAGCCCAAGCATAATAATAAGAAAGCAAACAACTTTCCTATTATAAGCTGTGAATTCTTGTCCTTGAAGTAACTGTCATGAAATGCCCAACCTCTTGGAAAGGAAGGCAAGTACAGACAAGTTTGCCCTTTACTAAACATTTAACTCCTGCTTTCTGGACAGGGCAGTGGTGCTCTTGCTGTGAGTGTAGGCCCCTCCTCCTCCATGTCACAAATTCTCAGATCGTGTCCGAGGCCACACATCAGGGGTCAAGAAAGCAGAATGTTCTTTGGTAGCTTGCTTATGGGCAGAGACCCGCCCATCCCTGAAAAGCAGCAGCGAGATCTTTAGCGAATGGGGTGAATCCTTTTTTGAGCACCCCAGCAAGGCCTGCAGAGCTGAATCAGGCGTTATTCTCTTGATGTCTCACTCTTTTGCTCATAATGGGGTGCACCTTCTTCCTTTGTTCCCCCTCCTTCAGCAACCTCTATAGTTAAAAGATTTAACTTCTGGTAAACTTTCAGGTCAGACTGAAGAGCCTGTCCACTGTTTTTCTAGCATTTTAACATGGCTTAAAGCATGTCCTGTGGCATTCATCTCCAGGGGCTGAAAGTTGCTCTAAGATCGCTTCAATAATGCTAATAGCTTCAACAGATACACTCAAGTCCCATTCTAGCCATCAAGGTTTCTTGTCCTCTTGTATCTTGATGAGCAAAGACTTGGATATCTCTTCTTGCAGTGGAGGAATTTCAGCCCCAGGAATACCAATTCGTTTCCAGCAGTTTACTGTTTGGCCTTCCTCCACACCTACCTCAAAGTATTGCTAAAAACCTTAGGACACATGTCCAGGTTTGGGGACAGAGGGTTGTTCCCATGCTACACACTTGGGCAATGACATTCCTCCCCGTGGGAAGAAGTTCTGTACTTTAAATTTTTTTTTTTTAACTTGATAATCAGATGTATAGGGACCTTTAAAAGGTCACCTTTATTTCTTTCTTTTGATGTTTTCCTGAGACTTGCAGAGAAATTAATCTCTTCAGAAATGGAGGCTGCATTCATCCCTCCTTGCTTCCTCAACCTTGTCCTGAGGGATTTTAAAACATTCTGCAAGATTCTTTCATGCTCATTCTTATCACGTTCACTGTATTCAGAGACTTGGCATGGGCTTTAAGGATTTTTGCTCCCCATTTCTCCAGCAAGGTCACAGCCGTTTTCTCAATAGCAGCCAGCTCTAATTCTAGATTTGCTCTGTACGAGAGCTCCTACAATTCTCAAAGGAGCCCCTCAGAGTGGTCAGCATGGATTTATTCTATAATATGCAGATGGAGGAAATGACATGTTTCCTTAGATAAATCAGTTTTAATTGGGCTTTGAGCCTACCACCTGTGTCATAATAAACTTAATCTGAGTTATGTTTAGAGGCCCCTTTCCTTCCCTAGGGTTTATACAAAAATCCGAAGATTTACGTGGTACTGCCAAACAGGGAGAGGATCTCTAGTTCTTCATTTGTAACATTGATCACAGAGTTGCTAACTCTTTAGAGTCACATGATCCATTTTCCATTTGAAGGTGGATGGCTCCATTTGTTCCAGGCCAAGTGTGGACATGGGAGTATTTCCTCTAGCTCTCAAGACCATGGCTCTTAGTTTTTAATCTCCTCAGCATTCAGTTGGCACCTCTTGTGGGTGCTGAAGGGAGCAGATTACAGGCCTTGAGTACTTGAAGATGAGGGACTATTACTCATTCAACCCTGCTGCACTGGAGACACACATCTTCCCCATTGACTGTTAAAGGTGTTGGTAGCTACTAGACCATTTGTAAAATGGGTTAAGCCCATGGTTTTACTGAAGAGAGGGCTGGCCTGCTGTTATGCTGTCTGATGAAAGGTCTCCTCATCTATAAAAGAGAACCACCTCTGAGTGCAAGAAACCATGACTATCAACAGGACGAGATGGCAAAACACTAGGACTGAGATCTATGGAAGCCCTTGTTGGAGCCAGGCCACATGAAGTTGTGGCTATACACCTCCTCCTTAGACTCTCAGTCCTGGCTCCAATTCTCCATCAGAGGAAGAATCCAGTACCCTCTCTCCTCCCTTTGCCTTCTACTGGCTGTTACCGATTTGGAGTTTCAACAGCATGGGAGAAGACCAGCGTTTTCGAATTTGTTTTGTTCTCTTTGTTTTCTGGTACAGGGATTGCATTTCTCATACTCCTCAGTCCATGGAGCACTATCATCTTCATCCTCAGTCCACACAAAGCATTTTATTTATTCTCTTACATCCCCACACCCCACTCCTGTTAATTCCCCCAAAGATACCATTCTAATATGTTACTGTGTCTATCTTTTTACATGAATCTGTTCTTTCAAAATGTATATTGTCTTGGGGGAGAGACAGAGAGAAGTCATATTTTGTATTCCATTTTCTCCTTTTTCTCACGAGGTTGTGTGCTTAAGATCCATTCATGTTGCTATGTGTATATCTAATCCATTGCCTCCACCTTCTGCAGACCAGACCACATTGTGTCACCCCACATTCCACCTGTGCACTCTTCCAGGGGTGGCATCCACAGGCTCATGCCAATGCAGGCATGTTAGGCAAAGGCAACCAGGTCAAAATCTTAGTGCCTCAGCCTGAGAATTAATTAACATTTAATTTCTTAAATGACTTGTTTTCTGGTTTAAAAAGAAATACATTGTGCACTAATAAAATTTAGAAAATATTAAGCACAAAGATGAGGGCAAAAATCCATTCTAATCCTTCCAACCAGGGAAACCACAGTCAATATTTTGGTATGTCTAAGTCTGTATTTTTTCCCTAATAAGTATGTATTTTTCTTTTGCTTTTTTATTACAAAAGTGGGATTATTGTATATGTTACATTTTACCACTTTGTTTTTCACCTTAAAACATTTCAGGCATTTGAAAATGATGTTAAATATTCCATTTAATACCACTTTACTGGCTGCTTATTATTCCCTAATATTCCCTGGATTCCTGGGAGGCAGTGTGCATATTGGTTAGCACCAGGGGATTCAAACCTCCAAAGACCCTGAAGTCCAGGCTATCTTTCAGCTATGTGATCTGGGGCGAGTTACTTAACCTTTCTAAGCCTCAGTTTCATCATCTATATAGTGGGAATGATGCTTATAATGCTAATGACCCTTCTGGTAGTTATGAGTGTTAAATTATATGATGCATGTGCAAAGTTTGACAGGTACCCAATAAATGTAATGTTCATGATTCCCATTTTTGTTCAACCAGTGCTTCATTATCTTACATCAAATTTACCCACTTGATCTGGTATCATTCCAGCACTTTAATGGACATCTTTGTAGCTGTGTCTTTGTTTATATCCATGATTGTTTTTAAGGATTTATTCCTGCAAGTGGAATTTTTTGGTTTCTAAGGGTATATAATCTGTAAGTTTTCCAGATCAGTATCAGATAACAAAAATATCAAATAAAAAAGAAATGGATTCCTTTCTTTCTGCAAACTGAGCTGTCTTTAATTTGCCCTGCCGTGCCCAGCAGTGTGGAAGGAATGCTGCCAGTCACCTTGGACACTGCCTCCTACCTGGCAATAAAAATCAAGCACAAGATGCTTTCTTCCTTGGAACCAGAACACACCGAGCCCATTTCTTTGACTTCTTTTTGCAGTGTGTGATCAAAGCACCCTGAACACATATGTTATTTAAAAAGAGTTATTTGACAATACTGACAGGAGTTGGAACTGGGACAGGAATTCAGTGATCCTAGGCTCCCACTCAGCACTTATGTTGCTAAATAATTTGTCTCTCACCCCTGGTAATACCAGTACAATGATGGGAATATGGTCGTATGTCCTGGGAGGAGATAAAATTCAGTCTGCAAAGTTCAGGAGAAATGTGAACATAGCTCTGGTGGGGGCAATGAGTGGATTGGGGAAAGCTGCTGTTCTCTCTTATCACGATGGATATTAAAAGCTAGAAAAAGAGAGAAAAGGAGGTGCCTTAAGGCATAGCTTGAGCATTTTGTAAGCTGACAGCTTGGCGATTGCCTATGGTTGACAGAGGGAGAAAACCGGTATATATGGAGTTGCCAGCTTTGTCCCAGGAACTGCACTAGAGCCTTGATTACATTTAACCCTCAACACATCTTTCTGATGGAGCAGCTCCTATGGTCTCTAGAAGGAGAAGGCACTGAGGCTTAGAGGAATCAGGGAACTGCCAAAGTCACAGAGCTAGTAAACAGATCACAGAATTAGTATGCAAACCTAGTCCCTGCCGGCCCCAGGTTCTATGCTCCAGGTAACTAACAGCTAAGAAAGAATTAAAGCTAAGCAAATTTAAAAGGAACAAAATTGTCCTTGCCATGTGAGGGGCAGAATAGATGTTAAATATTTAAAAAGCAGCCTGGAAAAAACAGGATTACCTGAAAGAAAATATTTGTCCAGATATACATAAGGGCTCAGGAGTAAAGCAATGAGTATTGAATAGGAAAGGAATCCAGGGAGGATCTCTTAAAGAAGGTGGTTGAAGATGAGCAAACAGAGGCTCTGAGAGGTTTGAGGACTGAGTGCAAGGGCAGCAGGTTACAGACTCAGGGCAAGGAGAGACCACCCCAGGGTGGTGGCTGAGGGCATTTCCAGGAGGAGGTACTAGAGGGAAGCCCTTTACAAAGTTCTTCATGGGAGTACCCACATGAATCTCACATTGCCTGTTTTCTTTAGGGCCTGTGATGATCTGATCAAAGAGGAGAAGGATGAGACTGATGAGTTTTTTGAAGAGTGCATTACTGATCCTTTACTCCGAGAACATCTTTCTGTTCTGTCCCGAACCTTTGCGAATCAAAGGAGGCTGGTGCAGGGAGACAGCAAACTGTTCTTCAATAACGTTTTCACTGTGGAGCCCCTGGTGAGCATATAAATAAAAGCTGACCATACAGGAAATGTAAGTGGGAGCACAGGCTTGCTTTGATAAGAGCGCTCACTTGGGGATTGAGACAGTGAGTTGCAAGAGAGTGAAGAGTCCACCTGAAGAAACTCACCATCACTGTGAGACATTATATAGAAGGTAATGGTAAGAATGTCATGGGACACATATATAGGTCACAATTTCCATGCATCAGTCACTGTGTTAACCACTTCCTAAGGATTATGCAGTTCTTCTCATTTGAATATGTATTAGCTTACAAGTGTACAATACAAGATCCCATTAGAATCCCATTCAACAGATGAGGATATTAAGACAGAAATTTTGTGATTTGCTCAAGGCCTAACAGCTGGGGTCAGTGTTTAGAAATCCATCCCTGTTTGGCCTGACTGTACAGCAGGACTTCTCAACCCTGGCACTGTTGACATTTGGGGCTGGGTCATTCTTTGTCCTATACATTGTAGGATGTTTCATGCAAAACATCCTTACTTTTACCCACTAGATGCTAGTGGGACAGCCAAAACTATCTCTGTACACCGCCAAATATGCTCTGTTGGGCAAAATCACCTGGGTTGAGACCTGCTTTGTCTTTCATTCATTCATTGAATACTCATTGACTGCATGGCCTGTATCAGGCACTGTGCGTGTACCAGACATTGATGGACAAAACAGACATGATCCTTGACCTCGTAGTCTTTCTAGTGAGAGCTGTGCCAGAATTAGAATGGGGTCTGTCTGATTCCACAGACTAAACTCTTAAGCACTCTTTCTCCCTACTGCCCCCAAATCAAAGAAATAGCAGCTTTGTTATTTACTGTATGCTAGGTGCTGTGCTACAGGCTTCCTGTGTATTAGCTCACTCCCACCAGGCAGAGAGTGATATGAGGATCAAAACAGCGATAGGAAGGCTGAGGCAGGAGAATGGCGTGAACCCAGGAGACGGAGCTTGCAGTGAGCCGAGATTGCACCATTGTACTCCAGCCTGGGCGACAAAGGAGACTCTATCTCAAAAAACAAAAAACAAAAAACAAACAAAAAAAACAGCAATAGGAGGTGAGGAAGCCTGCAGCTTGTTAGCGCTGCCGAATTGTTGCCATTTAAATCAGATACAGAAGAGACATGGACACGAGGACACTTTAGAATACAAGGTCACTTGTGAGAAATGCCATTGACTTATGCAGGCTCATTTTCCTTCCATCTGCACTTCTAAATTGTTGTTAAAGGATATAACACGGAAAAGGAGCTCCATGGCTAAGTACGTTTGAGAAACGTGAGAGTCAATATTGTTTGAAAGGTTTCTTGGTTATAAGACTTTGGAAAGTCTTTAATATGCTAATGTGTGTTGTTAATCTCCAAGAGGGAGCTTTTCCCTTGGAGACATCCTCTGGGACACAGTTTTCTGGGACCGGCTATGTGAGTCACTGGAGAAGACAGTAAGGTATTCTAGTTCAGAGGCTGAGGTGATTTTCATAGGCAAAGAAGTTGGAGAAGGCTTCTTGAGAGAAGAACCTGGGCCTGAGTCTCACAGGACAGGCCTTTTGGAGAATGAAATTGTCGATGTGCATGGCATGGTTCACCCAAGGCTCTATGAGTAGACTAGTTTCTTGAAGTCAAGGGTTCATGTAGGGAAAGAAGGTTGGAGATGTGTGCCAAGGCTGAGACTTCTGTTATGTCAGAGGACTATCTAGGGCTCAAGTGAGCAAAGGGATCTCCAAATATAATGGGTTAGATCAAGATGAGGACCAAAAGTGAAAATAGGTCAAGCCCAGAGATATGGAAAAGGTCAAGAAGGGATTATTGATTGGTGCATGCAAGCAGGTGGCTGAGCTGGGCTGAGGCAGGGAAGAGCCATCAGTTGTGCTAATCTTAAACATACTGGTAAGGTTCATGCGGTCCAAGACTGTTCCCAGCTGCACTGGACATCCAGGCTGATGACTGCTCCCCCTGGGCAGCCCTGGGACCACAACATGGTGGTCAGGAGGAGGCCAGGGATAATCCATAGGTAAGTCCTGCCCATTTCTATTTCAGAAGTAGGAACACTGGAATTACCTCCAATGAGCTTCTCCTTATGTTTCCTTCCATAACCCACAGTTCAATGAAGGAGATGTATGTATGTTAAAATATGGCATCTAATATGATAGTTTTTGAATTCCAAGTGGGAACTGAATTAAGCATTCTTGTCACGAAGCCTTTTTTTATCCTTAGGAAGAAAAACGTTTTAGTAATACACAGAAATGGTACCAAAATGATAATTTTTAAGCAAATGAGACTAATTTTATTTGTATTGTCGGGGGGGAGGTGATGCCAGAAATAGGCAGAAATATTCACTTCCAATATAAATGGTCTTTATGGAATCTATCATGATTTTGTTTTCCTCCTGTGCTATTTAGTCTTTCTTTTCATAATAGTATTCATTAGCTGGTTGACAATTTTTGCAAAGTGAAAATGAAAGCATGAAACTTTCCTAGTTTTCCCAAAGTTATTCTGGTCAAAACAGCAGAACTCAGTATCAGTTATAATGAATTCTTTATTTATGTTAAATCTCCTTACTTAAAAACTATAGTTCCTGAAAGTTTTATATAAATACAGTTCTCGTTTGTGAAAGTACTATAATCTTACCTTATACATTACTTTTAAAGGTATTTAATGGGAAAATTCTACTATTTCACAGACTTCTTGGCACAAATGCAAACCAAGGGTGCTTTTTACTGTTGAAATTTTGGTTTTCTGATTCAGGTAAATAAATGCTACAGTAGTCTCAGATGAGTGAGTTGGGAAAGGATTTTTAGAAGAAATGCGATCTGAACTGAAGATTGGAGGAAGGGTAAGATTTAATTAAGTGGAAAAGGAGACAGAGAATGTTTCCAATTGGGAAAATTACAAAAGCAAAGAAACATATCCGAGGCAATTCCGTTCTTCCTGCTTCTGAAATAGAAATGGGCAGGACTCACTAGTGGCCTACCCCCAGCCCCCTCCTGACTGCCATGTTGTGGTCCCAGGGCCACCCATCCTCAGGAGGAGCAGTCATCAGCCTCGATCTCCACTGCAGCTGGGAAGAGACTTGGACCATGTGGACCTTACCAGTACATCTAAGATTACCACGACTGACAGCTCTTCCCTGCCTCAGCCCAGCTCAGCCACCTGGCTGCGTGCACCAATGATTCCTTCCTGACCTTTCCATGTCTCTGGTCTTGACCTATTTACATTTTTGGTCCTCATCTTGATCTAACCCATTGTATGTGGAGATCCCTTTGCTCACTTGAGCCCTGGATAGTCCTCTGACGTGACAGAAGTTTCAGCCTCGACACGCATCTCCAACCTCCTTTCCCTACATGAACACTTGACTTCAAGCAATGTTGGAGAATGTTTCCAATTGGGAAAATTACAAAAACAGACCATTAGGGAAGGAGCTACCTGACCAACCTACTGTGCTTTAGACTGCAGGCTGCCATCTCCCACCGTGCTTTTGCAGAAACACTGGATCTAGGGGGTGGTCATGTGCGTTCCTTGCAAAGAGGGAGTTCTGTGGTCAAATAAGCTTAAGAAATACTGGTTCAAGAGAAGGTGACTCTCCAAGCAATGGAGTGCAAGCAGCATTTCCCTATGACCACAGACTCCCCCTCCACAGAGCATCCACTGGGGTCCATGTTCTGTGGAACGTGGACACAGACAGAGGGTGAGATGGGTGGTGCAGGTCAGATAGTGGAAATGCCCAGTGCAGGAAGGGTCAGAGAGACTGACCATCTCTGCAGGCAAGGTTGGGTGATGCATGAGGGTGCTGCTGACCTGGAACAGCCCAGGGGTGGTCAGAAAGGAAGGAAATGGCAGAAATCCGAGATGTTCAAAAGAAAGACACTAAAGTGCTTTTTGATCAACTGGCTGTTGATGGTGAGGTGAGACATTGTGAGGAATTTCATTTGTGTTTCTCCAAAGCTGTGCTGAAGATATTGGGAGAATTATGATGTCTTTGATAGAAAGGAGCAAGTCAGGAGTCCTCAGTTTAACTGCTAGCTTTGCCAATAGCAATATAAGCTTAAACAAGCCATTTGATCTTCCTTGGCTTCAGTTGCCTTGTACACAAACAGGGTATTGCAGTTAAGTCACATTGATCCTTTTTGATCTACAAATTCTGACTCTCCAATTTAGGATCAGACTCTGAGCTTCTTGAGGTCAGGGAGGTCCTTATCCTCATTTGTGGCCAGTGCTAATAAACGAATGAATGAATGAACAAATTTAAATCAATAAATGATGATGAGTTTGGCTCTGAACATGTTGAATTTGAGATGACTATAGATATCCAAAAAATTTGGCAAATGCAGGACTAAAATTTGTGGGAGGGGATTCAGGACTGGAAGCAAGATTTGTGAGTGTGCTGTGGAGATCTTCACTGAAGCCATGAAAAGCAGGTGAAAACTCTTAAGAGCAGAGCGAACAGGAAATTGCAGAGGGCTGAAGAGGGCCTCCAGGCCCTCACATTTAAAGGCTCTGCAGAGAGAGGAGAGGCTGTGACTTCACAGAGAAGGCATCAGGAGGCGCGCTGGCCAGCTGACAGCCTGTCATGGCTTACACATTTGTCTACACCTACCATGCATCATTCAGCACCATTTGCTTCTGAAGGTCTCTTCTGAATCTTGCTCACTCTCAGGTCAGTTGTGCCAAGTGGCTACTACTTAATTTCTGAGAGTGGACCTATGCATCGGTGATTGGTTATTTCTTAGGGTGTGATTCATTTTAATTAGCTTGTTGATATGAGTTGAGTTCACAGTAGAAGCAGAGGAGATTGGAACCAAGCAGTGTTTCCTGCTAATCTAATAATCAATCTCTAATTGATACTCTGCTCAAAAAGTAAAAAGAAAAGAAAAGGGTGATGAAGAGGCTTAGAGACCACCTTGCTTTCTGATGGACTCTTCAGCTCCTGACCACTGAGGAAAGACATTGTGTTCAAATGAGTTAAACTTAAAAAGAAAAACTAAAACTATTACCTCAAGGTCTGGAAAGAAATAAGAAACAGGCTTATTTTCTCAGACCTATATCTATCTATCTCACATCTTCAAATGCATCAGAGAAAACAAAAGGTTAGTTTAGTCCTGGTTGTGTTCCCTGCATATCAAGTATTTTATGGAAGCATTGTTCCTGTTTCAGAGGCTCTTTCAATTTAAAGCAAGGAGATTCAAGATCAAGAGATTAGACCCTGTCCCTAAGTTGCCAAGAGGCGATGATTGGTTTGAATTTAAATGAAATCTTGTGAATAGTATCATGTGAAAAGCAGTTTGACTCAATACTATAAGAACGACAGACTCAAAACTCTAGAACTGCAAGTCCTTCCTCTGTCTTACCACCTGCCAACCATGTGGCTGCAGGTTGTGTCCCTTCCGTCACCTTCTCATCATGCTCATCATTTAACAAGGCTGTAGGGTCCATTGCTCAAGCCTTGAGGAGTTAGTCTTGGGCATCCTGGGCATTGATGTCACTGCACAGTACCAGGGCTGCTTGGTTCCCTCTCTTCCTTGTGATCGAACAGACGGAGGCTGGTAGCTGCTCCAGGGCTCAGAGGTGGGAGTTTGTCTTTTGAGAGACCCCAGAGGTGTTCATTGGTGGAGAAAGGGAGTAATGACCCAGAGAATATTAATCTGTTCTCACGCTGGTGATAAAGACACATCTGAGACTGGGTAATTTAGAAAGGAAAGAGGTTGAATGGACTCACAGTTCCATGTGGCTGGGGAGGCCTCATAATCATGGCAGAAGGTGAAAGGCATTTCTTACATGGTGGCAGACAAGAAAGAATGAGAACCAAGTGAAAGGGGTTTCCCATTATAAAACCATCAGATCTCATGAGACTTATTCACTACCATGAGAACAGTATGGGGGAAACCACCCCTGTGATTCAATTATCTCCCACCAGGTCCCTCCCACAACATGTGGTAATTATGGGAGCACAATTCAAGTTGAGATTTGGGTGGGGACACAGCCAAACCATATCACAGAGTGACCACAGGCAGAAGACAGTCCAGTACAGAGGGCTGGGAGGAATTTTTAAAAATCTTTACTTGATAGTTTATTTATATTGTTGAAGCATCCGAAGAATTGTTTTTCTAGTCATTAAAGCATGGGATGTGTTATCATTGTTTCTGTCAAGTTTTTCATTAGCCTAAATTTTTCCATTTGTTCCTTACCTAGGGAAGGTACTGGGTTCTGTAGAATACTGATAATTCTCAAGCCACCTATTTCCATATGGGTTTTTTTCCCCTTTGGAAAAGAACTGCCAAGTTGAAGTTCTGTTATGCATGTTTTGTGCCTTCCAGAAAATCAAGTGTAATTGGCTACTTTCAGAAATATAATATCCTATTTGTATTGGATGGACTCTGGCTTTACAGAATGTTGACAGTCTCATTCTGTTATTTTCTCTGCTTGGGTCTCTTGGGTACCCTGAGAGGGAGAGATTCAAAGATAAAAAACAGTCCTGAGAATTGAAAAGCCGAGAGTATCATAGGGCAGAAAGAGAGAATCAAGCTTTTGCTTTCCATGGGCATCGAGGAGTCATTTGAGGAATGGCAGCACAAATGTGCTGGCCTTGTATCTGAACCCTGATGCTGCTGGCTGAGGTCACGCTTTGAAGATGCAGCAATTTTC
Organism: Homo sapiens; assembly: GCF_000001405.40. NCBI lineage: Eukaryota > Metazoa > Chordata > Mammalia > Primates > Hominidae > Homo > Homo sapiens. The sequence continues at coordinate 146,587,881 of NC_000001.11, forward strand.
TGAATACTGAACCCTTGATATTTTCCCAAAAAGAAAGGTCTGAGAATTTAAAGGTATTTACCTAAACTGCTCCTAGCTGATTGACGGACATCAGCGAGCAGGGGAACATTTCTGCTTCTATTAGCAAGTGTCTCCTCGATCAAAGAAAACTTCATTTGGTATCCCTAGGGAAGCTTAAGCTTAATTTAACTAAGCCTTAAAAAGAGAGAGAAACCTGCTAATTTCTTTATTACCATATAAGTAATAGTAAACCATGCTTTGTCGTCATCTAAGCCTGCAGAAAACGTGCTGTTCCAGCAATTCAGACTTTGAGAGCACAGCTCAAATTTAGTTTACTTTATTTTTCCCAAGCGGGCATAGCATGTGAGCTCAGCAGAACCAGGTTGGGTGGAAGTCCAGATGGCTAGCAGAGAAGAAAGACCCAGCTTTTCACTACACACTCCTTCCACTTCTCCTACCATTATAGCCTTGAGTCACATTGCAAACATGTGGAAGCTGACTCTTTGGAAATGGAAGCCAGAAAGGAGAAAGAAGGACAGGAATCTGCTGAGAGCAAACTGGCCTTGACAAGTCACAGCTTCTCCATCAGTGTGGTTTTCCCACTCCTCAGCCTTTGTTTATCAGGATCATCCTTTCGGATCCTTGTGCTCAGCGACACTTTTTCCAATTGTTTGGTACATTCGCTGTTGTATTGGAGAACCAGTATAGGTGGCAGGAGGCCTGGGGAAGCCTTAGAAACAGCATGGTTCCTCGGGGCTCATTAAATAACTTAACAACCTTCCCTGCTAGACAAGACACAGTTCTGTTCTCTCCAGAGAAAGGCATGAACATCACACACAACTACCTCCGCCCTATAGAACCTCTGTGCACTTTTCACTGTATTTGGGTTGGAGGTGAGATCAAGATAGAATACTCCTTTTGTGAAGCTTCCTCTGACAGAAGGTGAAATCTTAGAGCCCTCTCTTAGAAACTTTTATGGTCATTATTTTGAGAATCATAACTTAACTTGATTCATAGTTTCTTGTCCCAGGAAAATAATGAAGCAGAAAAATCTCTTTGCATGTCATGTGTCAATTTGAACTTTTCTGTCAGTGATAACTAAGATGGTTTGGCTTCAGTTTTTTAGCTTCTATTTTTCTGTTCCTCTTTGAGACAACTGCTGTTTGCCCTGGGTGACGTTATAGAGAGCCATGATTTCTCTTATTGATCTGGAAGGATCTAGACGAGCAGTTGTGGGTAATGAAACGGATTATAGCTTCTATAATCTATGGGTTTTTTTGCTTATTCTTTGATAGAAATGTGGCTTTTAGAGCATGTTTTCATTTCCCAAGAGAAATTCTTTATGTTGATATTTTTCTAATATTTTAAGGAAAACTATAAGATAGCTGAAAATATTTGTTTATGTGGTGAAGAGCATTTCCATTTGGGTGAAACATGGTAGAATTCATCACCTATTATAGTTACTCTTGACATCATTATTCACCCCCGCTGCTGTGAGCTGACTGGACCCTGACCTTCACCACACCAGGATAGCTTGATACAGATCCACCATGCATTTCTCAAGAGCTGCAATGTACTAATGTTGACTTTGTCATCCAAAGGAACCTCCCATGAGTCACCTTCCAGAAGTAACTGGAAGGATACAAGCATGCAGGGGGCCGTGCTATGTTTTCCAGACAGGAACACCAGGTCTCACGAAGCCTGCTTGAGTTGTAGTATTTTTCAACTTCTTCTGGCCTTTTTTATGATATTGTGAAGAAGTTGAGGCCTGACTCTTTTTATAATTGCAGTGGGTTTAGAGAAGTCAGGGAAAAAATTATTACAGAATCTTAGCTCTGCTACTTAAACTATTGGTCTGGCTTTGGGTAAGATACTTCTTTTTGCCTTGATTTTCTCATCTTTAAAGTAATAATACTACTTCACAAGGTGGTAGTGATTGAACTAGTTAATGTGTATAAGCACTTTACACAGTGTGGAACATGAGCTCTCAGTGGGTGGTTACGTATATTATGATTTGTAGTTAAATACATTTGTCTTGTCAGATTAGAGAGTATGATTGGAAAGCATAGCATTTGAGTGGGCAAACGTGGATCATTCTTCTAAATGTAAGTTGGGAACTAGAACATAACCATTTTATTTGATAAATGTAAAAGTTGAGTCGTAAACTACTTTTTAGATAAACCAGGAAAATTACATATGTATATAAATCTCTGTTCTTGCACTTTGGTTTTTTTTTTGGGAGGGGGGCAAGATTTGTAAGAAATAATCTTTCAAGGAAGGAAGGAAGGGAGAAACGAAGGAAAGGAGGTAGAGGGGTAATAGAGGGGAAGGAAGACAATTTTTTAAAAAGATGTTTAAGGATTTTCAAGGGAGTTTTTTTTAAAGATCCCCTGTAAGTATTGCTGATATAATTTTTAAAAGGTGAACACTTTTAAATGACACCTTTCTCATGATCATATTTATCATCTATCACAAACCAGTGGCTGTTTGTTCATAGACAGCTTTCAGAAAGTCTCAGAACTGTGGCCATCGAGTCACTTGGTTGTTTATTCTTGTTCCAGAAGGAAGCATGAAACTCCGTGTCCAGAGATATTTAATAATTTGGGCAAAAATCGCAATATGGGAATTAGCTTTAGGCTTGAAAATTTAAAGTTGATTTTTTTCTAGTAGGTCACTTTATTAATAAGTAAAATGCAATTACTTTACTCATTGCGAATCTGAAAGAAAACATTAAGACCAAGAAGGAAGATAATTACAGTATAACTGAAGGCCATTTTGACAATTCTTTTCAACAAAGAAGGTCATAGTCACTTACAGATTCAATCCTATGTACTCAACCTCTCATTTGGAGCAGGAAAATGGGCAGTCATGGGAGGGGGGTCACATGTAGAAGGCTCGCAGAATGGGGGACGCGGATCCGTGTGATGAGGCAGGTTTTGTAGAACTGGGAAGAAGGGATATTGATGTCAGAGCCAGGAAGGAAATTTCTGGATGTTTTGATTTTCAGAAATGTTAGAACTGAGTAATAAAGAAAGAAAGTTTTTTTTGCAGAGACATAAATGACATGGAATTTAATTTCAGAAGTGTTAAAGAAGTCATATGAAATCTTTCAAAGACGTGAAACTGGAAGTGGGGTCTAAAGTTGAGGCTTGTTACCTATTTCTGAGGTTTGCTCTCCCATTTGATAGAAAATGCTATATTGAGTTTTTGCTATAAGGAAATAGAAGTTCTTTCTCTTTTACTTAAATCCCAACTGAAAAGTAGAAATATCCTGCATGTTCCTAACTCCTTCAAATGAAATCACATTGAAAGCATCCTTCTGTGAGAGGAAACTGAATGAGCACGCTGTTTTCAGGTACACACAACCGTCTTAATACACGGTACCTGCTCCAAGCCCAGGAGAGGAGTTTAGAATAAATAGGGTTTGTCCTTCCTTTATCTCTCGGGCTCAGTGAAGGCTGCAAGTTACAAGTGGATGTCACAGGCAGAGTAAGACAGCTGCAGCCCACAATAAGTAAGCACTGAGCCCACAGCTCCATTTGCTCAGTCTGAACCCTGTCGATTCGGATTTCTTTGTGCTGGTCTTCTCACCAAGCAGAAAGGCTTCTCCATCTCCCAGGAGCCTCCACATCAGATGATCTCTCACTGATGGCTTCCGAATGTCAACGCTTCCTCCTCTGGAGAGATTCCAGTCACCTCTCTGGAGTGTGTCTACCACCACTCACTCCCATCCCTCCAGTTGTGCTAATCAGACCTCTTTGATGATGGCAGTCCAAGAGTGTTCTAAGAGAAACTGAAGTGTGTTACCCTCTTCTGCACATGGACCCTGGATTGCTGGGATCATACTTTTGAAAGCATTCCTGGTCCACTTCAAACCATAAGACCCTGACTTGCCCACATGCACTGAGTTTATGTGATTTCCAGTGGGGGCCACTTCCTACAGTTCTGGTGAGACTTCTCTAGCCTGGGTTCTCTCAGGATCTAAGATAGCCCCTGGCCCTTTGGTCATTCCATTTGTGTAGGAGCAGGTTAGCGGTGTCCATTCTGTTTACCCAAACACAGCAGAGTATTAACCCACCAAAGGAATATGTTTGTGTCATGGGTGAGTAAGAAGCCCAGGATTTCAGTAGTCCTGAGATGAGATAACTACTGATACACCACTGATTGGCTGAGCTGCCTCATCTGCCTGGCCTTGCCAGTTGAGTCTAGCCATGAGTGTTTCTAACACTGCATATCACTAAAACCCCCACCAATCAAAAGGGGCCAGATATTTATCATTTATCAGAAGAAAACAGATACTTATTTCAAGATTGGAAAGGTGCCACAGTGAAATGCCTAAATACATCAAAGTGCTTAGGACTTCTCTGTTCCTCATATGCTCTCATAGGTCTCTTTTGGCTCTACAGTTGTGTGACTTTTGAGGTTCTGGATGAAGAGAAAATAGTAGAAGTAGGTTGCAGAGATGAATAGGTGTCTGCTACTGACTACACAGTGTGCAAACTGAGTAGATATTGCAGATTCAACAAATATTTATTGAGCACCTACTAAGAGCCATGAAGATTGAAGCTTCCCTGAGGGTAGTTGCTGTTCTGCCCCTACCCAAACCAGGGATGGCTTACTCTGGTTTGGGTGGGGGTAGAACGGCAGCTACCCTTATGGAGCCTTCATTCTCACAGGCTGATCTGGGGATGTGAGATCTAAAGGAAACTAGGATGTATACGACATTTTAAAATGTACATTGAGTGACTATTCACTGTCTGCCCAATGCATTCCCAGTACCAGGGCTTCAGAGAAGCAGAAAGGTGTGGGCCGTGACTGCAGAGAACTCATACCTTAGTGGGATGATAAACATATATACAAACATTTTACAGTAAGTGCTGTGTCTATATAAATACAGCCCAGAGGGGTCACAGAGGAAGAAGTACTTGACTTCCTTGGTGGAGGCACCACGTTTCTAACTTTTGAGGTGACAGCATAAGGAAACACTCTTACTCTACAAAAACAGAGCAATGGCCCGAGGTATCATACCTGCATAATATTTACAGCCCTCTCTGCTCCCCCTTAAGCCCTTGTGCCTCCTTCATTCTGAAGTTAGGAAAGACACTGCCTGCAAAGTATACTGATAAGACTGATTGTGTTAATTAATAAACCCAAATTGGCTCTAGATTTTTATTTTCTCCCTCTTGTTTGATATCTGCATTTTTAAACCATTTTGTTCTTTTTGACATTCTTTATTCCAGAAGTATGTTCTTTCTAGCCAGACTGCAAATAGAGAATGCACCAGGGACTGTCTGGAGCTGGAGCCTAATTATTTATCAAGTTGTCTTTCCTTAGTTTTCTATTTAGCTGGCGGGACTGTTTATAGATTTCTGGATGTGTTGATCGTTTATGCTCACTTGGCCCTATTTACAAAAATCATACAAAACACACACACATCTTTTCCCCTTTTCAATACTTTCATCTTAGTCCTTCTAAGTAGCACAAAAATAACATCGATCATGGTAGTCAGTTATTTACTGAGTTCTGACTGAGCATGGGGCAAAGTGTTTGACCTGCATGACTTTGTCAGACCTTAGGAACCCCTTTGAGGCAAGTGCTATCAGCATCTCTTTTTACAGCCTTGAGAAGCTAATGAAGAGGCCGCAGATTACATAGTTAAAAATACTAATCAAAGTATACCTAACAAGGAGATTCTGATACATTGCATTTTGCATTACCATTTTAAAACTTGGTTTCCTGATTATGACTTTTTGGTAGTTCCAATTAAAGGGAGAAATGCCACACTGGAGTAGAAGCAGGGTTTGACCAAGCTATTGTTCTACCTTGGGCCATTGCTATGTTTTTGTAGAGTAAGAGTGTTTCCTTATGCTGTCACCTCAAAAGTTAAAAACGTGGTGCCTCCAGCAAGGAAGTCAAGTACTTCTTCCTCTGTGACCCCTCTGGGCTGTATTTTTATAGACACAGCACTTACCTCATATACTGTTAAATGTTTGTATACATGTTTATCATCCCACTAAGGTATGAGTTCCCTGCAGTCACAGCCCACACCTTTCTGCTTCTCTGAAGCCCCAGTACTGGGAACACATTGGGCAAACAGTGAATAGCCACTGAATATACATTTCATTTTAAAATGTCTTATACACCCTAGTTTCCTTTAGTAACTCATTATATGTTCATAAATTCACTGAAGTTATCTTTGAAGTTTGTTTCCAACTTGTACCACCTCATAAGTTATCAAGAAGTATACATTTACTATCTGCTGGTGAAAGAATGCTTTCTTGTACTTATTAGAAAAATGTTCTCTTTAAGTTTCCTGGAATTGAACCCTTGTACACTGTTGGTGGGACTGTAGATTGGTACGGACATTATGGAAAACAGTATAGAGATTCCTCAAAAAATCATAAATAGAACTGTCATGTGATCCCACAATCCCTCATCTGGGTATATCCCCAAAGGAAATGAAATCAGGATCTCGAAGAGAGCTCTGCACCCCCATGTTCATTGCAGCATTATTCACAATGGCCAAGCTGTGGAAGCAACTGAAGTGTCCAGCGACAGAAGAATGAAAAAAGAAGTGTGTACATACAATGGAATATTATTCACTCTTACTAAGAAAGAGTTCCTGCCACTTGTGACAACATGAATGAATCTGGAGACATTGTGCTAAGTGAAATAAGCCAGACACAGAAAGACAAATACCACATGATCTCACTTATATGTGTGTGAAATCTTAAAAAAAAAAAAAAAAAAAAAAAAGGTCTAACTCATAGAAACAGTTTGGTAAGAGATTGGTGGTTACCAGGCATCAGAGGGTGGGGTTGGGGGCGGAAATGGGGAGATGTTGGTCAAAGGGTACAAACTTGTAGTTATAAGTTCTGGAGACCTAATGTAGTGCATGGTGACTATAGTTAATAATAATGTATGATATGTTGGGTACTTGCTAAGAGAGTAGACAGACCAGGTGCTCTCACCACGCACACACAAGTTAACTATGTGAGGAGATAGATGTGTTGATTTCCTTGACTGCAGTAATCATTTCACTATACAAATATATATCAAAACATGTTGTATACCTTAAACATATACAATTTTATGAAAAAAAAATTTCTTGGAGTTTTAATGTAATAACACTTACAAGCAGTGTCTTTCTTTTGTCATATTGTTTTTTAATGATTCTTTCATGTTTTTCAGGAAGGTGATGTCTGGCCCAACTCATCAGCTGAAATCACCGTGTACTTTAACCCACTAGAAGCCAAGCTCTATCAACAGACCATTTACTGCGACATTTTAGGTAGTGACCTCCTCCAAGTGGTAAACTCAGGTTACCAGGCACCCAGAGCATGAAGTGTGGTGTCTGAGTGTGTGTGTGTGTGCACATGTGCATGTGGGATCATGCCATGGGCGGTACATGATATTGATTATATTGATTAGGGGAATTATGGAGCCAAGCTATGCCCCTCTCACTTCTTCCTATAACAGATCAAACTTTAAAGTGCTTTACAATTGTGGTGGCATGTGGAGGAAATGGAAACTGTATTAGTCCATTTTCATACTGCTAATAATAACTACCCGAGATTGGGTAATTGATAAAGGAAAGAGGTTTAGTTGACTCACAGATCAGCACGACTGGGGAGACCTCAGGAAACTTACAATCATGGTGAAAGGCAAAGAGGAAGCAAGGCACCTTCTTCACAAGGCAGCAGGAGGGAGAAGTGCCGAGTAAAGGAGGAAAGAGCCCCTTATAAAACCATCGGATCTCGTGAGAACTCACTCACTATCACAAAAACAACAAGGGGGAAACTGCCCCCATGATTCAGTTACCTCCACATAGTCTTTCCCTTGACACGTGGGAATTATGGGAATTATAATTCAAGATGAGATTTGAGTGGGGACACAAAACCTAACCATATCAGGGACCATGGCTCTTAGAGCAGTAAAAATATTGCTTATGACCAATTCCCACAATCTCCTTTTTTGTTCCTTTTATAGTATTTGGTTACTAATTTTTTTCTTTTTAAGTTTTACCAAAATAATTCCAAGTGGGATGGGAAGGCAGCCTGGCAGAGGCCAGAGCAACCAGGAGGGTGCACAGGTGGGATGGCAACCTGATGATGACATCAGGAGATTTGATACATACAGGGAATTAAGCAGAAAAGTAAATACATTGAGGATGATGGGAACCAGTATTTCTCACTCTTGGAGGAAGGAGATACAAACATGGAAAATAGGGTGAAGCCAAACCCTTTGAAATTGGAATGGAATTAGAGTTGTCAATGTGAACTCAGAGTTGTTGAGTTCACACTGACATGTATAGATAGATATAAAAATAAATATACATGTAAATGTGTGTATATGCATGTGTACATGCATGTGTGTATTTCCTAGCTAGGTCCATTGAGAAGTCCTGGAAGCTTTGAGACTCTATAGCAGTGAGCACACCGATCACCCAAAGCTTGGTTTCTAAATGCCACTCTTTAGTGAAAGGAACTGCTTAACTCCAGGACCAAGGTAGGGAAAGAATAAGATGAGCCTGGATTATCTCCTTTGCTAGACGGTAAGGAAATGCTCAAAGAATGATAGGCACATGTCGAAATGACACAGAAGACAGCAAAGAAACTCCCACTGACCACATTTGGAATGAGTCAAGAATCAAAATAATGATACTAATAGATTATTATAATCCATTGAATAAATAGGAATCTGTGAATCCATTTAATGTACTACTTGGCAATCATCATTGCAATAACCAATTCAGGTAAAAGCGTCAGTGGATCTTAAGAAAATGGGTGAAAGTAGGGCATGGAATAGTCTGAAAACATCTTTCCTCAAAATACTTTTTATGAAGGGGAGAAAACTAACTTTGCAGTGAAGAAGCCTGGGAGATGCTATCTTGGTTTATCCCAGTAATAATACAGCAAATCAACCTCTCAGATCACATGCCAGGATGCAGTGAGAACACAGCATCCCTTCTATGATATCAGGGCCAAGATACCTAAATTGGATCTAATCAGGAGGAAACATCAGGCAATCCCAAATTGAAGAACAAAATAAAATGACCAGCCTGTAATCTTTAAAAATATCAAGGTCATGACGGCCGGGCACGGTGACTTCCGGCTATAATCCCAGCAATTTGGGAGGCTGACGTGAGAGGATTTCTTGAGTCCAGGAATTCAATATGGTCCTGGGAAACATAGTGAGACCCCATCTCTACAAAAAATTAAAACTTAATCAAGTGTGGTGGCACATGCCTGTAGTCCTAGCTACTCAGTAGGCCAAAGTGGGAGGATCACTTAAGCCCAGAAGTTTGAGGCTGTAGTGAGCTGTGATTGCACCACGGGACACCAGCCTGGGTGACAGAGTGAGACCCTGTCTCAAAAAAAAAAAAAAAAAAAAAAAATCAAGATCATGAAAGTCAAGAAATCCCGAAGAACTGTTCCAGGTTGAAGGAGACTAGAGAGACATGGTAATTGAGTGCAAAATGTGATCCTGGATTGGGCCCTTTGCTATAAAGGACATTATTGGGCATGGGATAGATATTTAATAGAAGTTCTTGTACTACTCTGGAAACCTTTCTGCATTTTAAAAATGTTTCAGAATTGTGTTTAAATGCCAATGCCAATAAATAAGTAAAACATGTAGATAGTAAAATTATGAAGCTAAATGTTAGTCTGTGTCACCACTGCTACTTCCAAAAACTTCTTTTGGCTGTTTCTTGTGATGGTGGTTTCCCTTGCCAGCTCTATGCTTATGTTGCTTTTGGTGGATTTATTAACTTCGTACATTTTCTTTTGACGCCCCAGTATGAAAGATGAGGGTTTAGTTCACTTTTCGGTTCCTAGGTTTTTCCCCTTCCTAAGTTTACTGAGTTAGGATTTACATGCAGTGAAATTCATCATTGTTTGGAGCATGGTTCTGTGAATTTTGACAAACCTAAATAGTCATATAACCACCAAAATCAAGATGTGGAAATGTGTATCTGAGATCACCCCATAAAGTTCCCTATGCTTCTTTGCAGACAATCCTGTCCCCCAACCTCAGCCCCTGACAACCCAATTGTTTTATTTTATCTTATGAGGTTTATTTATAGCCTTAAATAATACACTTAAGCCTGTATTTTTTGTTCCATCAACTTTACATTATCTCTTGATGTGTAAGGATTTTGGTGCCTATAACTAGGTTATCCCCGGCTAGTCCACTAGCCTTCTCCCTCTAACCTCTGTGAGCTATTCCATTTTTACATAATCATTATTGATAACCACTGTTAAGTCTTCTTCTTACATAAATATTATACACTGCAGAGCCAAATAGGTTCTGGGATTACATTTTATCCTGTTTGTTCAGTGCTCTGGTTCCTAGTCACTCAAAGAATGTCCCTAAGGTCCATATCAAGTATATTCTTTCTTTACCAATTTATCAGTTACTCACAACTATGCCTCCTTTTAGTTTACTTCTTAACTGACTCTTTTGTACAGCTTTTGATTTCCCCCCTGTGGTTTCTAATTCCTTATTTCTTCACTCCTATCTAATTTTATAATTCATTCTCTTTTTCTCTTTGAAGATACTGATCAGAGCCTATCAGCTTCTTATTTTAATTCAGATCAGTCACCTCCTGAATGAACAGTTGTTATCCAGGAATTTTAAAAAATATTTCTATGTTCAGTCACACCTTTTCATTCTCAGTCTGCTCAAGTAACTTCCTTAGAAATGATGTATATAATGTGTGTATGTAAATATATGGAAGTGGAAACTTTGATCCTTGAATGCCCGAAAATACCTTATTTTGCCTTCATACTCACTTGGCAGTTTAGCTGACTATAGGATCCCAGGTTCAAAATCATTTCTCCTCAGAACACTGGAGACTTTGTGACTACTTGATTGTAAAAAATTCCAAAGCCTGAGGTCATCTAATGTCCATTCCTTTATAGGCAGCCTCTTCTTTTTCTCTGGATGTTTTGGGGGCCTTCTTTTCATATTTGGGGTCTGAAATGTGATGAAGTCATGTCCAGGAGTGGGTTTTTCTTATTCATCCTCCTCAGCCTTCTGTGGGCCATTTGAATCTGATGACTCACATCACTTCAGCTCTAAGAAATTTTATTGTGTCTTTGATATTCTTTCCTCCATTTTTTTTCATTTTATTTGTCTGGAAAACCTGTGAATCCAATGTTAGACCTGGAAGATTGATCATTTGTTGTCAAAGAACAAGATTTTAATCATCAAACACTACTAAGAAATGACACTAAATTTAATTCAAGTCTATGCCTAGAGAAATACTGATGTTCATGAATCAGGAAAGATGGCAGGAGTGTGCTGCATAGCTGTAGCTCTCCGCAGCCACCAGCAGACCTGTGGCCAGCACCTGTGGCATCATTCCTGATGTGCAGAGCCACCGCCCTGAACTTAAATAGTCCGCTTGGTACATTACTGCTATTCAGTTATTCAAATGGCAATTTTCCCTTTTATACAGATAACAACAACAAACCCAAGTTACTCTGACTCAAATTGTTTCCCTTTGCAGTTGAGACTTTCCTTGCCTGTCTTGAACAGGTTCAAGAAAGCATTTTGCCACAGTGGTTTCCGGGCATCTTCCATTTTGGAACTTTCTTGCAGAGGTACAAGCAGGTGTTTCTCAAAAACTTGGAAAGTTTTCTTCTTTGTGGTCAAGGTGAAGCACTGAACTTTAGCATTTGCCAATTGCTTTGCAAGAGACTCAGCTCAGTTTTTTTCTGAATACTTCCTAGCGATCTTTCATTTCTGCAATAATATTTTTAATTTTCAAGACCTCTTTTGTCCTCTATTCCTGTTTCATAACTAAGTGTTTGTTTATGGATGCAACTTCTTCTCATTGATCTGGGGATAATCATTTGAACTTTCGTTTCTTAAAAAATAAATCTTATGTTCTCTGAATTGCCCATAATGTTCAGCTGTTTGTCTTTCATGCATTCATGGGGTTCCTTCCAATGCCTTCTGGTCCATGGTCATTCATTCGTATGTAAGAATGAGAAAATGGCTTTCACGTTGATGGTAGCTAGTGCTGCTTACCTCTGCTGTTTTATATCTAGGTTTCCCAGGAAAGTATGGCTGCTGTGTTTGTTTTAAACCTGGGGGGAGAGTATAAGAGTGCACTGTCAGCAAGAATGCACATCATTTGCATCCTTCAAGTGCAGCAATTCCCCTATTCTGCCACACCGTGCTGTTTTCGGTCCATATCTATGCAGTCACTTTTTTCTGTGTAAAAGAGGCTCAGGCAGTCTAGGAATGTGCAGAAGTATGGGCTCCCTGACCCAAGCCTGTGCTACCCTGCACCTCCCCCAGGTGTGTGTCTTCTCCCAATGAAGTTTCCCTCACCTTTCCTCGATAAAACCATCACCTTGACTTTTATGATAGTTGTTTCCTTGCTTTCATGTATAATTTTGCCACCTACATATTCATCCCTAAGCAAAATAGTATAGTTTTGCCTGTTTTGGAAATTGATATATTGATATATATATATGAAATATATATATTATATATATATGAAATATATATATAATATATATATGAAATATATATATTATATATATATGAAATATATATATAATATATATATTTATATATGTTTATATATATTTATATATTATATTATTTATATATTTATAATTATATATAAATATATTATATATAAATATATATATAAAATATATTATATGTATTTTATTTTATTTATATATAAATATATATAAAAATCTATAAATATATAACTTTTATTTAGATATAAATTTATATATATTTATTATATTTATTTATTATATATATTATATCTATTATATATTATGTATATCATAATTATATATAATATAATATATATATATCCACACATACATACAGGACTCATCCTGTACATCTTATGCTGCTAGCACCAAGAAAATAAAGCTACTCAATAAATGTTGATTAAATGAATAAGCAAATAACTGGAAAAAAATGACTAAGTGAATCCTGTTTTGATTTGACCTCTCCCTTGCATGTGAATGCAGAATTCTCCAGACGTCCCCAGAATGAATGCAGAATGGACTAGGAGTTTTTGGATTGACATAGGTCTGTCTCCATCCTGCAGACGAGCATCACCTACAATGGACAACCTAATAGGTCTAGAGGAAATGTTAGCACAGCAGTGTCAGACATGGGCTGGAAATGCTCCAGTGGCCCCTGTGCCACAGGTGGTGGGACCTCCCTCCCATCTGCAACTCCCTGTGGACATTGTGCTTGGCCTTATTCCAAGGGGTTGGCTACTCTCCAGGAGGTTCCCAACCATTACACAACAAGTGAGATTTCCCTATTGTTTTGTTTGTAATTCTGAATTCTCCCACAGAATTCACATCCTGGGTAAGCCGAATAGTATAATTTTCCATCTGCATGACATTCTTCTTTATTTTGTTAGTGGATTATTAAAAGATATGCTTGCCAGGGAAGAGCTTTGCTTACATAGTAATTCCATATTATCTTCCCTGTAAATTCTGTGCAATTCTCTGTGTCTTTTCAAGAGCTGCTGATGATTCCTTACTATTATCTTCAATGAGTTGGTAAAACCTCTTGGTCTTAGGTCACTAAGAAATACTTGTTAGACAGATAAAAAATCTCCTTCCCTTGTTTTGTTTTGTTTTCCTTTGCTTTAAGATACACGTGGCATGTAGAAGCAAATACATATAAATAATTCTTTCCTCCTCATGTCGTTTTGCGTAAACGACAGTATACTTTACATAATGGTTTTAACATTGCTTTTAAAATATTTCCCAGGGATTATATACAATACTAAATAAAAGATGTCATTCTTTTCATGATTGCATAGGAACCCTTTGCATTTACATACTGCAATTTAATTTTTAACCTTGTGTCATTATTGAATAGAATGCAGATTCAGAAATTACATAATACATTTAGTGGTAAGCACAGAAGTGGCCTCCCAAAGATGTCCAGGTCCTGACCCCCAGAATCTGGGGACATGTTACATTAAATGGCAAAGACGAATCAAGGCAGCAGATGGAATTAAAGTTACTAATGAGCTGACTTTAAGATAGGGAGACTATCCTGCATCATGTTGGTGGCTCAGTATAATCACAAGGGTCCATAAATGCCCAAGAAGTAGGCAGAAGGATTGGTCTCAGTGTCAGAGGTCTGTGATATGAGAAAGTCTCAACCAGTCATTCCCAGGCAGTAAAGATGGACAAGGTAAGGAATTCAGGGAGCCTCCAGAAACTGGAAAATGCAAGAAAATGAATTCCCCCTACCCCAGGGTCTCCAGGAAGGAATGCAGCCCTGGGAATATGTTGATTTTAGCCCAGTGAGACCCATGTTGGACTTTGTTTCTAGTTGTGTATTTTCATCTTAAAAAATTTTTTTTAATTGACAAATAATAACCATACATATTCATGGGGTACATAGTGATGTTTCAATATGCATAATATACAGCGATCAGATCACTTTGGACTTTTGACGTCCAGAACTTTCAGATAATACATTTGTGCAGTAAGCCACTAAGTTTGTGACAGTTTCTTGTAGCAACAATTGGAAACTTATACACATGCCGGTACATTATAACAAATAATTATAAGGCAAGCACGATGTTATTGCCACCAAGATCAATAATAGAATATTTTCAGCCCCTAGAAGCCTCAGTGTGTTCCTTCCCAATCATACTCCTCTCACTGCAGCCTCCCCTGAAATCACCACCATTCTGTTCTTGATGACCATCATATCCTTGCTTTTTTTGTGGTTGTTTTTTGTTTTTGTTCTTTTGCTTATGATTTAAACAAAAAATTAACTTTTAGGTTCAGGGGTACGTGTGCAGTTTTGTTTTTGTTGTACAGATTTTTGTCACACAGGTTCTAAGCCTAGTACCCAATAGTTATTTTTCCTGATCCTCTTCCTCCTCTCACCCTCCACCCTCCACTAGGCCTCAGTGTCTGTTGTTCCCCTCTTTGTGTCCGTGTGTTCTCATCATTTAGCTCCCACTTATAAGTGAGAATATGCAGTATTTTGTTTTTCTGTTTCTGCATTAGTTTGCTAGGGATGATGGCCTCCAGCTTCATCCACATTCCTGCAGAGGACATGATCTCATTCTTTTTTATGGCTGCGTAGTATTTTGTAGTGTGTATGTATCACATTTTCTTTATCCAGTCTACCATTGATGGGCTTTTAAGTTGATTCCGTCTTTGCTATTGTGACTAGTGCTGCAATGAACATATACATGCATGTTTTCGTGGTAGAACAATTTATATCCTTTTGGGTTTATACCCAGTAATGGTATTGCTGGGTCGAATGGTAGTTCTATTTTTTGTTTTTTGAAGAATCACCACACTGCTTTCCATAATGGTTGAACTAATTTACACTCCCACCAACAGTGTATAAGTGTTCCCTTTTCTTTACAACCTCACCAGCATCTGTTATTTTTTGACTTTTTAGTAATAGCCTTTCTGACTATATGAGATGATATCTCATTGTGGTTTTGACTTCCATTTCTCTAATGATCAGTGATATTGAGCTTTTTTTCATATGCTCGTTGGCCACATATATGTCTTCTTTTGAAAAGTATTTGTTCATTTTTTTGCCCACTTTTTAATAGGATTGTTTGTTTTTTTCTTATAAATTGGTTTAAGTTCCTTATAGATGCTGGATTTTAAATCTTTGTCAGATGCATAGTTTGCAAATATTTTTTCCCATTCTGTGGGTTTTCCCTCTTTAGTCTGCCCATAGTTTCTTTTGCTGTGCAGAAGCTCTTAAGCTTTTTTTTTTTTAATTTAATTTTACTTGTTTTTTATTATGCTTTAAGTGCTAGGGTACATGTGCACAACGTGCAGGTTTGTTACATATGTATACATGTGCCATGTTGGTGGGCTGCACCCATTAACTCGTCATTTAACATTAGGCATATCTCCTAATGCTTTCCCTCCCCCCACCCCACAACAGGCCCCAGTGTGTGATGTTCTCCTTCCTGTGTCCATGTGTTCTCATTGTTTAATTCCCACCTATGAGTGAGAACATGCGGTGTTTGGTTTTTTGTCCTTGTGATAGTTTGCTGAGAATGATGGTTTCCAGCTTCATCCATGTCCCTACAAAGGACATGAACTCATCATTTTTTATGGCTGCATAGTATTCCGTAGTGTATATGTGCCACATTTTCTTAATCCAGTCTATCATTGTTGGACATTTGGGTTGGTTCCAAGTCTTAATTAGATATCATTTGTCAATTTTTGCTTTTGTTGCAATTGCTTTCATGTATAGTTTTTACCCAATGTATGTATCTCTAAACAATACAATTTAGTAATGCCTGTTTTGAAATGTACATATCTGAAATGAGCCTACATGTCTCATCTATGTTGCTACTTTTGCTCTAGTTGTATTTCATTTTCATTGTTGTACAGTGTTCCATTATGTAAATATATGTTCAGAGACAGGAAATAACAGGGAAGGCTACTGGTCATAAGGGAGGCCTCTGAGGATGCATGAGATTTAACCCACGTCTCCAACTGCAACCCTCTTTTCTTTTGAAAGCTTTTGATATCTAGGCACCATGAGTAGAAAGAGGTACAAAAGCATAGTTCCTGCCCTGAGAAAGCATAGAATTCAGTGGAGGAAACTGACACATAGCCAACAGTTATAGTGCACTGCTACTGTAGAAGTTGATTATTATTATAGAAGCGGATACAGGGTACACAGCTCAGGCTTGGGATGTCAAGGAAAGCTTTCCAGAGAAAGTGACCCTTGAAGTATTTGTTAAGCACGTAAAAACATAAACAAAGGCTGGGCATGTAAGTCAGGGAAATACTTTGTGAAAATACATAAAGAAGCATTATGTGAAAATACATAGCAAGAACATGAAGTGGCAAAGAATTGCAAGTTCTTAGTGTGTGACTGCTATGGAGATTGAGAGAGAGAGAGAGAGAGAGGGAGGGAGGGAAGGAAAATGAAGCTGAAAGCTAGAGTAGTAGGTAGGATCCATTCATAAAGGGCTGCCCTTGGATGCCAGCCTAAGGACATTGGACTTTCTGCTGAGTACAGTTGGCAGTCACTGAAGCACCCTAAGCATGTTATGGCAAATATAACATCATGAAAAGCCTTTCCATTAATCTGAAACTGAATAATTTTTCTGCATTTTAAGTCATTCTGTTTTCTTAGAAATAGTTAAATCTGTATGCTAGATATTTATAAAGACTTGCTGATGGTTTGATCTGGCTCTTGAAACTGATCTTTCATCTATTTTGACTTTCTAATGGAATGTGGAAATACCTAACTTTATCAGGAAGATTACCTTTTTAAAAAAATGCAAAGGGAAGCTACATATATTTGGTTTGGATCAGCATATGGGAACTTCAAAAAGAAGTAATACTCTCTAATTTAAACTGTGAAATGCATTGCTAGGTAACATTGTGAAATGCATTGCTAGGTAACGGAGTCAAATGCAGAAAAGCAGCATGGTGGAAATGATTCCAGATGCTCCCACTTCCTTCAGAGACCCAATTAAGATGAAACCTCATTGTCCATTTGCTTTCTGTGAGTCATAAAAGGGAAAATTTTGAATTTTAAAGACAATTCAGGGCTTCTGATTTTTATCTTAATTGAATTAAAGAATGGAGATTGAATTAGATTTATTAAAAAGAAAATCACCCCAATCATTGAAAACACTTTTGAGTTTTCAGAGTAATAAGTAAGTAATATGCTACATATTGGTTACTCAGCATCTCTCCAATGTTGTTTTCCTCTTATCTCAAATTTCTCCTTTTGGAATTTTTTTTTTTTAGATATATGTGTTTCCTGTGGAATTACCATGTCTCTTAAACGTCTCTGCACATTTCTGGTCTCACTATGATGTATTCTGGGTATTTTTCTAAGATCTTTTTTCTAGTTGACTAATTCTTTCTTCAGCTATATCTACTCTTCAGTGTATTCATCTGTTCAGTTTTTAATTCATTGACTTGGCTTTTTATTTTTAGGAGTTATATATAGTTTGAATATTTTCATATTTTATTCCTTCATTATGCTTTCTATTTCTTCATTTATCTCTTCAAAGATTTTAAGAATGCTATATGAGACTTTTTTTTATTACCTCAAACTCTTAGGATACCAGCTCACATGTTTGTAGTAATCACTGATTTTCCTCCTACTAGATTGTTTCTTCAGATGGCTTGAAATGTTTGTATTATGAACTCAATTTTAGCTTGGGTACCGAGTTATGAAACTATTCCCTCAGAGCAGATTTTTATTTCTTCTGCCAAGGGTCCTGTGATTTTTTATTTTCTCAGCTTCTGATTCTCGCACCTATCAGATAGTCTAAATTTCGATCTCATATGTGTACATGGGATTTTGATTTATCATAGGAGGCTCTCCCTCCTATTCAGAATTCTAAGTAGAAGACAGGCTTCATCACTGCTTCCCTAGACCAATGAGTAGAATTATTCTAGTTGCCTTTGTGAAAAGAGGTAGTCTTTCTACGGTCCTGGATTTATGCTAGAATCTTAGTTTAATTCTCCATTCCCAGATGGGAACAAGGCTGTGTCCTCTCTCTGTGAGGGTATAACTGGACCCACTAAACCATAAGTTCTGTATCTACTCTACACATCTCTGGGCCTTCTTTGGGTCATCTCACTAGTTTACTATGCTAGCTGAGTTCCCTTTTTATTTCTAGAACCTGTTATTTTCTTTCCTTTATTTTGAACCTGGAAAAGCATTAAAAATATTTATTTGCCATGTTTTTAATCAATTCTATTTTTTTTTGTATTTTGGGTGGAAGAATGGACTGCATCAGTTAACTTGGACATACCATCAGAAGTTAATGTTATTAATTTTCATATCTTTCTCAAAGTAATGTACTTAGAGAATCTGTATCAGAATCCCCCTGGCTACTCATTAAGAATGTAGATTCTTGGGTTTTATATATGTTTTATTGAATCAAAATCTGTGGAGACGATGCTGGAGAATATTCATTTTAAACAAAGCCTACAAAGTAAGTGTAGTTAACTAGTACAAGGTTGCAGGATATGAGATCTATACAGAGGACTGAAATTTTAAAAGGCAGTATCACTTACAATAACATTGAGAAATATAAAATAATTAGAGATAAATTTGACAAAATGTATACAAGACCCATATACTGAAAACTATGAAAGATTAATGAGAGAAATTAAAGACCTAAACAAATAGAAAAATACAGCTTGTTCATAGATTGGTAAATTCAATATGGCTATTCAATAATATCTTAATGACATCTTAATGCCATTTCTCCCCCAAATTCATCTATAGATTTAATTGAAATCAAAATTAAAATACAAGATGGTTTTTTTGTAGAAATTGACAAGCTGATTCTAAAATTCACATGGAAATGCAAACAACCTAGAATAGCTGAAACAACTTTGGAAAAGAAGAATAAAATGAAAGGACTCCTACTACCAGAGTTCAAGATGATTTTTAAGCTACCATAATCAAGATAATCCAGGATAATCTCCCCATTTCAAAACTCTTAATCACATCTTTTGACTTATAAGGTAATATTTACAGATTCAGGAATGAGGATGTGAATATCTTTGGGGGCCATTATTCAGCCTGCCATAGATCTCATGTGGATTTCCAGCTGTTTTAGCTCTTTACACTAAATGATCCATCTTTTCTCACTGATATTCAACATCAGCTCTCTCATAAATCAAATTTACATAATAATTTTATGTTCACATTATAGTATATGAACGCATTTGTATATAAACACAAAGACACTTGCAGATTAATCTTATTTGTGTCTCAATAATTCAGTAAGGTAGGCTGGAATTATTAT
Organism: Homo sapiens; assembly: GCF_000001405.40. NCBI lineage: Eukaryota > Metazoa > Chordata > Mammalia > Primates > Hominidae > Homo > Homo sapiens. The sequence continues at coordinate 146,607,676 of NC_000001.11, forward strand.
CTTTATTTTACAGATGAGAAGGCTAAAGCTTAGAGAATTTAGGTGAGTTGTCTGTGGGGCTTCTTAATCCAAGATTTGAATTCTAGGTTGTGACAGTCCTGGTCCCTGTCCTGTACCACACTACCCCATAAAGACATGGTTCCGCTGAAATAGTGCAACCCATATTCCATTCTTGTAACTCTCAGAAACAGTCAGGTTCCCAGCCCATCCAGAAACTCTATCCAGTTTTTCTAAAACATTTTAAAACACCTATATAACAACTCATCAAAGATTCCTGTATAACACAAGGCATTTAAAATATTCAAATTACCTCTATAATGCTTAAATAAGTAAGTATATAAATGGGTGTATTGGTTTGTAGCACGTAAAGATACTGTACAATTTTAGACATGAATTACATTTTCTTTCTGCACTGCTGTAAACATGAACTGTAATACAAACAATAAAATAAGTATTAAAGATTCTAAAAGTCTAGGATCTAAAGATTTTGTCTAAATTATTCCCTGGTTGGTAGTTGCCCTCAGTACCTGGCAGAAACAAATTCTAGGACCCATGAAAGACTAAACCATCAGGGAAATTGTGGGAAGATGAGCTGATAATGCATAACACATTTTAAACGAGGAAAGCACGAAACAAATCTGTCTTGTCAGAACAGCTGAAGGTCGGGCTGTAACACACAATACATTTTACTGCTGAAACTCAAGCAAACATAAATGTTTTTGCTGGCACATGCATACATTCATATCATACTTATAATATTGTTTTCATTTAGATAATGAATTTAGGTAAAACAACTTACATCATATTATTATTAAATGTGAAAATTCTGATAATGAGCTTTGGGGTTCCAAGAAATAACCATATAATAAACAATTTTGTGCACACAAACACACAACAAAATGTATTAGTTAACATTTCAGCAAGTTTTGTGTTTTTAAAATTTATATTGAAATTACACAAAATAATATTTGTATTATATAGTTAAGATATAAGAAATAATAGTAAGATAAACAACTGTGAACCTGTCACCCACGTTAAGAAATGGGACTCTACCATATTTTAGAATATCTGTGTCCTTCTGTTTCCTGCAGAGAGGTAACTATCCATTTAAAATTTTGTGTAGTCAGTTAATCATTTCCTTGGTTTTCTTCATACTGCTTTTTAGCCATATGTGGGTATAACCCATAACAATATATAACTTATTTTTGCATGTTTTAAACTTTACGTAAATATTATGATACTATATTTGTTTTGCTGAGATTCACTCATGTCATGCATGAGACTCTAGTTTAACAGTTAATATTCTATTATTTGAATATATAAAAATTCCTATCCAGTTGGACATTTGTGTTGTTTCTAACTTAATGCTGTTATGCTATTGAGAATAATGCTCTTATGAACACTCTTGAACATGTTTTCAGGTACATGGTGCCAAATTTTTCTAGGATATATCCCCAGGAGTGGCAACTCCAGGACATACAGGATGTATACACTCAGGTTTACTAGGTAATCAGACTTCTCCAAAGGGGTTGTGCCCGTCTACTTTCCTACCTGCAGGAGATGTGCCTATAACCTTACTCCATAACCTTGACTTCTCTTAGTATTGATCAACTTTTAAAATTTTGCTCCTCCGCTAGTTGTGAAATGGAATCTCACTGTGGCTTTGATTAATATTTCTGCAATTATGAATTTCATTATGTTAATGAAAATAGCATGTTATATTGACTGGCCATTTCTGTTTCATCTCCTGTGAAATTCGTATTTGGCCTTTGCCCATTTTTCTATTGTGTTGTCTTTGTATTGTTGATTCATAGGGGCTTTTGATGTATTTGGGATGTAACTGGCTTGATATGTCCTGCAAATATCTTCTCCTAGTTTGTGTCTTGTCCGTTCACTCTCATTAAGGTGATTTTAGTGAACAAGAGTTTTAATGTAATTGCATTTGATAATCTTTTATTTTATAATTTGCTCACTTTTATTGTTAAAATCCCTTTCTCTACACCAAGTTGGTAAAGAGATCATTCTATATTTCTTTCTAAAAAGTTTCATAGTTTACCATCACATTGATCCAACTTGAGTTGACTTTTGTGTAGAGTAGATGGGAGGGACTCTGTGTCAGTTTGTTATTGCTGCTGAAACAAGTTACGAGTTACTTAGTGACTTAAAACAACACACATTTATTCTCTTACAGTTCTGGAATTCAGAAGTCTGAAATCAGTTTCACTGAGCTAAAATCAGGTGTCAACAGGGCTGGTTCCTTTTGGAGATTCCTGGGAAAAATTTGTTCCTTACTTTTTCCAGCTTTTAAAGTTGCCAGCATTCCATGGCTTGTGGTTGCATCACTCTAATCTGGTTGCATCATTGCATTGTCTTTTCATCTTCTGTGTCAAGCTTCCCTCTGCTTTCCTCTTAAGGACATTTGTGATTATATTAGGGCCCACCAAGATAGTCTAGGATAATCTCCCCATGTCTAAATTATTAATTTAATTACCTCTTTTGACATATAAGGCAACATTCACCCTTTTGCCATATAAGGCAATATTTAGATTCAGGAGTGAGAATGTAAATATCTTTGGAGGCCATTATTCAGCCTACCGCAGATCCCATGTGGATATCAGCTGATTTAGCTCCCTACACTATGTAGCCATCTTTCCTCACTGATATTCAACACCTACTCTGATATAAATCAAATTCACATGTATTTGTGCATCTATTCTGAATTTCTCTTCTGTTTCCTTTGTCATTTTGCACTTTCTGCCCCAGTACCACACTATGTTAATTACAGTAGCTTTCCACTAGATTTGAGTTTATGAAAGGGCAAGTTCTCCCAATTTGTTTTTCCTTCGGCATGTCTTCTTTTTATTGGCCCTTTGATTTTCCATTTAAATTTTAAAATCAACCCACCACACTCCACCAAATTCTACCTGCTGGCGTTTTGTTTAGCAGTACATTGAATTTATAGATATAAACCTGTTGGGAGAAAATGGACACTCTCGATGACATTGAATCTTCCTTTTCAAGAATATAGTCTAGTTCTCTATTTATTCATTTATTTATTTAAATCCTTGTTAATGTCTTCCCATAAAGTTTTACAACTTTTGCTTTGAAGTTTTCAAGTATGTTTTGTTGATTTATTTTTACGTACTTTATATTTTTGTTGCTATTATAAATAGAACCTTGAAAACTAAATTTTTCTGACTGTTGCTGGATATAGAAATACAGTTGACCTTCGTAAATGTTTGCTAATCCTGAATCTTACTCTCTTGTTTATTTTATTTTATTTATTTTTTGAGACCACTTCTTGCTCTGTTGCCCAGGCTGGAGTGCAAGTGATGTGATCGTAGCTCACTGCAGCCTTGAACTCCTGGGCTCAAGTGATCCTCTTGCCTCAGCCTCCCAAATAGCTGGGACTACAGGCTCACTCCATGATCCCTGGCTAACTTTTTTAAAAAGTTGTAGAGACGAGGTCTTGCTATGTTGCCCAGGCTGATCTTGAACTCCTGGCCTCAATTGTTCCTCCTACCTTGTCCTCTCAAAGCACTAGGATTACAGGCATGAGCCATCATACACAGTCCCTCTCTTATTAATTTTAAAAATTTATTTATAAATTCTTTTTTATTTTCCAGGTTGACAGTCTTAATATGAGTGAATAATGTCTGTTTATTCTTCTATTTATACTTTTTTCCTCTGAATTTTTTCTTACTGCACAGGAATGGAACTCAAGTATAATATGGAACATCTAGGATATCTTAGATGGTATTTTAGTCTGTTCAGGCTGCTATAATAAAATGCCATAAACTTGGTGGTTTATGAAAAACAGAAATTTATCCAACACAATTCTGGAGGCTGGAGAATCCAAGATCAAGGCACCAGCAGATGGTGGAAGGTGCAGACGAGCTTGCTGAGGCAGCTTTTATAAGGCACTAATCCCATTCTTAAGGGCTACACCCTCATGATCATAACACCTCCTAAAGGCCTCACGTCTTAATGCCATCATCTTGGGAGTTAAGATTTCAACATATGAATTTGGGGTTCAGGGGACGCTAACATTCAGACCATAGCAGATGGAAAGTTTTTGAAAGCCCATGGTTTGCATTTCCTGGTACATAATGCAATGGGATCTGTTGCATCTGGGGACTTCAGGGTCATTAAAGGGGTTCTGTAGTGCATCTCCCTACTTCTCATGTGTGAAATAAGAACACTGCAGTCATAGATGAGGACTGCTCTATGTTTTAAAATATTTTGGTCTTTTAATAAGGAGTCTGCCCTTAAAGTTTACTAGTTCCTCCATGCTTGTATCTCTTGCTGCCTTTTGCCAAGACAAGAAAAATATCTGCTTAGAAAATCTTGTGGAAAAGTAGCATTTGTAATGTGACCCTAAAATTTATACTAACACTTAGAAACTCAAGGCTGGGCATTACTTGTACTCCTGTTCTGGGTGAGGGGAGTGGCTAGCAACAAATAAGACAAACTCCTTTGAAGTAATTAATAACTACCAAAGAAACATTGGCTCACTGCTTTATTACAACACATCTCCTTTTTTTTTTTTTTTTTAAGAAAGGCAGTCAAGGTAAGAGATGGAGAAAGTTTTAGGCCTGACAGTTATAAATAGTCCTGCAGTTTATTCCATGATATATTTGCAATTCTCTTTCTTTGCCATTCTGAAAGTTGGATCTCAATCAAAATACTTTTCTCTTGACCAAAGAGTGTAAATTATTCCCAATAGTCTAGACCTCAAAAATAATAGAGTAGGGTAATGCAGTTTGGGCCCTTTGAAAGTTTTATTGGCCGGGCGCGGTGGCTCACGCCTGTAATCCCAGCACTTTGGGAGGCTGAGGCGGGCGGATCTTGAGGTCGGGAGATCGAGACCATCCTGGCTAACACGGTGAAGCCCCGTTTCTACTAAAAATACAAAAATATTAGCCGGGCGTGGTGGCGGGCGTCTGTAGTCCCAGCTACTCGGGAGGCTGAGGCGGGAGAATGGCGTGAACCCGGGAGGCGGAGCTTGCAATGAGCCGAGATCGTGCCACTGCACTCCAGCCTGGGTGACAGAGCGAGACTCCATCTCAAAAAAAAAAAAAAAGAAAGAAAGTTTTATCTATAGTTTAGAGTATTGCCACAACTAACACCTGATCTTTAGAGGAACCTCTTTTCCAGGGATCGGATGGAGCAGGGGAACCCTTTGAATAAATCAGTCATCCTAAGTATGGCTTTTGCTTCTTATAATCAAAGTAATGCTTGTCTAATGACCACTGTGTTGCCAAGCACTAGAAGGAACAAAAGGACAAGTATTCTGTCTTTAACGGACATTCATGGGGAAAAAAGCATTAAAGATACAAAAGCTAAACAGCAACAGAAGACAGTGGAACATAAAATGTCACAAGGTGTTAAAATGATGATAATGAATTAGAAATATCACTTGGCTGTTCTAAGCATATTTTCTGTAATACTGAAAACTACATCAACGAAGCATCAAAAGTATTTTGAACATTCAAAATGTCCATACAGAGCAAATATATCCTCTTTCCTTAGAGAACTTGAAATTATATGGTATACATTTAAGGAAAACCATTGAACTATCAAAGATTTTCAAAGTGGTGATATCCCCACTGCTGGGGAGAATGTGGAGAGAAAGAACCCGTAAATACTACAGATGTTTGTGTGGAATTAGCACAACCATTCTTGAGAGCAGTATGGCTATAGCTGTCACAATGTCAAATGTGCATCCCTTTGTTCTGGAAATGTTTCATAAATGATAAGCTGGGTAATTTGAATTAACTCTTTCTCTCTAAGAACACCTAGGAAAGCAAGGCAAAATATTTTTTAGAGTCTGTTTTTTAAGGCAAGAGAGAACTACTGGAACATGGGGCCAAGATCCAAGAGAAGGAAATCAAGACCGTCAGACTTTGGGGGCCACTTTATCCTTAAAGACACTGCCTTTTTGGTAAAAACTGCAGAGAGGCCAAAAAGATAAGTAAGGTTAAAGAAGAAAACAAAAGTCCATGGTATGTCCCAGGAGGAAAGGCCCTAGTAATCTAATCCCCCAGACTTTAGAGTAGGACCCAGTGAATTAGAAATGGGCCAGTCCTCAAAGAGACTGAAGTTCAGCTTTGAATCATTGTTGTTATTGGTTTAATTTCAAACAGTTTTCCACTGGAGATCCAGAAGATAATTAATCCCTAGCGTTCTAAGGTGTCTATTGTTTATGAGGAATTAATTTATCTCTGTTGTACCTAGGATGATGCTAGCTACCTACCCTTCTTGGGAGAGTTGAGAAAATAATCACTCAAATGATTTGCTGCAGGGCTTAATTCTCTCACAAAACCTTAGCTGAGAACAGCTAAATTAGGTTGTCTGGGATTACTAATGCCCCCCAGTCGCCAGCTAGAAGCCGGAGGGAGTTATCTTCTTGTGGCTTTAAATTATGTCTATAACTTTTATATATACTGATCAGCACTCAATCAAAAAATGACCAAGCACATGAGGAGGTAAGACAATCTGATAGAAAACCAGAGTAAACAATAGAAACAAACCCAGGAGAACCAGATCATAGAATTATCAGACACAGATTTTAAAAATGTTTTTATCAAAATTAAGCAGAGATCTGAAAACTAGAAACATTCTAATGAAAAGTCTAGAACTAAGAAGTTATAATAACAAATTAAAAACTCAGTGGATGAATTTAACCGCTTGTTAGGTATAGCCAGAGAGATTTTGTAAAGTGGAAATTAGATAAATCAAATAAAATATCTGAAAATACTGAAGCATGCAGAGACAAAATATAGAAAAAGAACACACACACACACACACAAAAGACAGAGAGGTGAAAAGTGGAGAAGAAACAATATTTGAAAAGATAATGACTCAAAATTTTTCAGAATTGATGAAAGACAATTATTCACATATTCAATAAGTGCTACAAGCCCCTTAAAGGATAAATGCAACCATGCCTAGGAACATTATAGTAAAATCACTGAAAGCTAAAGACAAAAATAAATAAATATGTGTGCATAAAAATTAAATCTATCAGAAGACAAGATAGATTGTTTCAATTGAGCAATAAGAGTATGAGCTGACTTCTCAACAGAAACAGTGGAAAGCTATAATATCTTCAAAGTGCTGGAAGAAAATATGGAAAAATTGTTCACGGATACATGTTCGATGATAGTAATTACACTACAAATTGTAATGAAAGGTTGGAAGCCACTTAAATGTCCAATAAGAGTTTTAAACATATTTGCCTCCCAACAGTGGACCATATAACCATTAAGAAGAATAAGGGAGATCTTTAGGTATGATATGTTAATGATATGTTAAAATGTTCCAAAGGTATTATTAAATGAAAAAAAGCAGGTTGCAAAATAACATAGTATACATTCCCATTTGCATTAGCAGTATTGTGATACAATTAAATATAAAAGGATAGGCACCAAAATGTTAACAGTAGTTATCTTTGGATGATGCAATTATAAGATAATTTTATTCATATTCTCTTTAAATTTTGTAATGATCACGTATTATCGAACAAAGATAGTTTCATTTTAAAAAGGGGGAACAAAACCAGTCAGTACTTCAAAGGTTGTGTGCTCTGTATTGACCGTGAGTTCATTGTAGAATTGTTATAACGGATATTGTTAAGTGCATTTCATTATCTCTACATGGAAGAAATTCAGCAAAAGTAAGCATCGGGTAAGATCCCTAGACTCAGATCCCTAATATTCTGGATCTTCCTAAATCTAAGGAAGATCAATGTGAATAATGTCCCTTGGAGCCCCAGGTTGGCTCTCATTTTATGAGAAGCATCAATCAATGGTCACCCTTCTCTGATTTAGAATTACTTTTCTTTGTAAGAAACTTTGGAATAATGTTAAGAATTGGGTTAAAATTTTTAATTTTTTTCCTGCTAAAATGTAAATTGCAATACAGTCTGCTCCCTAAAGATAAGAAACTAGCAATATTCTTATTTTCTTAAAACATTTGGATCACAATACCAAAAGACACAATTTAAAATGCCATAATCCCGAATCTTGAGTTCCTGAAAGATCAAAACCCCTAAGGATCAAAATCCCTAAAGTCTAACATCCCTGGTGTCTAAAATCCCAAAAATCACAGTCCTGAAAGATTAAAATCCCAAATGTTGAAATCCTGAAAACCAAAGTCTAGGGAAGCGATTAGTGTGTTTTCAGCTGCACACAGGATAGTTGCATTATGCTGATTGTACCATGTTAGGTGGAACTATTACCTTGTCTTTACTGGGAAATTTAGTATGGTTTAACACATGGGTGCCAGGTTGACAAGGGATGGGCTTGTGGACTTCATTTTAGATGTCAACTTGACCAGTAAAAACTGGTGGAAACCTGGTAAAGCATAATTTTGGGTATATCTGTGAGTGTTTCCAGAGGAGATTTGTGTGTAAGTCTGAGTGGACTTGATGGGGAAAATCTGCCCTCAATGCTGACAGGCCCCATCCAACCAGCCAGGGACTTGGGAGAGAACAAATACAGAAGGCACATTGGTTTGTCTCTGAGAGCTGGGACAGACTTTTCCTCTGCTGCCTTGGACATAGAAATTTGACTCCATGCAAGTGCATTATCACGACGTTGCCTTCGTGTGTAAGCATTGTGTGTGTACGTAAAAATGCCGACACTTCCTCAATACATGAAGAGATAGTCTTTTTGTAGATCTGAATTTGTGAGAGATAAAATTTCTGGAGATCTCAGCTCTTTGGGAAACTGCCTAAGTGGGGGTGACCCATCATGGTTTTTGATCTATCTTCTCAAAAGACTTAAGTTGTTCATATGGTATTTCAGGTGATCACAGTTATAAAGCTGGGTGTCTGCAGTTACCAACCATAATGACATGCATTTGTACTTTGCCCTTTTTCACCTATTCCTTTATAAATACAGCTTGTATGCTCATAACTATTATACCCATGTGACTGTTGTTAGTCTACCTGTGTTTATGCTTGCAAAAATATGCATTCTATTATTGCCTATTTTATTGCATAAAGTGGCCTTTGAAGTGTTCTGTTGTGTTTTTATATGTTTCTCAAGTAAATCCCTCTTTAAAATGTAAATAAATATATTGTAAAGAATGTCTTTTGTTTTTCCAGAATTATATCTTTGGGATTTTGGTCTTTCACAATTTCGGCAGTCAGGATTTTGGCATTCAGGATTATGATTGGCTCCCATATAGGATGAATCTTCAGCGTTAGTTAAATTGCAGTTCCCTCGGTGCAATGCAGGGAGCTATTTAATAATTTTGATTATTTATATTGGTAACGTACATGAGGGAACATGATTTGGGGTAAATGAAGCACCATTTGGATGATAAAGTCTGAACTGTTTTTCTAGGCCGAGAAATCCGTCTGCCCCTCCGAATCAAAGGGGAAGGCATGGGACCTAAGATTCACTTCAACTTTGAATTGCTGGATATTGGGAAAGTTTTCACTGGATCTGCACATTGTTATGAGGTAAGCACTAGAGTTGTTCATTGATACTTCAAACAGTACTTGGCTTTTGGGGTTTGTTTTATATGTTTTTATTTGATGGAAAGAGTATGCAATCACATTTATTCGCCGTTACTCATCCTTGTTGAGACCCTGGAGTGCTCAGATTCTTCCTCCTCCTGCCTGGCCATCATGAGGGGAACAACTTTTTTATCTTCATTAGCCCTCCTTCACTTTAGTGAAAGCTAAAAAGCATCAAAGCCATAGTTTCACTGGTTTTATCCTCATTGTTTTGTAGATTGCAAAGGGAAAACTCATAAATACATCTCCCCATCTGTTTAGTGCTTGTTCTCTGACAACATAAATTCCACAGATCAGAGGATAGATAACCTTTTACATTTTCTAGAACGTCCTAATGAGCATAGCTGTTTTCACATTTCAGAATTTTCTCTTAATGCACTAGTCTCCAATCCATGTTTTAAAAACCAATCAGTTTCTGGAAGAGACTTTCCTGCTTCATCTTTCCAATTAATTAGAAAATGAAATTTTACAGGATGTATGCATGAGTTATTCAGGATCAGTGTTACTTCAGTGTCTCCCCATCACTAAATTTGTATCTAGGGCACATTTTTTACATTACGTCAGACTATAACCCTTGAAACTTCATTTTGGGAAAGTTCCTTCATTGTATATGTTTGTATTTTTATAGAGGTATTTTAAACAATTATTTAATGAGTGACAAATAGGTGCCAGATTCAGATTCATACTTTATTGTGTGTGCATGTCTATGTGTGTGTGTGTGTGTGTGTGATTTCTAATCCTTACCAAATTGTGAAAGTTAGGCTTTATTACATCTATTTTGCATATGAGAAATGTGGATCGTGTAGTAGTTAATATCATACACATCTCCCTTAATGTGTGTTGAGCACAGTGCTAGTGCTTTGACCTTCACTCGTTCATTTAGTCCTCACAAAAACCCAATTTGTATCCTAGCACTTTGGGAGGCCAAGGCAGTGGATCACTTGAGGTCAGGAGTTCAAGACCAGCCTGGCCAATATGGTGAAATTCAATCACTACTAAAAATACAAAAATTACCAGGGCATGTTGGCAGGCACCTGTAATCCCAACTACTTGGAAGACTGAAGCAGGAGAATCACTTGAACTCAGGAGGTGGAGGTTACAGTGAGCCAAGATCGCGCCACTGCACTCCAGCCTGGGCAACAGAGTGAGACTCTGTCTCAAAAAAAACAAAAAACAAAAAACAAAAACCACCCCAAAACAATAAAAACCTATTTGTGAGAACTATTTGTGAGGTACGATTAACTATTTCCATTTCATAGCTGGGTAAACTGAGTCTTAGAGAAGTTAAGGTAGTGCTAGATATTGTAACAAACAAACACAAAAATACATAATGTCTCAAATATGCTAGAAGTTTCTTTTACACCTTACATAAAGTCCAAAACAAAGGTTTCTAGTGAGCAGGTGCTCTCTTCCAGCAGAGAAGCTGGAATGTCTCATGCTTGGCCACCCCTACCACGTGGTCTACAAGATTGTGGAAGGGGAAAGGGCATGGGGGAACGTATATGATATTTTTATAGATGGTAGCACATTTCACTTACATTCATATTCCATTAGCTGTATGCACAGTAAAAGAGGAAGTGCATTCAAGGAACGGCAAACCTGAATGCCAGGGTAGTTAAGTAACTTGGCAGGGTCCTGCAGCATGTAATGTTAGTGAGTCCTGGGGGACTAGGGCTCTCTCTCCTGTTCTGGGAAAAGAAGGCCTTTGCTGGCCTCTCAACCCTTCAGGTTCTCAGCATCCCAACCTCTCACCTCGGGTAAACCCAGCCTCCAAACCACTTGGCTCTTAGCCCAGCCTAACCTGGTGTGGGGACAGTACCCTGCATCCCCCACATTCACAAAGTAACTGTGGCCTAAATGGGATGATGCAGAAGGTAAACAGAGATGGTAATGTCACAGTGAGATGGACTATGCATAGGAACCCTGTGTAAATGAAGAAGTCAGTCGCATGGCTGTCGTGAAATGACAAGTGACACAGCTATATCCCACACTGTCCTGGATTGCATTTGAGAGGTCACTTGGGGAGAAGGAAAAAAAGTCCAGTAGTTCTCATTAAACTGATATTCTGTCTGTAATTCATCCAGTGTGAATTTCCTGTATCTTACAGACTGAACTTATGAGTGCCACATCAGAAAAGAAGCTTTAGTTCTGATGCAAAATGGATAGGGTTTCCCTGAATGTAAATTTAGCAGAAGTGTACTTGAGGCCACCACTTCCCACCCTCCCTAATTTTAATAGTAAAGCAAACCACAGCCAGTTAAATAAGTGTTCAATGAGGTGATGCATCAGATTGGACAGTTTGGAGAGCTGTGCAGTGGCAGAGAAGGACACGGTAAGGTGCTTCTTATGGGAATATTTTGCACTGTCTGCGTATTTAATGCTGATGCTTCATTGCATCTCTCTTTCAATTTATTGCATTACCTACTTGAGACAAATTTGAATAACTAGCTATTGCCCTTAGTCATTGCTGAACATAGCAGATACATAAAGAATAAACCATTAACCCCAAGAGTATACCCTATTCCCCAGTGTAATTAAGAAGGAAAACAAATGAGAGGCAAAGTTTGATTATAAATTTTCTTCTCTCCAAGGAGCTAGACCTCAAGGGAAAGAGTATTATCGGTAATCAAAAGGCCTCTGAATTGTGTCCCAAAACTATTGCTGGTTTCTGTATTCGTAAGTAGGTGCTTATTTCTCAGGAGGAGAAGAATGATGTCATATTCTTAAAAATGGAGGAATTCTCACCATACAGAAAATATGGGCAAAACATTTCTGCTAACCAAAAAAACTAAAAGGCAATCCATGCATCTTCTGAAAGAGAAGAACAGGGTCCTCCAAGTTACCACTAATGCCTTCAATTTGCCTTCATGTTACCACTAGTACGTACTAGTCACTTCTTAAGCACAGGTAAAATTTAAACCCATTCTATTAGGCACTGGGGATATAAATAGCAGTCACTGACTACGTGTGGTGGCTCATGTCTGTAATTCCAGTGCTTTGGGAGGCTGAGGTGGAAGGATCACTTGAGCCCAGGAGTTCAAGACCAGCCTGGGCAATACAGAAAGACCCCATCTCTACAAAAAAAAACCCACAAAAATTAGTTGGGTGTGGTGGCACATACCTATAGCCCCAGCTACTCAGAAGGCAGAGGCAGGACGATCACTTGAGCTTAGGAGTTCAAGGGTACAGTGAGCTATGATGGCGCCACTGCACTCCAGCCTGGACAACAGAGCCAGATCCTGTCTCTTAAAAAACAAAAAACAAACAAACAAACGAAAACATAACAACAGTCTCTGTCATTTTTAAGCACTATTTGCCAAGCACTATTCTAAAAATTACATAAATTAATAAATTTAATTTTACAGCAATATGAGAAGTTAGTAGTACTTACATTTTACACATGGGGAAACTGGAGCACAGAGAAACTAAGTAGATTGTCCAAGGTTACAGAGCTAGTAAGTCAATGGCAAAGCTGAGATTTGAACCCAGGCAGTTTGGCTTCAGAGTCGCTGGCCATAATCACTTTTCTACATGGTCTCTTTAAACGCAATGAAGGGTGAAGCCTGGTTCCTGCTACCAGGGACCTTAGAATGAGGGAGATGCGAAAGAAACATAAAAAGATGAATAAAATAGCAAGCAGCAATTATTTATGCTTCTATTTTGGTGCATTGTCCGTCTTCTCTTGGCAGAAGAGGCTGTCTTCCTCTGCTCTGCCTCTGCTGCCGACTCTTTCTCTCCATCATATATTCTGGATGCCCTCTTCCCTGCAACCTGAGCCCCTGAACTCATCCTCCTCTGCCTCCACTCAGACCCCATTCCCTTAGTTACCAAGCTCTCTTCTCTTACAACAACAACAGGCAGCACTTGGGTGAGTGTTTCCTCTAGGCTGAGCACTGAATATGCATTATCTCATTTATTATAAATATGCTGTCTCCTCCACAGTACCTCCCCACAGTCTTGCCACTCCCATTCTCACCTTTCACCACTCATCTTCTCAAAACAGGAATCTAAAATAGCCACTATTTCCTGTACACCCACTCAATTCCCTAAATATTTGTCCTCTGGATTCTGCAGTCATGCCCCACTAGAATTACTCTCTTCCTCAAGGTCAGGGATGACAATAATCTCTAACTAAAAATAATGTCTGTAACCTTTGCTCCAAACTTACTCTCCTGACCTCTGTCTGCATCTGACTTCTTCCGGGAATCCTCCTCCCTCAGCTTCCGCGTTCCTGACACACGTCACATTTGCCTGCTAACCTTCTGAAAGTTTCTTTGAGATCTCTCATGCTCTTTGTCCTCCAAAGCCTTATGTGTAGGTTGAGGGTGGTTCCTATATAAATCAGGAAAACATGCTGTTCACCCTCTAGGTGTAAGGACAGCATTGGCAAGGATCAGAGGTGGTGTCTTTGGAAGCCAGGATAGAACAACATGGCTGTAGTGAAGGTTCATGCACAAGAATTGTAGGGACAGTAGACTGAGGCCTGCCTTATAGGACGCCTAATGTCACGAGTGTGCATGAAGGAGCTCAGGCATGAGCTCTTTACATGCACACACTAAACCCAGTGTGCAACCACATATGGGCAATAACATGCTTCCACAACACTAGAATATAGGAGTACAACTTTTCTATAGTAAAACAGTTGCTTGCATAAGAATCTCAAAACAATCATCCATCCAGTAGAATCTGAGATGAAAATATCTCAATAGGATGAAATCTGATAGCACAACAAAGAGAACCCTTGTCATCTGGGATCCACAGTGATGTCTCATTTACATTCTTCAAGCTACATTATAAACATAGGTTTAGGTAATTCTCACTCTGCTATTCTAACTTGCTTTTTATTTTTAAGTATGCTGCTTAACCTCAGCCTTCTCATGCGTATAAGAGAAATACTTACTTTCCCTTGGTTACTTTATAGAGAGTAGCAAAAAAGGGAGTATTTTAAGGCTCTTCATCAGTATATGTGATTATGATCAGTCTTTATAGCACGAGCATAATATATATGACTAATTTCATGTTAAAGAGGAGACTAAAAATATAAAATTACTTTCTGGCTTGGGAGTTCTATCTTCAAACACTCAAGGCATCAGACTGTTCATTTGTCCCTGAGTGTTCTTCTTTGGTTCTAATTCTGCAACTTTCCCTTTGTTGCTGTTAAACAGTACAGACACATGCTTATATGAAAATAGGTCAGAGGCCCATTGACCTTCACATTCTTGCCTTTTATTGATATAGGCGATACTGTACAACAAAGACAGCATCGATGCTCTCTTCAACATGACCCCTCCAACTTCAGCTTTGGGGGCCTGCTTTGTTTTCAGTCCCAAGGAAGGCATCATTGAACCAAGTGGAGTCCAAGCTATCCAGATCTCCTTCAGCTCTACCATCCTGGGAAACTTTGAAGAAGAGTTCCTGGTCAATGTCAATGGGTCACCTGAGCCTGTGAAACTGACCATTAGGTAAGGTACATTTATAATGAATGTAGAAACTAACAGAAGTTTTAACCTGTTGCCTTTTTAGCTTTTTAAGTAGATCCTGTCTTGGATGCTGATGACTATCTTTGTTGATATGAACACATCAGCATAATAGAGTGTGTTAAATTTCCATCAGTGTTTCCCTAGTGAACATGTATAAGTTATTATAGATACAGATGCTGTTTGGAGATCTAGTTTTTCTACAAGTTATAGTCTTATAAAATAAGGATTTAGACATTAAACTAGCTTCTAGTTACTCTCTATGTCTTAGGATGTTTAGAGAAAATAAGTTATTACAGTAACACCTGAATAAAATCATCTGGGCTAAGCTTTGGCCATTATCACAGTTTCTCTAAACTTTTGTCTTTTGTTCTTATTTTAAGGAAATTACTTACATGATCTCACTATTATGTCTCCAAGCATTGTAAACACATTGCTCTGACTCTGTTTGGATTCCCACAGCAGCAGGTTGTTAATTACCATGGCAGTTTCTCTTATTCTGGTAACTGCTAGCAAGACCTCCCTCCATCTACAAGCTGAGGTCTCCCTTGGGGCAAGCCCTGGGGATAACATAGAAAAGAGATAGAGACATATGACCTGAAGGATCCAAGGAAAATGTACTGATCTCATGATATATACTATACATTCAGAATCTCAAGATTAGCTGAAAGGTGATTACTATTTATTCTCAACTCTTCCACCTCAGTGTCCCTGTTATGCACTGAATTGTTTCCCGCAGAATTTATATGTTGAAGTCCTAACACCCAGTACCTCGGAATGTAACTCTTCTTGGACATAGGGCCTTTAAAGAGGTAATTAAGGCAAAATGAGGTCAGATGGGTGGGCTTTAATCCAATATGATTGGTGTCCTTATAAGGAGAGGACATTAGGACACAGACATACACATAGAAAAGGGCCATGTGAAAAAATAAAGAGAAGCTGAAGCGAGAGACCCTCAGAAAAAAATAACCCTGCAATCACCAACCCGTCTGACAGCAACAGAAATAAACTTATGTTGTTTAAGCCACCCAGTCTAGGGTACTTTGTTATGGCAGCCCTAGCAAAGTCATACAACCCCCAACAACTAAGGAGAGTGAACGTGTGTGCCTCAAGGGTTCTGTGGCATGACCAAAGCAACCTGTCACAATCATAATCTTTTTTATTTTTAAGTCTCAAGACTTATCTGAAACATTCACAAGACATTTACGTTCTCTTCCATAATACATGTGTGTTTGTTATAAGAGAAAAATGAGGGTTGTTTTCCAAATATTTGAATAACATTGACTCTTCACGAATATGTGCCGTGCTTATCCCAGCCCATGGTTAACATCCTTTGGGTATGTATACAACATGAGAAGGGTGGGAATACACTTTCATTTATATGAACTTCAGCCCACTTCCTACCTTCATAACATCTCATCTCTCATGACAAGCAGTGAAGGGTGGTTCTCTGAAGAAGTAGGAAGAACAAACTTGTGAATATAACCTTGTCTCCAATTCACGGATCCTCTAGTCCCATGAGGGCCTTTGATATGATCCAGCAGATCAACTCTTGGAAGCTGACTACTGGGCATCAGGAAGTATTGCTCTGAGTCATAAGCACCCTTGACAACATCCAGTATCATAAGCAAGCCTTCATACATAAGCAGCAAAGATAAAACCTTTAAGCTCTGCTCTAAAAACATTTAAGATAGAAGGAATAATGGCCCTATCTGTAGGAAGGAAAGTATAGGATATTAAAGGAGCAGTTTTACTTTTCAGGTAGATGAAAGAAAGGGAAAGTGCTAGCCAAGGAAGGCTAACTGCCCCTCAAGTTTAATAAGAAAGCCCATCCCAATTTCACCTGGCCATTCCCCATTTTAAGTTCAGGCCTAATAATACTGTGTCTTACCATCAACATACATAGCTACCCCTTTTAGGAATAAATATGTATTTTGGATATTTGTTAAATAAACTCTTATTGAGTACCTCCTTCAAGCAAGGTTGTATATTAGGTGCAAGAACTCATGTATTTGGGTTTGTTAGACATTCCTGATGCATGAATACTACTGCCCTCATTTTTGACTCTGAATTATTTACCCAAATTCAGGATTGCCCATTCTTTAAACTATTCCCTAAAGAAACTTAAAAATACAGTAAAAGAAATAACAAAGGAATTCAAAAGGGTAGAAAATATCCATTTAACACAAAGAAAGGCAGTAATGGAGGAATAGAGGAACAGAAAAGATATGAGACATATAGAAAATAAGTAGCATGAGTCCTGCCCTATCAACAATTACATTAAATGTCAATGTATTAAATACTTCAATTAAAAGTTAGAGAATGGCAGAATGGATTAGAACAAAACAAACAACCCCGCCAAAAATCTATATCTTTTTGCTTTTTACAAGATATCTATCTTGTATCTATATGCTTTTTACAAGATACCACACTTTAGATTTAAAGATATGAATAGGTTGAAACCAAAAGGATGGAAATATATACACCATGCAAGCAGTACCAAAAGAAAGCTGGAGAGTCTATGTTATATCAGACAAAATAGACTTTAAAATAAAAATTGTTACTCAAGACAAAGAAGGGCATTTTACAATGATAAGATAGTGAGTTCATCAAAAAGATATGGCAATTATAAACACACATCTAATAACAGAGCACCAAAATCTGTGAAGTGCAGAAAGATAGAATTGAAGGGAGAAATAGACAATTCAGCAAAATAGTAAGGGATGTCAATACCCCACTTTCAATAATAAAAAACTAAGCAGAAGATCACAAAGGAAATAGAAGAGTTGAACACTATAAACCACCTAGACCTAACAGACATCTACAGCACACTCTACCCAACAGGAATAAAAGAAAGGACATTACTACCAACCTTACAGAAATTAAAAGGATTAGTGGATAATGCTATGAACAATTGTATGCCAAAAATTAGATAATGTAGATGATATGAACAAATTCCTAGAAAGACACGAACTACCAAAACTGACTCAAGAAGAAATAGAAAATCTGAATAGACCTGTAATATATTCCAACCAAAAAACAAACAAACAAAAAACAAGATCAAGTGGCTTCACTGGTAAATTCTACTGAATGTTTAATGAAGAATTGTCATAAATCTTTCACAAACTCTTCCAAAAAATAAGAAGGTGGGAACACTTTTCAACTCATTTTATGAGGCCAGTATTACCCTGATACCAAAACCAAATGAAAACATTACAAGAAAAGAAAGCTAAAAACCCATAACCTTTATGGATTTAGACCCAAAAATCTTTGACAAAATACTAGCAAACCAAATCCAGCAACATGTGGAAAGGATTATACCCCATGACGAAGTGGGATTTATCCTGAATGATGAAAGGTTGGCTTAACATAAGAAAATCAATCAATGTAATACAACATATTAATAGAATAAAGGACAAAAACCACATGATTATTTCAGTAAACACAGAAAAAGCATTTGCCAAAATTTAGCACCCTTTTATGATTAAAAAAAAAAAGTAACAAACTAGGAGTAGAAGGGAACTGCCTCTACATGGATCAAAGACTGAAATGTAAGGGCTGAAACTATAAAACTGTTAGAAGACAACATATGGATAGGCCCGGTGTGGTGGCTCATGCCTGTAATCTCAGCACTTTGGGAGGCTGAGGCAGGCAGATTACCTGAGGCCAGGAGTTCGAGACCAGCCTGGCCAACATGGTGAAACCCTGTCTCTACTAAAAATACAAAAAAATTAACTGGGCATGGTGATGCATGCCTGTAATTCCAGCTACTTGAGAGGCTGAGGCAGGAGAATCACTTGAACCCAGGAGGTGGAGATTGCAGTGAGCGGAGATTGTGCCACTGCACTGCAGCCTGGGTGACAGAGTGAGACTCTGTCTCAAAAACAAACAAACAAAAAAAATAGGGTTAAATATCCATATCCAAAAACCAAATAAGCAATAGTTTTCAGATAATCAGCATCTAAGCACAAGCAACCAAAGAAAAAATAAATAAATTAGACTTCATCAGAATGTAAAAAAGTTTGTGCTTGAAAGGGGATACTGTCAAGAAAGTGAAAAGACAACCTTCACAATGGGAGAAAGTATGTGCAACTCATATATCTGATAAGGGACAATAAATTATTGGACAATTATAACTCAATAAATAATTCAATTTAAAAATGGACAAAGCGTTTAAGCAGACATTTCTCAAAGAAGATATACAAGAGGCCAATAACACATGAAAAGACTGTCAATATCATTAATCCTCAGGGAGATGTAAATCAAAACCCCACAATGAGATACTACTTCACACTCACTTGGATGGCTATAATCTTAAAATGGAAAATACAGTAGTTTCCCTTTATCTGCATTTTTAGGCCCCAAAGCGCAAAAGTAAAATTAGGGTTACTCAGACACAAGCACTGCAATACTGTGGCAGTTGATCTGATAACCAAGACAGCTACTAAGTGACTAAAGAGCGGGTAGCATATGCAGCATCGATACACTGGACAAAAGGGTGACTCATGACCTCGGCTGGACAGAGAGTGGATGACACAAGACTTCATCACACTACGCAAAGTGCACTTAACAATTTCTGACTGATTTGTTTCTGGAAATTTTTTATTTAATATTTTTGGACCGTGTTGACCATAAGTAACTGAAACAACAGAAAATCAAAACTACAGATAAGGAACTACTGTAAGTATTGGTGAAAAGGTGGAGGAATGAGAACTCCCATACACTGGTAATTAGGAATGTAAGACATGGCAGCCACTTTAGAAAATGATTTATCAGCACCTCAAACATGTAAACACTGAGTTACCATATGACCAGCAATTCCACTCCTAGGTATATACCCAAGAGGAATGAAAGCATATATCCACACAAAAACTTGTACATGAATGTTTATAACAGTATCATTCATAGTAGCCAAAGATAAATGAAATGTGTTATATCTATACAATGGAATACTATTTGACCATAAAAAGGAATGAAAAAAAATGAAGCACTGATAGATGCTACAACATGGTAGCATGAATGAACCTTGCTACCACGGTCTTTTGTGACTAGCTTCTTTCACTTGTCATAATGATTTCAAGGTTCAGCCATAATGACACCATTATAAACCTTGAAAATAAGGTTCATCCATTATGAACCTTGAAAACATTATGAAAGAACCCGGTCACGAAAGACCACATTACATGATTCCATTTATATGAAATGGTTAAAGTAGGCAAATCTATATAGATCTGAGGTAGATTAGTGGTTGCTTAGGGCTGGAGGGTGCAGGATAGTGGGTGACAGCTAAAGGGCATGAGGTTTCTTTTTGAGGTGATAAAAACGTTCTCAAATTGACTGTAGTGATGGTTGCATATATTTGTGAATATACAAAAAACATTGATTTGTACACTTTAAATGTGTGAATTGTATGATGTGTGAATTATATCTCAATGAAGCTGTCATTTAAAAAAAAATTCCAGGAGGCTGTAATAGTGAATAATACTTCTGTAATTTCCTGGGTGAATTTTTTAAATCTCTGATCTGTTCTCCTAAAGATCCCAGAGTAGTCATGCATGTCACTTGCAATGTCTAAATAGGTTAAGGTGTACTTGGGTTTTCCATTGGGAATAATAGGATTTAGGGATCTCCCAGGAATCTGCTCACAAGTGAACTTGGACTAGTTAGTACTCCACCTGCTCTGTGCAGGGTAAGCCTCTTGTTCTATCTTCTGGACATTTCCATTTACCAAAATTCACATGCCACTTCTTGATTTTGGATGTTCATTTCTAGTTTCCTTCAACAAACCTGACTATGGAAAGAATCTTTATGGGGATTTATCACCAAACTCATGATCAATTGCTAAGAGAAATAGACTTACATAAATTTCCTCCTCAGTTCACTTCCTTTAAAGCTCAGTGTTTCATTTGTCCAATAGTGTTGAATTGTTAGTGGTTTGTAGCATTTCAAACCACTAACAATAATTTTGAAAACCTGTTAAAAATCTAGTGTCATGAATAAATGTCTACTCATAAAGGGCAAAAATGCATGTATAATACATCATCTGTTCTCAGCTCCACACATTAACACTGACTTGACTTGTTATTTTACTTTGTCAGAAATACTTTCTTGGGCCTCATAGCCCAGGAAATGTCTATAAAGTTAATATCGTAGGTTCTGGAATTTTGTTTCTTACTTTTTTATTGCCAGGTACTCATTTCTCAGTACTGCATAAGCTAGTATTTTAGCTAATGTGCCTTGAAAGATCATAACAAATATTATACTTTCACTCTTTCTGTTTACTCTTCCAGTTATATAACACAATATTTTCAGTGGTTGGATAAACAACACTAAAATTAGTGTGATTTTTTAAATTACCCACAAGCAATTTTCTTCCCTCCTATTTTTATGTATGTGATTTTATAAAGTTTGAACCATAGCACAGATACATTTTGTATTCAACTTGTCTCACTTACGTATTGTAATAATTGAATCATTCTCTCTCTTGTCTTTCAAATTATAGTTTTAACAGACCCCTGCACTGATTTATGACACAGCCTTGGCATAGATTGTCCTAACATTCTGAATCCCTGTGAGAATTAATGTGACCATATCTAAGTCCAGATGGGATGGTTCAGCCACAATTCCCTCAGTTACATGTGCCTTTGAACAAGTGTCATGTATCTCTGGTTGTTTAAACTTCTGCATTGATTAAATGTCTGCTTTGTGTAAATTTTTTAAACTTCTTTCCTACTTTCTTTAGCATCTTGCGCATGTCAGACACTTTTGATCTATTTGTTACTTTGGTCCCTAAAAGCTTTTTTTCAAGTGAAGCATATAGCCTGTCGGCCTGTTTGTTGACTTCATTCTCAACTGGATCCCAATTCCTGGCTGAGTCCCAACCACTCCCTTTAAAATCACTTCAGATCGTTAGCATGAGATATAATAAATGCTCATGAGAAAGTTAGACCTGAAACTTGTTGCAGTGAGTCTTTGCTGTGGCCATTCCTCCCAGGCTTACAACAACCTCTCATCACATTATAGTCAGAGCTGAAGCAACCGGAAGTATCACTAAGGTACCAATCCATGTCTTTACATGGATCATGGAGAAAAATATTATTGCTCTGAAGGTAAACAAGATAACCGAATAGTTTTCTTTTGCTGTTGTAACAAATTATCACAAATTTAGTAGCTTCAAACAACACATACTTAATATTTTACAGTTTTATAGACTTAATGCAGGTCTAGCTAGGCTAAAATCAGTGTTGGCAGGGCTGTGTTTCCTTCTGAAGGCTCTAGAGGGGAACCCATTTCCTAACCTTTTTTGGCTTTCTGAGGCTGCTCACATTCCTGGATTCCTTCTTCTGTGTTCAAAGTTTCCTTCTTCTGTGTTCAAAGCCAGGTTGAGTTCTCAGATTGCAGCACTCTGACCTCCTCTTCTGTCTCTTTCCTCTATTTTTAAAATCACCCTTGTGATTACAGTGGGCCTACTAGGATAAGACAGGATAATCTCCTCATCTTAAATTCAGTTAATTAGCAACCCTAATTCCATCTGCTACCTTAATTCCTCTTTGCCATGTAACCTAATATATTCATAGGTTCTGGGAATTAGGACATAGATATCTCTGGGAGCCATTATTCTACCTACAATACCTTCTAAGCTAGAAGTCATAGAATCTCTCTATTATTTATTTTAAGCTACAGCATCTCTCCAAGATCATAAAGCCTTACACTGAGAGAGAAATAGACCAACATTTAGAGTAAAGAGTCATTCAGTGTCACCTAGTCCAGTCCTCTCTTTTATACACGAGGAAGAGAAACAGAAGCTGATAGAGATAAAGTGGCTGGCCAACATCACAGTGAGTGAATGTCACAGTGGTAGGAATGTCACAGTGGTAAGAGTGGAATTGGAACAGTTTATATGAAAGCATGGACAGGGATTACTAGTATCAATGATAGTCTTTGATGTGTATTACATGATTAGACCTATAATTTTTATTTCTTGACACATTAATAACTTTACATGATATGTGTCTCATTCAAAATAACAACATTTTGTGCCCTTGTTTGGTGATCCATCTGCTCTGCCTCTCACCTATTCATTGGTAGAAATAAGATAATAAGTTAACCACAGCATTGTTTGTCAAAACCCATGGTTTGAATCATGAAAAAGAATTTTAAGAACCACTGTGATAGACCATCATGTCATCATTTCTTTAAATCCTGGATACTATAATTGACATAAAGTCAAGGTATGGTTTTTGTACTTATCCTTGCCCTACTTCCTGATTGTGACTCTGATTCACTGGATTCTCTCCCTCTCCCCCACCTTGTATTCCTCCTTCCAGAGGCTGTGTCATTGGACCTACCTTCCATTTTAATGTTCCAGCTCTGCACTTTGGTGATGTTTCCTTTGGTGAGTAATTTTCCATTTTAAATTAGAAATTGAATAGGATTCCTTTTCTCTACGTGGAAGGAGGAAGGTTTACAAAGAACCCCCGTTCCACAGCACTGGAATAGGAAGTCCAGCACAAGGACATTCAGAACATGTGCCCTATATCTGATTGCCCTGCATAAGAAAACAGAGTCCACATAACCATCCCAAGTCAGTTACTGCCAAGAAATCTTATACTGATTCATTGTTTGGAATCTACTCTATAGTTCAGCTCTGAAATGTTAATGTAAATGCTATATACCAGTGGTAAGCCCATTATTGAGCTCCAAGAATATCTAAAACTCTTTTATCTAGAAGTCTTCTCCACTTGAGCACCCCAAACACTGACAGTCAGGCATAAAACTTATATATTGACAAGTAACTAATGTTGAGAAATTCATCCAGAATGTAGCACTGAAAGCAAAAGAGTTAGACTACATGAAAGCGAAATAAAGGGACATGGAAAGTAAGATTTAAAAGTTCTAACTAACTAACTAACTTGTATCTAATAGATACAAGTTCTAAGTTTAAAGGTTTAAAAGTTCTAACTTGTATCTAACAGAAATGCTAGATGGAGAAAGAATGAAAATGGCCAAAGAGCAATATTTGAAGAGATGGCGGCTGAGAATTTCTAAACTGAAGAAAAACATTTGTCCTTATAGTGTGCAACTGGATGCTCTTTCAATTCTGTAACTCCATCATAGGTAGCATGTAGCTTCTATGTCTTGGTCAAGTTTTCTGCCCTAACCTTAGCCGTCATACTCACATTCCAGCCAGCAGAAAGGAGGAAGAGACAGGAAAAGAGTACACCCCTTCCTTTTAAGGACACTTCCTAGAAGTTGTACACGCCACATATGGTTATATCCCATTGGTGAGTACTTAGTTGTGTGGCCACAACCAAGCTGCACATAAGGCTAGGAAATACAGCCTCATTCTTGCTGGCCACATTCACAACCAAAACTTAGGGATTTCGTTACTTCCTGGAGAAGGAAAAGGATAGTGGGAGATAACCAGCAATTTTGCCGTAACTTAGCAAATCTGGGCAACATCAATTAAGAATCAGCCAGGCATAGTGGCTCACATCTATAATCCCTCCACTTTGGGAGGGCGAGGCGGGAGGATTGCTTGAGCCCAGGAGTTCAAGACCAGCCCAGACAACATAGCAAGACCCCATCTCTACAAAAAACTAAAACGATCAGCTGAGTGTAGTGGTACGTACCTGTCGCCCCAGCTACCTAAGAGGCTGAAGCAGGAGGATCTCTTGAGCCCAGGAGTTGGAGGCTGCAGTGAGCTGTGATTGCACCACTGCAATCTAGCCTAGGCAAAAGAGCAAGACCCTGTCTCTAAAAAAACAAATAAACAACAAAAAAACCCTCATAACTCTTATTAGGAACCAGGAAAGAAATACAATTGCAGATATTTAAGGCAGTAAAAACAGATAAGAGAATGCTATATACAACTTCTTTAAAAAATAGGAGAAATGGATGAGTTGGGGGAAAACATACGTTATTAAAATTACCACAAGGAGTAGAAAACCTGAATAGAAAAATAATCATAGAATATACTGAAAAAGAAGTCAAATATCTACCCCTGAAGAAAAGACACTAGGTCAAACAGCTTTACAAGTGAGTTCTACCAAATGGTGAAGAAATGGATGTATCTCACATCACAGAAAAATGTAGAAAGCTATTAACTCGTTTTAGGAGACAAATATATTCACAGTAAAACAACACAAGAAAAGAAAAATATAGACCCATCTCTCTTATGAACATTGATTTTAAAGCATTAGCAAATCACATGCATAGAGATGCATTTTTAAAATTACATCATGACCAAGTAGAATTTATCCCAGAAATCCAAAAATGGTTTAGTAACAGGAAATCCATTCATGTAATTTACCACAATTTATATCATCTCAGTTCATGCTGAGAAAAATATTCCACAGAATCCAACACTCATTCATAATGAGAAATAAAAGTTCTTAGAAAACTAGGAGTAGGAGGGAAATTCCTTAATATGATGAATGAAAAATAGAAAAAACCTACAGTGGGAAAATGTATTTAATGGGGACCTTTATTCATTTAGTAACGTATATTTAGTAATATTAGTTTAGCTATGTTCTAGACACTATTCTGGGGACTGGGATATTACAATTTAATGTTGAAAGCATTCTGATTCATTTTCAGAGACAAAAAAAACAAAAAACAAAAAACTATTCTCAAGCTATCATATAACATTGTCCTGGAGGTCCAAGCCATTGTGACAAGAAAATAAAAGGAAATAAAAGATAAGTAGTTGAAAAGAAAAAAACAAAACTATCATGGTTTATAGAATGTATTATTCTCTACCTAGAAAAACTGTGGTAATTAACTGACAAGGCATTAGAACTAATAAGCGTTTAGCAAGATATTCAAGCAAAATATTGTTAAAAAGTAGATTTTTAAATATATCAGCAATGATTAACTAGAAAATATAATTGAAAAATATCATTTAAGAATATAAAACTATAAAATAACCTAACAATAAATGTGCAGACACTACAGGAAGAAGATAATTGGTTAATTCCCTGGGGAAAAATTCACAGAAAGAGCCAATAAATTTTTGAAACAAAGACCAGTGACTGTGGACTTTATCAGATATTATAATGTACTTTAAAGCGTAGGCAAATAGACTAATAGAAACAAAGCCATGACTACAGGGGAATTTACACATGCTCAATGTGAAATTTCAGATCAGTGGAGGCATGGGCTGCTTCATAAAAGGCAAAGAAACAATTTGTTATCCATTGGAAATAATAGAAAAGTTAGACTTTTACCTCACATCTTTCACAGAAAAAAATCTCAGATCTATTAAACAGCTAACAATGAAAAACAAACTTTTTAAAATATCAGGAGAAAATATAGGTGGTTATGTTTATATGCTAGCAAGTGTGAAGGTCTTAAACAAGATGCCCAATGCAAAAGCCATAAAGAAAAAGGTTAGTAAGTGTGGCTCCCTAACATTAAGCAAATTTCCAAACAAAAAGATTTCATGAACACAGTAAAAAGACAATGCTTGCAACATAAATAATAGGCAAAGTATTAAAATCAGAATACATGAACCTTCAGAATACATGAAACTAACTCCTGCTAATTCATGAGGAAAAGTGAAATTATCCAATAGAAAAATTGGCAAATAGATGAATAGACATGTATGAATTGGTAAGTGTTTAAACAGAATAGAAGGTCTATGAAAGACATATTAAAAGATGCTTAATCTCAATCATCTTAGATATTTTTTGTGAAGAAAATTTAAGTATTTTTTTATAACCCAACTAGTATTTCTCATGTGTTCCCACACTACCAAGCAAGCATGGCAGGAGTTGGGGGGCACTGAGGCACTGGCCTGGGGGTGCCTCATCTAGCTAACCACTTACCCGTGGCGCCCATTTCCACTGAGGTATTGTGGGAACACTGATGGCTTGTCCTTTCAGCTCCAGCAGAGCCAACACTGACTTGGCTTCCACTGACTCCATTCTCCCTAGAGCTAGACCTGTGCTTCCCCCATGAAGCTACTGAGCACACTGAGATGTGCTGTAAGTGTAAAATACTATTGATTACATGTTGAAATAATATTTCTGACATGTTGGGTTAAATGCACTATGTTGTTAAAATTAATGTCACCTATTTGTGTTTTGCATTGTATTTCCGTTGGACAGTGTGAAGCTAATCTCTCTTCTCCCTTCATAGCCATTGAGGTATGGTTGCCTGGCCTTTTGCTATGGCAGCCCTGTTGCAGACCCATGGCAAGTTCACTGTTCTCAACCCAACTACCTTCCAGAACCATGAGTGGGAGGAAGGGTGCCATGTATCCATGTGTAATGCCTGTGTCCTTCTCCAGCCACACAGGAACTGAGAGATCCTCAAGTACTGATTCCCTTTCAGCGTAAGCATACCATTTTTATCCTGAGTTAGCTGCCCCAGGCAGGTATGAGAATATTCTGTGAAGTGGTCTGCTCTGAGATTCCCAACAAGAAAGCCAGGCAGAAGTCCCTTTGCTTCCAACATCCCCTCAACCTATTTAGCCACCCTATCCCTGAGATTCTGGCCTGTAAGGCAGATGCCATGATGTACACATGTGGCCACTCTGTTATTCTTCCCCTTCCCATACTCAACTGAGACAAAAGGAGTAGCCTTTCCACTTCCTCTTCCTGTTTGCCAGAACTCTCATATCATCGCCTCCTTTTCCTATATGCTGTATGCCAAATAAGAAAATAACCTGTGTGTCCATTTAAAGAATAACCTGTGTGTCAATTTAAAGGCTCTTATTCATCCTCAAAACAATGACACTGATAACATTATTCTCCATCAGATCTAGAATGGGATTTTTGATGTTAGGGAGCTCTGGCTCACACGAAACCAGGTACGCATGCTCCAAGGTTAGATAGGTTTTTCCCTTAACCATCTTCCATTTGGGCCTCCTTTATTAGGACGCAGGAAAGATTATCATTGGGTAATTTATCCATAGTTTCCTTGAGCTATAGAAATAAAAATCAACAGCTGTTCCTCATAGTTGGTTCAGCTGAAAGTTTTGGTAATTAGCTTAGCTGAAAATTAGAAACAATTTACTTTTCTTTTGTTGTCTAATATCTTATTGAACCATTTGATGATACAGCAGCTATGCAAGAGGCCAGAAGACACTGCAGAACCATGACCCCCAAGATTTCCCAAACCTGAGACATGGAAACTTATCTCAAAAACCAACTTAATCCACCTTCAAAACCCAAGTTATCTTTTCTTTTAGTTTAGCTATGAATGCTATAAATTCTTTAATCTTCTCTGTATTGTGGCAGGAAATGTCAGCAATAACATCCCTTTTGGGCTTGCCAACAGGAAATCTAAGGCGATCTGGTTTTCAAAACCACATGGGTCAGTGGGTTTAGGCTACTTTGCTTTGCTTCTGGAGTCTGTACTGCATCAGCCAAAGCGAGGGGCAATTTTGTGTTAATTTCCAATTATATGACCCCCACAATTTAAGCCTCATGACTCCAACAAAGTACCATTATTTCCCCAGGTGGATTGGTCTCTCATCAAATAGACTCTTCACAAAGAAGCATGGTGGCACTGGAGGATGTGGAGAGGCATTTGAAACTTTCTTTTCTTTTCTTTTCTTTTTTTGGTGTTTTTTGTTTTGTTTTGTTTTGTTTTGAGACAGAGTCTCTGTTGCCCAGGCTGGAGTGCAGTGGCACCATGTTGGCTCACTGCAATCTCCGCCTCCGGAGCAAGCAATTCTCCTGCCTCAGCCTCCCGAGTAGCTGGGATTACAGGTGCATACCACCACACCTGGCTAATTTTTTAATATTCTTTGTAGAGACGGGGTTTCACCATGTTGGCCAGGCTGGTCTCGAACTCCTGACCTCAGGTGATCCACCTGCCTCTGCCTCCCATGTGCTGGGATTACAGGTGTGAGCCACCGTGCCTGGCCACATTTGAAACTTTCTAATTATTACCCCACATATGCAAGTAGGGAGGCGTTAATGAGACAGATGAGCATAAGCTTGTTATTAGCTCAGGAATGAAAGACTAATAGGGATGCGTATAGTTCCTGATGCAAAAGTGAAACTGATCATTCCAGGAATAAGCCAAGAATTGGAGGAATATTTTAGTTATTTCAGAATGATGGACATATTATGTGGGGTTTAAAAAGGTTTGCAGAGGCTAATATAGTGGGGAATACATTAAGCTAACTAAAGTTGACAGTATTATCCCTGTATTGACACTTAAGTTCCATTCCTAAAAAGGAGTCTGTTACAGATTAGTGTTGGAGATGTGGCATTTATTTGCTTGGTGGTGAAGATATGGATTTTGCATCAGGGACTGTTGGAATTGATGATGTTGTGATAGATGGGTGGTGGGTAATAGTACTATATGTTGGTTTCCAGAATTTCTATGGCTATAAAGATTTTTGATGGTAGGATTGGATGTTGGATGACCTACCCAGAAATAATTAGTTCTGTTGACTACAGCTGCAGTAGCATGAGAGAGTCAGATAATAGAATTGGGTGGTGATTGTCCTTGAAGGAACATTGAGGCATAGATGAATCCTTGGATGGGTTAAAGAATAAACGGACCAAGTAACAACTGGCATGCTAGCTGATACACTAAAGGCCCAGGTAAATATCTGCAAACCCACTATTTTTCAGGAGATACAAGGATGTGTTGAATGAGAATAAGGAGTTTGAAAACCTCCAAGCATTTATTGAACTCGGCCATTGAATAATGTGGACAGAGAAGTTATTGCAAAATATGATAACCTGTCTGGGATTTGGGGACAGAGTTGTTCAAATAAAGCATCAAAAGATGCATTACCAGTGTCTCTTCTATGGCACTGATATAAACTGGCAGTATGTAGCTGAAGGAGAAATATCTAAGTTGACCTTCGGAGGGTGTAAAGTAGGGAGCCGGGAGCAAAACCGGATTGTAATGATCACAGAATGATCTTAGAAGGGTTGGCAGAAGAGATCATAGTAGGTGTGAGCAAAGCATGCCCAAAACAAGTTGTCAATAACAGTAAGGGAGACATCACAGGGTGTATCAAAATTGTATAACCTTAAGATAAGAAACAAGGAGTAATATGGCAAAATGATGAAAAACAAAAGCAGGCAAGGGAGAGTGTGAGAATCAGTAACGTCAGGCATCTAACAAAATCTCATCCCATCAGTCTTGAGCAGAAGCTGTCTACTGTGGGTAAAGTCTGCTTGTTCTGAGGGACTTGAAATAGCAGTCTATTTCTGAAGGTCATCTGCTTCTAAAGGTTTTTTCTGTTTTTTTAGAAAACCTCTACTTAAGATCCCCAGTGAGAGTATTTTTCAACACGTCTTCAGCCAATAATTTAGCTTCTATGGGCATCTTTTTCCTCAGAGGTCCACCTCATAATTTAACTGCAAGGTCAGTTGTTAGAAGGCTCTGAAGAAGACCTTCATTGGTGTATTTTTCAGGGTACTCATTCTTCAGTTAGAAAGAGGGGAGGGCTTCTGAGGGTGGTATTTTAGGGAAGACTTTTTAAACTTATAGATGAGCTGGTTCTCACAATATTTTGTTATGTCTGCATGAAGCAAGGTTGACCCAAATTGATGAAATACTTGTAATCACATGGATCTTCTAGTTATTATTTCATAAAGTGAATAGCCTATGAGTTACAGAGGGAGCTAATCATATCTGATGGCCATCAGAGCTAAAGGTAAAACTCTTCATCAAGGAACTCAGAACCTCGGAGAACTGGGCCAACTTAAGATCAGTAATACTATTTTTATGCTCTACATTTCCCAAAGATTGTGAAATTTTTTATCAAAGGGCTAACGCACTATAAAATTCTTTTTAACTCTTGTAGTGTAAGGTAACATTCCCCAGGTGGGAAAATTATAGTCTACAGTTTCTTAGTCACAGTCACAGCACTGGTCTTTCTGTACAGAAAGGCTCAAACCCATCCAAAGAATTTACAGTTACAAGCACATATTCTGAACTTTGTGAGCTGGGCCTAATCCACATATATTCCAGAGACTCACATCCCACTTGTACAATGTTTCTGGATATGGTATCAGGATGGGAGGCAGGAGCCAGCCACATCCCCAGCTACAGAGGAGAGATTTTCCCATTGATTCTTATTCAGAGATTATTTCCTCTCTTCTATGGTGGTGATGTTTTACGTATGATAAAACATTTTTGTCAAAGACCACTTAGATTTGGGGGCATAGTTGGTATTCCAGAGACCATTGGAATGAACAGAGGTTCCCAATTTTAGGCAACGTTTGTTTTCTGAATCTGAGGCTAAATTTTCTATGTCCAAAATGAGTTGGATATATGTGCTTATTGATTCCCATATTCTGAATTATTTCTATGGACAATGACAAAAATGCCACCTGATTTGCATAATGATCTGCCAACACAGTTCCCTTTGCTTTGTGGAGATTTTTACTTTACTAGAAAAATAAAGAATCCATTGTCTAAAATATTCCATGAATCCCCCAGTCTCTCAATTATAATTTAGCATTTTGTCCTGCATGTTGATGAATCAATTTAATACTCCCATTAGATAGGGTCCTTTCTCTAGTAGAGACGTCATGTTCCAAATAATATACCATATTTTTAAAGAACTGTAATTTTTCCTTTACAGCCTTGTGATCTTCCGCTGCTAGTTTCTGCTAGTCTTCTTAGGAGCTTTTTAGGTCAGGTGAAAATAAGCATCTTGAAGGAGAATTGAATCTCTTGAGAATGTTGTGTTTTAAAACATTATACAAGTATTGGGAGAAAGATCAGGTGCCTCTGTGAATCCTTGAGACATTCTGTGCAATTATGTTGTTAATTATTTGAAGAGAAGGCAAATAAATATTGACTTTTTATCTACTAGACCCTATAAAAGGGAGCATAGAGGTCTACAACTGTAAAGTACTTGCATTCAGGTGGAACTGTAGATAGAATAGTATTAGGATTGGTTGCAATTAGAAACCTAGGTGTAACATTCTTATTAATGACCTTCAGTCTTTAACAAATCAGCATCCCCTTCCTTTAGGCTTCTTGACAAGCAATATGGGATATTACAGGTACTAGTACAAGAAATTGTTGTAACTAGGAGGTCATAATTGGCTTTATTCTGTGAAAAAGTTCTGGCTTTAAGGAAGCAGTCTGGGCAATGGTTTGGAAGACCACGTGACTCTTTATAATACCCACTTTCCATAATACGCTCCACATTCACAGATCGTCTAACTCATAAATGGTCAGATCAAATAAGGCTAAGCCATCTACAGTTTCCAGAGTCATTATTTGGTAAGTCCAGGAAAGTCACATGTAGCATGATTGTGAAGCTGCCTTCCAAGCAGTTCCTCTGGAATTTCCAAGAATAATCCTTTAAGTGCACTCAATCTCACAGTTCTTTTTCCATGAAAGATATCTTCCAAGTAGGTTGGCAGGTGTGTTATCACAAAGGATACATGAATGTGTTTCCTCCAATGGCCTAATGTGTAGACAAAAGCTGAGACATGAGGCAGAAGTAGATCAACTCAAAATAGCCCCGACAGCAACAGTCATTACTCCAAGAGACCAAGTACATTTTATTACAGCAGAGTTCAAGGTAGAAGAGTAGCATTTCCATCCAGTAGAAATATGCATTTTTGTTCTCCTGTGTCTATAGATTATTCTTCTTGTTCTGAAAGTGGTATCAGATACAATAGCTGCCTAGGGAATCGAAAATCAGAGTTTAGTGGCCGGGCACTGTTGCTCACGCCTGTAATCCCAGCACTTTGGGAGGCCAAGGCAGGTGGATCACCTGAGGTCAAGAGTTCAAGAGCAGCCTGGCCAACATGGTGAAACCCCGTCTCTACTAAAAATACAAAAATTGGATGGGCGCGGTGGTGCATGGTGGCGCACACCTGTAATCCCAGCTACTCAGGAGGCTGAGGCAGGAGAATCACTTGAACCTGGGAGGTGGAGGTTGAGGTGAGTTAAGATTGTACCACTGCACTCCAGCCTGGGTGACAGAGCAAGACTCTGTCTCAAAAAAAAAAAAAAAGAAAGAAAGGAAGGAAGGAAGGAAGGAGGAAGGAAGGAAGGAAGGAAGGAAGGAAGGAAGGAAGGAGAGAGAAAGAAAGAAAGAAAGAAAAGAAAGAAAATCAGAGCTTAGTGTATTGCTTGCCAAGCAAGAAAGGTCCACACCTCTTAAGAGAGGAGTCTCACGGAACGAAGCTGGATACGATGACAAAGCAGCTTTGTCTAAGAGAGGTAAAAGCCAGGTGTTAGTCTCTGGCTGGCTCTAAAGCAGTTTGTAAAGTCTCTCTTGGGAAAGGCTATTTTTTGATACTGTGTCATCAGCCCTAAGAGCGTGATACCCAGACAGGTCTAGGACACACTATCATGTCTTGGCAAGCTCTGGGTCACCCAGCGGGCAAAACCATGCAGGCTTTTTCTTTCACACACTGGCAAATAAAAACAGCAAGCATGATTCAATGTAAAAATGTATATTTTTGTGTAAGAAATAAATGCAAAATATACTTCTGCAAGACTACTCAGCCAACTACTAACAGAGGCTGCCTCCCCGGAAGGGCCTGAGTGGCAATCAAGGGGCTTGTTTTATATGTGGTGTTTAATCTCCCACATAGTAAATGCATAGTAAATATTCATTGAGTGAATGCATAAATGAAAAAATAGATACATTAATGAATGAAAATGTATTTATTGATGGAATAAAACAATAATATTTAGGGCAAGTTGGAGTTAAGTAGTAATGAATAGCACAGACAGTTCATTCAAGAAGCTTAGCAGTTTCTAGGGGAGATTGAGGGTCAAGGGAGGTGTTGGGGGGGCTTTTATTTCTCACATCATGTTTTGTTTTCCAGGGTTTCCTCATACCTTGATATGTTCCCTCAATAATACCTCTTTGATCCCCATGACTTACAAACTGCGTATCCCTGGGGATGGCCTTGGCCATAAAAGCATTTCATATTGTGAGCAGCATGTGGACTACAAAAGACCGTCTTGGACCAAGGAAGAAATATCCTCAATGAAACCAAAAGAATTCACCATCTCTCCTGACTGTGGCACCATTCGCCCCCAGGGATTTGCTGCTATCAGGGTAAAGTGCATGGCCTTCCTGCACACACAGCTAAGCAGCTGAGCCTTCAAAATAGCCATGGGCCCTCATCTAGGGTTTGCTCTAGTATGTCCAGTGTCAGCAGGAGGGGGTGCCTGTCAATTTACAGGGAAACGTGGGCCTATAAGGAAATAAATCAGACACAAATACATTGGGCAAAGCAATGGGCACTGTGCCAGTGGCTTTACCTTAATCTAGATGCATTGCCTTCACCAGAAGAGTGGGTTCTAGGCATTTCTAGTGAAGCCACTGCTATCCAGACAGTACTCCCAGCGGTACTAATATAAACAGATTTCACAACTTATTGATACTTAGGTTTATCTTTCCTTCAGACTCAGATCCTTTAGATACCAATAAATAGCCACACTTATGCCAAAGATGATATCTGGTTTATTCAGCTTTGTAATCCGAATCCAGGCTTCATTCATGGTGGATGTGGATGTGATATCACTAACAGCGCCTTATCTTGAGTTCTGCAGGAAAAGCCATGAGAATTCAGCTTCCTCATCCTGAGGAATACTCATCCTTCCATGTTTTGTTTGCAATCAGGATAGTGCTTTGCCTTGGTTATCGCCTCACAGTGCCACCAGTGGAATTATTTCACCCTTAACTGTCTTCCCTCTTTTCTTTTGCTGTTGTTGTTTGTTGTTGTTGTTGCTTCCCAGATATCTCAGGAAGATTTTAAAAGACACAGCGTCTTGCTAGCAGCCTTCTGCCAAAACCACTTGTTCTTCCTTCTAGCCACAGCCCAGATACATAAACAAGGGGTTACAGTCACACTAGGATTCTCTGTTTCTTTCCAAATCAATGACTTCATCTTCACTTTATTTTTCCTTTATATTTGGAAAAGCTTTCTCCAAGCTCCAGTTTTCCCTCCTGATCTGCACTTCAGCCAGGTCTGTGTGGACTCAAATTTGCATCCAGTGATTCCCTCTGCAACTGAAAACATTTTAATTAGTACCAGATGCATAATTTATAGATAGAAAAGCCTTAACTCATGCCAGAAGCTGTTTTCTAGACTTGAAACTATCTCTTCCAGTACATACAATTTTGAAGCAATTAAAAATCGTAACAAGGCTTCTGAAAGCCTAAATGTACAGCTTCACAGCAGGAAATAAAAACACAGGGTAAAATGTTCTGAGCCCCCCAAGAGCCTCCCTTGACCCTCAATCTCTCCTAGCAACTGCTAAACTTCTTAAATGAATTGTCTGTGCAATTCATTACTGCTTAACTCCAACTTGCTGGAATTGGAATCTAAGTACCAATGAGTTCTGAAATCTGTTTATGGTTTGACCATGTTCTATTGTCCTCAAATAGACCTTTCTTTGGAACTTTCTATTTTCTGCTGTAATAAAGAATGTGGGATGGTGGGGGCAAGATTTTGGTAAAGCAGACTGATTTCTTACACCATTTTCTGGAACTGACATGGTTATTTCCATTTATTTTACTGTAAGAGAACTTGTGCTATAGTGTTTTACTTGTATATTACATTTTCATAATTCATATAGCCCAGAGGTAGGGAACAATTTAAATTGCAGTAATTAAAGTTGGTTCGATGTTGCTCATCGTTCATGCTCATTTTTGCCCTTATGCAGGTATGTGGCTTCTTTGACAAAACCTCCTCAGAAATGAGCAAAGCCATTGTACTAACAGCCATTTGGTTTCTACCCTGGCCTTTGAAAACACTCAGCATGCCCTGACCCCACAATGTAACTTGTTCAGCTAAAAATGTAAAATGCTATATATCCATAAAGCACTTAGAAACCACTCTGATCAGCGTAGTCCTCCGGAGGCTCCCCTCCCCCGTGTAGAGAGAACGTGCTTTTTCGAAGACCAACTTGTCACCTTTTTCTTTCCAGGTGACATTATGCTCCAACACTGTACAGAAATACGAGCTGGCACTCGTGGTGGACGTGGAGGGCATCGGAGAAGAGGTGCTGGCGCTCTTAATTGCAGCAAGGTATTGCTCCCCAGCTTGCTCTTCTCCTGAGTCGCCCCCGAGCCTCCAGTAATGGGCTGCCTCCCAGAAGGCAGCTGGCCTGCCAACCCAAGCACACTGAGTTTGTCCTGCCTTCCTGGGAAGGGAAGTTGAATCTGACATTCAAATGACAAAGCAGCAAATGTTTCTAAAGCACCTTTGGTGGAGATAAGAAGAAGTGTGTGTGTTTTGTAGAGTTTAGGCAGAGAATCCTAAGAATAGTGAAGAAACGGGTCAGACCCTCTCTAACGGGTTTGACTTTCAAAGTATGTAACCAGAAAGGTTTTAGCAGGAAGAGGTGAAGAGCTGCTCATTTTTATTTTCATCTTTCAACATAGTGCTCCGGAGTTATGCAATAGGAAGGTGATGCTGTCAGTCCTGCAGTGGAAGATCCATAGAGCCAAGAGGTCCCTGCCCCGGGACACTGTTGCTGTGACTTGAATTTCAGGCTAGGAGTGGGCCCCCAAGATGAGGCTCATCTTTAACAAGGTATACTCCTCAGAACCATCTCCAACTCCTCTCTCTTTTTGAGAGAGGCAGCTGGGTTAAAATCCTGGCTCAGCCATTTGTTGACTGTGTCTTTTTGACCAAGCTACAGTCATTGCAGTACTGCTGATGAGGGTGGTGGTGTCATCGACTAATGATGATGTGATCCCAAATAAAATCCTGGGGCCACACTCGTCCCAAAGCAATCAGTGTCCAGATCTGGGACTTTAAGTTGTATGTATGCAAATGCTACGTATAGGAAATAGAGAAAATGACTTAGGAAAACTGATAATCATGCTAATATGTCAATCTCTGGAATTCTGATCTCTTGTGAATCTTAGGAAGACATACACTTTAAAGATGGGGCAGATGTGCTGGTTGGTGGGGAGTTAGCAACTGACACTATTTCACGTGTCTTGGGCTTGGATGAAGATAAATAGCAGTGCAGAAATAACTTAAATTAGGGTTCCCACTGTGACCTACTTAGTATTCCTTCAAGACCTATTTTTTCCTTTGTTTACAAACAGTAAAAACCCTAATGTGGTCCTTTCTATGCCCAGATTTGCCTTTCAGTCTAGTCCTGCATTTCTTGTCTATGCAGACTTATTCAGATACTTTCTAGCCCCTTTCCCTACAGCTATCGATAGGAAATTCTAAATTAAAAAAAAAAAAAGGTCTAAAGAGGCTATGAGTTTTCTACTTATATTCTGTGACCCAAGTCAAGTAGTATAAGCCCTCTCAGTCACAGTATTTCAGGTAGTAAAGGATTAGCTTTAAGAAAGTCACTGGGTCAACAGACAACTTCCATTCCAGCTAGAAATGAACACTCATGCAAAATCACAAACTTTGCGGTTAAAGAAAGGCTCTTTCATGTCCTTATTTTTGGTGTAATCTGTAGGAACTACTCACTGACTCTTAACAGAAGAATTGCTTTTAGAACTGCAGCCTCAAGTAACTCTCTCCAGAGAGCCAGCAGTGACAGCCTGCCATGATTCTGCCACAGGCTCACTCCCTCTTACTGGGCACTTACCTGGTGCTGGGCTATGCCCTTCCAGCACCCTAAGAAGAGTTTATAATGCCAATATCAATCCCTAGAATTATCCTCATTTTACCTATGAGAGAAATGGGACTCTGAGACAGAAAGCAGCTTGCCCAAGGTTACACAGGTTGTACTTAGTAAGGTCAGTCTTTGAAGCTGGCTCTGCAAATTCAAAAGCTGGTACTCTTCACCATTGCACTATACTGAAGCAATGGCAAAGGGTAGGATAGACATTGAGAGCCACAGACGGCAAATAAAATCCAAGTCACCTAATAATAGACCAATGGTAAACACAGGGCTTCAACTCCCCTCTTTTCTGCATACAACCCTCCCTCCCTCTCCCCCCACCTCACCCCCGCCATGTCGGCACAGTGACAACCCCGTCACAGTGCCAGTTCTGGACCAAGCAGCCACCTGAACCTCTGCATCCAAGACAGCTGTTCTGCATAGGAATTAGCATTATTATTGTTATTTAGATGATGTGAGCTGTCGCTAGTCCTTGGGGGGCTTTCTGACTGGTCCAAAGTGTCACAGCTAGTTAGGACCACATGCTGGTGGCATTGGCCCTGTTTGGCATGGAAACAGATTCACTACCCTATGGATCTTGCGCCATGGGGACCCCTTGCCCAAAGAAGGGCAAATATATAAAACAATGGAAATGTGAGTCATTACCCACCAGGCAGCTCTTCAAGGAGTTCTGCTTCTAGTCCTTTTTTGATTAAAAAGTGGTGACTGGGGGCCAAGAGACAGGGAAGAGAGGAGGAGAGAAGCTTTGAAAGTGACTAATGTGGTTATTAGAGAAAAACTACTATGTGACACTGACAAATGTATCTTGCTTGGGGCTCTGCGTGTTCTGTATGTAAACAAGCTCTCTGTTTTGAATTGTGTGATGGGCTCCTCCGAGCAGGTGTGTTGTACCTGCCCTCCACCTGGTCAATACAGAGGTGGACTTTGGGCACTGCTTCCTGAAGTACCCGTATGAGAAAACACTCCAGCTTGCCGATCAAGATGACCTCCCAGGATTCTATGAGGTCCAGCCTCAGGTGAGTTCCTTTCTCCTTCTTCAGTATTAATTATTCTTCCATTGAGTTCCCTTGATGAGAAAGAGAAATCCCTCTGAAGTGCCACATTCCTGAACACATGACCTTAAGTAATGCTGATTTTTAACCCTTAGATAGTCTAAGGATCGGGTTATAAAGTCACAGTTGGATTGCTAGCTGCATGCCTGAGCAGCTGCAGGTGTAAACCGTTGTTAATTTCCCAGAGAAATTACCCTTGATAAACAAGGGAAAGTGTCAATTAAGCCAACATGCAGAATTGCATCTGCAAATAATTGCCTGTGAACTAACCATGCATGGGAAATGAGCTAGGAGTTTTCATTATGTCCATGGCTGTGAGTTGAATGGCATCAGTAAGTAATGCAATATTTATAAGTAGATTTGTTGGACCAGAAAGCTAGAGACAATACAGGAATAAGAAAGGAGGAATTATCTCTTCATGTTTTATGAAATGTGTCTGTCCATATGCCACTACACCCAGCTAAGTGGGAGACTAAGGAGTTAAACACAGATGGATAAACAATTTTTTAAAAATCTGTACAGATTAGAGTAATGGAAGGTTACTACTGAGATGCAGTTTACCAAGAATGCATTTGGGTATAAAACTCAGTTATAGAAGTACAATATTCTAACTAAAATGTATGCAAAAATGTCATATGGGGGTTTATTTGGCTACAAGATCAATGGGAGTTAAAACAGCAATATGGAGGCCACAGAACCAAGGCAAGTTTAGGCTGCCGCAGAGAATTACCACCTTTAGGTAAAGGAAGGTGATAGCTGCTGGTCAGAACACAGCCAGAATTTTGTCTTCAGATGTTGTCATTGTATTTTTCTAATGGAAACTTGAAGAAGAAAAAGCACCAT
This sequence comes from Homo sapiens, assembly GCF_000001405.40. Classification (NCBI taxonomy): domain Eukaryota; kingdom Metazoa; phylum Chordata; class Mammalia; order Primates; family Hominidae; genus Homo; species Homo sapiens. The sequence goes on from NC_000001.11 coordinate 146,647,140, forward strand.
GTGCACAGTAACCAAAATGGCAATCCATGGCATCTGCAAATCCAATCATATGTGTGTTTAATCTGAAACAGAATAGAATTAGCTAGGATAACACAGCTACCTTTCACAAGTCACGGGGCTGTTACGTAACAGAGAAATAGAATGGTTCTATGGGTTTCTCTGAGACAGAACTAGAAGCCAAGGGTTAGGGTGACAGGAGACAAGGTCTAACACTCAGATGCTCCACAGCAGGCCGGGCCAGCCCTGCACAGTGCATGATCATTTCAAGAACTCAGAGTGGAGTGTGCATCTGGGGTCAGGGGAAGTTGTTTCTGCACAGCAGGACTGGGCATAGGATGAGGCACTTGCCTTGGGCACAAAATTTAAGGGGAAGCCAAACACTCAAGATGCTTAGTATTTCCATTACATATTGTAAGAAATCAAAATTAATTCCAAAAAATCCATAATAAACAAGATACCAAAACCTAGGTAAAGAGATCAGTCCGACCTCAGGCTGTCATAAGGCTCGGCGGAGCACTGTGGCACAGGGAGGAGTTAGACTGGGCCATGTTAGGCCAGACCAGATGCAGAGAGACTGTGGCGTACCCCAGGCAGGTGACACCTGCATGCTCTGTCGTCCTCCCCAGCAGCAGAGGCTCTGAGAAATGGTTCCCAGAGTTATATAGTAGCATTTTAAAAATTTTATTTGCGTTCTTGATGCATAAAAGCTGGTAATATGGTGCAGAACAGGGTTCTGAGAAACACAAATTGGTCAATACTGGACAGTTGTTCATTCATTCATTCATTCCTCACTTTAAAAACTGAGCATATGCTTTGGGTCAGAAAGTGGTCATGTAGAGAGGAGAGGCCCAGCTGTATGCTAAGAAGTTGTCAGCGGGAGATGCAGGTGGCATGGTGCTGTCCAGTGCATGCTGTGGAAAAGGACTGCACAGGATGCTCCCTGGGGACAGAGGAAAGGTTCCCACCCTAGGGCACTTGAGGAACAGAGGGAGAATTCAGGATGAGTGTGCCAGATGGGTTGATGGGTATGGGCGTTCTAGGAGGAGTCACCACAAGTGCAAAGGACTGGAGGTCAGAAGCAGCATCATGGATTCAGGAAACACCAGCAGCCTCTATTGATGGAGCACAAAGGGCAAGGGAGTGGGGATGATGCGTGAGGGTGCAGAGGGCCAGGTTAAGGAACTTGGAAAGTGGAAAGTGGACCTTTTCCTTTTCCTAAGGAAAGTGGAAAGCTGTTGCCCTGAACTTATTTGTGTTGCGGATAATTCTGCATCTTGCTGTGCTGGGCACTTTGAATTTTGGGCCTCATGCACATCCCACTTAACCAAACTTCCTTTTGGCCGAATTGGGGTGCTCATCCCTATTTACTTGCTTGAATAATAAGACATTTCTAAAACACCTCTATGGACTCAGGAAAACGCTTCAAAATAAGCAAATACGCTATTTGTTCCATGCTGTGCTGTCCTTACCCCTCTGGTTTGCTCTCCCCCAGGTGTGTGAGGAGGTGCCTACTGTGCTGTTTTCCAGCCCCACCCCCAGCGGGGTCATCTCCCCAAGCAGCACCATCCACATACCACTGGTCCTGGAGACCCAGGTCACTGGAGAACACAGATCCACGGTTTACATCTCAATCTTTGGGAGCCAGGACCCCCCTTTGGTGAGAGTCCATTTTCAGAACTGCAATTGAAATTGCTGTGCTTCTTCTCAAACATTTTGAGCTTTCTCATTTGAGGCCCACACCGTATTCACATACACCCCAGTTGCTTGGAGTTCTAGGGTTTTATGTTTTTACTCTGCAATGGTAAAATACCGGTGCTATGTGACTTTACAGAATCTGTTTATGGCTACATCTAACAGAAGCAGTGTTTTATAGCAATCATCCTTAAACCTAACAGGATACCAGGAGTTTCTCTCTCTCTCTCTCTCTCTCTCTGACACACACACACACACACACACACACTGTCACACATGCCTGACCCCTCTCCAGTCCTTTGAAATCAGAAACTCTGAGGGGAGGAAGCCAGCACATCTGTACGGGAGCCAGCACATCTGTATTTTTAATAAGCTCCTTGGTTGTTCCTGGTGCAAAGCTGGGTTTGGGTATCACTGGTTTGTCACCTGTAGGCTGGGAGATCAGTTTCCTTCACTGCTCACCTGAGCTTTTCTTGTATATTAACTTGACTCATGGCTCATATTAGCCTACTCAAGCTAATGTGCCATCAGCCTACTCAAGCTGTTAAGAGAAATAGTCTCTCTCCAAGAGGAAGAGGAAGAGGGATTCATGGAAAGCTCTCCACTGCTTAGGCTGAGTTGAAGGATAAACATCGAATCCTACAGGAGGTTGCCCAACAGGCTCTGTATTCCTAGACATGTGGTTTACTTGGGAACTAGTGATGTCGCCTTACGTTTCTTTGTTGTGACTCTGATTGCTTAGACAGCGTAAAACACTAGGATTTTGCTTTTATCTCTTCCATATAAGATGCCGTAAATAAGCCACTTAACTTATAAAGCAGCATCACCAAGGCAGGCCGACCCCAAAACATGCCACCAGTTCAGGTCCCCCACGAGGCTCACTGTGCTGCTGTCCTACCCCCCTGCACAGATGCAGCCCATGAGAGGGTAGCTTGCTGAGCAGCCAGAACTTTGTGAAAGAAAAGGGCCACCTTCCTCAGGCAGACACAGTGCCTGGCTCCGGGGACAGGAAGAAGAGAGTAGAGCAAAGTGGATTTCAATCTCCAACCCTCACAACTATGTGCAGTGGCCCTGCCCTGCCACACCACTTGTAAAGCAACAGAACTGGAACTCAAACCCAGCCACATCTGACTTTGAAGTGCTGACCCTTAACCCCGTACTAAGTGTCATTGAGGCTGGAGTGCTGTGTGGGATGGAGGGGACCCAGATTCTGGTTTCCCCTCAATGCATGGCTCTGGGCTGACCTGGGGAAGCTGCTCATTCTTTCCGGGGAGGAAATCCAGGCTGGATTCACAGGTCTGACCAGCATGGCCCTCGCTGTGTTCCCGAGACCACAGCACACCAATGGGAAGGGGTGCCAGTTCTCATAAGCATCCTCTTTTGCCCTTGCTTTTTATTGAAGGAATGGCTAAAAGTGGCTAGCCATTTCCAGCTGTTCCTGTGTTCTTTCTCTCTGGCGGAACTCAGGTATGTCACTTAAAGAGCGCTGGAGAAGGCCCAGTTATCTACGTCCATCCCAATCAAGTGGACTTCGGGAATATCTACGTCCTAAAAGACTCTTCCAGGATTCTCAACCTATGCAACCAGTCCTTCATTCCCGCATTTTTCCAGGCACACATGGTAAGTCATGGGACATGATGAAACACAGCTTTGGCTTATAGGCAATGGCCCTATTTTTGCAACATGTCTTTGAAAATGATCACCAGAAGCAGAGATTTGCATGGTTATGTTGTTGTATTAAACCACGTCATTCCCATCCCCAATTCTTCTTTATTATAATAAATTAACATAATAATGTATGCATCAATTAATAATTTTGTTGATTAAGGTATGCCTTAGCTCAAGGGATGCCTATTATAATACTTTTTGTTGATTAAGAAACACAGTGTGCATGTCTTTTGGTAAACAGGCAAGTACAGTCAATAGAATCCCAGTTCAGGAAGATGCTTCGGAGGTCAACAAGCTCCCCTACTGAACTGTACCTAAGCCCAGCCCCAGCCCTCAAAAAAACACTTTTTAGATGTCTCTTTAACTAGAAGTGCTCCCTTTAATTTGAGTCCTTTTGGCTATACATATGTTGGTGTGTTTATTCTATTTTTTTTCCTCTCTTCCTTCTAGCAATATTTTAAGGTAGTTTGTGAGGATGTCTGAAATACAGGAGAGTATTCACCAAAAACAGAAATTAAAGTGAACAGCAAAGACAGATACAAAATAGATGTAAAATGGTTTTAGAAATGGATTTGTCTCATTTCTATGTACAGTTGACCCTTGAACAATGTGAGGATTAGGGACACCAAACCCCCATGCAGTTGAAAATTCACATATAACTTTTTTTTAAACTTTTATTTTAGTTTCATGAGGTACATGTGCAGGTTTGTTACACAGGTAAATTGTATGTCACAGGTTTGGTGTGCAGATTATTTTATCACACAGGTAATAAGCATAGTATCCGATAGGTAGTTTTTATATTCTCTCTTCCTCCCATCCTTCACCCTCAAGTAGGCCCCAGTGTCTCTTGTTCCCTTCTTTGTGTGACATTTGGTTTTCTGTTCCTGTGTTAATTTGCTTAGGATAATGGCCTCCAGCTCCATCCATGTTGCTGCAAAGGACATGATTTCATTCCAGACACATAGACCAATGCAACAGAATAGAGAGCCCAGAAATAATGCCACACAGCTTACAACCGTCTTATCTTTGACAAAGTTGACAAAAGCAATGGGGAAAAGATTCTCTAGTCAATAAATGGCATTTGCATAACTGGCTAGTCATATGCAGGAGATTGAAACTAGACCCCTTCCTCACACCATATGCAAAAATAAGATGGATGAAAGACTTACATGTAAAACCTAAAACTATAAAAATCCTGGAAGATAACCTAGAAAATACCATTCTGCACATGGACCCTAGCAAAGATTTTATGACAAAGATTCTAAAAGAAATTACAACAAAAACAAAAATTGACAAATGGGTCCTAATTAAACTAAAGAGCTTCAGCACAGCAAAAGAAACATACAACTTTTGACCTCTCAAAAACTTATCTGCTAACAGCTTACTGTTGACCAGAAGCCTTTCCAATAACCGTCGATTAACGCATATTTTCTATGTTATATGTATCACATACTGTATCTTACAGTAAAGTAAGCTAGAGAAAAGAAATGTTATTAAGAAAATCATAAGGAAGCAAAAACATACTTAGTTATTAAGTGCAGGTAATCATCATAAAGATCTTCATCCTCATCATCTTCACATTAAGTAGGCTGAGGAGGAGGAGGGAGAGAAGGGGTTGATCTTACTGTCCCATCGGTGGCAGAGGTGGAAGAAAATCCACATAAAAGTGGACTGATGCCGTTCAAACTCATGTTGTTCAAGGGTCAACTGTATTTAATAATGACATTTAGACCTGCTAGTCTTCTATAAGCTAATTTTTATTTTATTTTTGCACAAGAACAGACATGAAATGGTGGGGGTTTTGTAGAGTTTAGGAATTTCTTTTTTTTTTTAATTTAATTTTATTTATTTATTTATTTTTTTATTATACTTTAAGTTTTAGGGTACATGTGCACATTGTGCAGGTTAGTTACATATGTATACATGTGCCATGCTGGTGCACTGCACCCACTAACTCGTCATCTAGCATTAGGTATATCTCCCAATGCTATCCCTCCCCCCTCCCCCCACCCCACCACAGTCCCCAGAGTGTGATGTTCCCCTTCCTGTGTCCATGTGATCTCATTGTTCAATTCCCACCTATGAGTGAGAATATGCGGTGTTTGGTTTTTTGTTCTTGCGATAGTTTACTGAGAATGATGATTTCCAATTTCATCCATGTCCCTACAAAGGACATGAACTCATCATTTTTTATGGCTTCATAGTATTCCATGGTGTCTATGTGCCACATTTTCTTAATCCAGTCTATCATTGTTGGACATTTGGGTTGGTTCCAAGTCTTTGCTATTGTGAATAATGCCGCAATAAACATACATGTGCATGTGTCTTTATAGCAGCATGATTTATAGTCCTTTGGGTATATACCCAGTAATGGGATGGCTGGGTCAAATGGTATTTCTAGTTCTAGATCCCTGAGGAATCGCCACACTGACTTCCACAATGGTTGAACTAGTTTACAGTCCCACCAACAGTGTAAAAGTGTTCCTATTTCTCCACATCCTCTCCAGCACCTGTTGTTTCCTGACTTTTTAATGATTGCCATTCTAACTGGTGTGAGATGGTATCTCATTGTGGTTTTGATTTGCATTTCTCTGATGGCCAGTGATGATGAGCATTTTTTCATGTGTTTTTTGGCTGCATAAATGTCTTCTTTTGAGAAGTGTCTGTTCATGTCCTTCGCCCACTTTTTGATGGGGTTGTTTGTTTTTTTCTTATAAATTTGTTTGAGTTCATTGTAGATTCTGGATATTAGCCCTTTGTCAGATGAGTAGGTTGCGAAAATTTTCTCCCATTTTGTAGGAATTTCTAATTCAATAATTGAAAGTATTCTTAATTTTAGAAATAGTTTTCTAAATTTAAATATAAAATGTTTAATTGTATAGCCCTCTGCCTATCGTCAAATTATTGCATTTGGATGAGAACTAACATTTAGTTTCAGCATTTGTCAGATATTTCTGAATAATCAAGTATTATTAATTTCATAAAATTTAAGGAATGGCATTTTCTGCTGACTTGTGACAGCTCACCAGAGACATTGGTCCCAGTTAGCAGCCATTTATCGTCATTATTTATTTTTATTATCATTTATCTTTACTCATTATGAAGGCAGCCACATTCACATATGGTCACTGGTCTTTTTAATAGAGGTTTTCACACAACTCCAATCGTGCTCTAGCACTGTGTGGATCTCATGTAAAGAATATTGTTTCATAATGTTTAAAGAAAAATCCTATAGAAAAGACATTTTTACTAGTCTTTATCCAATTAGTTAATTGATGTGTTTGGTAGAAAGCACAGGGTACTGCTTAGGAAGTGTTGCTTCCTGGTTCAGTACCGAGTTGATGCTGGGAGAGGAAGAGTCAATCTCTGTCCAGTGAGCCGAGATCATACCACTGCACTCCAGCCTGGGTGACAGAGCGAAACTCCATCTCAAAAAAAAACAAAAGAAGAAAAGAAAAGTGGTTTCAACTTCAGGTAGTTCTCATAGGGGAAAATTAAACGCTTATTTCAGCCGAGATTTTTGTTGGATGTCCTAGTAAATATGATATGTATTAACGTTATAAAAATTGAACTATGCTAATTTGAAATTAACTACAGTGGAAGGAAACTGAAAAATTTCAACTTGATGTACAGTACCAAACCTTCAAATGCATTCTTACAGGAATTACTAAGCATTAGGAGAGAGCTTCAATTAATAGTTTATTCCCCAAGCCTATTACAAATTCAGGTGCTGGAAGTTCTTCTTTCTTGTTGGATGCTGTGACAGGAGGGGCCATTCTCTGTCCTCTTTTGGCCATAGGGTGAATGTCAGCCCTTCCCAGATGTGGCACTCACTGTCAGCCATCTGTCACACTCAGCCTCATGTGCGGCCACACAGCACAGCACCACTGTGATTAGATTTACCCTTCGCAAGAAACAGCTGTTTGTTATCAGCCAGAGGGGTCAGGAGATGGGAAGCCGAAGCCTACCTCCATAGTGATATTGGAAGATAAATGACACTTAGAGCAATTTGGAATTCCTCAGAAACAAATACTATACAAAAAAATGATTTTTAAAAACACCTGGGACCTCTTCATATAGTATGGAATGAAGAAACAGTGAAGATTATATTTTTTATATTCTATTAAAACTTAATTTATTTTCAGTGTAAAAAAAGTTGATTAGTACAAGGAAGAATGTTCTGTGACCTGGAACAGTAGACTCTCCTTTGCTTTGGAATGCCTGCGCCTGGAATATCAGCCTCCACCAACAGTTCCCAGCAGGCTGACTTCTTTGGAACAATCAAATAAGGCACCTCTGGTTTGAAGGAGTAAAAAAAAAAAAAAAAAAAAATCTCAGAATGTGGGAACGGAGAATGGAAAGGCCCTGTTGGCAGGAGAATGCGTGCTCTGCTTGTATGCAGGGAGCTCTATCAGGAAGAGAGACTTTCCCCTCCCTATGAGCAGCGGAAATAAGGGTGAGGATGCAGCAGTGCCCCAGGGCCCTAGGGACCTCAGCACTGGGCTGGAGGACAGATGCCTCCTTTTAATGGGTGCCCCTTGCTAGGCAGAGGAAGTGCCTTGCTCGGCACTTGTTTGGAAGCATCTGGAATCATTTTCTTTTTGCTCTTGGCTCTAATTCAGCCTTGGCTACCTTTAGCTCAAACCTTGGGTCCAGATGTCAGTGACACCTTGGGACTCAGATGGCACCAAGACATCTTTGTAGTGGCCTTCTGCCTCCGTGATCTGCAGAGAAAGGCCATTGTAATGAGATACTTAGAATTCCTGGATCCAGGAAACAGGAATTCAGATGCCTCATCCAAGCATGGTTCTTTTAAAACATTTATTTTTCTTCATCACTTGCCACAGCCATACACAGTGATATGGCAGCAAGGGAGAATTATTGGGCTTTCAAAGCTCCTTCAGACCCTCAGCCACTGGGTTATTTCCTCATTTAAATAGGGACCCCCTTTCTGTATGTATTTGTTGATGTGTCTGTCTCCTTTAAATGACAGTAGTCTCTGCACTGACTTTCCAGCACGTAGCAGCTGGCTTAACAATTATAATGATGGCAATATGGTGACACTAAGTTAATTCTGACTAACATCTATTTCATTCTATTTGCCACTTTTTATACAGTATTTCATTTTCTACAATTCTGTGAGAAAATACTGTTATTATTCCCATTTTAACTAGGTAGAAATAGGTTAAGTTAATTGCCACAACTTGTAAGTGGAAGGCCTGGTTCTGGCCCCAGTGGTCTGACTTTCAGATTCCTTCTCTTTTCCTCTGCGCTAATGAACCGCCTAATTTTACCCCAGCAGTGCTTATGAAAATGGACTTGGAAATGGTGAAAGGAGCACGGTTTCATGTTCATAAATGACCCTTTAAGGTAGACACACCTAGAGGAGTAGGATTTGTTAAAAGGGCAGGAGAAGAAATTAAGGAGTATATCTGAAGTACAGAAAATGACTGTATGTACTTCATTTTATGCAGAGGGGTGTTGAAATGTACATATATAAATTATCTCCACAATGCCATTTTTCCGCCAACCAAAATGCCTTCAATTGTATATCTGAAATAAAGACACATAATTTACTTTTTCACTTTCTTTTTTATCCTTTGTAGTATAACATAGAGCATTTAGTTATGTATGTAAATGTGTGTAAAAATTCTTCACTACTACAGCTAGTAGAAGTTTAAAATTCAAAGTTGTGTCCCCTACTTTAACAAAAGAAATAGACAAACAGAAAGAAATTGGCTGGCAGGCATTTAACATCAAGGGAGATTGTCAGTGCTGGACTCTATCCATTTTCAGAGAGAGTGAAAATTGTGGCTATTACCGGAGAGCTCATTTTAAACTTCTTATAGCAACTGGTCCGTAGAAAACTGCAGCTATGCCTTGTACACTGCATCACCCCTGCATACTGGGGCTCACTGTAGATCTGGAACTCTGTCTTCTCCTTGGGGAATTGACTGTATTAGAAGATTCCATGCTACAGACATTTCTAATAGACAAACAATATGACTCCAGGGCCTTTTGACAGATGACATCATTAAGCTATTCCACCCCACAATGTGTGTGAAGAGGAGATAGAATGGGCTGTTTCTCAGGCTTCAATGAGTAGATTAGCTCTGCCCTCTAAATTGTTACATCTGTGGAGGGAAATGATGAGGAAAAAGGAAAGAAATGTGCATGAATCAGACAGCAACTACAGTTGTTAAGCCTCTTTATATTCTTTTTGTTTCTGATGGGTTTTACAAAATAGTAGCTTTGTTTCCTAAGATGAATTTACAATATACTATTTAGTTTTTAGCTCACAGCTCAACTCTTGTGTTAATGTGATTCATGCCTAGCACGTGCTGTGTTCTCAACACATACCCACTCCCCTTAAGGTTTGCAGTGTCCTCATTCAGCAGATCAGATAACCGAGATTCTCTTGGTTAAGAGAACTGGCCAAGGTTGCATGATAAAAGTCAGCCATCACTCAGCTTCTCTACATTTTAGTCTATTTTCTGTCTGTTCTACCATAGAAGTATTTAATTCTGGAGGTCAGACACTATGTATATGAACATTTTAATACAGAAAAAAATCAAGAGATATACTTGATACAAAAATTAACACATGTTAATCTTTCCCCACATTTATTTACCTCAGATCCTTTACTTAAAGAAATCATATATTAATGTTAATGTCTATGGAGTTCCATAGATTCTCCTTGCCAGTCCTATGTCCTTTCTCTCTGCCCATAGGCAACCGTATCATGAATTTGATGTGTGTCCAAACCATGTTTTTATATTTATTACATAATATATATTATATGCATTCATAAATACTATATTGTGGCATGTTGTTGCTTCTAAAATGTATATAAATCATATCACTGTATGTGACATTCTGCAACTTATTTTTCAGGCTCAAAATTACGTTTCCAACATCTATCCATGTTAATGCCTATAAATCTAGTTATTTCATTTTAATTGCTGTGGATACTCCATTTACCATTTATTATGTTTATTTCTTTGCCTACTTGTTGACAATTGGGTTATTATAACAATGCTGCAGTGAACAGAATACTTGTCTCCTTGTGTACATAGGCAAGAGTTTTTGGGTGTATACAAATAGGGAGTATATCTAGGAGTGGAATTTGTTGACTCTTCAGATAGGTACATTTTCAACCTCATTAGATGTTGCCAAATTACTCTCCAAAGTGATTATATCAATGTGCCCTTCCAGGAGTGTTTGAGGTATCTATTTATGTAGTGGCTAAAACTTAGTATGGTCCAACTCAAGTTCTTGCCAGTCTGAACATGAAATGATATCTTATGTAGTTTTAATTTGTATATCCCTTATTACTATTGAGATTGAGAATTTTCATTCGGGTGTCCTCTTCTGTCAATTATCTATTATCAATTATTTATTTATAGATGTTATATATTGTGGATACTAGCCCTTTCTTTGTAATGAAGTTTTGGATTTTTTAAAGATGTTTTTAGTTTTGATGTCAATTTTATGAATCATTTTCTTCACTGTATCCATTTTCTTTCTTTCTTTCTTTCCTTCTTTCTCTTTCTTTCTTTGTTTTGTTCTTTTCTTACTGTCTTTTTTTTTCAGGTTCTTACTCTGTCACCCAGGCTGGAGTGCAGTGGCACAATCACAGCTCACTGCAGCCTTCCACCTCCCAGGTTCAAACCATCCTCCCACCTCAGCCACCAAGTAGCTGGGACTACAGGCACACGCCACCACACCCTGCTAAGTTTTGTAATTTTTGTAGAGATGGGGTTTCACCATGTTGCCTCGGCTGGTCTCAAACTCTTGGGTTCAAGTAATCCACCCGCCTCAGCCAGTGCTGGGATTACACGTGTGAGCCACTGCGGCCAGCCATAACTGTTTTCTGTGTATGGTTTAGGAAATCAATCCCTGTCCTTCTATTTGAATAGGTTTAGACTCCTATTTTTCATGTCTTTAATCCAGCTAAGTTTATTTTTTTATCTAATGCAAGTAAAGTCTATTTTTTCATGAAGAAAGCCATTCGTCCTATCACCAGTTCTTGCATACTCTTTCCTTTTTTCATGCATTGATATTGCTTCCTCTGTTATACTTCAGACTTAATATGTGCCTAGGTGGGTTTCTGAGCTTTCTGTTATATTCCATTTATCTATCTCAGTGTCACTACCCTTACTGTCTTAAAAGCTACAGCTTAACGATAACAATAACACTTGTTATGTATCAGGCACTGTTCTAAGTCCTTTTGTATGTATTATTTTACAAGATCCTCAACAACTTGATTAGGTAGATTTTATTATTATGTCTATTTTACCAATGTGGAAAATGAGGCACAGGGATGATAAATAAGTAGCTCAAATTTGCATACCTACAAAATAAACACTGGAGCTTTACTATGAATATCTACTGGGATTTCTTTTATATCCTTTAATTAAGGCTTATAATTTTCTTCATAAAGGTCTTACACTTCCTTTGTCATCTCTCCTAAGTTCCTTTTGGTGAATGGTACCTTTTTGCATTGAATTTTCTAACTAGATAATAATTTATAGGAGCACTATTGAATTTTCTTGTATCAGCTTTCAATTTTGCCACACATCTCTTCATTAATTCTGTTCGTAGACTTTTATCTGCAAGCTTCCTTTTCAATCCTTAATTCTTTGCTGCTTTTTCCTGACTCATTGCATTAGATAGGCTTTTCAATGCAATGCTGAATAGTAGAGGTTAGAGTAGACGCTCTTATTCCTCACATTAATGAAAAAGCCTCAAATGTTTCTTTTTTTGTTGTTGTTGTTGTTTTTTTTTTGAGACAGAGTCTCGCTGTGTCGCCCAGGCTGGAGTGCAGTAGCGTGATCTCAGCTCACTGCAAGCTCCGCCTCCTGGGTTCATGCCATTCTCCTGCCTCAGCCTCCGTAGTAGCTGGGACTACAGGCGCCCGCCACCACGTCCGGCTAATATTTTGTATTTTTAGTAGAGACGGGGTCTCACCGTGTGAGCCAGGATGGTCTCGATCTCCTGACCTCGTGGTCCATCTGCCTCGGCCTCCCAAAGTGCTGGGATTACAGGTGTGAGCCACTGCGCCCGGCCAAATGTTTCATTTTAAGCATAACATCTCTTATAGGTTTTTGGTAAACGCCTATGTCACATTAAGAAAGTTCTAATCCTTTCTTATTTGTTATCATTAACACGTGCTGAAATGTAATGCATTTCCTGTATCTATCCAGATGATTATATGATTTTTTTCCTTATCTGTTAATATAACAAATTAAACTAACAGATTCTCTGGTTGTGAATCACTTTTACATTCCTAGGATGAATCCAACCAATTATAATATACTATTATTTGAGTATGCTGTTGATATGATTGCTATCATATTATATTTTTGCATTTGTTGTTTTACTTTTTTTTATGTTGCATTTCTCTGGTTTTGATACCAAAAATACTGCATTCTTAGAATGTGAGTTATCCTTACCTCTTTTTTTAATCCTTGGAAAAGATCTTATATAATCATTATATAAAGTAGGATCTATTGCTTAATGATAAAACCATTTAGTCTCAGGATCGTGGTGTGTCTATGGATGTTAGGAGATGCATGGAAATGTATGGAAATTGTAACTAATGAATCATTTTCTATAATGACTATTCAGATTTAAATTTTTCTAGAATTTTTAATTTTATCAAAGTTTGCAAATGTATTGGTAAAAAATTATTCCAAATATTGTCTTTTGATTTTAAATGCTAAAAAACATGGAGGAAACTTAAATGCATATTACCAACTGAAAGAAGCCAACCTGAAGAGGCTACATATGTATGATTCCAATTGTATGACGTTCTAGAAAAGGCAAAACTATGGAGACAGTAAAAAGATCAGTGGTTGCCAGGGATTAGTGGGAGGGATGGATAAATAGGCAGAGCGCAGAGGAATTTTTGGGCTATGAGTCTATTCTGTATCACTCACTAGTTACCAAAATAGTTGGTTGATTTTTTTCTTGTTTTATTTCTTGTATTTCTGTGCTTTTTTGTGGTTATGTTTCTTTCTACTAAATTATGTCTTTCTAATGCTAGAGATCCGTAGTTTACGATGCTTAGTTTAGCTGAGCATATGATTCTATTTGATGGTTTTTCTCTTTTCTTTCAACTCTTTGAAGATTGACCTCTGGCATTAATTGTTGGTGATAAAAATTTTACTGTTAGTCTGATTATTGTTCCTTTATAAGTAACTTGTCTTTTCTCACTAGTTGCTCTTAAGACTATGTTTTTATCCTTGATTTTCTTAAATTTTCTCTTTAATATATCAGAGGATTTGAGCCTTAAATTCTGGAATGTCTCAGCCATTATCTCTTCAAATGTTTCTTCTCTGACATTCTTTCTGTTACCTTCATTAAGAAAACACACACACACACACCCACACACACACACACACCCCAACCAGTGTATATTATATATATATTATATATATATATTCTTGTACTATCCTACATGTCTGTTTTTATTTTACTTCTCATATATATTTTTCACCTCTTCATCTCTCTCTGTTGCCTCTTCAGTATGTTTCAATTTGCAAATCCTGTCTGATTTTGGCAAGTCTAAAGTTTATTCCATCTATTTACATTGGCAGTTTAATTTTAATGACTATATTTTTCAATTCCAAGATTTGTAATTGGTTATAGCCGCTTATTCTTGAGTCTTACCTCACTGCTATGGTTTCACAATCTTTGTTTTATGTATATTCTCCTATTCTGTATCTCTTTAAGAATCTCGGGTGCATTTTCTAATCAATTTCAGTTTGCACTATTGATTGTTCCAGAATGAATTCATTACCTGATTGTTTGCAGCTGTTGTTCTGAGCATTTGGAATTTTAAATTATAAATCAATCTGATATGGGGGATGTTTCTTTCTCCTTCTCAGTGATCACACCTTCTTTTCTAGCATTTTTACATTTGCCTTCAGCCTAGACAGTGACCACTAATCCAGAATCAAATTTGGGCTTCTCCTCCCATGGGGATGTTGGAGAAATCACAGATTCAGTCACTGCAGTGGCCAGTGGCTTGGCCTCAGGTTTGTCTACATAGCAGTCTCTACTTTAACACCACCACGTCCACCACCACTGGCACAGTCTGTGTATAAGGTATAGCTTCAGGAACATCACAACTTTGTTCAGCCTTCTTTCAAATGCCGGGAGGCTGTCTTAGCAGGGGACATTAGGCCTCATTCCTTGCTTCCTGCAGGATCATTTTCGTTCCTGTTTTTCTTTCTCAAGCTGCCTCTACTGGTTTCAGAACCTAGAGCCCAGTAGGTCTGTAGGTTCAGGCCTCTCTATTGTTTCTGTTCTACTTGTGGCCCATATGATGTTTATCTTGGTTTGAGGAAAGCTATACCTAGTTTTTCATTTTTTCAAAATTGCGCCTCTTTTTCTATGTAAGGGACATGTTTTAAAGCTTCAACTCGTTGATTTATAGTCAGCCCTCTTAACTACTTTTTAGTGTTTTGGGTATTATCACATGAACACTTACAAAAGGATGGTAAAATGTGTTTTCAGTTGGCATAAGAGAGCAGAGTTCTTTTTTTAACTTTTACTTTAGATTCAGGGGTACATGTGCAGGTTTGTTATATAGGAAAATTATGTGTCGTGGGGATTTGGTGTACAGATTATTTTGTCACACAGGTAATAAAATAATACCTAATAGATAGTTTTTTGACCTTCTCTCTCCTTCCACCCTCCACCTCAAGTAGGTTCCAGAATCTTTTGTTCCCTTCTTTGTGTCCATGCGTACTCAATGTTTAGCTCCCACTTACATGTGGTATTTGGTTTTCTGTTCCTACATTTTTTATCTTTGCCTTAATAGTGAAACATCTATAAAAGAAACTCACATGCATATCAAAACAGTGAGATAGCATCTCACCCCAGTTAGGATGTCTATTATTAAAAGGACAAAAAATAGCAAATACTGGCAATAATGCTGAGAAAAGTGAGCTTTTATCCACTGTTAGTAGGAATGTAAATTAGTACAGCTACTATTGAAAATAATATGGAGACTGCTCAAAAAACTAAAAATAGAACTATCCTATGATCCAGCAATCCCACTACTGGGTACTTATCCACAGGGAAGGAGATCAGTGTTGTAGAGATGGCTGCACCCACATTCTTACTGCAGCACTACTCACAAAAGCCAAGATGTGGAACCAACCTAAGTGTCCATCAACAGATGAATGGATAAAGAAAATGTGATATATATATATACAGTATAATACTACTCAGGCGTAAAAAGAAATGAGATCCTGTTAATTCCAGCAGCATAGATGAGCCTGGAGGATATTACATTAAGTGAAATAAGCCAGGCACAGAAAGATAAATACCACATGTTCTCACTCATATGTGGGAGCTAAAAGAAAATTGAGATCATAGAAGTAGAGAGTAAAATTGTGGCCACAGAGGATAAGAAGGGTAGAGGGGAGGTGGAGAAAGGAGAGGTTGGTTAACAGATACAAAATTACAACTAGATAAGAGGAATAAGCTCTAGTGTCCTGTAGCACTGTGGGGTGACTGGTTAACAATATTGTATCGTATATTTTCAAATAGCTAGAACGTGAATGTTGTCAACCCAAAGAATGATAAATGTCTGAGGAGCTGGATATGCTAATTACCCTGATTTGATCATTGCACATTGTATACATGTATCAAAGTATCACTCTGTACTCCATAAATATGCACAATTATTACATGTCAAATAAAAAGGAAAAATATATCATTTAAAAAAGAAACTGACAGGAATAAGGGAATAAGAAGAGAAGAAAATTCTAGTTTATCTTGGTGGGCATCTATTCTTTTGCCACATAAAAGTCATGGTCATTCCAAAATGGATTGGGTTCTTCCTGAGCCATCTGAAGTGACCCGTTTAGTGCCAAAGAGGATAACAGTGATAACAGTAATAATAGTATTAAGAGACTTCCAGAAGCAAAGGTTGGTGCTTAACAGAGAGCTGTGAGCCCCTCACCCCCACCCCCAACCCCACCTGAGACCTTTTTCATTTTGCCAAAGCTTAATGTAAAACCCAAAAGATAGATCCCAGCAGTTTATATTGATTATAAACCACACTGAGAGAAAGAAAGCTATTGATGGAGTGTTACTTAACATGATGGGTCAGCACCTTCCTTGAATTTAGAATGAAAGCTCTACTGATTGAATATGATTCATCTGAGAATAATATGAAGCCAAAATTAAAGGAGGGAGTTTGGTTTCCTTGTCACTAAGGGCTGTTCAGAAGACAAAAGGAAAATACCTTGGTCTCCTGCATTCCTTGCAAGCCTGTCCATCTTCATTTTGTCCATCTCAGCTCTTAATTAGTTTTTTAAAAATATTTTTTCTAACTAAATTATACAGCTAGCACCTATCATTACAAAAGGAAATTAAGGTAAAACTTCCTTTTATGGATCTGTTGTGGGTTTTATTTAAATCCCACCTTCTCTCCCCCATAAAAATTTATGTTTCTTCCCCATTACCAGCATCATCATCAACTCGATTTATGTCCCTTTTAAGAGATGGCTGTCATGGTCATTATCACCTAAAGCATTGACTCTTCCTGTTTTGTGCACTGATAGTATACAGTCATATTCAACATTAAGCCAGTACAAAATCAAATAAATGTTTTTATGTAATGAACAAAAACAAGAAGAAATACATTAAGTAGCATAGTATAGAGATTTATTAATGATATTAAATCCCCTACACACATCCATCTAGATTATATGATGTTTATCAAGGAAAAAAATTTTATTCTACCTCTGTTTCGTTTTCTCTTCCCTGTCACAAACGAAAGGGCAGAGACTGAAGAAGTGTATGTGACATGATAAAACTCTCTGTAGGATGGCACCTGGAGTATGTCTTCTTTTAATGTCAGTTGCAATGAAATTGCATGCAACAATAAGTTTTGTGCTTTGGAAGGAAAAAATCTCCCTCTGGGGTGTTAGGACATTGAATTGGGATGCATCCGGGAGGGAAGGGCAACATTATATGAGGGCAGACATGATCATGTGCCATGCACAGTTGCCTTACATATGTAGTCATTCAACAAGCAGTTATCCAGTGTATGAGTACTGAGATAGTATACTGTACCATCAAAAGTGAGGATGTTGTTTTCAGACAGATCTGAAATTGTCCTGGTTCTGCATTCACTAACTCTAGGCAAGTTATTTAACCTTTCTGAGCCTTTGGTTCCTTCTCTTTAAATGGAACTAATAATGGCATTTAGGAGATTAAATATGCAAATATATGTAAAAAGTACCTGTTGAAAAAAAGCATTCAACAAATGGTAGCTTTGATTATTAATGTTGACAGACAAAAAGAGCCAAGTGAAATGGCTTGTGAAAAGACATAACTTTTTGTGACACTACATTTGAAGGTCTTTTATTTTTCTCAGATAAGGAAAAGGAAAAGAAATAAGGGACACTCAGAGAGGCCTTAAGGTTTAGAACAAACTGATCCACGTAGTACAGATGTCTGTGAAATGGGAGCTCTAATGCTGTCTTTTCCATACTCTTGACTTGTTTCTCTTAATTTTTGACAGTGAAGCCATCTTATAAAATATAAAACATCTGTATTGATGAGTGTACATATGTCCTTCCATAACAAAGAAAATGGGTTTATTAAGAAATAATTTGCTATTTAGAAAATTTAGGTCCATTAACTTTCTGATTTTCTATCTTGAAGCTTACTTGTTTGTAAAGATGCTTCCTAGCACTGTGTAAATCATGCCTGTGTGCTCAGGAGCTGTCCTGTTTCCTTTTATTTAACCATCTTTCCTTTTATTTTAACCATCATGCCTTGCATTTGATCTGACACCTTTCACTGAGTCTTGAGAAGGTGATGACTCTCAAAAGATGATGGTCTTTGTTCAAGGATGCTAAGCTAGTAACCTAAAAGATTATTGGTACATATTACTTGAAAACAATGTGAATTAGATATACTTGCCTCCCTAATAATCAAAGTCCATTAACCTCTTAATTTTTACAGACTACTTTTTCAAGAAATAGAGAAATCAAGCAGTAGAACAATTGCTTGACCGAAAGGGACTCTTAGCACATCAGGGTTCAAGGCCTTTCTATTTAATCTGTCATTCCAAACTATTTCCCTCGAAGAACAAGGAGAAAAGCTGGACAAAATGAGAAAATCATGAGTTTGAGAAACTGGGGAACAACAAAGCTAGTGACAACACAAAAGGAAAAAACCAAGAGATGTATGCCCAGCATTTAGGACTGCTTTTCCTATATGGCTCCAGAAGACATTGAAAAGTTAAAAGTAGCTTTCTAAAGACCTACATGTCCAGGGAGATAAAAATTGGAGTCAAGTCAGGCTAGAGAGATAAAAATTAGAAGAGGATGGGCTCTGGTAAAATGTCTGGACTTTTGGTTGGGACTCTGAAAGGATGCACACTAGGAACAAGGATAAACTAGAACAGACCCTCAATTCAAATCATGCCAATCTCTGCCTGAAAGATGGAAATTCTAGTTCCCCCAACAGCTTTCCCAGAAGCAAACCTGTATCATCACCGGAAGAAGAAAACTTTATTCTAGGCCTCAAAATACCTCTACAATTTGTATATACAATATCCAATAGTTAGTCTTAAAATAACCAGGCATATAAGGAGACAAGACAACTTAGTAGAAAACTAAAATATGCTCAATATGTTCAATGAAATAAAAAGTAAATTTTAGAAATGCGATGGCGTTCTGGAGACTATAAAAAAGAACAAATGAGAATTATAGACCTGAAAAATATGATTGAAATTAAAGACTCAATAGATGGATTAAACTGTATATTAGACCCAGATGAGTAGAGTCTTGTGGAAGTCAAAGATAGGTCTGAAGAAACTACCCAAAATGAAACCTGCAGAGATAAAAGGATGAGAAATACAGAATAGATGATAAAGCAAACAAACATGGGGGGTATGGTTACTGGAGTTACCAGAGAAGAGGCGAGATGAGGAAGAATAGATAAAGGCTGAGACCAAGCTATCAAAATGCATTATGAAAACCAGGCAAGATAAAACCACAAAACCACATCTAGGCACATTCTTGTAAAGATGCTGAAGACCAAAGAGTAAATCTTAAAGCATCAGGGAAAAAAGGTTTTTTCCCTTAAAAGGAATAATATTAAACTGAGAGCTGATTTCACAGACACTGCTGAGGGCAGGATACCATTATGAAAACAAATGAACTACAAAAAAGTCTTCACACTGAAAGGTACAATTCCAGCGCCCTTCTCCCCCAATTCTCAGAATATGGCCAGAAAATTGGAAGGTTCTTCTGTGGGCAATTTGACCAGCCACAAGGAAGGGCAGAAATAAACTGTTAGTTGGGCATCTAAAATGTCTGGTGGCCTTTGGTGGGCTGGCACCCAAGCACACAGAGGCAGGCAGGCTTCCTTGCTTGCTTGCTTGCTTGCTTTCTCTCTGTTTTTCTCTCTCTCTCTCCACCTCTCCCTCTCCCTCTCTCTCTCTCTCTCTTTCTTTCTTTTTTTTTTTAGATGAGGTCTCACTATTTTACCCAGGCTGGTCTTGAGCTCCTGGGCTGAAATAATCCTCCCACCTTGGCCTCCCAAAGTGCTGGGATTACAGGCATGAGCCACTGCACTCAGCCTTAGTGCTTTACTCTTAAACATAAATACTTAACCAGCCTCCACCAAGAAAACCTGTAATGCAGAAGAAAGAAACCAAAAACATAAAAATGAGAACTTGGAGAAAATAAATACAATACAAGAAGAAAGTTTAAAATAAAACAAAATGATAATTAAAAATCTCAGGAAAGTAAAGATGACTTTGTATCCATGAACAAGAGCAGAATGATATTTTTTAAAAGAACAAGAACAAAAGTAAGCTCATAGATACTAAAAATATAATGCCAGAAGTTTAAAATTTGATAGAATATCTGGAAAATAAAATTGAGGAACTATCAGAAAGTAGAAAAAGAAGAAAAAGATTAGGAGAAAGACGAGAAAATTAGGCAGTTTGTTCAGGAGTTCTAAGACGCAATATGTGCTGCAAAAGAGCAGATTCTTAAATGCAGATGAAAAAGTTAGCCAAGAAATAATTGAAGGAATGTTTTCAGAACAGAGGAAAGGAATTTACGGAGAAGGTTCATCAAATATGCTGCACGGTGGATGGAAACAGGCCCATGTCGAGGCACACCATAACTAAGTTCCAGAACACTGGACACAAAGAGAAGGCTGCAGAAACTTCCAGATTAAAAAAAAATCATGGTCAAAACCAAAAAAATTATGAACCAGAGTGGCATCAGACTTCTTCACAGAAACACTAGAGGAAAAAAAAAATTACTTTCTGAAGGAAAATAAATCCTAATCTTAAATTCATCATCTAGCCAAAAGACTAACAAAATCTGGGGATAAAATACATTTCAGATATAAAAAAATCTCAAAAAATTTACACTCCACATACCTTTTGTCAGGAGGCCGCTGAAGAGTGCTGTACCACAGTTAGGAAGGCGCGGATTCAGCAAACAGGGGCTCAAACACAGGAGAGAATGCTGAGGGGTGCACAGGATATTGCTGCCTGCCAGTCCTAGGATGCCAGCCACATTGCAGGCCCAGAGGGCAGCCTGTCCAGATGGGAGTTGGAGAACAGGCAGCTCCCAGGAGAGATTTGTCTCCAAGAAGATGGAACCTGTGTAGAAGATGCTTCTGAAAGTATTGAGAGGCAATTTGCCTCTTTGGTTGAGAGTTTGGGGATGAGTTTGTGATGAATGTGATGTCCATGATAGATACATGAAAACCACATGAAAACAATTCCTGGGAACCTGAACGTTGTATAAGAAGGGAAACGTCGTCATAGACCATTTTTTTATAGCTCAGCTGAGTTTAGTGTTTGCATACTCATGATGGTGCAAATGCAAATATCTATCTCACCAAAAAGTAAATGTTAACTATATTGGGAGGATGAAGAGAAGAAAGTGAAAGAGAGAGAGAAAGAGAGACATGGAGAGTGGGCAAGAAAAAAGCTATTATTATTTACCATGGGGAAAAATAAATGAATAATGTGCAAACTGAAAACTTAAGAAGTAGCAGTAGAGTACTTAGCAATATAGAGGCAAATCCAAAAAGCAAAGGCTAAAAGAACTGACAGTGGTGGACTGTGTTGACGGGCAAGGATTCGTGCAATGGGGAAGATGAGAGAGTGGATTCCAAGGGCTGCTGCTTTTTACAATATAACTTTTCCAGAACCATTTGGCTTTTGAAATTGTGTGTATGTATACCTTTGATACAAACTTTAAAAATTTAAATCACAGTGCAGAACAGTCTGTAGAGTATTGCACCATTTATGTAAGAAACAACGTATGCAAATATTGATCATAAAGTATATCTGGAAGGATCCTTAGAAAACTGTAACAATGGCTACCTCTGGGGATGGTAACTAGTGACCATGCACTGGCAGAAGAAAAACTCTTCACCCTTTGAATCCATTTGAATGTTACACTGTCTACATGTATTATTTATTTTTTTAAAAGCTTCTAAGAAACAAACTGGGAATGAGACTGCAACAAGAGAGCAAACAAAGTTAAAATTAAGTGAGCTCTAAAAAGAGTGACCATATCCTTTTAAGTTGAGTTATTTATTCAATAAATATATATGTGTGTCTCCTTGTTACACAAGTAACATTATCTTTATAGAACAAACAGAAGTTAAAGATAACAAAAAAAATCACTTGTCATCACATCATGCAGATAACCACTATTAAATTTTTGGTGTGTATCTTCTGAATTTTTTATGGTGTGTGTGGTCTGTCTGTATTCCTACCCCCTCCCATGGGACAATACTATTTTGTTACCAGTTATTTTCACTCAACAATGTATTGTAGTCACTTAATATGAATTATTAAGGAATATTCGTCTACAGATCATTTTTACTGGCTAGTTTTATTGCATCATTTGACTCTACCACAGTTGATTTAACTAATCCCCTACTGATAGATTGTTCCCAGTTTTTTACTACTATAAGTAATGCTTGTGTCTTAATTTTGCTGACATCTGTGATTGTTTTCTTTGACTAAATTTCTAGAAATGCAGTTGCTGGGTCAAATGACATGTATGTAACTAAAAGTCTCGATACATCTTGTGAATTCTGTCCCAGAGAACTTGTACAGTTTATGTCCTACCCCCTAGCAGTGTTGAAAAATATCACTCCTAGATTCTTGCTAACATTTTTGTGGATTTTTTCGGCCAAGTCTGACAGATGAAAAAATATTTTGTTGTTATTTAAGTTTGTGTTTATTTGGCTTACTGGTGAGGCTGGACACCTTCCATATATTTACTGACCAACAAATAAATACTACTTTTGAGCCCTTTTCCTATACCTGGTACTAAGGGGAGAGATAAAGGGTAAACAAAATAGTTTCCTTCTTCAAAGAGTTTATAATCTCATAAAAGAAACAAATAAACAAACAATACAGCTGGGTTATAATGTGAAGCGCAGAGGAGGACGTGATTCATTCTTCTGTCAGATTTAAGTTTTTCGTGGGTCGGAACATTTGAGTGGAGACTTGAAGGCCAAGGAGGAAAAAAGCAGAGAAATGGGGATACGCTTTCTGAGAGCAGCATATTTAAATGCAGATGACACTTGGGACACTTGGGAAAGGTAAATGACCTGGTGTCCCGGAAACTAAGCCTAGAAAATGCAGTGGGGCCCTAAGTCTTATGAAGATTTGGGAGTAGATCCTCCAGACCAGAAGCTCATCTGGTACACCAGTCTGGATTGTGGGCCGCCATGTTTGCAGAGAGTCTGGGTGACTTCTCAAATGGCAGTGAGAGCCTGCCTCCTACCGAGATTCACACAAAATCATGGATTCCCCAGATATAAAAAGTGAGTCCACGTATGGATCAAACAGAAAAAACTGGGATCCCTGAGCTCTGGAACTTGTATGTAAAGTTGTGTGTTGGGCGGGGGGAGGGGGCGGGGGGGTGGGTATGTGCATTTTTTGATGAAGGGGTTCCTGGCTTTCTCAAAGAGGATAAAAAGACTCAGTGCCTCTGATCCAGACACTGGAGAGCCATGCAGAATCCCCAGCAGGAGAGCAGCAGGATCAGATCACTGAAAGATAAACCTGTTGAAGCAGGATATTTCCCTGACCCCTTCATGGGACTCACGAAGGGAGTGTGTCCCTTACTCAGCTGCTGCTCTCAACACCTTGCTGGAGGGAGCACGCAAGCGAATGAGGTGGGAACTGGAATGCATGAGTGCTGAAACCAGCCAACCGCATAGGCACCAGCAAGATCAAACTCCACTTACTGGGACCTGCTGCACTCCACCCCTCACAGGTGGGAGTGCACAGGTGAGTGGGTGCAGGAGCCAGAGTGAGCACTCCTGGGTGCCAGCAGGAGCAAACTACATGCAAGCCCTGTGGCAGCATCTTGGGGGCGGTGGGCGGGGGCGGTGCCTGCAATCCCTGAAGCCCCAGAGGGTGTGTTACAGTGCTGTTTTAGCTCTGCCGTCTGTGGACACCTTAGGTGTTAACAGCTCAGTGGGCCCTTTGCCTTGTCTCATGGGGCAGCTGCCCTCTGCCAATGAGGGCAAAGGGCCAGCGTGACAGCCTTTTGTATCTGCACTCAGGGATCCCGAGCTCTGGTCCTGCAGCCAGGAAAAATGAGGTCACATGAACAAATTTAAGGATGGTAAATGTGGGAGATTTAATTGCCGATGAAAGTGGCTTTCAGGGGGAAAGGGAGCTGAAAAGGAGATGAGGCAGGTAGGTGATCTTCCCCTGAAGTCCGGCCATCTGCAGCCAGCTTCTTCTCTGAAGTTATGCCATCAAAGTGTCCCCTCTGTAATCCCCAACATCCAGCTGCCTCTCCTCTCTGCTGGCTGAGTCTGGAGTCTTTATAGGCACAGGCTGGGGCATGGGGTGGGGCCATGGGTGGTTAAGGGAAAGGCAACATTCAAGTGGGAAAACAGAGATATAAGTTCTCACTTTGGGCCACAGGTTCCGGCTTTTCAGCTTAAAGGTAGGGTTTCTCCAGGGACCCACCCTTTTCTAGAATTCCTCTGCCCCCCGTCCCTATCACTGTCAACAGTGTAGACTGGGGAGGGTACCAGCAGGAAGGAGAACTGGATGGGAAGTTTAGAAAATAACATTAGTAATGATCACCACTGACTGAGCGTGTAATCTATGATAGACGAGGTGCTAGATACTTAGCACCCTTTTATTTTATCTTCAAGTTAACATTTAACATAAAAGGAAACCGAAACCTAGATTTTAAAATTAGTGCAAGGTCACTTGGCTATGAATGGCAGAGTCCATAGTTGACTACCAGGTCATGAGACTCTCAAGCCCACACTTCTGATTATGACCTTAAATTGCCTCCCGTGTAAAGCTCTACACCATTTCTTCTGCATCTCATCTCCTAATTTTCAGTTAACTTTCTTAAGCAGCAAAGTGACTTGCTTCGGGGAAAAGAACTATGTGACCAGAGACCCCATTTAGAAGACGAACAGGAGAAAGGGCCTGTAATCCCAGCACTTTGGGAGGCTGAGATGGGCAGTTCACTTGAGGTCAGGAGTTAGAGATCAGCCTGGCCAACAGGATGAAACCCTGTCCCTACAAAAAATATAAAAATAAGCCAGGCATGGTGGCACATGCCTGTAATCAGCTACTCTGGAGGCTGAGGCAGGAGAATTGCTTGGACCCAGGAGGCGGAGGTTGCAGTGGTCCGAGATGGCGCCACTGCACTCTAGCCTGGGTGACAGAGTGAGACTTCTCAAAAGAAATTTTTTTAAAAAAAGAGAAATGCCTTGGTGACCCTTCATTGTTCTTGTTCCACATAGTGCCGGTCATCTGCTGAGATAATAGTGTAACTCCAAAGAAATCCCTCACTCTGCACATTGCTTCCTATTGTTATTTGCTCTCTTTATTTCATGGAAGGAGATTCTTGCAGATTTCAACTGGCAAATGAGTTATTTGGAAGAAAAGTGCACAGTGCTATTTTCTTCAAGCTTCCTAGTTATTAGCCACACTCCCGGTGATTGTTGCGGTGACATGTGCAAACAATGGTGTTCACTTCTGCCTTTTGTGGCAAATATTAAACACACAATAAGGAAACCTATAAAGCTCTGGCTGCTTTACCTTGGGAGCTGAGCACTGCATAAGTGTGCTGCTGCCGTATTGTCAAATAAAAGGCAAATGTTATCCTTAGATATATGAAACCTCAGAGGGGGGGGCTTAACACTCATCACCAGTGGTCACGGAATTCTGAATTACAAAAGATCGCAAATATTCCATCTTTCGCACAGTCATATTCCCTGCAGGCATGCACATACCTCCTGTACATGTTGTTTACGAGCTGCTCAAACGACTCTGGCTTTCTGGCCCCAGACTGCAGAAAAAGCAAAGGCAGCTATGGCTGACATTTTCATGGAAAGCTTAGGAAGGCTCATTTTTTATCATCTTTGGAACAAATAGATGGAACCCTGTATTAGGTTTCTCTTGCTGGGTAACAAATTATCACAAATATAGCGGCTTAAGGCAATGCTAACTTATGATCTCAGTTTCCGTGGGTAAGGGGTCCAGCCATAGTCAGGCTGGATCCTCTCCTTAGGATCTTAAGAGGCTGAGATCAAGGTTAGCCGAGCTGCATTCCTTTCGGGAGTCTTGGTGAGGGAAAGATCCACTACTGGGCCCCCCAGGTCATTGGCAGAATTTTTTTCCTTGCAGTTCAATGACAGAGTCCCTCAGTTTTTTTGGTGGCCCTCGGTCAGGGACTGCTTTCAGCCACTTTGGAGCCGCTGTTCCTTGCCATGTGGCCCCTCCCATAGGCCCTCTATGCTTGGAATCTTTTCACCAGGAAGAGTATAGTCTGGTTAAGTCACGACCGCTGAGGATAATCTCCCTATCTGAAAGTCAGCTGATTTGGGACCTTACCTACATGTGCTAAATCCCTTCACAGCAACACCTGGATTTGTGTTTGACTAAGTAACTGGGGGAGGATAATCGTGCTCTAAGAGGTGGAGATCCTGGGGGCCAACTTAGAATTCTGCCTGTCACAACCCCATAGCCGCTCCTTTTCTGGCAAGAGTCTTGTATGTTAAATGCTTCCTTAGCATCCATCTTTGTTTTCTGTTTTGAGCTGATAATTGTATGTCACGTGGGGCATTTCAGATTTGGGGAAAATGATGACGATAGCTTTCGTTCTTGAGGACTTGCTTTGTGCCCAACATTGTGCTGAGATTTTACCTGCACTCTCTCACTCATCCGTCCCCACAGCTCTATATGGAAGGTACAGTCAATATCCTGAGCTACAGATGAGAAACCTGAGACCAGGCATACATAGTTAGGAGACATCCCCAAAGTTCCACAGCTGGAAAGCAGCAGAGCAGGGACTCAAACCCACATCCCTTTCCTTCAGCGCCCTCCCTCCCACCCTATTTCTGTCAGCTGCTATTTTGCCCTATTGTGGTTTTGAAAGAGTTACGAAATGCCCTCCATAGCTATGATGATTATCATTCGTCCTTTCCTTTTTTAGTCAATTTTCCGTTTAATAACAGGAAATATCACAATGACCAAGCCCTCCCTAAAAGCAAAGGATAGCCCTAAAAGTCAACCACCAAAGAGACACAAGGATGATAGAGTAGTTTCGAGCCTGACTCGTGTAAGGTAAGAGCAGTCCAGTGCCTTAACATCTGGCATTTTAATGTGTCTTTGTCTTGCATTCTATGATATATTTTGCTGTCTGGTTTTATGCCAAGCATTGATTAATAAGCTTCATCAGAAAACTCACCAATTCAGCCCTGAAGAACAACTTCAGGTCTTTCCAGAAGAGCCAACCTGTGTCAGCAGGAAACAGAAGAGAAATGGTACACATCCATTGAAAACTAATGTCCCCTGACTTGAAAGAGCACTTATGCTGATGACACCCTCACTTCATCGTGAACAGAGGATTGGCCTGTGCTACCAGCTAGAGGAGGAAAACAAATGATTGGAATAGGAAAGATGACATTGACAGTACTCTCTCTGCAAGGCATTTTGCTTTTTGATAAAATGACAAAAATGGCATTGATTTATGTTTTCGTTGTAAGCTGAGTCTCATAAATGAGCAAAGCTATGTAGGATGCTAACAGGCCACCAATTTGGGAAGAAGGGTCAACAAAGTGAGATCTTCTTGCCCAGAACTTTCTTAGTTTCTCTCTAGCTGCCCCTCCATTTGTCCTAAAAGCAGATGGATGTGAACTCTAAGCCTGCAGTTCCCAAAGGATCTGAAAGGCAATTCCCATAGGATCTGTGTTCTGATGGAGTAAGCTCTTCACCTTTCAAAATCTGAGATCTGGGAGAGTTGGGGGAAGATACGAGGATGTGGCAGTAAAGTGAACCAACAAGGAAACTTTGGCAGAGAGCAGCTAGCAGCTCGGCACACTCAACTCTCTTTACTGTAGACCCAGGGCTAGACTACATTTCCTAACCTCCATTGGGGTTAGGCTGCATTGACTCAGTTCTGGCCAGTGGAAGTGAACAGAAGTGATGTGCACCACTTCCAGGCATGGTGCATGAAATCCTAGCACACAACCCTCCTTTCTCTTTCTTCTCTTACTGGCCAGCTGGATGTCAATATGGATATCTTAGAAACCAAGAGTTAAATATGTCAGAATCCGTTTAGTAGAGATTCTTGGATGACTAAATGGAGCAGAAGCCCATCCTCACACCTGTCACCAGTTGGAATTCATGTGGGCCCAAAATAAGCTTCTGTTGTATAAAGCCATTGAGCTTCAGGGGTCTTTCTGTTACAACAGCTACCATAAACTTATCTAAAATAATAGCCTAGAATTTCAAAACAGCAAGTAGGGAAAACAGTTCTAAGAAAGGAGAACGTCTGGTTACTCAAGCATGAGAAATCCATTTCCATGTATTGCTTTGATTGTGTATGCCAACTGAAAATGATAAAAGTCAAAGATTCCTATCTACTGTAATATAAATTCAAGATGAAATGAAGCTACCTTGATCCATTTTAAAATGTCTATAGAAAATTGAATTTGCACTTATAGCTCTTTTAGAACATATTTTATGTCATTTTCTATGATTAATGTGTTAGAGGATTTTAGTGTTGTCACTTTAAGGCTGTTAAAATGTTTCTTTTGATAAATTAGGAAGATGCATCAGAAATTATTTCTTTGAACCTAAGTATGGATAGAACATTGTAACATTCAATCCTTATAGTTTCTCTTGGCAATAATAATTGAGCTACAGTCCTGAAAATTAAATTTAATAGGATTATTATCTTTTACTAATATTTTAATACAAAATTATAAACAAATACAGATTAATGCTCTGGAGAGACAGAGACTTTGTTTACTGTTTTCTGATTATTTTAGTACTCTACTAGAACCAAGTTACTACGAATAGGAAAGTTATCGAGAAAATTTTGAAAAATAGATGCCTCTTGCAAGATTCAGCATTTTTTTCATGCGCATCCTTTGAATACAGACAATGATACAAACATCTCCATCCAGGTCCTACTTTATCTAGTGTGGTATTTAATGTTTAATTGTTTTTTTTTCTATTTCTATGTCTTTTTGGGATTTTCCATATTTGAAGATTATGAATAATAATAGGACTCTTGACTTAGAGTTATATCTATAGTTTCCATTAATACCAAAAATTAAAATTTCCTCATTATCATTCATCTGCATCCTCATTTATATACAATTTAAAACCTTGAAAAATGTTCTTCTTTCCTTTATTTAATTCATTTAAATTTTAAAATGCAATTTACTTATTTCCCGTGTAGATTTTCAAACCAGGAAGAAATATAACTAGCTTTCTGCTCTGTCTTACATTTGTCCTCAATTATAAATTGGGAAATTGACATTTTGCTTTAAATATTAGATTTTCCTTATTTAAGTACCTGTGAGCCTATTCCTAAGAGAGTGACCATCGGGCCCACTGACTGAATCTATTTTTTTAATCTGCAGTGGCGCCAGACCAGGATTTTGGTGACATTCCAAGGCACTGCCACCCTGTGAGATTCTGCCTGGCTGAAATCTCTAACTCTTGCTTGCAATCTGCAATGTACGTTTATGTCACTTACAGAGATCATCAGTGCAACTCTGACCTAAGTTTGTCAGGAGGTTTCCAGTCCATTGTACCTGAGCCCCCATAGAGCTACATGTGTTTTTACATTTCTCTTTTTTCTCCTTTTGCTAGAAGAAGTATATCATAGAATTAAATGAAAGGATAATCTTAGACTGGAATGTCCTCTAGAGCCCCGCTCAAATAGTAAAATTTGCATTTGTTTTCAAATCCATTGTTTTCTACTGTATGCGTTACTTTGGAGGGCTTCTTCTGCGGTACCAAACTCAGGGAGCTTCACGAAGCTTCCTGGGAGATTCACAAGGAAGATTCATGAAGGAATAATCAAACTCTTTTCTGATGAACTGGAGAGTGTGGCTTTTCCTCTCAGTTATTATCCTGGAAGCATCTAAATACTCTCCACATCTCTTCTTTTGCAGCTTTTTCTCAGTGCATATTGGTAATAACTAAATATTTTCTATAAAGATTAATCCACATAAGTACTTCTGAGTAATGTCTTTCCCAAAATAAAACAGGACTTTCATAATTGATCTAAATGACAAAGCAATCAAAATGGGGAAATGATTTATTTTCTTTTAAGTTCTAGGGTACTTGTGCAGGATGTGCAGGTTTGTTGCATAGGTAAACATGTGCCATGGTAGTTTGCTGCACCTATCAACCTACCATCTAAGTATTAAACCCAGCATGCATTAGCTATTTTTCCTGATGCTCTCCGCCCCCCTGCCCCCCGACCCCTGACACGCCCTGGTGTGTGATGTTCCCCTCCCTGTGTCCATGTGTTCTCATTGTTCAGCTCCCACTTATGAGTGAGAACATGTAGTGTTTGGTTTTATGTTCCTGTGTTTGTTTGCTGGGGATAATGGCTTCCAGTTCCATCCATGTCCCTGCAAAGGACATGACCTCATTCAAAAGGATGTTTTTTCTTTGATGCTTTTTATTAACTTTGAGATAATTGTTTATATAGGCAATTAAACAAATTAGAATTTTAGTAGTATTAATAATATAGTGCAATATAATTAGGAATCACATCACCTGATAATTAAGCCCAATTTCATATTTGGAAGGAAAAGAAAATGTGTGTGGTGCATTTGTCAGACATTCCAAGGGTTTCAACATCCTTTGCTCTTGTTCTTTAGATTCCCCTGAAGTAGTTTCACTCTGGCCTCCTTCTGAATTCCATTTTTGTTGTTGAAATATTGGTCTCACTAATGTCATTGCTGTCAGCTCCTCGGGGTGTTTATGTATTTCCCACAACACCTGGACCTCAGAGCCGTTGAATATGTATTTGTTATATTTACTTGAAAAGTCCAAAAACAATTTGCTCATTAAATTTGTAGAAGACTTGGAGGGGCTAGGAGGAGTGGTCCCTAATTATTAGTTGTAGTAGCTAGTAAGTTGAATGTCATAGTCAGAATTATAAAAGTTGTCAAAAGATGAAAACCTTATAAAAATCAAAAATACCAACACCTGAATTCAAAAATACAGAAATCAAAATTAAGGAGAGAATAGATGTGTTTAATAGCATATTACACATAGCTGAAGAGAGAGCTAGTGAATTGGAAGAGAGCTCAAAAGAAAGCATCAAAAATGAAGCACAGAAAACAACAAACAGAAAATGCAGATGAGGCTCAGAAACAGAGACAGGTTGAGAAATACAAATACTACTGTGTTATAGTTGCCTACAGTATTCAGTACAGAAACATGCTGCACGGGTTTTCAGCCTAGGAGCAACAGGTTATACCGTATAGCCTAGGTGTGTAGTAGACTCCACTGTCTCGCTCTACAATGTTTGCACAGCAACGAAATCACCTAATGACACATTTCTTAGAATGTTTCCCTGTCATTAAGTAACACATGTCTGTATTTCAAAATAAGTTTGCAATTTTAGCTAATGAAATTCTGATGAGGCTAATTATTAATTGTTATAAATTAGTAGAAATCCAGATGACTTCTTATATTGTATTAATTAAATTGGTTCATCCTCACTATAACACTAGAAATTTTGCATTTGAAAAACGTTTCTTTTAAAAATTTCAAACTCCAAAAAAAAAAAAAAACAAAAAGGAAAAATAAATAAGAATAAAAAATAAAAATTTCAAACTTCATAAAGAATATTGTACCTTCTGTTGGTATCTCAGAATCTGGAGATTATAGTAGATAATAATTATAAGCTTGTTTGAGAATTGGACTGTTATCTTGGGAAAGAGATGTAAAGAATCTTCACAGAGAATTCAAAAGTAAAATCGTAGGTTTGCTCTTCAGAATCAGATTGCTTTTTGAAAAAAAGGAAAACCAACAAACATCCAGCTGCTTTAATTCAAAAAATAATGTTTGTCTCTGATGTTGAATTCCACAATGCCACCCATTTGAAGTGTAGAGGGCTTTGACATCTATAGAACGAAAAGCCAAGAATATCTTCCCTGTTAACTTGTACTCTTGTGTTGCAGGCACACAAAAAATCCCTTTGGACGATTGAACCCAATGAAGGCATGGTTCCTCCAGAAACTGATGTTCAACTGGCACTGACCGCCAACCTGAATGACACACTGACATTCAAGGACTGTGTTATTTTGGACATTGAAAATAGCAGTACCTATCGGATTCCTGTTCAGGCTTCCGGAACTGGTTCCACTATTGTTTCAGATAAGCCCTTTGCTCCAGAACTCAATTTGGGGGCACATTTTAGGTAAGGAAATCTCATGGACCAATTTTTATAGATATCACATATGTTACATATGCTGAGCATCACCTCTACTTTAGAAAATTATTTTAAGTAATTAAAACTAGCCACCTCAGTCCCTCTCCTTTCCCATCCTCACTCTTCCACCTCCTGATGTGTATGTCAGCAACAAGAAGACATTTTCTAGCCATAACTTGGTTGCATTCTCTAATCCGTGTCCCTCTACATGTGAGAAGAATATGGTTTGTAGGAAATGCATTCTTTTCTCAAACTGGCCACTCTGTGATTAATTTAGACTCTCAACCGTAATTTCTCCTCTTTGATTCCAATACACTGTTAATCCCTCTCCACAAATGTAGAAAATACAGATACAGCTTAGTGGTAACCTAAGCAGAACATACCTAGGAAGGTAAAAATTTATTGCAAGTGTATTTTATCAGCTATTGCAGAGCCAGCAGCTTTTTTTTTTTTTTTTTTTTTTTTTTTTTTTTTTTGAGACGGAGTCTTGCTCTGTGGCCTAGGCTGGAGTGCAGTGGCGTGATCTCTGCTCACTGCAAGCTCCGCCTCCCGGGTTCACGCCATTCTCCTGCCTCAGCCTCCCAAGTAGCTGGGACTACAGGTGCCCACCACCACGCCTGGCTAATTTTTTGTATTTTTAGTAGAGACGGGGTTTCACCGTGTTAGCCAGGATGGTCTCGATCTCCTGACCTCATGATCCACCTGCCTCGGCCTCCCAAAGTGCTAGGATTACAGGCATGAGCCACCATGCCCGGTCACTAGCAGCTTTTGCAAAGCTTATGTCCTCTACTTGACTCCCATAGTACCGACAACTGAGATGGTTTCCATTGGCTTTGCCTGATTACCCAGGAAAAGCTAGAGGGTCTAAATATTTAAATAAGCTGTGGTACAGTATAGACACCTCTGAGCAGAACAATCTAAATGTGGACATAAAAATCAGGTTTGGACCAGGCACAGCAGCCCACGCCTATAATCCTAGCAGTTTGGGAGGCCAAGGCAGGAGGATCACTTGAGTTCAGGAATTCAAGACCAGCCTGGACAACATGGTAAAACCCCATCTCTACAAAAGTACAAAAAATTCTGGGCATGGTGGCGGGTGCGTGTAGTCCCAGCTACTCAGGAGGCTGAGGTGGGAGAATCACTTGAGCCCAAGAGGCAGAGGTTGCAGTGAGCCAAGGTCGTACCACTGCACTCCAGCCTGGGTGACAGAGTGAGACCCTGTCTTAAAAAAAAAAAAAAAAAGAAAGAAAGAAAAGAAGAACAACACACACATATACATATACACACACACATATATATGTATACACACACATATATAAGGTTTGGGCTGGGAGCAGTGGTTTATGCCTATGATCCCAGCACTTTACTTTGGGAGGCTGAGGTGGGAGGATTGCTTGAGCCCAGGAATTGGAGACCAGCCTGGGCAACATAGGGAGACCCCCCATCTCTACAAAATAAAAAAATTAGCCTCGCATGATGTCACATGCCTGTTGTCCTACCTACTTGGGAGGCTGAGGTGAGAGGATTGCTTGTACCCAGGAGGTTGAGGCTACAGTGAACCAGGATCACACCACTGCAACTCCAGCATGGGCAACAGAGCAAGACTTCATCTCAAATTAAGTGAATAAATATATATATGAGGTTTGAGTGCTAAGCGCAGAGGGTATGTGTGGGGATTCTTGATTCCTCAGGAGAGTCATGTCGCCATCACTAGTTGGCTCTTGGGGGCCAGTTGAATTTGAACTTATCCGTTGCAGTACTGTGAACAGATCTCAGAAGGTATTCCCCCTGACTTCTGGGCTCACAGGCCCTGAAATCAAGTCATATATGCTGTGCTTGGAGATGTGACTGACATTAATCAGTTAGGAGCCCTCCCCAGAATCCTTCCCTCTGCTCCATCTACAAAATATGGGACTTGATTGAAAATACCATAAACTAGTAGAAAATTAAGTAAAAAGCAAGTCACATGGTTGAATTGCATGCTTTTAGACAAGTATCCAATTATATTTTTCAAGTCGACTAAATATAAGAATTGTCCTCTCTGCCTGTCTATTGGCCGTAAGCGAGGGTAGTTTGTCATTGCATACCAGTGCTTCTAGTTTCAAATTTCTTTTCGTGCACTCAAATATAATTGTAGAAAACAATATGTGGCAAACCAGACCTAATTACATGTTCTTTTAAATCTACAAATAGTGTCAAGTAGCCTTCAAAGGATATTCTGACATATGGAATTGGAGGGTTAGCTAACAGTTTTCTATGAATATAAAAGCAAACTGTAGCTTTAGTTGCTAATTTGCCCTCTGCCTAAACTTTTTGACATAAAATCACTATGCCTGCAGTCTCCAGAAGAATTGTCAAAAGCAGGGCTGGGTAAACTACAACCCTCTGCCTGCTTTTGTAAATAAAGTTTTATTGGAACACAGCCATGCCCATTTCTTAACATATTGTCTATGGCTGCTTTCACACTACAAGGGAAAGTTGAGTAGCTGTTACAGAGACCGTGTGGCCCAAAAAGCCTAAAATATTTGTTATTTAGCCCTTTAAAGAAAAAGTTTGCCAACGTCTGGTCTAAAGAAATAGCCATACGCTGCCGCTTCTAATTGCATATTTTTAGACAACTCCCTTAGGTTTTCAGAGCTTCCATTTCTTGATCTATAAAATGGTAGTAAATATACTTATCATGACTGGATTGCTGTGATGATTGAAAGATATACTGTGAATAAGTAACAGACATCCTGCCTAGTCTTTATAAACAGTATGTGTTTTTTATAAACAGTATATGGTTTTTATAAACAGTATATGTTGTTTATTATTTCCCCCAAAAGCCTACTGTTAGCCATAAACTACCAAGTAAAGAAGCTCCCTTGAGCGTGCCCCGTGGACACAGATTCACAACATATGTAGCTAGAAATGGTTATACCTGACAACTAGCAAATATTCCTTCTGATTGTTTATTTCATGGTTCAACTTACCAGGCATGATGTCATTTCCTAAGGAGGAACAGATGGGATGAAATCTCAAAGCCTAGTAAAATTTAAAAAATAAAAAACAGTCCCGAGATGAGTTTTTCCCTAAGAAAATATTTTAAAGTAAGCCTGTGGGAAAAAAAAAAAAATCCCAAACAAACAAAAACACATTTGAACCATATCCGAGATCTTAGAAATCCCAGTTTTTTTTTAGCAAATAGCCAGGCAGTCGGGACGTTCTTAGTAAATATTTGTGGAATATATGAATGCATGATGAACAAATGAATACATGAAATTGCAACATCTTTAAAGCACATTAGTCTGAGATGGGTGACCAATCCCGGTGGTGTTCTGGCCCATTGCAGTCCCCCTGGCCTCTGTTAAAGCTTAGAGAATATGCATGGTTTTTCTTCAAAGCTTCCTTCAAATTGAGCCCATTATTATGGGACATTCCACTCAGTCACTAGTAATTTTCTCAGCACAGCTTGAAACTCGCTTCTCCTCCAGTAGGTATTTTGCTTTCCTTTCACTCCTCAGAGCTATTTTTCTAAATGGGATTGCTTTTCACATGAACTGTGTGTGTCCTGCAGTGTGTGGGGCCTGCTGGGGAAGACTTACGGGGAGTGGAGATTTTCCACAGCCCCTTACCTGGTGATGCCAACTCTGTGTTAGTTCCTAGTGGCATCGTGACTTAGTCTTCCTACATTTAAAAAAAAAAAAAAAGTCTTATATTGTTGCTCACCATTTTAAATACTTCCAGAAGAGTAAATCCCAAGGGTGTAGAGCTGAACAGAACATCCCTAAATGGAATCCTCTCAACACCTGCCTCGTCTTTTCCAGCCTGGATACCCACTATTACCACTTTAAGTTGATCAACAAGGGACGTCGGATCCAACAGTTGTTCTGGATGAATGATAGCTTCCGACCCCAGGCCAAGCTGAGTAAGAAGGGCCGGGTTAAGAAGGGACATGCTCATGTCCAACCCCAGCCCAGTGGCTCTCAGGAGCCCAGGGATCCACAGAGCCCCGTGTTTCATCTCCACCCCGCCAGCATGGAGCTGTACCCAGGCCAGGCAATTGATGTGATACTCGAAGGCTATTCTGCTACTCCCAGGGTAAGGGGACAGCACATTTGGAAGCTATTGTTTTTTCCTAAATAAATCTCTACTGTATCTATTTCTTAGGAAAGTCCCTTGACATTTATCTGAGGAAGGATATGGTTTCTCAAGGATTGTGTACAATCCTGAGTTACCATGGTAGCATCCGTTGCTTTCGGGGTGCAGCTCTGCTCAGTCTTCGATTTGTTTCTGTAGCTACTGTGAACCCAGTCTTAAAGGAGGTTCTCATGCCCAGGGTCCACAGTGACCAGCCAGCAAGTCTCTGGTAGAAAAACACCCAGTTTTTAGCCAAAGCAAATTCTCCTATTAACACTTAGCAGGATGAATTTAATATTCATTCAAAAAGGGTGTTTATATCGACACTCTGGGCTGCCTCTCCTGTTCAGGTATTGGGACATCCCTGTTCCTTTCTTTCCAGCCTGACTGCAACTCACATTTCAAAACACCTTCTTTTTATGCATTAATAAAAGAGCCACATTTATCTTCAGCAACTCTGATTCCCTGCTTTTATTTACATGATCTCCATACACTCTACGTAAAACGTTTCAGTAGATCCAAATCATGTGTGTTTCTTTATCCCTATTCTCTCACAGAGTGTGGAAACCATTAAAAACCTAAAGGAAAGGCTTTCAAAGTCACTTAAGAGTCTCTCCCTCCCGACAAAATGCAGACCTTGTAGATGAGAAATGATGCTTGCTTAAGATCCTGCTTGTGTTGCCAAATTTGGAGGTGATACTGACTTTTCCCCACATTAAATAGGAAGCAAAAAGAACTTTGTCTCCCAGTAGACACAGCTGGAAAGCTAGTCCCTTGCTTAGCTTCTCTAAGGTCACAGATTCCACTTTATTTCATTAGATTATTTCTTCATAGAGCATTTTCAGGTAAAACGCATCCTCAGTTCAACAAAAGGGGGGGTTATCTCTCATTGTGGAAAAGGTAATGTGTTCCTTCTCTCTGTTATTCAGGTGATCAGCCAACTTTTATTGTGTGTATACCATGTGACAAATACTGTGCTAGGCACTGAGGATGTAAAGATGAATAGAACACAGGCCCTTATCTCAAGACACTGACAGCTGTTGGAAGAGCATATTTATAATGTGGTTATCAAGAGTTGTCCATATTTTTGAAGGCATTAATTCTGAGCTGCTGGGGGACTAAACTCAGCTTAAGCTTTACTAAAAGCATCCCCGAATGTTCTTTTTTTTTTTTTTTTTTTTTTTTTTTTTAGACGGAGTCTCGCTCTGTCGCCCAGGCTGGAGTGCAGTGGCGCGATCTCGGCTCACTGCAAGCTCCGCCTCCCGGGTTCACGCCATTCTCCTGCCTCAGCCTCCCGAGTAGCTGGGACTACAGGCGCCCGCTACCACGCCCGGCTAATTTTTTGTATTTTTAGTAGAGACGGGGTTTCACCGTGTTAGCCAGGATGGTCTCGATCTCCTGACCTCGTGATCCGCCCGCCTCGGCCTCCCAAAGTGCTGGGATTACAGGCGTGAGCCACCGCGCCCGGCCTCCCCGAATGTTCTTCTAAATCATGCTACATAATTGAGAAGAGACTGGAATGCATTAACATCCCTAACCTGAGCACTCTTCTATATAACCTATTCATGCTGTAAATTCACTTTTGATCCTTTCTGCTTTATAAAAATCTAGGCTTTTTGAGTCCAAAGAAATATTAATTCCTAATGCATGATTTTTAAATGTTTAAGTATAAAAGGCAAAAATTTGGCCGGGCACAGTGGCTCACGCCTGTAATCCCAGCACTTTGGGAGGCCGAGGTGGGTGGGTCACCTGTGGTCGGGAGTTCGAGACCAGCCTGACCAACATGGAGAAACCCCGTGTCTACTAAAAATACAAAATTAGCCAGGCGTGGTGGCACATGCCTGTAATCGCAGCTACTTGGGAGGCTGAGGCAGGAGAATCGCTTGAACCGGGGAGGCAGAGGTTGCAGTGAGCTGAGATTGCACCATTGCACTCCAGCCTGGGCGACAAGAGCAAACTCCATCTGAAAAAAAAAAGGAAGAAAAAGACAAAAACTTTCCAACTACAGTTTTCAATAGTTGATTAAGAAATCATGTAACCACCTTTGAACTATAAGCCCCATGAAAGATTTTATCTGTCTTGTTCATCAATGTTTTTACTCCCAGAACTGAATGTAAATCAACTGCCTCAGGGCAGTCAGAAATAAATACAGAATCCATCAAGGCCATGTGTAACTAACAAAAACATAATCATGTGACAAAGAGCAGTCCCTGAAACGTGCTGTTCAGAAAAGTGTGCTCTTCCTTGTGTCCCCAGGCAGGTAGTCGGAAATCCATTTTCTCTCAGTGGGTAAATAAGTATTCTGAGTAAGTATTAAGTTATAGTTGTTCCCCAAATGCTGGCTTATCTCACTGGCAGATAGTGAAAGAGAAGCTGGTGTGCCACGCCATCATCGGGGCACAGAAGGGGAAGAGCTTGGTGATGGCTGTGAACATCACCTGTGAGTTCGTCGCACCTCTCATCCAGCTCTCCACCAAGCAGCTCATCTACCGACTGGAGAAGGTCAGTGAGGTGTGCTGGCGAGGGCTGGGTGCTTCGACTAGGGTCAGCATGTTTACATTTTCATTTTGAAAGCTGAATTAATGGGCATCCTTTTCCACCCATTACTCAGCCCATGTTTTTTAAGCTTCAGAGGCCAGTACACATTCAACTAAAAATTCTGAATCTAAACCTACAATCCTTTGACATGTAAGTTGCTGTGGAAATTCTATTTCCATCATTCCTGATGTCTAAGACCTAAGGAAGTGGCATTCCAGTGCACTGAATATGCATTTTAGTCAATCATCTTACTTTAATCAGGTAAAATAAACCCAAGGCAGAGGAAGGATTGGAGTAGAATTATTGATAATTATAATTATCAGTAAGAGTATCTACCACTGATTGATTAGTACGTGCTAGACATGGAGCCATGTTCATTACGTACATTTACCCAGTAGTCCCTCACAACAACCATATGCAGCAGGTTCTGTTATCACACGAGGAAATGATGTGTGATGTGATGCACACGAGGAAACTGAGATACAGGTTAAGCTGGAGAATAATCAACTTAAAGTATTAGATTCACACTCTTTAACTTAAATGGCTCTACGTAAGGGTAGACAGTAAATGTCAGAGTCAGGGGACAAGGGAGAGAAGGTAGTGGCTGCTGCTCAGGGCGGGGGGTCAGGATAGTGAAGAGATGGGGTGGAGGAGATATCACAATAGGCTTGACCTGCCCCTAGATAGGCTTCCATCCAGAATTAATTACCATTCAAGACATGTAAGGAATGTCTGTTCTGAGTTGGGGATTGAGCTGGTACTGGAAATCTAGTGAACCAGACAAAC
Source organism: Homo sapiens (assembly GCF_000001405.40). NCBI lineage: Eukaryota > Metazoa > Chordata > Mammalia > Primates > Hominidae > Homo > Homo sapiens. The sequence goes on from NC_000001.11 coordinate 146,686,703, forward strand.
ATAACCAAAGCTAAGCTGGCTGACTTTAAACAAATTATTAAAATTTAATTGTTGAAGTCACCATTATAAACATTGCTATTAAGAAGAGGTGCAAGGTGCTGGGAGGGCATGTATTAGGAGACATGATCTTGTTCGTCCATGTGGTCATGAATGACTTTCTTGAGCAAGTGCCTCAAGTTGAGACTACAAGTAAAAATAGAAGCTAGTCTGGTGACAAGGGAGGGGGAGAGAATTGTAGGCAGAGGGACTAGCTCACACGAAGGGCTCGAGTTAGGAAAGGCCACCTTGGACAGAGAATGTGCCAAGGATGGCAAAAGTCCATCTGGAGACGTGCAGTCTGCCTGGAAGGCATTATCTGAACTTTGGGTTTTGTTCTGGATGGCCATTGGAGGGCTTCCAGGAAGGGAGTGACATGGTCAGATTCACTGAAACCATCATGCTGGCCACTGAATGGAATGTTTATTAAGGCCTATCATGTGCTAGGCACAGTGTTGGGGGCTAGAGATACAACAGTCAGAACAGTCCTCCCTGATAAATTTCACAGCCTGCTGGGAAGACCAAGCATTAAGTAAGTCACTGCCCCACAGTGTGATCTTTGCTGTCACACAAAAACATTGGGTGTGGTAGTGCCTAACCAGTCATGAGGTATCAACTGGGGTTCCTTTCATTACCTGGAGGTTTGCAGAAGAATGTTCAAGACCATTTATTTTGGTAGTGGATTCCATCATATTTTGTTCATTAAAACAAATTAGTATCTGTTGATTATCACCATGGGAAAGATGTTCTGCTAGGAGATGAAAAAAAGAGCTTGTGGTCCAGTAGGAGAGGTGAGAGGTACAAGTTCAATTCAAATCAACAAGTAACTTTTGAGCAGGTGTATCGGTCACCTACAATATATAAGGCAGAAAAGACACAGCAAAGACCATGGTTTATCAGTCTCAGGAAACTTACACAGGAACAGAAAACCAAACACTGCGTGTTCTCACTCATAAGTGAGAGTTGAACAGTGAGAATACGTGGACACAGGGAGGGGAACATCACACACTGGGGCCTGTCGTGGGGTCAGGGGCAAGAGGAGGGAGAGCATTAGGACAAATACCTAATGCATGTGGGGCTTAAAACCTAGATGATGGGTTGATAGGTGCAGCAAACCACCATGGCACATGTATACCCATATAACAAACCTGCACGTTCTGCACATGTATCCCAGGACTTAAAATAAAATAAAATAAAATATCCATGGCTTGGCTTAATAGATGAGTGGGGAAGGTGGACATTGTTAGTTTAGCTTCCCGTCACTGAAACCCAAGCTAAACCCGAAGCCAACAAGCTCCATGAGACATGTAAAAGGAAAATACGACAAGAGTTCCTGCTACAGTTATTAAGCTTTATTGCTCTATTTTAAATTCTTCATTTTTCAGTAATCAGGAAAGATATTTATTGGCAACAGCTGCACTGAAGTTGGTGGCATTGTATTTTCCCTGAATGCCATTATTGGGAGAAAACTCAGTGAATATTTATTGAATAGCTATTCTGGGCAAGACGTAATATATGTTAAATATGCAGCCTAGTTTCTTATTAGATTTCTCTAAGCCCATAAACACTAATAAAAATGTGTGGGTAGTGCTCTTTTTCTTCTCTTTATATCCTTATGCCTTTTGCGGGGGGCATGTTTTTATTTAAATGTCTACTGTTTGAATTTATTACTAGATTAAAATATGTACATATTTGGAATATGGCGGTAACTTCTTATTCAATCAAAAAGTGAATTGAGCTACAGTTCCCTGCTTATTTTTTTCCACCCTTCTCTCCTTCCCCACAAAGATGAGAAGTTTGAAATCTGTCCTATTACTGTATTTTTCATTTTCATTTCCTGCTCACATTTAATCCACATCAGGGACAATGAAGAAATGCAACTTCATTACCCAGCATATGCAAGAGACTTGTTAGGTCTCAGTATTCAGATTTAATTGTATAACATCCAATTATCTGTTCTGTCTCCCTGATTTCAGCTCAAGGGCAGTGGATCTGATTTGGTACATTAGAATATAATGGTACCAACCCTGTCTATGGGAAGAATTTTTCTATAGCTGTTTCCTCAGATTTGGTCTACTTTATATAACTATTGTACCATTCATAAGCCACGGAGATGAAACCACATCTCTGTGGGATTGAAAAGGTCAATTGAAACTAGCAGCCACTTTTCTTCATGAAGTTCCAGCAGCACATTCTGTCTGCTGATATTTGGGGAGACGAACAACTCAAAGAGAAGGGGTCATTTTAAAATAGAATGGCCTCTCTGTACTTGACTCCTTCTCATCAGTAGCCTCTAAATGGCCTCTTGCCAAAACCAACCAAGTGTGGCTTCTGTACTTCAAAGCCATCTGCAGTGACACAGCAGCCTTCAGGGAAGGTCACTGGGTGGACAGTTCTCCATGCAGCCTTAGTAGGGCCCAGAGTACTGCTTCATCCCTCCCTAAACCATAGTATACAACCCGCAGAGGCAAGGTGAGTCCGCTTCCATGCTACCCCATATTAGAGGGAGGGAAACAAAGGCTGGTATCTCATGGTAAACTCCAGACCTAATCCCTAAAGTCACCCTGGGAGTGCACAGGGAGACTCATAGAGTACAACCAAGGCATGAGGCTCGAGCCAAGGGACACTGGCCACCTGAGCTCACCCAGGAACCACAATGGAAGGAAGACTGTGCTAGGCATAGAACTGGAAGACAGAGTCATATCAAAGTATGAAATTAGGAGGGCTTAACTGATATTGGCACAAAGAGAAAAGGCAAATGAAAACAAGGAGGCCTAGGAAAGACAGACTAGAATTGTCAGAAGACCCAGGGGATGATTGGAGGGAGGTTCTTTTTGGAGGCCAAAGATTGAGGCTCCTGGTCACCCCCTGATGATACTAAAGAACCCTCTTTCTAGGGAATACAAGAAATAATGTGGGCCCCAACATCAGAATGAGAAAAATCCAGTCTGGCCAGAAACTCTCAACTCGAGATTCATTTCCGATGCCTTCTCTAGTTGAAAAATTAAATCTGGGCCGGGCGCGGTGGCTCACACCTGTAATCCCAGCACTTTGGGAGGCTGAGGCGGGTGGATCATGTGGTCAAGATATCGAGACCATCGTGGCCAACATAGTGAAACCCCATCTCTACAAAAAATACAAAAATTAGCTGGGCATGGTGGCACGTGCCTGTAATCCCAGCTACTTGGGAGGCTGAGGCAAGAGAATCACTTGTACTCGAGAGGCAGAGGTTGCAGTGAGCTGAGATCACACCACTGCATTCCAGCCTGGGCGACAGAGCAAGACTCTGTCTCAAAAAAAAAAAAAAAGAAAAATTAAATCTAATTTATCTAACAGAGTAAAAAGATACTTCTAAATCAACTATCCTGGTATTATCAGGAAAAGTTTACAGGAAATAGGTCTGATCATTTGTCAGTATAACAAGATATAGGCAAATCAGGTATTTTAAGCCTGGAAAAATATTATACAAGGGAAAAATGTTTTATTCATTATAATGATAGCTATATTTATGCATAAGATATAACTAACTTTTTAGACTTTGTCTTATGACACTGTGGAAGGCCCTATAATAATAGTTCTATCCAGAAACATGGCTTCTGTAGGTTTTCTCAATTAGGCACCAAGGGGGTAAAAAAATCTAATCTGTGTTGTCTGGGTTATGTAGGTCCACTTTTCAGTAGTCCACTACACATCATTCCACATGATTTATCTTTTTTTTTTTCCTTGAGACTGAGTCCTACTCTATCACCCAGGCTGGAGTACAGTGGTGTGATCTCGACTCAGTGCCACCTCTGCCTCCTGGGTTCAAGTGATCTTCATGCCTCAGCCTCCCAAGTAGCTGGGATTACAGGTGCCTGCCACCATGACTGGCTAATTTTTGTATTTTTAGCAGAGACGGGGTTTCACCATGTTGGCCAGGCTGGTCTCAAACTCCTGACCTCAAGTAGTCCACTGGCCTCGGCCTCCCAAAGTGCTGGGATTACAGGCATGAGCCTCTGCGCCCGGCCTCCACATGATTAATCTAAAGTTCTACAAGGGAGAAAAATGTATGTATACATCTACATATATATGCATATATATACACACACACACACACACACACACACAAAGAAAAAGAAAGATTGCTAAATTTGTTCTAAACAATGAACCTGAGACTTGTTGCTAAAAGCTTACTGTATTTACCATAAGTTGATTTGTTTCCTCTTTTTCTGTTTTTGCAGAAACCTAACAGTATCCTGAAACCTGATTACCAGCCCTTGGCCGTAAAGAACATTTCCACCCTGCCCGTGAACTTGTTGCTGTCAACATCTGGACCCTTCTTTATATGTGAGACTGATAAATCCCTGCTGCCGGCAACTCCTGAGGTACCTTAATAGGGGGCTGTTCTGGCAAGCTGTCTGGGGTGGGGTGGGGTGTGATAAAGGAAGAGAAGAGTAATGATACACCACCCAACTTCAGCTCAGAAAGATGTAAAGGATCCAGGAAGCAAACAGGGAAGACTACAGAAAATTTAAAATGAGTGGTAAATCAGATGGAGAAACTGAGGCCCAGTATTTTGCCCAAGGTCTCACAGCTAGTAAGTGGCAGAACCAGGATTTGGACCTAACTACTCTGGCTCCAGAGCCTTTAATCTTAGAAATTAATATCCCTTGTATACGAAACATTTCTTCAAGTCTTTTTTGAGAAAAAATTCAAATATGGTGTTTTTTAGAAAATAATGTAGTCTAATTCCATTTTTGTAAAATCCTATTATTCCTCTCTCACGTCTGGACTAACATCTACCAAATGATAACTCTGAGAAATAATGTATTGTGAAATTTGGGATAAATTTCTCGTTTCTTCTTTGTGCTTTTATATATAATGTAAATTTTTGTATCATTTCTACAAAACAATAATGTCATTTTCCTGGAAAAAAAAAAGTTAAGTCAATCTTCAAAACATTTAATCACCAAGCATGGCGATACCGAGTGCTACAGATGCCGTGATCTACAAGGGTGGGTCCTAACTTATGCCCAGCCCCTTGTGCCAGTGGTAAGATTAAAGGCCCAGTGGCTGGCCTGGCTTTCAGCTGGGATTAGGCCAATGCTGAAGAGTCATTACTCTCTCTGACTGTTGAATCAGGTGAGTGGCTTTATCAACCGAAACCATCTAATCATGTCATTAAATGCACAGTTAAATACCAGAATCGTTTAAGCCCAGTGGAAAGATGAGGTGCACTGAAAACAGATTCATTCCTGTGTCCATTCTTCCCAACTGCCTTAGGGCACTTGCTGCAAAACCACAAGGTGGCTTTCATGCCCATTAAATGTGGGAATTGAGCAATGCCTAAAAAAGCCAACTCATAGCCAGCCTTTCTACGGGAAGGTGTTACTGCAGACACTGGCATCAAGGAACACATAGGGATTGGAATCAAAGACAGAAAAGAACAAATAAAATGTACTGAACAAATGCTGTTCAGCTCTGGACTGTCATTTTAAGTTGAATAGAAAACAGCAGAAAGTGGATGACACTGTGCTTAAAAGTTAGGATTGCTGACATTAGAAAAGAAATTAAATTACCTAATCTGTCCCTTTCTGGGTCACTCTCTACAGAGCCCCCCACCCCCAACCCCACCCCCCAGTGCTTTAGAAAACCCTTTTAAAAATTTCTTAAGCAAAGAATTTTTCCCACTTGCCTAAGGGCATTTCACAACGAAATTTATTTTTAGTTAAGAATATTTTATAATAGTTATTCATTGTAGACTTTTCCTTTACAACTGCTCAATTCTTATAAACCCACACAACACTTATCAAAATCTCTTCCTTTAAATAATTCCAGATTTTCCTTGCTTTCATTTTCAACTAATAAAATGTGTATCCATATACATAAGTGTCTATACTTAGATGTACTAGCTGTTTACATATGAATGTGTATGTGTATGTTTTTCATACTAATATGTGTGTTTATATGTGTATGCACAAATATGCATGTATCTGTGTGTGCATAAATACATGTAATGTGTATGTGTAAATACCTGGCTGTCCTGTTTCATGTACCAGGGTGGAAATGCATAGTACAAAAGTTAGTAATTTCCCCATTATCTTGTTTGTAGCCTATTAAACTGGAAATTGATGAAGAAAAAAACCTGCTGATCAAGTTTGACCCTTCCTACAGAAACGATCTGAACAACTGGGTGGCAGAAGAAATTCTAGCAATTAAGTATGTGGAACACCCTCAGATAGACAGCCTGGACCTGCGCGGAGAAGTGCATTACCCCAACCTCAGCTTTGAGACAAAGGAGCTGGATTTTGGCTGCATCCTGAACGATACTGAGCTCATTCGCTACGTTACCATCACCAACTGCAGTCCGTTGGTTGTGAAGTTTCGCTGGTTCTTCTTGGTGAATGATGAGGAAAATCAGATAAGGTACCCCCAGCACAGAACTCTCACAGAACTCTGCTTTTCATTTGTTTTCTCTTTCAGGCTTTTCATGGGGTTTTCTGTATTCCATGTACTGGCCATTCATGAATATTTTCCATTTTGACCACTAATTATTGACAGAATTAACAAGGAGCTTAAAATCACGATCCATCCTCGATTTCCTAACAGGAAACATAGATAAAACATCTTTGAAAGTCCCAATCACCACCGAATTAACAAAGCAATATCCATAAGCCCACTTTATTTTTGAGTCTAGTGATAAGACCATTAGAAATTCATCACTAAAAAATAAAGTCTTTGTAGAATTGTTTAAATTATTATTTTATTGTGGTAATATATATACAACTTAACAAATTTTTAAGTGTACAATACAGTATTATTGACTATAAGTAAACCAGATTTCTAGAACTTATCTTGCTGCACTGAAACTTTATGCCTGTTGCCCATTCTCCTTTCTCCCCAGCCCCCGCAACCACCATTCTACTCTTTGATTTTATTAATTTAACTATTTTAACTACCTCATATAAGTGGAATCATGCAGTATATTAGTCTTTTTCACACTGTTATAAAGAACTGCCTGAGAATGAGTAATTTATGAAGAAAAAAGTTTTATTTGACTCACAGTTCTACATAGCTGGGGAGGCCTCAGGAAATTTACAATCATGGCAGAAAGTGAAGGGGAAGCAAGGCATATCTTTCATGACAGCAGGAGAGACAGCAAGTGAGAGGGGAACTGCCAAACACTTTTTTTTTTTTTTTTTTGAGACAGAGTTTCGCTCTTGTCGCCCAGGCTGGAGTGCAATGGCGCTATCTGGGCTCACTGCAACCTCTGCCTCCCAGGTTCAAGCGATTCCCCTGCCTCAGCCTCCCAAGTAGCTGGGATTACAGGTGCCTGCCACCACGCCTGGCAATTTTTTTTTTTTTTTGTATTTTTAGTAGAGATGGGGTTTCACCATGTTGGCCAGGCTGGTCTCGAACTCTTGACCTCAGGTAATCCGCCCGCCTCGGCCTGCCAAGGTGCTGGGATTACAGGTGTGGGCCACCATACCCAGCCCTGCCAAACACTTTTAAACCATCAGATCTCATGAGAACTCACTCACAATCACGAGAACAGCATGGGGGAAACCACCTGCGTGATCCAATCACCTCTCATCAGGTCCCTCCCTCAGCATGTGGGGAACACATTTTGAGATGAGATTTGGATGAGGACAGAGAGCCAAACCACGTCATGCAGTATCTTCCCGTGACTGGCTTATTTCATTGAGAATAATGTCCTCAAGGTTCATCCATGTCATTACATATTGCAGAATTTCCTTCTTTTTTAAGTTTGAACAAAATTCTAGCCCCTTGTATGTATATAACAAATTTTCTTTATCCATCCACCTGTTGATGGACATTTAGCTTTTTTCTACATCTTGGCTATTGTGAATATTGCTGCAATGAACATGAGAGTGCTAATATCACTTTGAGATTCTGATTTCAATTCTTGGATAAATACCCAGAAGTGGGATTGCAGAATCACATGGTAGCTTTATTTTTAGTTTTTTAAGGAACTTCCATACTGTTTTTCACAGTGGCTGCACCATTTTGCATTCCCAGTAACAGTGCACCAGGGTTTCAGTTTCTCCGCATCCTCACCAACACTTGTTTATTGTTTCTTTAGTAACAGCCGTCCTAACAGGTATGAGGTGATATCTCATTGGGGTTTTTATTTGAATTTCCCTGATATTTAATGACGTTGAGCATCTTTTCTATACCTGTTGTCATTTGTAGATCTTCTCTGGAGAAATGTCTATTTAAGTCCTTAGCCCATTTTTAAATTAGGTATTAGTGGTTTTTTGCTATTGAGTTGGAGTTCTTATGTATTTTGGAGATTAACCCCTTATCAGATATATGGTTTGCAAATATTTTCTCCCTTTCCATAGGTTGAATTTTCATTCTATTCTTTCCTTTGCTGCGCAGAAGCTTTTTAGTTTGATGTGGTCATACTTGTTTACTTTTGGTTTTGTTGCTGCAGAATTTTCTTGAAAAGCATTTCAAACTCAAAGCACAGACTGAGTAGGACCCTACATTGAGTATGTGTAGCACTGAGCTCCATGTTGCCTGCTTTACATATTTCAATGGGTTTCTGTTCTGGTTCATTTATGTATATGTATAGACATACACATAATTATAAAATAGTGGGAGGCAGCGATTGCTGCATTTTCTTCTTAGTTGGCAACCAGAACTAATGGGCTTTGTATATTTCCTTATTGGATGTTGTGACACTCAGTTGTTGGCATGTGAATATTGGACGGCCATTCTTAACTGAGGAAACCTCATGTTGTTTCCTTAGGGGCTTGTCAGTGCTTCCTGTCCATAATCCTCATCTTATGTATGACAGTCACCCTCTTCTCTCCTGCACTTGTTACCACGGTAACGATGGCTCGCTCTGAATGTTTTCCGTAGACATCTAACGATGACCTAGCGAAGCACTGAAGCCGGCAGCCGGTCCTGGGCCTGAGCACTGGAGTCTGCTCATTAAGTGCCAGGGACTGTTTGGGTTTGGAATGAAATTCTGTAGATGGTGAACATTTAATATAATTATGGAAAAATCAGCCAACCCGACCTAATGCACTTCAAATACCAGATTTTGTGAAGTGATTCTGATGTAACATAGCTAAATGAGTTTATTCCATCTGGGAGCAAGGACATGCTTCATTTATTTTTTTATTTTTGAGAGGCTACTTTCATAATTAAAGTGATGAACTTTTGAAAATGTACTTGGCCACTACTGAAGATGATACACTTAATTTTTCATTGGTTTAAGCATTTATTTAACCGTTTTTCTCTTTCTTCGGCATCTTCCTATCTCTTAATATTGAGCCTCTGCTTATAACTTGTTTATTGATTCATTTACTCAATCAGAGAGTCAGTCAGAAAACATTTGATAAGTGATTATTGTGAGCCACATATTGAGGAATCAGCACTATAAAAGTGAACAAGACGTGACCCTTGTCCTCAGGCTAGTGGAGAAAGCAGACATGTACCAAAGTGGACATGTGGCCATGCTGGGCTCTGTGGGTGGGAGGCCTGTGCCCAGAGAAGTCAGAAAAGGCTACATTGAGGAGCCACAGTTAAATATTCCAGATGGAGAGGCAGGAAGACATTCTGAGTAACAGGAATAGCATGTATCTATTAGTTAGAATTCATGGGTTCACTCTATGGCAAGTCATTGAAAACCTGACCCTAAGCAAAAATTAAAGGAAAGGAAATTCATTGGTTTTCACGACTCAAAATTCCAGATTCGCTTTGGCTTCTGGCCTGGCTTAAAGCAAGGATCATACAATGTCATCATTGGAGCCAGGTTCTCTGTCTCTCAGCTCTGCTCAGTTTCTTGTGTTAACCTCATTCCCAGATTAGCTTTTCTCTCCTAATCACCCAGTGGCTGCCAGCACTGCTGGGGCCATGTCCTTTTACACTCCGATCCACTGGAAAACAATATGAGGTCTTTCTCCCACAACTTCCAGGAGATTCACTCCGATCAAACTAACTGAGTCACATTTCTGTCCCCACTCCTCATCATTCACTGTCAGGGGAGGGTGATGCACTCATCATGGTTGACCTGGTCACATGCCCGCCACCAAAGGCTGTGGATCATGATCTCTGAACCAGATGGACTGGAGGGGGTGGGAATGGGGTCACCAAACAAAAACTGACAGAGGGAGAATCGATGCTGGAGAGCAAATGACACGCTTCTACCATGATGTTGGCGGAGGGTACGTCAGCGTGGCTGGTGGGCAGACCTCACTGGGTGGGAGAAGTTGTGGGAGGTGAGTCTGGAGAGGTATGTTGGCAGAAGTGTGTGAGAGACCTGATATTCCAGAAGGAATTAACGCTCTTTCTTGGAGGCAGTGGTGGGATTTGTAATCAAGAAGGTGACAAAGGTTTTTGCAGAAAGGTAACGCTTAGCAGCATTCAGCACAGCGACCAACCCCACCTTCCTGAAATACATTCCTTTCTCGCCTTGCAGAACACCGTATTCTCCTGATTTTCCTCTTGTCCCCTCAACAACTTCTCAGTTCTCTGCCAGCAACAACTCCACTGGAGTAGAAGGATGGAGGGCTCCATCCTAGGCTTTCTCCTCTTCCTGGAAATTGATGCACCCCCATAGCTCCAGTCAGCTTCTTTTGCTAAGGCTTCCCAGTGCCTGTCTTCACCGAGCCCCCTCTGCTGAGTTCCAAGTCTGTTGCCTTCTTGACGTCTCCTCTTGGACATCCCTTGGATGCCTCCCAGGTGATTTATGCCTAGCGTGTTCCACATAAGCTCTGTTCCCTCCCTGCTCACCCCCAGACTCTCCTCCAGGGCACCCTGTCCCAGTAAATGACATCACTGCTCTCCTGGGAGGCATTAGGATTTCTTCCTCTCTCTAACCCCACCCACCCTATCAAATCCACCACCAACTTCTACCTATTCTGCCTTCTGAAAACCTCATTCCCATTTCCACTGCTGTTACCCTGGCTCAAGCCACCATTGCCTGTTACTGTGGTCACAGCCCTACCTGGGCTTTCTGCTTCCACGCATGCACCACAGCTCCTACTCCCCTCAGTAGCCATGCCACTGCCCTGGCGTTAAGCCTTTAGTAACTACCTGTGCTTCTTGGAATAAAGTACAGAGCACTCACTCTATTCTGCAAGGCTCAGCATGTGCTGGTCCCTGCGTTCCTCTCCAGATTTGCTCTGTGCTTCTGGCACTGACCTTTCTGTTTACCCAACACACCGGCCTCTGTCCTGCCCAGTGCTGTTCCTGTCCAACTGCCCCCTTCTTTGCTGGAAGCTCCTCCCCAGCCCCACCTAGCTGTCCCTGGCCCTTCTTCAGACTTCAGCTTCACCATCCTTCTGCAGGGAAGCCTTCTCCAAGATCCATCCTTAGGCCAGATCCCCTGTCATGGACATTGGTACTCCCATCTCCTTGGTGATTCACATCACGCCTCTGCTTATGGCTTGGTGTCCATCTTCCCAGCATCTCTTAATCCCTGTGAGGCCAGCAAGCACACCTGCCCTATCACCTCTGGAGCCCCAGAGCCCAGCACAGTCCCCAGCACAGAGTACATCCTCAAAGGGTGTTTCTTGGTGAATCAGCTGCTCCCACCTGGGTATTTGTAGAGAGAAGGAGATCATTTCATACCTGGCTTGAGATTCCTCTCTCTCAGCTTCCTGGCACCCGCCAAAGAGAAAGGTTCCAGGCATAAATGTCACCTAGAATAGACAAAAAAAAAAAAAAAAAAAAAAAGCCACCTGGTTTCCAGACAGACTGTCTCTGTGTAGGACGTCTGAAAAACATAAACCACTCTGGCTAAAGGTCACTTTTATCAGATATACACGAACACTAACCTTTCTTATCCAGTTAGGATTCTTCTAAGCCTTACAGTTAGTAAAAGACACAGAAGTGTAAGAGAGGGTTTTCTTTTTCTTTTATTAGATAGGTCTGAGGTCGCCTATACACTCTCATGTTCCTTCACAACACATGTACATCTGCGGTGCGCGTGCATGCACATGTGTGCATGTGACTTTGTAGGCAATTCTCACTCATCTATTTAAAGCATCCCTCTTGTTTGAGCACACATTTTTTCCCCAAGTTGGCCCTCATGTCACATCTAAGAAAAAAGAAAGAAGTAAAATGGACAAGCATGCTAAATAAGTCCTCGGTAAGAGGAAAAGGCAGCCATTGCCTTTGAAGCCTGTGAGTTTGTGCCCGTGACAGGAACCTGGGTCAACCATGGTGGATGGTGGTCTCTCCCCCTCCCACATCTGCATGTAATGAGAAAGCTGGCATGAAGTGCCGGGGCTGGCCATTCATGACCACACAGCTGTCGCTGCAGGAGCCACCCTTTTATTAGGTCCATCTCTTCAGTCTAACTGATCAGCTTGATAACAACACAATGCTTCATGGCACCTGTGTGAAAGAGAAGCACAAGGAAATGGTGCACTTGAACCAGCTTTTACCTTTAAGAGGCCAGACTAGAGAGCCAACCGTCAGGGAGCCGAGCAGCCTCTGGCTTGGCTGGCATCTCTGCCCAGTCTCAGAGCGGGGAAGCTGAGGCCGCACTAGAACTTAGAGCATGTGGGCCAAGTGGTCTCCACGGACAGCTTTGGCTCTTCGTTTGTGAATCAGATTATAAATAAATCGAATACAAGGGCCTAAAGGGAGCCAAGTCCTGCAGCAAAGGAACATGTTATTCTCACACTGATTTTTCTATGATGAGCGCCAGCCAGCCAATATGGAGATTGGAAGAGGAGGGTGGAAGGCCTGGAAGGAGGCTGGAGAAAGAGCCTCATTTTCTGGATGCTTCCATCTATGTCTTCATCATTCCTCAATTTCTGTTGCTTCAAAAGTAGATTTTTTTTTTAAACAAAGTCTCACTCTGTCACCCAGGCTGGAGTGCAGTGGCACAATCTTAGTTCACCACACCCTTAAACTCCTGGGCACAAGCCAAGGACTGCTGTAGCTGGGACTACAGGCGTGCACCATTATACCTGGCTAATTTCTGGTTTTTTTGTTGTTTTTTGTTTGTTTGTTTTTTTTGTAGAGACAGGGTCTTTCTATGTTTCCCAGGCTAGTCTCAATCTCCTAGGCTCAAGTGATCCTCCTACCTCAGTCTCCCGAAGTGCTAGGATTACAAGTGTGAGCCACTGTTCCTGGCCCAAAAGTGGAACTTTTCTAAGATGTGGTGTGTCAGTGGTAGTTGGGGTCCTGGGCTGCCGAATCAGATGTGGCTGGTTAGAATCCAAGCGCTGTGCTCCTCCTAGCCATATGACCTTGTGCTGCAGTTGACTTACCTGTAAAATGGTAGTCTAAAAGAGTTGCTGTGAGGATTAAATGAAGTGTATCTTAACATGCATATGTCCCTGAGACATGCCAAGCACTCCCAAATTGGTGGCTGTTTTTAGGTTCTCTAAGGGTCTCTTCCTTTGTACCAAATGCTGCTAAGTGAAGCAGCCCCGGAATCCTATAAGGGCTCCTACGGGTCCTCCTACAGGAGCTCTAGGGTCCTTAGACAACCACAGATGGACCCAGATTCCTTTGACTTCCAACAAATGATAGAAAATCCTTTTCTTATACCAGGCTGCATTCATCAAGGCCAAAGCCAGGCTTTAGCCAAGCTTCGCCGTGGGCTGTGTGTGGCTTAAGGGGGCCAGGGCCAGGCAGGCCTCCCCTCCCTACCTGTCACTCCTCCCTGCAGCCAGATAAGCCCAGACCTTGGCTTAGAGGCAGTTCCTTGTTCTGCCCAAGGGCCCAATAAGAAAATAAAAATGTTTAGGGGAAATGTGATTATTTTTTCTTTCAGAATAAGCATTACTTTATTGAATCCCACAAGGGCAGGCACTAAGTACCCTTAAACCACAGCTGTCCCTGGGTAGCTCAGGATGCTGGTGTCCGAGTCAGACTTTGGCTCAGCCACCTGCCCCATGTGACCCTGCTGGGTGGCTGAGCCTCCCTGAGCCTCGGCTCTTGTGTGAAATGAAGGAGGTTAATAATGGTGCCTTCCACAGAGGAATGTGGTGAGGATGCTAAGGCCGCTTTGTTATTGAAGAAATTGAGGAGATGGGTGCCTCTCTGATGTTGATACCAGGCCATATTTGAGCACTCCAGAGGCAGCTTTGAGATATTTTCTCCCACAATCAGTCTGAGGCCATTTCAGGATGTGGGGAGGTCTCACAGGGTCCAAGGGCCGCAGGTACCTCTCACTGATCTAAGCTTTTGTCCCTTCCATAAACATCCTGTCTTCCTCACCAGTTTTGTACCTCTCAGAACGCTGTGAGCTCAAGTATTTGCGTTTTTCTTTTTCACCTCCCAGGGAAAAGTTTGGATTGGAGCCAAAAGTAAGCATTTAGCCCTGGGGCCAGAGGGAAGACAGGCCTGAGGAGGGGGCAAAAAGGTCATGAAGGGGAAACAGAATCAGGGGCCACAGCCTATTTTCTGCCCCCTCAGCCCCCTTTCTTCCCCGACTCTCTCCCTACTGTGTCTGAGCTAGGATGACAGACTTACAGCCCCAAGAGTGAACCCAGTGGGAATGGGTCCCTCCCCCTAGCAACTTCCTGTGGCTGCTGTAACAGGTCACCACAAGCTGGGGGTATTGGAACAACACAGATCTCTTCTCTTCCCATTCTGGAGGCCGGAAGTCTGAAATCAGTTTCACTGGGCCAGAACCAAGGTATGGACAGGGCCACTCTCCCTCTGCTCCCTCCGGAAGCTGCAGGGAAAATCCCCTGCCTTTGCTGAATTCCAGAGCTTTGTTCCTTTCACTGTTTGCATTCCTAGTCTCTGGCCCTTCCACCACCTTCAAAGCTGACTGCATACCATCCCCTTCTCCCCTCTCTGGAGGAACATGGCCCTCTGCCTCCCTCATATAAGGGCACCTGTGGTTAGATCACTGGGCTGACTCATATACTCCAGGATAATCACCCCTTCTCCAGATCCTCAACTTAATCACATCTGCAAAGTCCCTTTTGCCATATAAGGTAACATTCACAGGTTCCAGGGATTCAAACATGGACATCTTGAGGCTGTCCCTTATCCAACCTATTCAGAGCCTCCAACATTACTGGCATTGAGTTCTTGTGCTCCCTTTACTCTCTTTAAAAATGGATCCTCTATTAATGACCATATCATTAGAAGCTTTGGTTGTAAGCAACGGTAATCCTGACTCAAACTTACAAAAAAAAAAAAGAAAAGAAAACCAGAATTTGTTGGTTCATGCATCTGGAAAGTCTAGGTTCAGGCTTCAGGCACAGCTTGATCCAGGACTTGAATAACATCACCTGCACCTAGTGTCTCTTCCATCATCCCTCGGCTCTGCCCTCTGCCATATTACCTCCATTCTCAGTCGGGTCCTATACGCACATGGTTGCAAGATGACTCAGCAGCTCCAGCTCTTCATATGCCAGGTTCAAGTCTGGTGGGAGGAAGTAGAGTCCTAGGAAATTTTTTGCTGTAACTCACTGGCACTGGTTGAATCCTGTGTCCCTCAACTATGGTCTGGGGAACTCACTGCTACTCCTGAGCCAGGCTGAATGTCAGAGATAGGCTAGTTCCCAGAGGGAAATGGAAGGTACCTGACCAAAGAAAGGGAGAATGGATGCTGGGCAGCAAAGAACAAAGATTCCACCTTCATGACTGATCAGGCTCATTGCATTTCTCTTGCTAGTCCTAAGCCAAAGAGATGGACATCTAATTGTGAAATTAGGTACCACCTGCATGGAAGGGTATTTGAGGAACAAGACCACCTTACCAATGCCCTGAGACCTGATAAGCTGGTTTACTCCTCAGGCACTGTGGAAAAGCAACTCACAACCAGACTTCATTCCCAGAATAGCCCCGTCACCATGCAGCCCTAAGCACCAGCTGTGCAGGCACCTTCCCGTTTTCTGTATGAAAGGCAACCTGCCTATTTTTGAAGCCTTAGAGTAAGACCATCGGTACAGTGTGAACAGTTCACATCTTTACATTGGGAAAATCTCTTTTAACAGCTTTCCAGACCACAAAGAATATGTCCAAGTAGGAAATATTTCCTGTAGATAGATGTATATGGCCAAATCTTCAACATGGAGCTATTGGGAGCAATGAAAGGAAGCTGCCGTAATCTTGACCAATAGCAGTAACTATGATTGAGTACCCACCATGTGCCAGGCATCATTCTAACTCATTACGTGTCATACAGCAACCCCAGAGAGTGAGGATGAATACCCGCTTTTAGGGATCCAGGCACCTGAGCCCACACAGCAGATCCCAGACCCCATTTGTTTTTGTTACTCATTTCAACTTTGATTTTAAATTCAGGGGATACATGTGCAGATTTGTTACATGGCAATATTGCATGAGGCTAAAGTTTGGGGTATGGATCCCGTCACCCAGGTACTGAGCATACTACTCAACAGGTAGTTTTTCAACCCATGCCTCACTCCCTTATTACCCCCTCTAGTAGTTCATAGTGTCTGTTGTTCCCCTGTTCATGTCCATGTGTGCTCAGTGTTTAGCTCCCACTTATAAGTGAGAACATGTAGTATTCGGTTTTCTGTTCCTGCATTAATTCATGTAGGATTATGGCTTCCAGCTGCATCCATGTTGCTGTATGATTTATGGCTGCATAGTACTCATGGTGTTTATGTACCACATTTTCTTTATCCAATCCTTTGTTGATGGGCACCTGGATTGATTCCATGTCTTTGCTCTTGTGACTAGCACTGCAATGAACATATAAGTGCATGTGTGCATGTGTCTTTTTGGTAGAATAATTTATATTCCTTTGGGTTTGTACCTAGTAATGGAATTGCTGGGTCAAATGGTAGCCCTGTTTTAAGTTATTTGGGAAGTCTCCAAACTGCTTTCACAATGGCTGAAGTAATTTATATTCCCACCAACAATGTATAAGCATTCCCTTTTTTCCTCTGCCTCACCAGCGTGTTATTTTTTTAATAATCGCCATTCTGACTGGTATGAGACATTATCTCATTGTGGTTTTGATTTGCATTTCTCTGATTATTAGTGACAATGAACGTTTTTCCATATTTCTTGGTCACTGCTATATCTTCTTTTGAGAAGTCCAAGACCCCATTTCTGCACTGACTGCAAAGCCCCTGTTTTAACCACTGTCTTCTACTGACATATCAAAGCCCAATTTTTCTGTATATCTTATTACTATGTATCTATTTTATATTTAAACGAACCTTCTCTGAACACTCTACCTGAACATTGTGCTATGTGTGATGGGGACTACAAAGATAAATAAGACTTATTGCTGTGCATGGAATTGATGAGCCCCCAAAGACAAACATGGAAACCGTTCATGGGGCACAAGGTGGGTGGATAAGCACTGACTGTGTGCCAGACATTTCCAAAGATGGCTTCACTTCATATTCTCAGTAAGCTGATTTACATGGCAGCTGTTTAGGAAACACTGTTATTATTGTGATTTTACAAATAAGGGAAGGGCAGCACAGTGAAGTAAATAAGCACTAGATAAAAATGGGAAGGAAGGAAGGAAGGGAGGGAGGGAGGCAGGGAAAAGGGCAAGAAGGAGAGAAGAGAGGGATAGAGGAAGGGAGGGAGGGAGGGAGGGAAGAGACAGGGAGAGAGGGAGAGAAAGGGGTGGGGTGAGGATAAGTAGGAAGCACAGTCTTTTCCCATCAAGAGTTTATAAGCTGAATGAGGAAACAAGAGGTTCATAAAAATCCACAGCTACTGTTTGTTCCACAGTTCAGCACTTTGCCCTCTACTCCTCAGCCTTGCAAATATTACCCAGTGAAGAAATCTGGTGGGAATACTGACGGGGTCTGCTGGGGCAGGCTAGATGATCAGTCCCAGCAGGGTGAAGAGACGCCTGCTGCCCCTAGAGGGCTGAGTGCAGGGTGGAGGGAAGGATCCTCTGGGTGGTGGCTCCCAGCCTTATCCTGAGTCCCTGAATCAACATGTGAGAGCTGCTAGAGGTGGGAGCTCTCATCCTGAGACTGTGCCCTACAGGGGATTTTTAGTGATAATCATACCCCAACTGTCTGTGATAGCCAGTGGTTCCTGATTCAGGCAGGAACTGAGGATTTCCTTGGCCTGGCTGGCTCCATACCAGAGTTATCAGGAACCTCAGGGATCCTCTTAGTTTTTGCCTTAACTGGGTGAGGCCCCACCAGGGAGCATGTTGGCAGCAAAGCCTGCTTCCTGCTACTCTTTCCCATTGACCCTCTCTTTTGAGGCCACGATACCATCACAGGAGGGCAATATTCCCTACTTGTTGCCACAGACTGGGTAGACTGTTCCTGTGGGGCTGTTGCCTTGCCATGGGATTCTGCCCACAGGTTCATCACCAGCTTCTAACTGACCATCCTTTAGGGGAGGAAGTAGGTAGCTCTTGGAGAAGCCATCCTGCATCTGTTCCGAAGGGCTTGAAACCTCTGACTCTGTCCTTCTATTAACAGGTTTGGAAATTCAAGTTCAGCCCCATGTCATAGGGGTGGAATTGTTTTTTCTTCTAGACATCATTCCTACAGTTTGGTTCACTGTCATTGAGGGAGGGGCAATATCAAATATCTAAGATCTATAGGTTTACTTTGCTCCTTGAGAAGGAATATCACTTATTTAAATAGACTTGAAATACATGTATAATTATAATTAAATATAATAGGTGTATTACATATGATATATAAATTAATCAGGTTTGCTATAAAGCAAATTCTCAAATAGACACACAAACATATATATGTATTATTTAACACAGTTGTGTTCAGGCTTTTTACAGCAGAACACTTTTTATGTAAATCACTTCAGAACAGACATGCTGAGTGAAAGAAAGTGTAAAGGAGTCCTTCTTTCTCCTTCTTCCCAGCCCCATTAGTTCCTGGGCTTCCTCCAAGGAACCCTCACATCTGTAGCTAGGGCTGAGTTAGCTGATGCCTAATTACTATTTAAGAATTACATTAAATCACAAAGCAATGTTGAAATTTCTACACCTAAGTGTAATGTATTATACTATATTACTGAGCTCAGGCTGCCGTAACAAAATATCATAGAGTGTGTGACTTAAACAAGAGATATTTATTTCTCAGTTCTGGAGACTGGTAGCCTGAGATCACAGTGCCAGCATAGTCAAGTTCTGATGAAGGCTATCCTCCTGACTTGTAGACAGCCACCTTCTCACCATGTGATCGTATAGCAAAAGGAGAGAGAGAACACTCTGGTGTCTCTTCTTATAAGGGCACTAATTCCGTGAGGCTGGTCTCACCCTCATGACCTCATCTAAACCAAATTACCTCTCAAGTACTAGTTGGCCACATGTGGCTAGTGGCTATGTATTGGACAGCACAGATAGAGAATATTTCTATCATTGCTTAAAGTTCTAGCAAACAACTCTATTATAGACAATTTGAATGCATTTAATAGGCTTACTATAATTGACATATGTAGAACACTGCACTAAAAAAAATCTTCTGGCCCCATGCTACAGTTACGAAAAATTACTGTATACTAGGGCTTAAAGCAGATCTCAACAAAGAATCTGTTCTGTCAGAAATCAATAGCAAATAGATAACAAGAAACAAACAAGTAAACAAAAACACAGGCTTAGACATTTTAAAACATGCTTCTGAATAGCCTTAGATAAAATGGACAAATTCTTAGAAAAATACAACTTGCCAAAACTGACTTTTATAAAAAAAGAAATCTAAATGGTCTTATAACCATTAAAGAAATAGTTTCAAATATCCCCATTTTTAAGAACCCACTAAGTCCTGATAGATACAGAAGAGTTCATCCAATGATTTAAGAAATAAATTATTTCAAACTTAAACTCTTTTCAGAGAAAAATATAAAAGACAATATTACCCAACTTATTTTATAAAACTAACTTAATTTTTATACCAAAACCCATTAAACCAGGTCACAAACATAAAGATTTCAGGCCATTTCACACTCATTAATTCAAAAATATAAATGTAAAACATTCACCAAAATATTAACAAACTGAATCCAGCAAAGCATAAAAAGATAAGATATAATGAGGTTGAGTTTATTCCAGGAATGCAAGGTTGGTTTAACATTACAAAATCCGGTGATTCAATTTACTATACTACCCCATTAAAGAAGAAAAAACATATGATCATCTCAATAAATCCAGGAAAAATTTCAGTAGAACCAAACAACTATTCATGTGAAAATTCCTTAACCTGATCAAGGATAACTTTTTAAAATATGAAGACATGTTAAAGTCATTTCCTTTAAAAATCAAAAATAAGACAAGAGTTCCTTTTTTTTTTTTTTTTTTTGAAATGGAGTTTCGCTCTTGTTGCCCAGGATGGAGTGCAATGGCATGATCTCGGCTCACTACAACCTCCACCTCCCAGGTTCAAGCGATTCTTCTGCCTCAGCCTCCTGAGTAGCTGAGATTACAGGCATGCGCCACCGTACCTGGCTAATTTTGTATTTTCAGTAGAGATGGGATTTCTCCATGTTGGTCAGGCTGGTCCTGAACTCCTGACCTCAGGTGATCTGCCCACCTCAGCCTCCCAAAGTGCTGGGATTACAGGCGTGAGTCACCGCACCTAGCCAAGAGTTCCATTTCTATTCAACAATTTACTAAAGATCCTAGCCAGTGTAGGAAGATAGGAAAGTAAATAAAAGAGACTAGATTTGGAAAGGAAGAAACAAAAGTCATGTAATTATTATCTACATGGAAAACGCAAAATAATCAACAGACAAATTACTAGAATTAATGAAAGAATCGAGTGAGGAGGATGGATTGATATAAAGTTATAAAATTTAATTGCATTTTTTTTTTTTTGAGATGGAGTCTCGCCCTGTCCCCTGGGCTGGAGTGCAATGGTGTGATCTTGGCTCACTGCAGCCTCCACCTCCTGGGTTCTAGCAATTCTCCTGCCTCAACCTCCTGAGTAGCTGGGATTACAGGTGCCTGCCACCACGCCCAGCTAATTTTGTATTTTTAATAGAGACAGGGTTTTACCATGTTGGTCAGGCTGGTCTCAAATTGCTGACCTCAGGTGATCCACCCACCTCAGCCTCCCAAAGCGCTGGGATTGCTTGCAGGCATGAGCCAACACACCCAACCTCAATTGCATTTCTGTATAGCAGCAACAACTAGAAAATAGAATGCAGTAAAAAAAAAAAAGTACTTAGAAATAAATGTAACATAAAAACACAATATTTATGGATAAATGATAATTTTATTTAAAGTCATTAAATAAGACCTAAATAAATGGTGAGACATACTTGTTTCATTGATTTAAAAGGCTCAGTTCAGTAAAGATGTCATTTTTCCCCAGAATGATCTATAGTTTAAATGTACTTCCAATCAGAATCCTGACAGGTTGATCCTAAACTTTATATAGAAGAGGGATAAGACTAGCCAAGCTCCTAGATATCAAGCCTTATTGTAAAAATATAATAAAGTTTACTGTGTGGTATTTGTGCACAGATAGGCAAATAGAATAAAGGAACAGAACAAAGACCCCAGAAACAGGCCCTTACATGTATGGAAACATGACAAAATTGAAATATTTGAATAAAGGAGAAGGGATGGCCTATTCAGTAAATGATCCAGAAACAATATGTCATCTGTATAGAAAAAGGCATAAACAGATCCTTAAACTCACACTATACAAAATCACACCTGTAATCCCAGCACTTTGGGAGGCCAAGGCAGGTTACACAAGGTCAGGAGTTTGAGACCAGCCTGGCCAACATGGTGAAACTCCATCTCTACTAAAAATACAAAAATTAACCGGGCATGGTGGCATGTGCCTGTAATCCCAGCTACTTGGGAGGCTGAGGCAGGAGAATTGCTTGAACCCAGGAGGCAAAGGTTGCAGTGAGCCGAGATTGTGTCACTGCACTCCAGCCTGGGCAACAGAGTGAGACTCTATCTCAAAAAAAAAAAAAAAAATTAATTCCAAATGGGTTAAAGATACAAACGTGAAAAGTGTAAGTCAGTTTTTTTAATTTGAAGAAAATGTAGGGTAATGCTTTGATGATCTCTGACTTGAATAAGGAAGAATTTTTTTTTTTTTTAACAGGCAGGGTCTCACTTTGCTGTCCAGGCTGGAATGTGGTGACATGATCATGGCCCACTGCAACCTCAAACTCCTGGGCTCAAGTGATTCTCCTGCCTCAGCCCTCCAACTAGCTGGGATGACAGACACACACCACCACACCTGGCTAATGCTCTTTTTAAATTTTTTGTAGAGATGGGGGTCTCATTATGTTGCCAAGGCTGGTCTCAAACTCCCAGCCTCAGGCAATCCTCCTACCTTGGGCTCCCAAAGCACTGGGATTACAGGTGTCAGCCACCTTGCCTAGCCTCAGAATTTCTTAAACAAGATACAAAAAGCACAAAATCATAGTGAAACTATCCGTAATCTCTGTGTTGAATTTGAGAACTTTCTGCATCAAGAGATACCATTAAAAGAGTACAAAGACAAGGCACCAACAGAGAGCAGTTTTGGCATACAAACCACCTGCAGATGATCAGTCTACATACTACATAAAGAATGCCCTTGAAGGAAAAGACAGAAATCAACTAAAACCCAGGAGAGAAGAATGAGCAGGTATTTCACAGAAGAACAGATATGAATGGCCAATAAAGAATAAAAAGATGTTCCACCTCATTAGTAATCTTGTAAATGAAAATTAAAACATTTACAACTAGACACCACCAGACTGGACAAAATTAAATATGATCGTACCAAGTGTTTCCACCAGCATTTCCTCCACAGTGTTTCCTGGATCTGCCTTGCCTTTCATCATCTTTCCCAGGAATCCTCCCTCCAGGCTCCCTACCTCACTCTGCTGGTGGCTTTCTTCCCTCTGGTCTCCCCTGGCTGCAGACCAACCTGAGATTACTTTTCTTTGAGCTGTTGCTTTCACCACCCCATTTCCTTCCCTGTGACTCAAGAGGAAAATGAGCCTTTCACTTTTTAGAAATACATGAATGTTTTCAAATCTACAGTTGTCTTTCAGGTATCCACTGAAGGTTGGGGCCCTTGAGAATACCAAAATCCACAGATGCTCTAGTCTCTTATATAAAATGGTGTTCTATTTGCCTATAGCCTTCCAACACCCTCCTGTATACTCTAGATTACCCATAATAGCTCATGTAAATCTATGTAAATAGTTGCAGTATTGTATTCATTTTTTATGTGTTTTTTTTTTTATTGTTGTGTTGTTGGGTTTTGTCATTTTTCTTTTCTCAGAAGTTTTTGATTCCTGGTTGGTTGAATCACTGGATGCGGTACCCACGGATGCAGAGAGTGACTGTACAGAAAAAAAGCATCTATTGCCTTTCCAGGCCAAGCTTTCTGTCTGTTCTCCTCTCTAGCAATAATCTCCTCTCACTCTCAGTATCTTCAAGCTTCCTATTCCTTTGCCTACAGCACAAGTGCTTCACCTCTTAGAAAGCCCTTCTCTTAATCCTCTTGCATTAATTACCAACTCTCTACCAGGCAATGGAAGAAAACAGAGTACCCTAGTTGCCTCCATTCATTCCCCAACCCAATTTAAACTGGCTCCTCACTTGACTGAAACTGCCCCTGCAGAAGGTCAGCAATGATTTTATTATGAAACTACATTGTATGTGCAAAAGTATTTGTAACATAGATACATAGTTTGAGAAGCATAATCAATGTCCGCGCTCATGATCCCCATAACAAATACGATACTGTTAGTAAATTTGAAGTCCCCTGAGAGCAGTAGACCACTTTACACTCCATCTCTGGTGTCCCCAGAACCTTCCCAGGGCCTTCATCATCCAGGCCTCCTATAGCCTGTTCACCTAGAATCTCCTCTTCTGCTGCGGTGGGTCAGCTAATTTATCTGACCGGGGGGTCAAATTACCCACTGAGGCTAATGAGAGGACTGTCTGCCATCTCTGAAATCTGAGCTTCCAGAGACAAGTTTCCTGCCTTTGTAGTCGACCTGCAAGTGACTCAGGGCCAAGCACAGGGAAACTTATGGAGTGGGGTAGGCCTTTAGCTCTCTTTATATTTAACTTAAAAGCTATCTCCATGTTGGGGCCCATACAGTCTACTTCTATTTGAAGCTATCTCCATGTTAGGGCCCATACAGTCTACTTCTATTTGCAATTCAGCTTAGTCTCATTTCCTGAGTTACCATATCCATTACCCCATAGGTAACTGAATTGGACTGTTTTTCATTTCAATTGTGAGTGTTATAAAACTTTTTCTCCTGCTTTTGTGTTGTTATAGAACTCTAGTCACCTTATTATAGCTTCTTTCTTTTTAAGGCATTTTCCCGATGTTTCCAGTATCAGTGGAGGGCATCAGACTTCCAGAGATTCAATGTGAGCTAAGCCAGCTTCTAATGAAATCAGCGGAAACTATCAGTACATATCTGAGCCTAAGTCAGGGTTGTGTCCGCTTGGTTCATGGAGTGATGTTCGTAAAAAGGGCTCATTTGGTTGGTCTACATGTTCATATTAATTAAAATCCTCCCAAAGCTAGCTACAATCTACTGAAAGCCAGACATTAAAAGAAATTGACTTTAAAAACCAACCTGTTTTGAAAGTATTTCTAAAGAGCTATGAAGCTGATAAGGGAGATTTCACAGCCTACCTGTTTGGCAGCCTTTCTAAGATCATGTAGCAGTGGGGACACCTTCTGGAGCTTTATAGAAGTGGCCTTTTTACACAGAAATCCATCTAGACTAGAGAGCTTCGAGGTAGATTCTGGGCACATTCCTCCACTACTCACCTGACAGCAAAACTGTTTCTGCAAAGTTACTTCAAGGGCAAGGTCAATGGTGTCTTGCTTTTGCTCATTCAGATTACAATCAGAATGGGTTCCTCTTCTTCCAAAGGTTCTAGACAACACATTGTATATTCCTTACGTTGTGGGTTCCAGTTACTTTTGGAATGAGAAGACCTGCTTTGGGAGTCGCTGCCCTGGGTATGGCATGACATGAAGGGACCCGGGAGAAACCCTCACCTGTGGATTGGCTAGACTCTCCAGCAAAGTCACTAAGAGCATGAGCTTTGGTGTGGGTCTAACGCAGCCATTGACCTGTCCTCTGAGCCTCAGTTTTGTCATCTGAAGACAGGATAATCATAATGGCTTCCTCCTCAATCTGTTGTGAAGATTAAATTAGGCAGTGCTTATCAAGTGCTTCATAGTTCCTGGTAGGGAATAGTGATGATAAGGTCAGCTGCAGTTACTTAATTGGGGCTCTTACTTGATACAGTTGCTTTACCACTATTCATGACCTTCTCACTACCATCTTCTAGGTCAGTGGTTCTCAGCCATGAATGCACATTAGAATCACCTTGGGAAGTTTCAAATAGATTGAAGCCAAGTAAATCAGAATCTCTATGGTTGGGATTCAGGCTTCGGTCTTTCTTAAGGTCCATGAAGGATCCCAATGGCCAGCCAACACTGAGAACCACTGTTCTAGAGGCTCCAATTGCAACTCCTTTTGAGAACCTTTTAAAAAGATGGTTTTCATCTCCTAAGCTCTGAGTAACTTGAGTTTCAGCCTCTCAGCGATCTCTCGTCAGTTTCTACCTTAGCACACGTGACCAGTTGGAAGTATTCTGTGGTATAATAATGTCAGAGGGCTAGGGGAGGCTGCTTTCCATAATAGAGACATGTCTTTAGTTGGCTTCCCCTTCTCACGTGGCAGAGCTAGACCATGCTGCTAGAGAAGGCACTGGGCCAGCCCATCTGTTTCCATCTGTCATTTGCTTCCCAATGTAGGATGATCAGCAAGTGTAGGACCACAAATCTAGACAATAAATATGGAAACATGGCAGGGACTTTGTGTCTGCACCCAGAGGGGCTTAGAAATATGCCCACTTTTAATATAATTTAAAGCAATATTATAATCTGCTCCCTTTAGAAACAGCAGTCAGGGGCTTGCCTAATCTGGAGCAGATTTGCGATGTGTAGAGTCAGAGGAAGGAAGGAAGGATGGATGAGAGGCAGGGGGTTTACAAAATGAGAAAAGCAAAGTTAGATAGCTGAGAGCAAGAATAGGAATTTGGGAAGCCACCTGATAAGATCTGACAAGTAAAGATGCATGGTTTGCATCAGATTATAAATTAGGAACAATGGAAATATGAGATTGGAACTGCAGGAGAAAATAATCTCAGCAATGAAATTAATTCACAGAGGCCACTAGCGCACACTCAGACCTTTGAAGTGCTGGATGTTCTCATAACTGGACCTCTGACCATGCAAGGCACCAGTGGCTACTGTGGATCATTTTCTCATTTTGATATCAGTGATTTATAAGGGTGATGACCAGCTTGCACCACTAAGAATATTGACATTTTCTTTCCATATACTTGAAATGTTTTCATTCCACTTGTTCATTCTGTAGTTGTTTATTGAGGGTAATTGTGCAGGACACTGTGCTAGGGAGAATAAAACCAATCTGTATATGTTAGCTTTCATCACGCAACAAAGTACCCGAAACATAATTGTCTAAACAGAAAATATGTGTTAGTTCTCATGAATCTGTGAATTGCCTAGGTAGTTTTCAAGTTGCCGTTTGCATCACATTTTTGAACGCCTCATTGGCCAAAGGAGTCAAGCCAAGCCCAGATGCAAGGCCTGAAGAAAATAGACTCCATCTGTTGATGGGAGGAGAAGCAAAGTTGTATTACAAACAGTTGTGCTTACTGGAATTGGACAGATTACTTTTTTACAAATAGTAGACCATCTGATATAACATTTGAGCAAAACAAGATCTTTATAACCCTTTTTACTACGGGGAGTTAACTACAGTACTCTTGACTAGAATTTCATTCAACAAATGTTAGGCTTGACTCTAAGCTTGGTATGGTGCCCAGTGCTGGAGACCGTGGTGAGACAGACAGACATGGCTTCTGCCCCTGCTGATGAGTAAATTACAGTGTGGGATGTAGAAGCATGGAGATGACCCCTGAACCTGGACCTGGGGGTCAGGGAAGATGTTCCGGTGAAAGTAACATCTAAGCTAATGCTTAAAGATTAGGTAGATGTTAACTGCTCACTGCCAGGAGGAAGAGGTGCATGAGAGCAGTCAAAGTGACTGCTGGGGTCAGTGCTAGTCCCCATGGCTACTATCCCCCTTCCTGTCATGCCTGCCCCCAGTGCTGACCATCACTGGCCCCACCTCATTGCTTCTGTATTCTGCATCATCATTGTCATCACCATCACCTGCTTCCGTTTGGCACCTACACATACGCTGCTCCCACAACAGACTTCTTCCCTGTCCCTGGGGAATCCTATTTCCTTTACAGCAGGGGTTCTCAACTCCCCAAGGAACAGTACCAGTTTGTGGCCTGTTAGGAACTGAGCCACACGGCAGAAGGTGAGTGGCGGGTGAGCAAGCGAAGCTTCATCTGTATTTACAGCCACTCCCCACCACTCGCATTACTACCTGAGCTCTTCCTCCTGTCAGGTATCCAGCGGCATTAGATTCTCACAGGAGCACAAACCCTATTGTGAACTGCACATGTAAGGGATCCCGGTTGCATGCTCCTTATGAGGATCTAATGCCTGATATCTGTCACTGTCTCCCATCACCCCCTGATGGGACCATCTAGTTGCAGGAAAACAAGCTCAGGGCTCCCACTGATTCTACATGATGGTGAGTTGTATAATTGTTTCATCATATATTACAATGTAATAATAATAGAAATAAAGTGCACAATAAGTGTAATGTGCTTGAATCATCCTGAAACCATCCCCCCACCACCCCACCCAGTCCATGGAAAAATTGTCTTCCATGAAACCAGTCCCTGGTGCCAAAAAGGTTGGGGACCGCTGCTTTGCAGGCACGTTTCCCCCACTCTTCTTCCATTCTTTCTCCCAGGCATAGTTAGACCATATCCTCCTCCATGAAGACTTCTGTATGCATCCAAGAAGAGTTAGTACCTCCCTCATTTGAATTCCAAAAATGATGGTAATCCTCACCAACCCCACACAAGAGCAGCTCACATTCATTGGACATTTGCTATGACCCTGGCACCATGGGGCTCATTATGTGAACTATGGCTCACAGCAATCAGATGCGGAGGGTTCTCTTACTAACACAGCCCCCAGGCCCCATAGTGCACAAGTGGGGAAGCCGGAATTCAAACCCAAGCCCTCTGACCCCACAGCCATGCTCAGAACCCCTGTGCACTGCCTGGCTCCCTGCTGGAACACTTCTACCCTAAAGCACAGCCACTCCTGTGGCTCTGACTCTGATCCACTGGCCTCTTAGCTCCTTGAAGCAAGGGTTGGGTTTCTCATCTTTAGAATCCTACAACACTGTAGTGGATTCCCTAGGAGAGCCGGAGAGTGTGGTTCTTGAGGTGATTTATTGAGGGAGGGCTCTCAGGAGAACTATAAGAAACTAAGGGAAGCAAGATAGGGCCAGAAGAAAACTAGGGGAAGATGTGATTTCAGAAGTCTCACCTCTGCCTGATCCCGTGGGGAGCTTTGGAGTGTAAATTACATCACAGTTTGTCCCACTCAGAGACAAGGAGGCTGGGCTCTCATAGCTGCCACCCCTATCAGTCACTCCTTCCTATAAGTCATACCCTAATGAGAGGGAAGGCAGCTCAGGGTGAGTGAGACATCTCCCATCAGGCCAGGGCAATGCTCCAGAGGAAGGTACAGCCACACCCACAGCACCTGGGGGCATCACCCTAATGAAGTGCACTGGCAGCATCTGCTGCAGTCATCAGTTTTAAAAAAATATTAAACAGCATATGCAGGCCCTTCTTGTCCAGCTGATTTCATCCTCTGTAGTGGACACTCCCAGAAGCCAAGTCTAATGAATCAATGAATTAGAAATCAATGTGTCTCCTGCAGGGCTGCCCACCCCTGCCACCTTTTCCCACAAGACTACACTGCGCAGACTTCAATGGGTGTCCAGCATCCACCATCCCATCTGCAAAGATCATGGAAGCTGCAACACAGAACATTAACTGAAATACAAGCTTGTTCATCAGGGTTTTATTTTAGCGCCACACTGCTTCCAGTGAAGAAAGGACAGGAAAGAAGTATGGTGGATTGTTTTTTTAACTTTGTAGCACAAAAGATTGTGGCGATCCTTCCCCAAGAGTTGAAAATAAAACATGAGGAGGGAAACCACTGCCCCCAAAGCCAGTGCTGCTGATGAGCAGGTGTCTGACATGCATGTGATTCTCTGGCAGCTACAGGGAACATTTCTTTCCTGGCTTCTCCCATGATTCTGATACGGGGAGCTCTGGGATTGGAACAGTATCGATTGTTCTTGTTTGCTATGCACTCCCTTTTCAAAATAACTGAATCTACTCCTGTTTGGGTCAGCATACCAGGAAAGTAATCACCTGTTCCTGAGGGTAAAAGGAAATCTGATCCAAAAAAACTCTACCAGCGTTCTATTTCCATATTTTGGAGCAGGTTTTCTGGTTTTAATAACGTAAAGTCCTCATTACAGTAAATGTTTCACTGTCTCCTGTGGCTCAAGGGGCAAGCACGGAGGGCGGCTCTGCCTTCCTCTATTGATTTCCAGAAAGACCTCTTACTTCCCAATTGTCCAGGTAGCATTGTCAACTGAGGTGTTGTTTTTCCTCAGGTATGAAGACCCTCTACAGCTTTGTATTTTTCCATTACAGAAATTCCCATTTGTTTTCTCTTTATGCAGCACATCCCACAGGGGTGCAAAGGCTGGATGGGTGAGTGCTATTATGTGGGGCAGCGAGCCGGCAAAGCCTCGCCAGGCGTCTCTGCTGACCTGGAGTGATTTCATAAGTGTTCAGAATTGTCCTCGGCTGATTTTCACTGTCCCTAGCTGTTAAGGCTGCAGTGATAGCCCCATATTAATTATCAGCTCCATCCTCAGCTGTCATGCTGCCATTCCTACCCACGGCAGCTCCTAAATCTGGCTGCCCATTAGAATTGCCTGGGAAGGCTGTTAAAAATCTAACTCCTGAGACCTGCTGAATTGTAATCTGTCAGAGGACAAGGTTCAGGAATCTTTATTTTAAGGAGCTTCCCGGGAGATTTGTTAGCACCCAGCCCAACATGCGTTCTCTGCCCCTAATGGAGTGGTTTCAGCCAGAGGTAAAGTCAGCTAGAGACATCTGGTCTGGAACAAGTCAAATGGAAGCTCAAGCCAAAAATGAAAAGAGCTTTTCCATACTCTGTGAATTCTCCATGCTTTCCCATCGCCACTCTTTATCCCAGGTTGACAGACAAGGTGCAGAATAGTCAGATTACCCTCTATGCTATTCAACTGTTCTCATTCAACATTCCACACACCCATCCATCCATCCATCCATCCATCCATCCATGCATCCATCCATGCATCCATCCATTCATTCAATCAACCAAACATCTGTTGAGCTTGGGCTGCATGTATAAGACCCTGTGCAATAGGGTATGTAAAGAGGGGACACCGTGGATCCTCCTTCCATACAGTAATAAGCCCAGCCAAGATCATGCCAGCCCAGTGTTTTCCCTTCTTTTTTTTTTTTTTTTTTTTTTTTTATGTTTCTGTCTGTGTGAAATGTTTTTTTTTTTTAATGTTTTTTTTTTTATTATACTCTAAGTTTTAGGGTACATGTGCACATTGTGCAGGTTAGTTACATATGTATACATGTGCCATGCTGGTGCGCTGCACCCACTAACTCGTCATCTAGCATTAGGTATATCTCCCAATGCTATCCCTCCCCCCTCCCCCGACCCCACCACAGTCCCCAGAGTGTGATATTCCCCTTCCTGTGTCCATGTGATCTCATTGTTCAATTCCCACCTATGAGTGAGAATATGCGGTGTTTGGTTTTTTGTTCTTGCGATAGTTTACTGAGAATGATGGTTTCCAATTTCATCCATGTCCCTACAAAGGACATGAACTCATCATTTTTTATGGCTGCATAGTATTCCATGGTGTATATGTGCCACATTTTCTTAATCCAGTCTATCATTGTTGGACATTTGGGTTGGTTCCAAGTCTTTGCTATTGTGAATAGTGCCGCAATAAACATACGTGTGCATGTGTCTTTATAGCAGCATGATTTATAGTCCTTTGGGTATATACCCAGTAATGGGATGGCTGGGTCAAATGGTATTTCTAGTTCTAGATCCCTGAGGAATCGCCACACTGACTTCCACAATGGTTGAACTAGTTTACAGTCCCACCAACAGTGTAAAAGTGTTCCTATTTCTCCACATCCTCTCCAGCACCTGTTGTTTCCTGACTTTTTAATGATTGCCATTCTAACTGGTGTGAGATGATATCTCATAGTGGTTTTGATTTGCATTTCTCTGATGGCCAGTGATGATGAGCATTTCTTCATGTGTTTTTTGGCTGCATAAATGTCTTCTTTTGAGAAGTGTCTGTTCATGTCCTTCACCCACTTTTTGATGGGGTTGTTTTTTTCTTGTAAATTTGTTTGAGTTCATTGTAGATTCTGGATATTAGCCCTTTGTCAGATGAGTAGGTTGCGAAAATTTTCTCCCATGTTGTAGGTTGCCTGTTCACTCTGATGGTAGTTTCTTTTGCTGTGCAGAAGCTCTTTAGTTTAATTAGATCCCATTTGTCAATTTTGGCTTTTGTTGCCATTGCTTTTGGTGTTTTGGACATGAAGTCCTTGCCCACGCCTGTGTCCTGAATGGTAATGCCTAGGTTTTCTTCTAGGGTTTTTATGGTTTTAGGTCTAACGTTTAAATCTTTAATCCATCTTGAATTGATTTTTGTATAAGGTGTAAGGAAGGGATCCAGTTTCAGCTTTCTACATATGGCTAGCCAGTTTTCCCAGCACCATTTGTTAAATAGGGAATCCTTTCCCCATTGCTTGTTTTTCTCAGGTTTGTCAAAGATCAGATAGTTGTAGATATGCGGCATTATTTCTGGGGGCTCTGTTCTGTTCCATTGATCTATATCTCTGTTTTGGTACCAGTACCATGCTGTTTTGGTTACTGTAGCCTTGTAGTATAGTTTGAAGTCAGGTAGTGTGATGCCTCCAGCTTTGTTCTTTTGGCTTAGGATTGACTTGGCGATGTGGGCTCTTTTTTGGTTCCATATGAACTTTAAAGTAGTTTTTTCCAATTCTGTGAAGAAAGTCATTGGTAGCTTGATGGGGATGGCATTGAATCTGTAAATTACCTTGGGCAGTATGGCCATTTTCACGATATTGATTCCTCCTACCCATGAGCATGGAATGTTCTTCCATTTGTTTGTGTCCTCTTTTATTTCCTTGAGCAGTGGTTTGTAGTT
This sequence comes from Homo sapiens, assembly GCF_000001405.40. NCBI lineage: Eukaryota > Metazoa > Chordata > Mammalia > Primates > Hominidae > Homo > Homo sapiens. Next base: position 146,718,884 of record NC_000001.11, read on the forward strand.
CTCCTTGAAGAGGTCCTTCACATCCCTTGTAAGTTGGATTCCTAGGTATTTTATTCTCTTTGAAGCAATTGTGAATGGGAGTTCACTCATGATTTGGCTCTCTGTTTGTCTGTTGTTGGTGTATAAGAATGCTTGTGATTTTTGTACATTGATTTTGTATCCTGAGACTTTGCTGAAGTTGCTGATCAGCTTAAGGAGATTTTGGGCTGAGACGATGGGGTTTTCTAGATAAACAATCATGTCGTCTGCAAACAGGGACAATTTGACTTCCTCTTTTCCTAATTGAATACCCTTTATTTCCTTCTCCTGCCTGATTGCCCTGGCCAGAACTTCCAACACTATGTTGAATAGGAGCGGTGAGAGAGGGCATCCCTGTCTTGTGCCAGTTTTCAAAGGGAATGCTTCCAGTTTTTGCCCATTCAGTATGATATTGGCTGTGGGTTTGTCATAGATAGCTCTTATTATTTTGAAATACGTCCCATCAATACCTAATTTATTGAGAGTTTTTAGCATGAAGGGTTGTTGAATTTTGTCAAAGGCTTTTTCTGCATCTATTGAGATAATCATGTGGTTTTTGTCTTTGGCTCTGTTTATATGCTGGATTACATTTATTGATTTGCATATATTGAACCAGCCTTGCATCCCAGGGATGAAGCCCACTTGATCATGGTGGATAAGCTTTTTGATGTGCTGCTGGATTCGATTTGCCAGTATTTTATTGAGGATTTTTGCATCAATGTTCATCAAGGATATTGGTCTAAAATTCTCTTTTTTGGTTGTGTCTCTGCCCGGCTTTGGTATCAGCATGATGCTGGCCTCATAAAATGAGTTAGGGAGGATTCCCTCTTTTTCTATTGATTGGAATAGTTTCAGAAGGAATGGTACCAGTTCCTCCTTGTACCTCTGGTAGAATTCGGCTGTGAATCCATCTGGTCCTGGACTCTTTTTGGTTGGTAAACTATTGATTATTGCCACAATTTCAGAGCCTGTTATTGGTCTATTCAGAGATTCAACTTCTTCCTGGTTTAGTCTTGGGAGAGTGTATGTGTCGAGGAATGTATCCATTTCTTCTAGATTTTCTAGTTTATTTGCGTAGAGGTGTTTGTAGTATTCTCTGATGGTAGTTTGTATTTCTGTGGGATCGGTGGTGATATCCCCTTTATCATTTTTTATTGTGTCTATTTGATTCTTCTCTCTTTTTTTCTTTATTAGTCTTGCTAGCGGTCTATCAATTTTGTTGATCCTTTCAAAAAACCAGCTCCTGGATTCATTGATTTTTTGAAGGGTTTTTTATGTCTCTATTTCCTTCAGTTCTGCTCTGATTTTAGTTATTTCTTGCCTTCTGCTAGCTTTTGAATGTGTTTGCTCTTGCTTTTCTAGTTCTTTTAATTGTGATGTTAGGGTGTCAATTTTGGATCTTTCCTGCTTTCTCTTGTAGGCATTTAGTGCTATAAATTTCCCTCTACACACTGCTTTGAATGCGTCCCAGAGATTCTGGTATGTGGTGTCTTTGTTCTCGTTGGTTTCAAAGAACATCTTTATTTCTGCCTTCATTTCGTTATGTACCCAGTAGTCATTCAGGAGCAGGTTGTTCAGTTTCCATGTAGTTGAGCGGCTTTGAGTGAGATTCTTAATCCTGAGTTCTAGTTTGATTGCACTGTGGTCTGAGAGATAGTTTGTTATAATTTCTGTTCTTTTACATTTGCTGAGGAGAGCTTTACTTCCAACTATGTGGTCAATTTTGGAATAGGTGTGGTGTGGTGCTGAAAAAAATGTATATTCTGTTGATTTGGGGTGGAGAGTTCTGTAGATGTCTATTAGGTCTGCTTGGTGCAGAGCTGAGTTCAATTCCTGGGTATCCTTGTTGACTTTCTGTCTCGTTGATCTGTCTAATGTTGACAGTGGGGTGTTAAAGTCTCCCATTATTAATGTGTGGGAGTCTAAGTCTCTTTGTAGGTCACTCAGGACTTGCTTTATGAATCTGGGTGCTCCTGTATTGGGTGCATAAATATTTAGGATAGTTAGCTCCTCTTGTTGAATTGATCCCTTTACCATTATGTAATGGCCTTCTTTGTCTCTTTTGATCTTTGTTGGTTTAAAGTCTGTTTTATCAGAGACTAGGATTGCAACCCCTGCCTTTTTTTGTTTTCCATTTGCTTGGTAGATCTTCCTCCATCCTTTTATTTTGAGCCTATGTGTGTCTCTGCACGTGAGATGGGTTTCCTGAATACAGCACACTGATGGGTCTTGACTCTTTATCCAACTTGCCAGTCTGTGTCTTTTAATTGCAGAATTTAGTCCATTTATATTTAAAGTTAATATTGTTATGTGTGAATTTGATCCTGTCATTATGATGTTAGCTGGTGATTTTGCTCATTAGTTGATGCAGTTTCTTCCTAGTCTCGATGGTCTTTACATTTTGGCATGATTTTGCAGCGGCTGGTACCGGTTGTTCCTTTCCATGTTTAGCGCTTCCTTCAGGAGCTCTTTTAGGGCCGGCCTGGTGGTGACAGAATCTCTCAGCATTTGCTTGTCTATAAAGTATTTTATTTCTCCTTCACTTATGAAGCTTAGTTTGGCTGGATATGAAATTCTGGGTTGAAAATTCTTTTCTTTAAGAATGTTGAATATTGGCCCCCACTCTCTTCTGGCTTGTAGGGTTTCTGCCGAGAGATCCGCTGTTAGTCTGATGGGCTTTCCTTTGAGGGTAATCCGACCTTTCTCTCTGGCTGCCCTTAACATTTTTTCCTTCATTTCAACTTTGGTGAATCTGACAATTATGTGTCTTGGAGTTGCTCTTCTCTAGGAGTATCTTTGTGGCGTTCTCTGTATTTCCTGAATCTGAATGTTGCCCTGCCTTGCTAGATTGGGGAAGTTCTCCTGGATAATATCCTGCAGAGTGTTTTCCAACTTGGTTCCATTCTCCACATCACTTTCAGGTACACCAATCAGACGTAGATTTGGTCTTTTCACATAGTCCCATATTTCTTGGAGGCTTTGCTCATTTCTTTTTATTCTTTTTTCTCTAAACTTCCCTTCTCGCTTCATTTCATTCATTTCATCTTCCATTGCTGATACCCTTTCTTCCAGTTGATCGCATCGGCTCCTGAGGCTTCTGCATTCTTCACGTAGTTCTCGAGCCTTGGTTTTCAGCTCCATCAGCTCCTTTAAGCACTTCTCTGTATTGGTTATTCTAGTTATACATTCTTCTAAATTTTTTTCAAAGTTTTCAACTTCTTTGCCTTTGGTTTGAATGTCCTCCCGTAGCTCAGAGTAATTTGATCGTCTGAAGCCTTCTTCTCTCAGCTCGTCAAAATCATTCTCCATCCAGCTTTGTTCTGTTGCTGGTGAGGAACTGCGTTCCTTTGGAGGAGGAGAGGCGCTCTGCGTTTTAGAGTTTCCAGTTTTTCTGTTCTGTTTTTTCCCCATCTTTGCGGTTTTATCTACTTTTGGTCTTTGATGATGGTGATGTACAGATGGGTTTTCGGTGTAGATGTCCTTTCTGGTTGTTAGTTTTCCTTCTAACAGACAGGACCCTCAGCTGCAGGTCTGTTGGAATACCCTGCCGTGTGAGGTGTCAGTGTGCCCCTGCTGGGGGGTGCCTCCCAGTTAGGCTGCTCGGGGGTCAGGGGTCAGGGACCCACTTGAGGAGGCAGTCTGCCCGTTCTCAGATCTCCAGCTGCGTGCTGGGAGAACCACTGCTCTCTTCAAAGCTGTCAGACAGGGACACTTAAGTCTGCAGAGGTTACTGCTGTCTTTTTGTTTGTCTGTGCCCTGCCCCCAGAGGTGGAGCCTACAGAGGCAGGCAGGCCTCCTTGAGCTGTGGTGGGCTCCACCCAGTTCGAGCTTCCTGGCTGCTTTGTTTACCTAAGCAAGCCTGGGCAATGGCGGGCGCCCCTCCCCCAGCCTCGTTGCCGCCTTGCAGTTTGATCTCAGACTGCTGTGCTAGCAATCAGCGAGATTCCGTGGGCGTAGGACCCTCCGAGCCAGGTGTGGGATATCGTCTCGTGGTGCGCCGTTTCTTAAGCCGGTCTGAAAAGCGCAATATTCGGGTGGGAGTGACCCGATTTTCCAGGTGCGTCCGTCACCCCTTTCTTTGACTCGGAAAGGGAACTCCCTGACCCCTTGCGCTTCCCAGGTGAGGCAATGCCTCGCCCTGCTTCGGCTCGCGCACGGTGCGCGCACACACTGGCCTGCGCCCACTGTCTGGCACTCCCTAGTGAGATGAACCCGGTACCTCAGATGGAAATGCAGAAATCACCCGTCTTCTGCGTCGCTCACGCTGGGAGCTGTAGACCGGAGCTGTTCCTATTCGGCCATCTTGGCTCCTCCCTCCCGTGTTTTCCCTTCTTAAAAGAGCAACCAGAGCTCATCTCAGAGCCTTCACCAGGCAAGAAAATAATTACATTGATTTTTTTCCATTGTGTTGATTTTTCTAAATATGCTAGATAATCCTGTGTTTTCATTTATAGTAAATGAAATAGACATAGACTATATCATTTACTATATTATATAGTAAATGACATAGAATTTTCCTTTAAACTACGCCTATTAATGAATACCACAATGTGATATCACCGTATGCTCATTTGAATGGCTAAAATGTAAAAGACTAAATACCAAGTGTGGATGAGAATGCAGACCAACGAGAACTCTCATACAATGCAGGTGGTAGTGTAAAGTGGTACAACAATTTTGGAAAACTGGTTGGCAGTTTCTTGTAATGTTAAATATACATATACCATACAACCCAGCAATTCGCTTCCAAGGAATTTACCCAAGAAGAATGAAAACATATGTCTACAAAAAGACTTGTACACAGATGTTCATAGCAACTTGATTCATAGTATCTAAAAGCTAGAAATAGTAAAGGTGTCCATCAACAAAAAGATGGGAAAACATCCACACTATGGAATACTGCTCCAAAGAAAGAACAGAATCATTGCTCCATGCAATAACATGGACAAATCTCAAAAACATCATGCCAAACAGAGGAAGTCAGACACAAATTTGTACATGTTTCCAATTTCATTTCTATGAAAGTGTGGGCAAATTAATCTCTAGTGATATTAAGCAGATGAGTGTTTGCACAAAGCAACTTTTTAGGATGATGGAAACATTCTGTTTATTAATGTGGTGATAGTTCCACAGATGTGTATACAACTCATCAAACTGTGCGCTTACAAATCACGAAGATGGTAGTGGGATCCCTGAAATTTAGGAAATGATACTCTAGGATCCCTGAAATTTAGGAAATGATACTCTAGGACATGGTTAGAGTGGACAGTGTCCTAAAAGAAGTGCAGATGAAGTGCTCTGAAGCTTCCAAGGGAGGGAGAATTTCTTCCGGTGGGAAGATAGGCCAGTGGTGGGAGCTTCACATAATAGATGACATTTGTGCTGAGCCTCTGAGTACAGATGGGGCCAGAATGAGTATATAAGTGAAATAGATTGAAATTAACATCAAGGGCTTGAGATAGGTTGGGGAGGGTCAGAGAGGGGTCCAGAAAAAGCCATGCACCAAGGGGAAACAGGAAGAATGGGGGTGACCCCACAACCTTTGCCTTTGTGACATCCAAAGGCCTTTTTAATCAGTGGAACCTGGACATATGGGCTTCAGCACCAGCTGGTACAGTTGCTTTTCCCCTGGGTTCCTCTGCTCAGAGAACTTGAGTGGCAGCACAGCTCATTGGTGGGACCAGGACTAGGGTGTGGCGAGCAAGGCACTGAGGTCACATTGTAGGAGGCAAGGTCATGTAAGAAACCCGAGCCTGCACTTCCAGGCCCCTAACAGAGAGTGCTTCCCAGGCCTCAGCTGAGTCTTAGCCCTGCTTTCTGGTGAGCTGGGAGCAGGATCCCCAGTGGCTCATTCCTTCATGACCATGCCGACTACTTATTCCAGGCCAGGCACTGGATTAGACACCATATTGGATACCAGTCCTCAGCGAGTCCACATCTAACAGGGATGGTAAAAATAAGTGTGAAAGGGGAAGCCCAGGGGGCTATGGACACTCAGAGGAAAGAAGTTGGGCCTAGACTGGTAGTCAGAAAACTTTTTAAGAGCAAGTGAAACTTTAGCTGAGATTTGAAGAAGGCAAGTTCAAGGGAGGGTGTAGGGTGGTCCCTACTAGATCTGCCTGGTCTAGGATTTGGAGTTTGGCCTTAGAAACTGAGAGCCCACTGAACACTGATTTGCAAAAACTGATGTCTCCTGTCTCCCCCTATTCCCTGTCCCATGCTTTGGTAGGTTTGTGACATTGCCAAAGAAGCCCTACAGTGCCCCACTGTCCCAGATGGAGTCCATCCCAGCAACCTCAGAGGCTGCCAGCCCACCAGCAATCCTAGTTACAGTAGAGTCCCCCGAGATGGATTTAAATGATTTTGTTAAGTAAGTGCAAAGCCAACATAGATTTTTTGTAGTAGCTTTTCTTTTCTTTACACGGACTTACATTCTCAATACTCATCCCTCATTGGTTCATTCATCCAGTCCCCAGTCAACAGTTTAATAAATGTCTTCTATGTGTAGGCCCCAGACTAGACATCTGGGATAGGGAGAGGGTACCATCATGAGTCCTGGGGGACTGGGCCCTTCCTATCATATTGTCCTCTCTGTATGTCCAAGGTCTACAGTCAGGATTGGGTCCAGGGTAGCAAGCAGGAAAGGATATATCAATTCACCAAACATTATGTCCTCACAATAAAATGCTCCAATAAATAGGGAAACAACATTGAGCACATAGAACACCCACATTGTCTGAAGAATTGCTGGAGCTTCCTAGGACTTTTTGTAAGTTGAACATGGGCTTGGTGGGCCAGTAAAAAAGGGTTGAGCCCCGTGAAAAATTGACCAGTTCAGTGGCCTAGACCACATGTTTGGGGGCATAGGGCAACAGGGCCCTGACCAGCTGACCTCTTGAGAAAGGTGTCCCTTGATTGAGAATCCCCCTTACGTTTGGGGGTGTGGTAAAGGGAGAAGAGGAAGACAGGGCTGTTATGCACCTGAGACTGTGTGGCGATGACAGCCCAATGAGTGAATCTCTGCATTTCATTAAACTTCCTAGGACTGTCCTTGTGGATGAAGATGCCAGGCCTGAAGAAAAAGAACTAAGAAAAACAAAAGCTTCCAGTGTGATCTCAGATGTACGGTGTCCTTTCCATGGGGAGGGTAGGCAGGTCAAGGGTCCTTCCCATAAAACAAAGGCAGAATCAGGAGCAGAGTGGCCAGTACAATGCTTGGGTTTAATTGGGACAAAGCCGTACAGCTTTACCCACATTTCTTCCCAGCCAAACACCCCAGAGCCAACACTCAGTGAGAGCCTACACTTGTGATGTTCCTACACCATAGATAGAGGATACTAAAGGAAAAATATTTTCTTAATAATTCTGTAGCAAAAGCAGAGGGGGCTTAAAAATTAATACCTTTAAATTCTCCTTCTAGAATGATGGCCTAAGTAAACTATTGGAGATACAAAGATGTGCATACAAAGATGCTTGTTACAACATTTTAGAAACAGCAAAAAATGAAAAAAAAAAATGGAAGATAAATTGCTGTATGTCCATGATGTGATGCAATCTTTTAAAATAGTGTTGAGTGGGATTTTCCTATGGTGTGGGTAGGAGTATGAATTGGCATAACCTCTATAACATACAACTTTGCAAGTAGATCAAAATTTAAAATGCATTGTCCCCCCTTCTAGAAATTATCCTCCAGATACACCTCTGCACTTGCATAAAGCATGTAACCATCCTTGTACACTGCAGCTTTGTTTGTAAAAGCAAGAAATATTGGAAACAACTTAATCCCACCAATAGGAGACCGTCTGAATAAACTAAATTACATCTGCACAAGGCAATACTATGAAATTCTTTTTTAAAAATGAGAAAGTTCTCTACATACTAATTTGGCACAATCTTTGATATATTAAGAAAAAATACCCAGTGCAAAACAAAGTACACTGTGTGCTACCATTTGTATAAAGAAAAAAAGTCTATGAAAGCAACCAACACTTAACTGAGCACTGACCTAAGCTTTTTTTTTTTTTTTTTTTTTTTTTTTTTTTTTTTTTTTTTGAGGCAGAGTCTCACTCTGTTGCCCAGGCCAGAGTGAAGTGGTACCATCTTGACCCACTGCAACCTCCACCTCCTGGGTTCAAGCAATTCTCGTGCTTCAGCCTCCCAAATAGCTGGGATTACAGGCACTTGCCATCATGCCCGGCTAATTTTTGTATTTCAGTAGAGACAGGGTTTCACCATGTTGCCCGGGGTGGTCTTGAACATCTGAGCTCAGGCAATCCACCTGCCTCAGCCTCCCAAAGTCCTGGGATTACAGCCATGAGCCATCGCCCCCAGCTAAGCAATTTTTTACATTAACTCTTTTACTTTTCCCAACACCCCTGTGAGGTGGATACCACTATCTTTCCCCATTTTACCAATGCAGGGACACGTCCATCAAGCAGTGGAGCTGGAAGACTCGACCATCTTGCTTGCTCTTAGCTACTGTGTTACCTCTCAAACAGTTACATAGATATCTTTGCTTGTGCATGGAATATCTCTGGAATTTAATCTTCATGAGGGCAGGAATTTTTTTTCTGTTTTGTTCATCGTCATATCCTCAGGATATAGAACTGGTTCTTAGTAAGTCCCCAGTAAATATCAGCTGAATGAAGAGGAATAACTAAATTCAACATATAGGAAACTGGACAGTGGGTACCTCAGGAGGGGAGAACCAGAGAACTGTAGGGATAGAAGTCTTTTTTTATCTTTTTACCATATATCCTTTTGAATATTTTAAATTTGTATCGTGTACAATCAACTTTCTAAAATACTTTAAGTGATGTTTGTGAAGAATATTCAGTCATATGGGAAGATGGCACTCATATTAGGTCAACTGAAAAATCAGAATACAAATATATATGCACACATAATACACTATATATACACACATATATATAATAATATTTATCTACAGTATAACCTGAGATGGACTTTTATTTCTTTCCTTGGAGCTTTCTATATTTTAAAAATTTTTTAGAATGAGTATTTGTGAGTATATAAAATATTTGTCTTTTAAATATTAATTCTTCTTTTTCTATTTTCAAAGATGCGTGTCATAGAAAACTCAAGAATAGGCCAGAAACAGTGGTTCACGCCTGTAACCCCAGTACTTTGGGAGCCAAGGCAGGAGGATGGCTTGAGGCCACGAGTTCAAGACCAGCCTGGGCAACATAACGAGACTCCAGGGTGTGTGGTGGTGCACGCCTGCAGTCCTGGCTACTTTAGGGAGGCTGAGGTGGGAAGGTCACTCGAGCCCAGGCATTCAAGGCTGCGGTGAGCTCTGATCATGCCACTGCATTCCAGCCTGGGTGACAGAGACAGACATCTTGTCTCAAAAATAAAATATATATGTACATATATATGTACATATGTGTACATATAAACTCAAGAATACAGAAAAATTAAAGCAAACATCCTCAAAATTCCCATCTTCTTTCTACCCCACTGAGAAAAATGCTACGAAATCCTTAGCAAACAACCTCCCAGATATTTCTATTTGCCAATGCAAATCTCTGAAGGAATTTACACACACACACCTTCAGACACATGAGGCATATGTAATTTTACATGAATAGAACTGCTTTTCACTCAATAATATGTTGTGCACATCATCCCTATCCATAAATATACATGCATTATCCTTCATGGATAGGTGTACCACACACACTTCATTTAAAGTGACCCCCTATTGATGGGCACTGAGTTGGCTTCCAAAGTTTTGCTGTTATAAATAATGCTGCAGTAAACATCCTCGTATGTACATTATAGTCACTTGCTCAATTATCTCCCTGGGAAAAAATGTACTATTTTTATAATCATATACAACATACTTTATTTTTCTGTCAATTGATGATCCATTTTGAATGCTTGCCAGCTTTTCCTCACATCTTTAATTTCTAGGAAATAAAAATTAGCTCTACTGAAATAGAAAGAATATACTCAAGCCAGAGCCAGGTGGAGGATCAGGAATCCCTACAGACCTGTGAACAGAATGAGATGCTTTCCATTGGGATAGAAGAAGTAAGTGACACCGTGTGATTCCTGACCTTATCAGACACTAACTTTACTTTCTAACTGAGCAGCTGCCCCACATTAGAAACTTAAATCTCACCAGAGCACTGTTACCATCATTACCATTATGTGTTTTCAGGGTGCTGGGCTACCTTCTATCAAATGAGTTAAAGACTGGAATTAATGTGTAAATTGACATAACTTTCACTTATCCTTGGCAGGCATTCATCCCAACAGCTGCTCTCTTACAGAATGACTTTCTCTGCAGGTGTTTGATATTTTGCCCCTGTTTGGAGTGTTGCAGCCACACAGTAGCCACCAAATATCGTTCACCTTCTATGGACACGCTAACATCATTGCACAAGCTAAAGCTCTGTGTGAAGTGGAAGAAGGACCCACCTACGAAATAACACTGAAGGGAGAGGCGTCCCTGGTCAACTATTCCTTTGACACCAAGGATATTCACTACGGATTACAGGTATCACAAACCATCGGGTAGAGATTTTCTGGTTTTGTCTTAAGCATCTTAAACAAATCTCTCCTGAACCCCAATCATCATAGTCTCGCCATCACCCCGTCCTTGATCTCCCATCAGCCTCCCTAACCCTGACCATCCTCCTGCTGCCAACTGTTTGCCAGATACTTACACTTGCTTTTCTTATCGTCTCCTGAAACTCAGCATGTTAGATGCTCAAGGTCACTTCTTCCCTTTCAATCCAGGAGCCTGTTCCAACTTCTGCATTTCTTTCAATAGCATTACCATTTTCTCCACCCTTGGGTTCACAATCTCCAAGGCTTTTCCGCTGCACTCTCTCCTTCACCTCTCCACATCCTTCTAAGCCTCCAGGGTTTGCTGACTCATCACCAGCGTCCCTCTCTGAGTCAGTTTTCTCTTCCCATTGCCACTGATATCACATTACAGGGTCTCATCGAGCCATGCCTAAATTATTACAGCAGTTCCTCCCACACTGTAATGTGCCTATGAATCACCTGGGAGTTTTGTTCAAGTGCAGATTCTGATTCAGTAAGTCCAGCGACATTTTCCAAAATGGTGTTGTCATCCTGTCAGTCCCTGACCAATTAATCCCAGCAGCATTTGGCAAAGCAATGTGATATTGACCAAAGAGCGTGGTTTTGTATTCCGGTTTTACTTCCTCTTTGTATTCCGGTTTTACTTCCTCTTCCTATTCCAGTTTTACTTCCTCCCGACTGCATGACCTTGGGCACATCACCTCTCCAAGCCTCAGTGTCCCTCATCTATAAGGTGGGAACGGAGTAGCAAGCCCATCCCACCAGGAGTTGTCATTGCTTAAAGCATCTATCTGGTCAGTGCTGTGCTGGGTCAGAGTTGGCTGTCAATTGTCATGAGTTCCTTTGGGTCAGAGCCCATTCCTCACCTGGGTGAGGCTATCCTAAGCCTCTCTATTAACTGGTGATCTTTACACTGGAAGTTTCACTTCCCATAATTCCCTCTTGTAGTCCATACATTTCACTGTGGCCAAGCTGGTCTACCCACCGGCCCCAGTGCACCCCAGCGCTTCATGCAGCTACACTTTGTCTTACCTTATCCCTCTCATCCTCCACTCTGCCAAACCCAAACCTTTACATCCTATAAGACCCAGCTCAGCTCCTTCTAGGGTTATCTTTTACTTTACATTCCCTTGGCACTTAATGATAGTCTTTGCCATAATATAATATACTTTCCCATTTTTGTTTTGGAATAATTGTCAATTAATTCCATCAGTACACATTCTCTTCCCAATCAGATTTTGTGTTATGCACTCGGAGACCATATCTCCTACCAAATTTCAATGAGGATTGAATCTCCATTACATAGCTCCTGCATGTATCATTACTGAATTGTATGCATGCATGTGTGTTTATAGATCAAAGATTGTGCCTAAAATCTGATTCACCCAACACCTACTGAGACCATCTCCATGATGCTGACCAAATAGAATTCTCTTTCCTTCGTCGTCTCCAGGGTCCTTTGGGCACTTGGTTTCGGCTCATCTCTGAGTATAGTATAGTCTTTGAAGCAGTCAGACCTCACCCTAGCTTTTCCTAAGGACCCCCAAAGTGGCCTGTTTGTGGTTATTGGGCCTGCTAACCCAGCTGGTGAATTATGTTAGCAAAATTCCAGGAAAAAGAACATGACTGGCCTGTTACACCCATGGTTCTCCATTTGAATGGAAAAGTTCATTCTAGAACATTCTAAACTCAAATCTTTTGTTTTTCTTACAGGACAGAATCCAGAAGGCAAATCTTTTTTTTTTTAATTTATTTATTTTAATTCTTTTTATTATACTTTAAGTTCTAGGGTATATGTGCACAACGTGCAGGTTTGTTGCATATGTATACATGTGCCATGTTGGTGTGCTGCACCCATTAACTTGTCATTTACATTAGGTATATCGCCTAATGCTATCCCTCCCCCCTCCCCCCGACCCCACAACAGGCCCTGGTGTGTGATGTTCCCCTTCCTGTGTCCAAGTGTTCTCATTGTTCAATTCCCACCTATGAGTGAGAACATGCGGTGTTTGGTTTTTTTGTCCTTGCGATAGTTTGCTGAGAATGATGGTTTCCAGCTTCATCCATGTCCCTACAAAGACATGAACTCATCATTTTTTATGGCTGCATCTCGCTGGGGCCTTACGAGCTTACTTTCTCACTATTCACAATAGCAAAGACTTGGAACCAACCCAAATGTCCAACAATGATAGACTGGATTAAGAAAATGTGGCACATATACACCATGGAATACTAGGCAAATCTTTTTAATGTAGAAAGCTTACTTTAAGATTCTCTATTACAAGTTCCTGTAGTGAAAAAACTGAGACCCAGGAAGGTGAAATGCTCAGCCCCACAGCCATACCTAAACTAAATCGGTTCTTAGAAGAACTAAGAGCCAGGTTTCCGGAGTCTAGTGCCCCAGTAGGCATTTGTTGTGATGCTGAGATGTAGATTGACCAGTATTTACATCAGGAGCTGTCACACCCTTATCCATGAGGCATGTTTCTGCACCTTTGTCACTATCAAAGCCGCATCCCAAGATGGAGTCACTCTTCTCCTTCTCTTCTCAAGCTGTTTGACCATGTCACAGAGAGGGAAATCACGCTGACGAACATGGGGAAAGTTGGCTTTGAGTTCAAGGTTCTGACTGACCACCAGTCTTCTCCAGACAACCTTCTCCCTGGAGTGCCACTAATCCTGCCTGTGTCTGTAAGTAAATGGTGGGAGGGGCCTGAATTCAAACCTACGAGCCCCACTCCGAAGCAGGTGAGTATTCACGACCAGGATTACAAGTGTGATTTTTTCTTTTTGTTAAAACTAAAGAACTCTCAGAAGCAGAAAAAAAAAAATAAATCCAAGCCACTTCGCTCATTTATTAAACAAATATTTATTTAGTCCCACAGTAACCAGTTTCCAGGCACCAGGGATACAGCAATCAACAAGACAGATGCAACCCATGGATTTTTTTTTCCATGATAATGAGACTAATTTATTTCCACCGATGTCTTCACGCTGCCCTTGTAATTCCCGAGGGCTTCCTCTCCACTGACTTCAGCAGGTGTGAAAACACTAGCAGACTGCGCTGAGCCAAACTGGTTTCAGAAGCAAACAGAGAAAGTGGTTCCTTGTTCATATTATGTTGATCTACCAGTTTTAAGGAACATTTGTTGAATTTTTCTCATTATGAAAATAGCACATAATTGTTATAAAAAAAGGAAAATATTTTTAAAGTGTAATTATTCATAATCTTGTAAATCCAAAGATAATGAGCACCATCATCTTTAATGATAAAGTCTGTTCTTCCCCTAAGTCATCTCACATATTTGGGTTTACTGCTGGTCTCTTTATTCTTCATTGCTCTGTTTGTCCCTACATTAATACTGTACTATTTTAGCTGCTATGGCTTTAGAAATACATCTTAATATCTGTTAGGTCAACTCCCCTTTTGGTTTTTTTTCCCAATTTGTCTTAGCTAATCTTTTGAATTCACTTTTTTTTTTTTTTTTTTTTTTAAGACCAGGTCTGGCTCTGTCACCTAGACTGGAGTGCAGACCTCGACTCACTGCAACCGCTGCCTCCTGGGCTCAAGCAATCCTCCCACCTTAGCCTCCCACATAGCTGGGACCACAGGCATGCACCACCACACCCAGCTAATTTTTGTATTTATTGTTTATTTTATTTATTTATTTTTTGTTTTTTAGAGACAGGGTCTTGCCATGTTGCCCAGGCTGGTCTTGAACTCCTGAACTCAAGGTGTCTGCCTGCCTTGGCATCCCAAAGTGCTGGGATTACAGGCGTGAGCCCCATCTCGCCCAGCCCAAATTCACTCTTGTGTTTTGTTTCTCTAATTTTGTGACTTGAATGCCTGCTTTTATTGTTTTTCTTAGTTAATAATGAAAAAATGTAAGACTATTCATTTGCCTAAGGACACCTTTAGCCTTACCCCTTATATTTTAAGAAAATTACAGATAAAAAAGTAGATGACAATTTTTGTGTGTTTTATACATGTTAATATTTACTATTATGATTTTCATTATTTTCTAAGTCGTCTTAAATTATAGTTTTACTTACAAATGTAATTTAAAATTTATTTTTCTTTTTTTAATTTCCAAATGATTATGATTTTTGCTTTTGTTACTTATATTGTTACCAATATTGAGGTTTTTTTGAATCACGATCAGATAATATGGCCCTCTAAATTCCTACTTAGTGAATTTATTAATATATTTTAGTGACCTAAAGTAATTTTTAATACTAATAAATGTTTGAAAATAATGTTACCTGGGCTATAGAATCCAGATTATCATATCTGGATTCTCTACTAAATTAACCCAAATAATTATAACATTAAAATCTTCTATATCTTTTTCTGTTTAATTTTTCTAAGACTCAAGAGTGGTATATAAAACTTTTGTCCATTTCTCTATTGTTTTCTACAAATACATACACCTTTTTGTTTATACCCTTTCGTTTCTGTGTTGACACAGAAGATCTCATGACTATTAAGTGTTCATCATGGACTGTGTGTTCTGTCTACCTTCAATTGCCTTCTTGTTCCCTTTGAATGCTCTTCTTTGAATTCCCCTTTGTTTGGTCTTAATATTGTGATTGCTGCTTTCTTTTTGCCTTACATAATTTGCCCATAGTCTTATTTCATTTTGTTTTAGGCTTATCATTCATAAAACATACTTATTTGGATTTTATTTTTTAATCTTCTCTGAGAGTCCTTAAGTTTCAATAGGAACATTTAACACATTCTTATGATTAGCAAAACTGAAATGCTTGCTATTATTTCTTTCATCGTATCTTGTCTATTTTTTAAATTTACTCAGTGTTTTCTTTCTATTCGATCTTTTTATCATAATTGCTATGTTTTCCTTGCCCTTTTTCTAAAGATTTTTAAGCATTTGAATTTACATTGCTGCAGTTATTGTAAATTGATAACAACTCTATAGAGAATAATTTGGCCTTATCTATCAAAATTACACTTTGACCTAGAAATTTCATTTCTAAGAATTTATTCTACATACACGTTCCCACATTTGCAAAATGATGTGTTTATAAGATTATTTCCTATATAATCTGTAATGGCAATAGCAAAAGACCAGAAACAAACTAAATGTCTATCAGTAGGAAACTAGTTTTTAAAAATATGTTAAAACTATGTAATGGAATAATATGTAGCAACTAAAAAGGATGGAGCAGCTCTAGAAGTACTAATATTGAATTAATCGTAAAATATATTGTTAGGTAAAATGAAAAGAAAAGGAAGACGAAAAACACTCTGTATGCTACCATCTGCATTTAAATATTATATATATATATATATTGCTGGATTCACTCAGCTAACATTTTACTTACAATTTTTGCACCTTTGTTAAGTGATCGTTGGTTCATAAATTTCCTTCTTCATGCTGCATTTGATCAGTTTGGATATCAGAATAAATAAATGGGCATTTCTCTCTCTTCTATTTCCTGAATGGGTCATAAACTGAAGTGATTATCTGTTTTTGAAGGAATAGCAGACCTTGCTTCCAATGCCATATATTCCTTTGTCAGGGTAATTGTCTTCATTTTTCAGCTTCTGTATAGGATACAGATCACTCTAAGGTTTTTGAGTTTTGTTATTCATATTTTTCTAGGAAATTGTTAATTTCACAAAAATGTTTTAATATATTGACGTAAAGTTTTCTCATAATTGTATATGATTTATGTACTATTTTACTATATATTTATGAACGATTTTTCTTTTTTTTTTCTCTTTTTTTTTTTTTGAGACGGAGTCTTGCTCTGTCGCTCAGGTTGGAGTGCAGTGGCGCGATCTCGGCTCACTGCAAGCTCTGCCTCCCGGGTTCACGCCATTCTCCTGCCTCAGCCTCCCGAGTAGCTGGGACTACAGGTGCCCACCACCATGCCTGGCTAATTTTTTGTATTTTTAGCAGAGACGGGGTTTTACAATGTTAGCCAGGATAGTCTCGATCTCCTGACCTCGTGATCCACCCACCTCAGCCTCCCAAAGTGCTGGGATTACAGGCGTGAGCCACCAGGCCCGGCCGAACCATTTTTCTTTTTACATTTTTAGTGACTTTTCTCCTTATCTTCTTAATCAGTCTTGCCAGTTTTGTGTATTTTATTCGTCTTTTTTCAAAGAACCAGTTTGTGGATTTATGAACCTCTTCTGTTTCTTTGCACTCATTTCATTAAATCTCTTACTCCTTTCCTTCTTTTTTTAGGTTTACTTTGTCATTGGTGTTGTTGTTTTAAGTAATTTAATGAGTTGAACCTGTACTGTAGCACATTCGTTTTCCCTTTTCTGGTCTTTTTACCGCGTAGGGCTTTATCAGTTCACATCAAGAGCAGGTATTAAAAGTTTACTACCTACCTGGAGTACCTGAGGTCTTTAAAAGGAGTTTCCAGATACAGATCGCCCACCTGGACCCAGAAAATATCACTCTGAGCGGAGAGGGAATCTTTCCCCAAATCTGCCTCGATCTCCCCAGGAACCTCACAGGTACTACTTCACACTGGAGTAGTTCCCCACTGGGGACAAAACAAGCATTTTAGCTTTGCTTATTGGAAGATTGCTGGCTACTTACTTTATTTGCTTGGAAATCCCCTGTGGTTCTCTTCCACATTATTCTGCAATTACCAAATTGGTGACCTGAGTTTACTGCGACAAGAAATCGTCTATGGCAGCCCCAAATGAAGAACCCTGGCCAATTTGGCCATTATTGAATTACTGACAGAGGGATCAGGAAATTTACCTCCAAAAGCTTTTCCTCCCCCATGCACTTTCCTTCTGGCCCCAGTCTTTCCCCGAGCTGTCCTTTCCCTGTGACATTCTCCTAGATGCCACTGGGAAGGTAAGAGCCAATGAGCTTCCAGGAGTAGAATTCTCAAAGTATAAACTGCACAGAAAGGCGGACACAGATTCTGAGCCCTTATTTTGGCATTACACAGGGTGAAGGCTAAATTAGACTTGAATAATTGTCTTCCCACTTACATTTCCCAGTTACATCTGGCCCCCAGGACTATCCTTTTGTACCAGAATATTTCTGTCTTGGCAGATTCCGAACCTCAGCTGAGCAGCCCTTTTTAGCCATAGACTGTCTCTGGCTCTTTCTTCCTGACGTCAGGTACAGGACGATGGATCAGGGAAACCTCTCACTCTTTATGAATCTCTATTCAAGCTCCTTGAAATCTACTTTCCCTAAAAAGCTTCAGACTAAGTCCTCCCACCCAGCCTCTCCTGTTACCCCATTCCCTGAAGTTACTAACTCTCCTGTTCATAATCATCCACTGAATTCTAATTGTCTGCTCCCTGAAAACTTGCATATATATATATATAATTTATATTTATATTTATATTTATATTTATATATATATATAGGCAAGACCCTGTCTCTTTTTTAAAAAGGTCTCGCTCTGTTACCCAGGCTGAAATACAGTGGTGCAATCAGAGCTCACTGTAATCTTAACTCTTAGGCTCAAGGGATCCTCCCGCTTCAGCTTCTTGAGTAGCTGGGACTACAGATGTGCACTGCCATGCCTGGCTAATTTTTTAATTTTTTTTTTTTATGATAGGATCTTACTTTGTTACCCAGGCTAGTCTTGCATTCCTGGTCTCAAGTGATCCTCCCATCTCAGCCTGCCAAAGCACTAAGATTACAGGTGTTGAGCCACAATGCCTGGCAATAAATGTCACTAATGCTAAGACCATGTTACACTCTCGTATCTAGAGTTCCAGCCAGATGAGGGTTACTCCAGCTCTACATATAATTTCAGGAAGGAAAACCTTTGCTATACGGTTGAAACTGGGCACCCAGCTGGCCTCATCAGGGCAGTAGACATGGTTTGGCCAGTAAGGGCTTTAAAATAATTTAAATTTGAACACCATTAGTTGGGTCTTCTGTTCTCCAGTTCACTACACTCACAGCATTTCCTATTGTTTTATAATAGGCTTTTTTGTTTGTTTGTTTGTTTGTTTTTTTGATACAGAGTCTTGCTCTGTCACCCAGGCTGGAGTTCAGTGACGGGGTCTCAGCTCACTGCAACCTCCACCTCCAGGGCTCAAGCGATTCTCATGCCTCAGGCTCCCCAGTAGCTGGGATTACAGCCACACACCACCATGCCCAGCTAATTTTTTGTAGAGACGGGGTTTTGTCATGTTGCCCAGGCTGGTCTTGAACTCCTAAGCTCAGGCAATCTGCCCGCCCTCAACCTCCCAAAGTGCTAGGATTACAGGCGTGAGCCACCACACCTGGCCTATAGTAGGCATTTTAAATGACTTTCCTACCTTTGCCTTTCAAAGGATTTGAATTGGCACTGGCGTAGTGGTAAATTCGGGTGGGAATCTCTCCACCGATTACCTACCCTCCCTGATTCAGGATAATGTGGCATATTTAGTGTTAATTAAAACAACTTGACCCAAACATATCTTTTGTTAATTGAGATTTAATAAACATAAAAAGTTACTTAAAGGGTGACCGGCTGTCTGGGTTTGTCCAGCACTGGGAGAGCTCCAGGGTGTAGGGGTTTAAGTGCTAGAACCAAGAAAACCCCAAGCAAGCCAGGATCAAGTGGGTCACCCTATGAGTGTCTTCGAATGTAACTAACTTCAAGTTCTGGAGAACCAGCCAGTCCTTCACTAAAGCACAATCTCATTGAACTCAGTGAGGTCTCTAATACAGATTCAACTCTCAAATCACCTCACCCTCTGAAGCAGGGAAAGCAGGGCAGACAAAGTATCCAAAAGTCCACTTCCCTTCCCACCTTACCAGGAGCTGAGGGTCTGTGTTTGCGACATCATTCATATTTTTCTGACCTTCCTGATTCTGCTCTCCTTCCAACCCCCACTCCCCACCCTGGTACAGCAAATGAAAAGTATGAAATGTTCTTGAATCAAGCCAGGAAAAACACAGACAAAGAGTATAACAAATGTGAAATGCTCGATCACTTTGACGTAATAACTGAGGAAGTGCCAGAAGACGAGCCTGCTGAGGTAAGACAGCTCCAGCCTGCACGGGACGCCTGTGCAGGAGGGTGGTGCGTGCAGAGTGCATAGGAGTTGTGTGCAGAGGGCACTGTGTGCACAGTGTGTGGGGTGTGTGTGCAGAAGGGCACTGTGTGCAGAAGCCCAGGGGCAAGGACATGGTCTCTGAGGTACAGAAAGGAGAAAGACAGAGATAAGGCAAAGAATCAGGAAGCTAGGAGAGGCAAGATGAGCCCAGGAGGTGAGGTATCAGATGGCTAATCTATTAAGGTTTTTGGACTTCGTCCTGAGGGCAACGAGAGGTGTGGCCCAATCAACTTTGCAACTTTAAGAGATCCCTCTGGCTGCCATGTGGAGCTTTGAGGGGACAGGAACTTGGGGATGATGAGAGTAGATTCGAGAGATCAGTTTTTTTAGAAGCTGACGGAGGGCCAGGTGCAGTGGCCCATTCCTATAATCCCAGTACTTTGGGAAGCCAAGGATGGCCTGAGGCCAGGAATTTGAGACCAGCCTGGACAACATGGTGAAACTCCATCTCTACAGTTTTTTTAAGCTGATGGAGTAATTCTAGGTGAGAGATGGTGGTGCTGTAAGCAATGGTGATGACAGTGGGGACAGGGCGAACTGGGTGGGTTCAAGGAATATTCCAGAAGTGGAATGGTCAAGACTTAGGGATTGATTGGATATGGGCATGGGGTGGAGGGGACCTCTAAGTCTTGCTTGGATGACGAGGTAAGGAGGGGGACTGAGACAGGCAACTCAGGAGGAGAAGCGAGGTCTTGGTGGGAGGGGAGGGAAGGGAAAGGAGTTCAGCTGTTTCCCGTGGCTACCGAATGTGAGATTTCTGTGCATCATCTGCGTAGAGCATCCAGTAGGGAACCGGAGCCACTGCTGGGCACCTCGGGGAGAGAGAGAGGTTGGAGAAGGTGACTTGAGAGTCATCAGATGATCATTGCAATCACAGGAAATGGGGAGATTCCCTAGGAAGTATGTCTAGTGAGCAGGAAAAAAGGCAGATTCAGAATGTAGCCCCAAAATACCCCAGCTTCTGAGTGGGGGAGAGGGGTGGCCAAAAGATTCTGGAAAAGTCAGGAGCATGTGGTGCCACAGAGGTGGGAGCCAAGCGAGGGTCTCTGGAGGAGAGAGCTTCTCAGCTTGTAAATAAAGGCTGGGATAGGAAGACAAAATCCCAATATATCCTCCCTCATCACCCCTGAAAGTCCTGTTTTAAAAGTCTATTCCTGACCCTGACAGCTGCCAACCCCCCTGCTGTTCTTTCCAAATGCAAATGTGCATGCGAATATTGTTCTAAGGAAGAATCATATATGTGGCTAGAGAGCCCTTAGGTTGGTTAAGAGGGGGCTCTAATGTGGGGCAGAAAGGTGTCATGGGGGAGACAGGAAGCACCAAAGCCCACCGGGGATTATTTGTTTTGCAGAAGGCTGGTTCAAGTACAAGATGCTAAAAGTGAACCTTAGCACCAAGGATGATCATAATTAATAACATCAGTTACCATTTATTGGACTCTTATACTAAGCCTGTGCCATACTGTTAACCTGTACTGTTATCTTGTTAAATCCTCCCACAATGAGGGTGGGGGGAGAATGGTGCTGCTGTCATCTAAATTTTAGTTTTACAGAAGTGAAGTGCATGTCCCAAGGCAAGCACAGAGCTAGGATTTGAAACCAGGCCTGCCCAGCTGCTAAGATGGTGCCCTTAGCCTCTGCCTTCTCCTGCCAGCCCCGGGCTGCCCACTGGACGCAATGATGTGTCTCCACCTGCTTATTGGGTTCCCAGGCTGCACCTTATCAAAGCCTAGGAGAGCAGTGGGGTGGGGTTTCTGTGAATATGATGGTACATGCAGAGCCAAGCTGGTTCCCTTGAGTAGGGCAGGGTGGACCACTCATGGCTCAGGAGCCAAGCACAGAGTTGGCTTTGCTGCTCTAGAATCCAGACAACTGGGAAGGCTGTCAGCAGACGCTGCTCCTCTCCCAGTTTGTCACACTTCCACTCTCACCTCCTGTGCCTCACTGTGGGCCATGGCACACATTAACCTTCCCTGCTGGGCCTAGACTTAAGGATTAGCCCTTTTCAAATAGTGTTTCTCAACCTTTTCCATTATCACTCCCTAAAAATCCATTTTAGACCTTTTTTCCTAATATTCCCCATGAAATATTTTTATTTATTATATACAAAATGGAATCTCCTTGAATAGTTTGACATACTTTTTAACTTTTTATTTTGAAATAATATATTTACAGGGAATTGAAAAAAAAAGGGTTTTCCCAGCAGTAACGTCTCGTATAACTATAGTACAACATCAAATCCATGAAATTGACATTTGTACAAGCCACAGAGCTTATTCAGATTTCACCACTTTTACATGCATGTGTGTATGTGTGTGGTGTAGTTCTGTGCAATTTTATCACATGTAGATTTGTGAACCCACCACCGCAATTAAGATCCAGAACTATTCCATTACCACCAAGATTCCTCGTGCTTCTTGAGGAAATAAAATTAAAAACAAAATCTCCCTCCAACCCAGAAAATCTATCCACAAAGGTAGAAGAGAAAGAAAACAATTTTATTATTGAATAAGCATTAAACCAGAATGTGATGCCCATCACAGGCAATCTGCTGAGAGATTGCAAAGGCAGAAGGAAGTCTGCCCCTCCTATAGAGCCAACCAGATCCAAGCCTTTTCATTCCTGTTCTCAGAGTAAAAAGTAGCTAGTCTCAAGTAAGAGGACTTGACACCATCATTTGCCACACATAGTTTATCCTAAATCGACATGGTAATTGAGGTGACCAACTGTGTTAGCTAATTGGCTTTATCCAAAGGAAAAACAAACTTGTCTTTCTAGCAGGGCCCCATGGAAGCTAGGCTCCCATCCTCTCACAGAAACTGGGAGTAGGGACTTCACCTTTCTTGTTGATTACGTGTCAAAGAGATGGTTCCCAGGTCCTTGAGAAAGACACTTCTGGCTCCTAAAGCTGGCAAGAGGCTTATTTCACTTTTAAAAAGATTTATCTACATTTCAAAGCGATAACATTTCAAAGAACTTAAAATTACAAATGTTCTAAACTAAATACTCTAAGGGGAGGAAGAGAAGTCTCTTCCCTTATTTTCAACAAGGAGAACTAAGCCTCATTTTCCATTTGTGTTTGGCCTTACATGTGCCCAGGTTATAACCACATCCACCCCTCTCTCCCTGTCCCTTACCTCTGGCAGCCACTCATCTGTTCTCCATCTTGAGCCTTTTGTTATTTCAAGAATGTTATATAAATGGAATCATACAGCACATCGCCTTTTGAGATTGGCTTTTTTCATTCCACATAATGCCCTTGTAATCCATTCAAGTTATGCACCTCAATAATTCATTCCCTTTTACTGCTGAGTATTCCATGGTGTGGATATACCGATTTGCTTACCCTTTCCACGCCCTTCCCAGGAAAAATGTAATGCTTTAAACATACCATGTATCTGTTTATGTTCTGTGGCTCTTTGGGGGCCGCAAACCATTGTAATATTTAAGATATTTTCCACCACCCTCCAAGAACTAATTTTTGCCTCTTTAGGGGTGGTATTGTCCCTGTTGAGAATGCATGTTCCTAAAGAATTTGCTGACTTGCTCTTCCTTCTTGCTTCAGGTAAGTGCTCATCTCCAGATGGAGGTAGAAAGACTTATAGTCCAAAGCTATGTCCTAGAACATCAGAAAACAACCACCCCTGATCCTATGGATGACCCCTGCTTCAGCCATCGGAGTCGCCGCAAACTGGCCAAGTGAGTGGTTTCCAGTGACTGCCTTTCTGTGCTGTGCTTGTTTCAGAGTGTAGCAGAGCAAGCAGTGCTGCCTCGTGCAGCACACTCCCGGAAACACTGGCTGATCACCTCGCAATGAAATCCACTCTCCTCACTTATCCGCCATCCCCTAGCATCAAGCCAACTGGGCAGCTTTCTGCCTCTTAGAGTGAGAACATTACAGCTATGTCTAATGGACAGGCTTCACTTCAGGTCCATAAGGGGCCATGCTGAACATGTTCTGAGATAATGGCCAAAACAGTGGTGTGAATCTCTGGGGGAGTTAACGTTGTTTCTAGTCTCCGTTTGGGTAGCCATTTGTTGTTCTCCACTCTGGAGAATAAAACTGTGCACAGGAGGTAGAAAAAAAAAATCAGACTCACTCACTTTTGGAAAAGTAGCCTTCCAGGTTTGAAAGTGACTAGTAAGGTCTATTAACCATTTCAGAATCCAGCTACCAGAGTACATCCTGGACTTTGGCTACATCATCCTTGGCGAAGTCCGAACCCACATCATCAAGATCATCAACACCAGTCACTTTCCAGTGTCATTCCATGCAGACAAGCGTGTCCTTCATGAGACAGGTACCCAGGCTGGGGAGACGCTTTCCTATTGCACTTGGTCATTTCTCGCAAGGAACCCATCAGTACTGTCCTCCTGGAGCAGCTTTTGTGCCTCTGGGATCAGCTAAAAGGATTCTTGGGCTATTCAGTGATCCTTTGAGCAGTCATTCTGACCCAGTGGGGGCTTTCTCTAGAGCAGCTCTTGTTTGCTGTTTCTCTTTTCCATGAAGAAATTTTTTTTTGTCTTGGTCCAGGATTCAGTACTGAGCTAGATCGTGTAAAGAATCTGCCTCATTGTGAAACGGAAATATTTGAAGTGAGATTTGACCCACAGGGGGCCAATCTTCCTGTTGGAAGCAAAGAAGTCATTCTGCCCATCAAGGTACAAGGCACCGCTGGGCCCACCCGGACCTGCAGGTTTCCAGCTCTGCTTGCTGATGGCCCCTGGGATAATCCAGTTATTATGTCAGAGCCATGATTCTTCCTTTCCCCAACCCCATGACACATGATAACTGCAGTTTATACCCTCTCTAGGTGGTTGGAGGGCCAACAGTTCACATCTGTCTCCAAGCCAAGGTGACCATTCCAACCATGACTCTCTCTCGTGGAAAAGTGGACTTTGCCACAATTCAGTGTGGACAGTGCCTGGTGGAAACTATTCAGCTTTCCAATCATCTCCAAGTCCCTTGTGAATGGTTCGTCCAGAGCCAAAAGCCTGTTGACAAGGTAAATGAGCTGTGGCCCATTGGTCCTCCTTTCTCCATCTCCATTGCAGCCAGATTTGTAACTCTAGGTCTTGGTGCTCATCATTTCAATCTCCTGCTCAAAGACTTTCAGTGGCAACCATTGCCTCCTGAATAAAACCTGGGCCCTTAGCCCAGCGCTTGAGGTCCTATCAGGCCATGCTGTCGGGTGGAATGTCTTATTCATCTTTGCACCTCTGGTATCTACACATTCCCCGACACCTGAGAGGTACTCAGGAAATGTGGGTTGTGTGAGTGGAAGGTGAATGAGCTCATTTTCCATAGAAGATGATCTAATTCTCTAATATTTATAAACCAGCTGGAGAAACACATGCCGAAGTACTTAAGACAGAAACTACGCGCTGAATTAAAGCCAAAGACACGGATCTTCGAAATCCAGCCCATTTCTGGAGTCTTGGATCCTGGTGAGAAGTCCAACGTGCAAGTGAAATTCATGCCAAAAGAAGAGGTGAGCTTTAAAGAAATATGGCTTCATTTAGATTCTCTGGACCTCTTTGAGCTTTACTCAAAGTCCATGCTTGTTTGGGTCTCAAGGGAAGCTTCGAGTGACCTGTGCCTTGCTTTTCTGAATATGGCATCTCAAGCACTTCTGGTTCACATAGGAGCTGTGTGGTCTGGTGGTCTGGAATCATTGGACTAACACATCAATTTTTATCAGAAGGCCTGGGTTAGTAGCCTTCTGCCTCTGCACACTTACATGCTGTGTGTCTTTGAGGAAATTACTTAGCCTCATTCAGTCTCAGTTCACTCATAGATAAAAGAAAAAATAGTAATGTTGCATATCAGAAGTCCTTATTGAAATTCTGAAACCCAGTAAGATCCAAAACTGGGGGTGGGGGGTTTGAGATTTCATAAGCTTCGCACTAAAACTCATTTGGCAGAAAAATCTCATCTGAACTGACATGACACCATTTAACTTTTATTTGTACAACTTAGTTTTCAGAGTCAAACATTGACAACAACTGTTAATGTGTTTGATTACAGGGGACCTGCCCCAGACCCTGCTGAGGGTATTAGGTAACATAGGGTATATGCACTGTGTTTACTATTTGAAAAATCTGAATTTGAAAGTATCTGGCCCCTGGGTTTCAGATAACTTATTGTCAACCTGTAGTGACTACCTCCTAAGGTCATTTTGAAGATTAAATGCACAGTATTGAATAAAGTACACAGTGTGCTGCTCTATGTAAGTAAATCTCTCAATAACTATTAACTATTATCATCAGTAGTCGTGAAAAGTACGTCCCAGTAGATGGCCTCCCGGAGCCTCATAAATGTTTCTTTTGTGAACATAATCAACTCAAAGCTACTTCTGACCAGGAACATAATAAAATTAATAAAATCCTCGAACCAGAGAATCTCAAGAGGTTGCACTGTAAAGACTTTTATTCAAAGCCTAAGGCACTTGGGAAATATATTTTTCTCTATTCTGTTATTTTAAAAGAAAAATTGATTTGTGTTTTATAGAAGAGCTATGGTTAACTCCCATTTTCCTTGTAATCGCTTTGAGGAAATGCTTAAGCACCTTCAGTGAGAAAGAGAAAAAGCAAATGACTTCCTATCTCATTCTAAAATAAAACCCATGTTTTTATCATTATCAAAATCTTCCCAGTCCATTTAAAAGAAAATTAGTAATATGTTTGTCATTCTTAAAGAGTCTTAAAATTTTCAAAGGGTTTACTCAAGATTGTGGATTTTTTTTCCATTACTTAATGAGGGAAATATAGTAAAAAAAAATAGATTTGTTCAAGCAGTTTCATGAATGTTGAGTTGGAATTGGTCAAAGTTAGTAAAATGTTTCCACCAATTAAGAGAGAAATTTATTAGCTGTATACAAGGAATTGGTTAGGCTTGCAACCCATACGATCCATATATCTGCATCATCATCAACATCAGCAGCACCAAGAAATCAGTGACATCCACACCAACAATTCTTAGGCATGATAACATGTTCAAGAAAATGAATGAAATGTTTTAGAAAGATTTCCATAAGGAGCAATTAAAATACAGAAGTTTGAATCATAAGGTACTAAGCCCATAACTATAGAGAAACCCTTCTTAGCCAGTAATTTATCTTTTTGTGTCCAGAAATAGATATTTCTGTGTGTATGTCTGTATACATTCCATCCATTTGCTTTTTCCCCTTCAAGCTAAGATAGGAGGTCTTCAGATTGTGATTTGCGTAATTTCCTCTCAAACCAAGCCACAAGTCCAGCTATACCAGAATAACCTAGGCATCTGGTTAAAAATGCTGAATCCCAGCCTTACTCTGCCCCTACAGAGTCAGGATTTCTAGGGATGGAATCTGAGGATCTGCATGTTTAATAGGTTCCCCAGTGAAATCAGACTAGGAACTATGGGATGCAATGTAGATTTGGGTACCATTTTGAGAAAACATGTGAGTAGTTATGATATAACTATTAACCAGTATCTGGTTGTAATTGTATCTGATGAACTGAATGCCCCAGCTCTGGCATTCTGCCAAACTGGGAAAATACACAAAGTACACACTTCAGAATCATCACTCCTCAGGAGCAAGGGAGCTGGGGTCTTTTTACCGTAAATCCCCAGAGTCATTGCTTAATAACTAATTCCAGATGGTATCATTTCCCTGGCATTTTTGCCCTGCCCTCCCCTGCCCATGGACAGCAGGGTCCATGAAATGAGAACCTTCAGGCCCAGAGATGCAGACAGTGGCAGCTGGAAGTCTGAGCACACTGGAAGATTTGAGGGATGTGAAAGTGATACTCAGAGGGCTTGCTACAAACGATGAAGCACTTGATACAAGTGCTAGAATGCTAGATACCCAGAATTTATTTGATATCTAGCACTTGGTACAATGCTTGGCATGCTAAATACCCAGTACTTATGTTAATTTGGTAATAAAAATTACTCTTATGCAATTTTATAATAAGTTTTCTCCCTTAATCTAAATAGATAAGTTTTTTCCCCTCAGCGGTGTTTTGTTTTACATGACATGTAATGGAAATAAATTCAGATGCTTGTTTTGTTTTTATGTTTTCCAGAAATTCTACAGCCAAACCCTGGTGTTTCAGATTGCCCAGAGTGCTCAAAAGCTTACCCTCCTGGCACGTGGGCAAGGTCTAGAGCCACGCCTGGAATTTAGTCCTTCAGTCCTGGATCTGGGGCCACTGCTACTTTGTGCACCTGGAGACGAGGCCGAGGTGATAGTGAAGAATCCCTGCAACTTCCCCATTGAGTTTTATTCCTTAGAATTTGATCAGCAGTATCTCATAGAAGAAAAGGTGAGCAGAGGTCAAACCAAACTGTTTTTCTACACGTGCTGGACCCTGCTATGTACTCATGCTCTTTTCTCTGCATGCAATAACATCCTCCTGGCCTTTCCCATCTTTTTCCCCTTGAATTCTTCCTTGTCAATTTAGTGATTACTTCCCTATAGCCTTTTCTGACCTACTTCCCTTGACCTGAGTAAAATCCTAGACATTTTAAGCAACTAATTGAAAAGCTAATGCATGTTCATGGTTAAAATTCCAACAGTAAAGAACCGTATATAGCAACTTGTCAATATCATTGTATTTGAAGTTGAGTTACTTGTAGACAGCATGTAATTGGGTCATTTTAAAAAATATGCTATCAGTCTCTAACTTTAGTTGATATATTTAGACTTTAGTTGATATATTTAGTTTACATTTAGTGTAGTTATTGCTATTTCAGGACTTAAGTCTGCCATTGCATGTTTTATTGTTTTTTGGAATTTTTTGCTTTCAGGAATTTTTTGTTTACTTTTTCCTACTTTCCTATCAGTTGCTTCAACATTATTTAAAATTCCATTTTTATTTACCCAGAGTGTTTTTTGGGTGTATCTCTTTGTATAGCTCCTTTAGTTATTGCTGTAGGTATTACATTATCTATACATAACATTATAATCATTGACTGTCAATGATTAAATGTCAATCACTGGTATTGACATTTTAGCAGTTCTAGTGTATTTAGAAAACTTTCCTCCATTTAACTCCCTTCAGCCTTCCGATTTTTAATATAACTGTCTTAAATATTTTTCTTATATTAGCTAGCACTATAATTATTGTTTCAACTGTCAAACATACATTTGAAGACCCCAGAGGAAAGAGAAAATGTATTACATTTGTCTCTCTTTTTACTCTTTCTGTTCTTTCTTCTTTTCTGATACGCCAAGATTTCTTCTTTTATTATTAACTTTCTGTTTAGAGAGGTACCTTTAGCTCTGTTGTTAGGGTATGCCTGCTGATAGAAATTTCTTAGTTTTCCTTCATCTGAGAATGCCTTGACTTCCCCTCTCATCCTTGAAGGATTTGCTCACTGGATATAGAATTCTGAGCTGACAGTTCTTTCATCCCTTGAAATATATGCCACTTTCTTCTGGCCTCCATGGTCTAATGAGAAATCCAATGTCATTTGAATTATTTTTTTTCCTCTGTAGGGGAGATTTCATCTCTCTCTCACTGCTTTCAGGAATTTTTCTGTGTCTTAGTTTACAGAAGTTTGACTATAATGTGTCTTGGCATAAATTTCTTTGGTTTATTGATTTTGGGATTTGCTGAGTTTCTTGAATCTGTTGATCTTTATCTTCTTTCCAACTTGGAAATTTTTCAGGCATTATTCAAGTACCTTTTTCAGCCTCATGCTCTTTCTACTCTCCTTCCAGGGCTCAAATGACACTCATATTTTGTTTTGTTACAGTTTTACAGTTCTTTGAGGCTCTTTTCTTTTTTTTAAGACTATTTTCTCTGTTATCCAGAGTAAGTAATTTCTATTATTTTATCTTCAAGTTCGCTGATTTTCTTCTCCATCCATTTCATTCTGCCCACATATTGAGTTTTTATTTTGGTAACTATATTTTTACGTTCTAAAATTTTCATTTGGTTCTTTTTTATATCTTGTGTTTCTTTGCTAAGACTTTCTTTTTTTTATTTGCTTCAAGTATGTTCATAATTGTTCACTAAAGCATTACAATCATGGCTCCTTTAGAATCTTTGAAAGATAACTAATATCACTATTACCTTGAAGTTGATATCTATTCATTTTCTTTTGTCATTCAAGCTGAAGTTTTCCTGGTTGTTACTATGATGAAGGATTTTTAGTTAAAACCTGGGTGTTTTTGGTATTATGTTATGAGACTCTGGACCTTATTTAAATTTTGTTTTAACTGGCCTTTTCTGAAATGACTTGGGCAAGGAGAAGGGGGCACTGCCTTCTTACTGCCAGATGCAGGTAATAGTCTAGGTTCCCTCCTTGGCCTTCTTTGACAAACAGTAGGAGGAGCTCTTCACTACTGCTGGGCAGGAGTGGTATTTCTGGCTCTCCGCAAGGCCTCCATTGATACCTTCCTGGCTGGGAGGGGCAGGAGTGCCTTGTTACTACTCTCCACACGGACTCCACTGACTCTGCATGGAAAAATAGAGGGGTAGCCGTACTACCCAGGACCACTGGGTAATGACAAAAGTTCTGACTCCCACTAGACCTCAGCTGACACCACCCCAGCAGAGGGGAGGAGGGGCATTTCTTTACCACCAGATGGACGTGGAAGTCCAGGCTCCCTACATGGGCTTTACTGACAGATTTGGGGGGAGGTGAAGTCTTGTTACCCACTGGCAGGGAGGACACTCCTAAGATGTCCCAGACTTGACGGGTTCATTTCCTGCCCAGACCTGGAGTCAATCATTTCTCCAAGGAGCCCTTGTTCCTTTTAGTATGAAATAGCATTTAGAGATCACAGTCTGGACCACTGGATTGTGACTTTCTAGGTCTTTTTAGTAAATAGAATTAGGAAATGTGATTTTTAAGAGGGGAAAAAAATCATAACACATAATGATGTTTCAAATTCCAATTTAAGATTATAGGATTTTATCTAAATTCTTCAATGATACATTTGTTTCTGCTTTCTCTTGAAAATCATGGATATAAACTTACTTATCAATTTATCTTATAAAATATACATTTGGCCAGGCACAGTTGTACACACCTATAATCCTAGCATTTTGGGAGGCCAAGGCAGGAGGATTGCTTGAGGATTGAGTTTGAGCCCAGCCTGGGCAACATAGCAAAACCCTATCTCTACAAAAAAAAATACAAAATTCTTTGGGAGGCCAAGGCGGGTGGATCACAAGGTCAGGAGATTGAGACCATCCTGGCTAACACGGTGAAACCCCGTGTCTACTAAAAAATACAAAAAAAAAATTAGCCAGGTGTGGTGGAAGGCGCCTGTAGTCCCAGCTACTCAGGAGGCTGAGGCGGGGGAATGGCATGAACCCAGGAGGCGGAGGTTGCAGTGAGCTGTGATCGCGCCACTGCACTCCAGCCTGGGCGACAGAGCGAGACTCTGTCTCAAAAAAAAAAAAAAATACAAAATAATTTAGCTGGACATGGTGACACATGCTTATAGTTCCAGCTACTCGAGGGGCTGAGGTGGGAGTTCAGTTGAGCCTGGGAGGTCGAGGCTGCAGTAAACCAAGATCATACCACTGCACTCCAGCCTGGGTGACAGAGTGAGACCCTGTCTCAAAATAAAATAAAATAAGTAAATTAATAAAATAGCTTCAAAATAGTAATATCAATATTCCTACTAACAGTAAGGCTACTGAGTCATATTATCCGTAAGCATGGTGAGGCCTCTGTGCTGTGTTCCAGCAGCTCCCCCAAATCCACATCTCATGCTCCCACCCTGCTGCCCTACCTTGAGCTACACCTTTGTCTAATAACCTTAGTGCCCTGCTCTTTGAAACGGCCTCTTAATTCCCTCTTGTGAGCAATATTAAAATTAGCTAGTAATCTCTTTTTCCTTCTCCCCTTTCCATCCTCTAATTTAAAATGATTTTATTTCCAGTTAATACCAGCTGAGTAGTCATCTCATGTACCCTTCCCCCATATTTCCTACTTGTATTTTATCTATATTGTCAGAGCTTATAGTATTAAGGTATCAGGACTTAATTTCCATCATGGAGTCTTAGTTTTACACTAAGACATATTGAATGCCCAACACCAATCCTTACAGTGGAGCTTCTCCAATCACTTCTGGGTTGTCTACAGCTCATTCTCTGGTGGATTTCTCAGGCAGGGATCATGGGGATGATATTCTCTGAGTATTCAAACATTCGTAACCATTTATCTGTGACTTTTGAAGATCAGATACAATATTCTTGGCTTACATTTTCTTCACTTGACTATTTTAAATATATTGCTCCATTGTTTCCTCATAAGGTATTCTTGTCCATGAAGCCCAACGCTATATTTGTTATCTTTTGCTGCATAACAAATTAGCCCCAAACTTACCAACTTAAAACAATAAACATTTGTCATCTCGTGCTTTCTGTGGGTCAGAAATTTGAAGGTGGCTTAGCTGAGTGGGGGTTCTGCTTCCTCTGGACCCTCCCCCACTCAGCCTTTGAATCTTCTGTCTTCTTTACTTCCAGTGTTGATAGCCTGCTTAGTTTGCAGTCTGCTCCCAGAAGTTTTTCTCAGAATGGGAATCTGCCCCTTTGGGGAGAGTCTTTTCATTAGGAATTTATGAGATCCTTAGTGGCTTCTGTTGGCACAGCACCTTCTATCAAGAGTCAGGCTCTGTGGAAAGCACAATCTAAGACTTGAGATTTGCATGTGGGAGGTTTCTTGGGGGCACTCTCAGGAACATCTGTGAAGAATAGGACAGCAGAGTTGGGCAGAGGGAGATGAACTGTGATGAGATGGCAATGGAGACTTCAGCTAATCGCACAGGAAGCTCTGGGGCTGGGTTGGCCCTTTGGAGTTGCCCCAGTTGCTGCTTGTTTGCCAGGCCTTTGTGCCCTGTATCAGCCAGTCTTTGGCATATTGCCTCCTTTGCCCACAGATTCTCTATGCCATCTCTATGCTTTATCACAGTTCCATAAATAAATGGGTCAATTCTGAGCTTTCTCTTCTATTTCAGTGGTCAATGTGTCTTTCCCAGCATCATTGCCACTCTGTCTATTACTACAGCTTCCTGATAAGGCTTGTCATCTGGTAGGGCAATAGCCTTCTTTTATTCCTTTTCATTAATGCTTTAATTTTGCCCTTCCATGTAAATTCTAAAATTTACATGGATCTTATTTTACATGGAGCTTATGAGCAGTGGTGTTCAAATATTTACATGGAGCTTATTAGCAGTGGTGTTCAAATAACTAAAAATGGGGATCCTGAAGAAGGGTTACCTAACAAAACAGATTTTTGATATCAATAAATCAGGTTGTAGAAGAAGTAAATGCTTTTTAAAACTTAATTTTGCTGTGTCTTGTAAATACACATACACACTAGGATTGCCAGATTTAGGAGAAAAAAATACAGGCTGTCTAGTTAAATTTGAATTTCAGATAAATAACAAATATTTTTTAGTATGTCTCAAATATTACACTGGACATATTTATACTAAAAAGTTATTCATTGTTTATCTGAAACTCAAATTTAACTAGGCATCTTGTATTTTATCTGGCAGCCCTAATACACATTCACACACATGTGCACACATACACGTACTTAATACTATTTTACCTCTTTTTTTCCCCTGGATCCTCTGTTTATGAGACCACACCCTTGCTTAATGTAAAATTGCTAACCACAATATTGTTTAAGAATGAATTGTCACTCAAGGTAGATAATGGAGTTCTGAAATTTTGTCATGGGGAAAAAAGGAAAAGAGTGTATATTAGTTTTAAAACAAGAAGAAAACATATTTCCACAGGTGAAATGCCCAGGCTGAAATGGAGCAAAATAAAGATCATGTATCCCCACAGGCTCAGAGCTCAGCCCTACTTCTGACACCTCTCCAAAGGGCCCCACTCTTTGAAATCCAGAAAGTATTTGTACAAGTCTCAGCCTCAGGCAGGAGCAGGAGTTTTATAAAATCAGTGAGCAGACCCACTTAGAGCTGCAGGGAGATTTCTAGTGAGACCAACAGGATTCTCTTTCTCCCTTCGAGCAGATCTTGCGGAAGCTGAAGGGCTATGATTCCTACAACACCCTGCTGCTGCCTCCCCGCAACCCTGGGGAGAAGCTGCCCCCAGAACTGTACGAGTACTTCAAAGAGATAAAGAAGTCAAAAGAGGAGCAGATGAGGGCGAAATATCTGGAGAATCTGGCACAGGAGAATGGTGAGAACTCAATGTGGAGAACACCTCGTGCTAACCATTGCCTTTGCCCCTCTGAATTACCCCTGCTCTGGGACCAACCTGTTTCTGAGTACCTGCCAGGTGCCAGGCAGGTGCTGCCTGCCTTGTGTATTTTATTTCTAACCCTTACAAAATGGGTCGCGTTATCCCCATTTTATGGATGCAGAGGCTGGAACACATTCTGCTGTCACTAGGGCCCAATTGGGGTAGTATGACCTAAAAACAGCTAATACAGATGGAAGAACACTTGCTGGATACCACGTTGAGGGCTTTGGACGTACAGATGAGAAACTGAAGCGCAGAGAGGCCAGGTCCACAGTTTTAAGTGGCAGAATCAGGATTCCAGCCCAGGGCTCTCTGACTCCAGAGTCCATGATGGTAACCACTGCTTCCTATGGGTAGACCTAGGTAAGGCAAAGTAATGTGTCACACAAGGTAGAAACTGGTGCCCTAAAAGCAGGGGGTGGTCATTCACACAAGCAGAAGACGAGCCCCTCCATAGTCCTCAGGCCAAACTCCAATCGCAGAGCTGTCCTGTGCTCTCAGAATTGTGCCCTTTCTGGCCCACCACCCCTGAGTTATCCCATCATCTGCCCAGGGGCTCTTGTGTGCTTGGCCATAAAGGTTCCTCGCTGACTTGTGGGACTGTGTCACTTATGAGGATGCATCTTCTCTTTCCTGCTTCTCTGTAACCTCATCCTAGAAATGTACCCACCTTGTTTTTACTTGCTTTCATCTGTGTAACAGTCATACACGTAATTATTTTCTTCACAATGCCTCCACCACTAGCCAAGAAGTCCCCGTAAAGGCATTGATCAAATATTCCCCATGTGTAAAACTAGTGCATGGAACAGCAGTAGACCCAATAGTGCCCAATAAATGGGTGCTATGTGAGTGAATGCATTAATGGATTGAATGAAGTTATTTTTCCTGCCCTTGGACCTGTCTCATTGTCCAGGAAATAGAAGCTAATCAGAGACCACTAGTTTGGCTTAAAAGGAGAAGATGAGAGAAGACAGCTGCCACCCACCCCGTCTCCTAGTCACGTTCCTTGAGTTTGCTAGGGCTGCCATTGCAAGTACCACACACTGGGTGGCCTAACCAACAGAAGTTTCTTTTCTCCCAAATCTGAAGGCTAGAAGTCCAAGGCTGAGTGGCAGCAGGGTTGCTTTCTTCTGAATCCCATCTTGCAGTTGGCTGTCTTCTCCCTGTGTCTTCACCTGGTCTTCCTTCTGTGTGTGTCTGTGTCCTAATCTCCTCTCCTCATAAGGACACCAGTCCTACTGGATTGGGACCCACCCATGTGACCTCATCTTACCTTAATTACCTTTTCAAAGGTCCTATCTCCAAATGCAGTCACATTCTGAGATACTCGGGTGTTAGGACTTCCACATATGAATTGGGAAAGGACACCATTAAGCCCATCACAAGGACCCACTGTGTTGCAAGCACTGAGCTAAAGTGGTGGGAAAACAAAATTAGTGAAAAAAGTGCCGGGGAAAAAAAAATCAGAAAATGCAATGAATCCTTACCTTTGAGAGCTCACAGTCATGGAGAGAGTGTGAGGAGAGACACACCATCAGAGAGACTGCCCAGCAGCCCAAGGCAGGGCAGCAAGGGCTGCAATGTACAAAGGACCTCCCAAAGGCAGAGAAGGCCTTGGTGCTCCCCTTGTCCTCACACACCATGATTGTGGGCTCCCTTACCCATCTGGCCCAATGGAAGGTGATCTAAGCCAGGATCAGTGGGTGCAGAGGGAACCCAGAAAGGCACACGCCCTGCTTCTCACCAGTGCCTCTCTGATGAGCTTTGTCTACTCGCTCTGCTCTCACGCTATAGATCATCCTTCTCTGCTTCCCTTCCTTCCAGGGAAGGCCCACAGCCCCAAGTCACAGGACCACCATTCATGAGAGAGCTGCAACCCCTCAGGCTCAATTTCTACCTTGTGTGACAAAGGGAATGTCTTGCCCTGTAGTAGAGGGGGATCACCTCATACAGTCACAGCCCACTGCACCCCTGAAATGCTATAGAACAATGGGCAATCAATGAGGAAGGTGTTGGGCCAACGAAAGGATAGCTGTCCCTAACAATGACACAGGAAATGGTCATGATAAATTAAAAGGGAAAGCAGGCTACACATCAGTATGTACAATATAACCCAAGCTTAGTTTCAAACAATTAAAAATTAAAAATCTGAGAGGTTGCAGCTCTCCTGTGCTGGTATGATAAAATTTGGTACAATTTCTCTGTCACCATTTCTTTGTCTATCTCCAACTCTTTTTGTAGCTGAATTCCATCATTTTTGGCTCTTCTGAGTTTTCCACATTTTCTAAGCAAATGTATAATTTTAGTTGCTAAACAAATGTTAAAATGTAGAAACACTGTGCACAGAGAGACTGAGGAATAGCCAACTGACTGCAGTTCTTGTTTATTTGGGTTGAATGGTCCAGGGTGATGGGAGCCCGTATGGTGAATCTCTTCTTCATCTTTTTTTTCCTTTTCTGCCTCCATCTCCCTTGTCCCCCTCCCAACTCTTCCCCTGGTGTTTTCATCCTTTGCTACCTGGCAGAAGAGGAAGATATAACCTCATCAGATCAGGGAACCTCCAATAGCACAAAGAGGACATCGCTGAGCCGAGGGATCTCTGTCACATCCAACCTGGAAGAATGGCACGCCCTGTTGGTCGAGTCCAAAACCTACCTAGAGGAAGAGGAGGATGAGGAAAGCCTGGAAAAAATCATTTTCCAAAGTAACCGAGCATTTTAATGTTTTGATACTAGTTCTCTCCAAGCAGAAATAGGAAGACAATATTCAGTACCTTGTCACTTTCTCTAAGCCTCCTAGTATGGCTCCTAGCCCATCCTGCCCTGCCCACCACAGCTGCCCTCCGGAGAAGCTCTGATCTGCCACTCACAGTAGGATACAAGCTTGAGAGTTGGCTGATGAGCTTAGCATATAATACATTCTTGGCACAGTAATTTGTGTTTCAACTAGACTAAATGAAGGCCTGAATCTTTCCTGCTAAGATTCTGGCAGACTGGGAGGTGTTTAGAGAAACATTATGGGGATGGGGGACATTCTCCCCAGTGTCCCCCCAGTTGGGCCATTAGAGAGCTCTTCTCTTGACCTCCCAGCATTATGGCCCCATTTTCTGGCATTTATTTTCCCCAAGTTTTGCAAGATGTTGGAACCATATTCAGAAAATTAGATTCAGTGAAACTGGGTTCATGGGGGCCATTTGCTGGTCATCATAAACCATGATAAGGCATAAGCAACCTTGTCCTGTGCCCACCCCCAGAATAGGAATCATGGGTGAGGCTCAGGAGATCTTTAGGGAGCTAAGTCATCATTCATAGCCCTCATCAACCAGGTGAGTAAATGAAGTCAGGAACATGTAATGGCAAAACTGAGATTAAAGACAGAAATTTCTGGCTCCATGCCTCACATTTAATCCACCCTGGCTATGCTGATGGGCCCCCAAGTGGTTCCTGGTCTCTCCGAGCAGCCCTCCCCACCCCATACACCCTGACTCTGCTCCCCATGCCTGGGCTCCTCCAGGGCTGACCCTGGACATCCCACGTAGAAGAAAGCATACCACAATGCTTAGGATGAAAAAACATGAAAACCATCTAAATGCCCATTAGTAGGGAACTAGTGAAATTGTGACAAAGCCATACAGTGGGAGTTATTTAGCAGCTATTTAAAAAGAATGAGCTAGGCCGGGCAAGGTGGCTCAAGCCTGTAATTCCAGCACTTTGGGAGGCCAAGGCAGGCGGATCATGAGGTCAGGAGTTCGAGACCATCCTGGCTAACACGATGAAACCCTGTCTGTACTAAAAATACAAAAAATTAGCCGGGCATGGTGGCACATGCCTGTAGTCCCAGCTACTTGGGAGGCTGAGGCAGGAGAATCACTTGAACCCGGGAGGCGGAGGTTGCAGTGAGCCAAGATTGTGCCATTGCACTCTAGCCTGGCAACAGAGCGAGATGCCATCTCAAGAAAAAAAAGAAAAGCAGAATGAGCTAGACCTGTATTTAAGTAAATGGAAAGATGTCCAAGATATATTATGTGAAAAGCAAGTTACAGAGCAAAATTCAGAGTGTCATCCTAGTTTTGTTATTAAAACACTGAATGTATTTGGGATGACTATATGTATCTGGCTGCACACTACTCTACAATTAATACACATATGATCCTGCAGCTTGCTTTTTTCTAGACGTTCCTCTAGGCCAATGCATTTGATAAATCAAGGTTTGGCAAACTTTTCCCATAAAAGGCCAGATAGTAAATATTTGGGGCTTTGAAGGCTATACAGTCTCTGCCAAAACTACTCAACCCTGCCTTTGGAGGGTGGCTGTGATGACAAAGACAATATGTAATCAAAGGACGTGGCTATGTTCCAATACAACTTGATTTACGAAAACAAGCAGCAGGACAGATTTGGCCTGTGGGCTATAGTTGACTAGTCTGTGATACCGAAGTCATCATTTTAATAGCTGCTGTGTATTGGTTCTATAATATGAATTTACCATCATTTATTCAGCCATTTCCCTTAATGCTGCAGATTTCACTAGTTTCTAATATTTTGCACTGTAAGCCATCCTCCTCTCCACACAAATGTCCTTTCTACTTTTCAGCAAGAGAGATTCCCCAAAATGAAAGTGGAGTCAAAAAATCTGTTTTTTTATTTTAGTAGCTATAAACAAATTATTAGCCCAAAAGGGCCTTCTCGTACACTACAAGTGGGGACTGCTGCAATATTTGCCATTTAAAAAAAACAGCATTTAAAAAGAAATATCCATTCCCATTTCCATCAGTACCCATGTAAATTCCGGCTGTGTAGCATGCATGCCATGTGTGCACACACATATATTTTAAATTTGCAGCTGACAAGCTTCAGAGCATTGACAGCCACTCCATGGAGGAAGTTGGAGAGGTGGAAAACAACCCAGTGAGCAAAGCAATCGCTCGCCACCTGGGCATTGA
This sequence comes from Homo sapiens, assembly GCF_000001405.40. NCBI lineage: Eukaryota > Metazoa > Chordata > Mammalia > Primates > Hominidae > Homo > Homo sapiens. The sequence continues at coordinate 146,757,708 of NC_000001.11, forward strand.
CATTTCTGCAGAAGGCCGCCTGGCCAAGAACCGGAAAGGCATCGCCATTATCATTCACGGGACACCCTTGTCAGGTAGGCAACAGTTCTGAGGGGAGGTTAAGACCAGCAGTGCCATGTCTTCTCTGTAAACTCTGCGGCTTCCAGAGTGGCAACATCAGCTGTGTGGTCATGGCAAATACTAATGACTTTATTTGAGGAACTGCATAGGGTAGTGAATATACATTAATAGCTGTGTGCCTTTGGGAAAATTAACTAAATTGTCTGTGCTCAGTTTCCCTGTCCGTAAAGTGGTATTAACGCTGTCTATTTTATAGGGTAGTCATGAGAATTTAATGAGAACATTTATATAAAATGCTTATCTCAATACTTGGCACATAGTAAATACTCAAACGAAAAGCTGTTGATGTTATCATTGTTATTACTATGATGACTGTTGGCATTCACAATTATAACCATACCTGCAGTGTGAATCCTCTTTGAAAAGAAACTTCCATCACATGCTAAATATTCTCAAGGAATATTTTCCTAACCATAAACCAGTCAAGGGATGAGCCCTTGATAAAGAAAGGATTTTTTAACGAGAATCCTTTATTACCTCCAAAATTACATGTGCTAACTTTACCATAAACCCAAAGGAGCAGAATCACCTACATTGGGAAAAAAAAAATCTTGTTTGTATAGTAATTTGCAGTTCACAGAGCTCCTTCCCATCCATTTGTCTATCTAAACTTCGTAACCACTCAGAAAAGAGAATTTGATTTCCCCTACCTTATGGGAAGCTAAGGTTCAGAGAAATTCAAGGACATCTGCCCAAGGTCACCCAGTTAGAAAGCGGCAGAGCAGAGGGATATTGGGAGGATGCCCTGCCACCTCTCTTAGCTTCAGCTTACTTGACGAAGGGCCATGAAATCTTGTTCTGACCCAATTACTATCATTCATACAGACAACATTTATGGAGCATTTTTGATATTCTAATCACTGAGAGGTCCAGGAATCTAAAAATGTCACAATTCATTACCCCTTCCTTTGAAGAACCTTTCCTTGAGAAGTTGTAAATCAGGACCTAAAAAGTAGAAGGCCAGATGTGTGGGCAAGAGGCAGAAATCAAACGAGGCAAGTAAGAACATAACTGGAAATGTTTTGAAGACCCCCTACACAAACACACCTGCAGAGGCTCAGGCCATTTTAGTGTTGCACTAAAAGGAATGTCAGAAGGATGGTTGATGGATCCATAGAAACTGCAGACAGCTGGAGAGTTAACACCAAAAAGGCACTGACCTGGAAAGAGCCACCAGCCCTGTTCTAGTGGAGGCTCAGTCACTTCTCATCTGCAGGTGAAAAGCCTATTAGAGTGTGAGCTACAGTAATAACAAGCCTGACATTTTTATGGAACCTTACAGCTTTCACAGAATCTTCATGAAGAACAGCTTAACAGCCTATGTCAAAATCAGACTGATCAATATAAGTTATTTTTCCCCTTTTGTTTATGGTGAAGTTAGAACATACAACTTTTGAAGGCAATAAGAGACTCTTTTGTTTATAATCCATATCATTAAGGATTATCCCCAAACTATTAAATTGCTGACCTCAGAGAGGGGATTAAGAAGGAGAGGGAAGACACCTCATTTGGAACGTATACATCTCTGAATTGTTTGAATTGTATTCTTTCCGTAATTTAAAAATATTAAAATATTAGAGAAAAAAATCCCAGACATTAAATTATTTAAAAAGAGAAAGAAATATATGTGCAGACTCTGACCTGACAATGTTACTTCTAAAATTTTCTTAGGAAAAATAATTAATGATGTGGACAAGATGAACTGCTTGAATGTTCACTGCAGCACTGTATGCTGTAATAGAAACTCGGGAGCAATTACAACATTCAATATGGGGAACTGGTTAATCAGGCCACAGTACATTTATATGGTGAATTTTATTGCCATTAAAAACAGTGTCTTGTACACCCATGTTCATAGCAGCATTAATCACAATAGCCAAAAGGTGGAAACAATCCAAATGGCCATCAGTGGCTGAATGGAAAAAACAAAATATGGTATGATGCAATGCTATTCAGCCTTGACAAGGAAGGAAATGGACAGGGTGTGGTGGCTCACGCCTGTAATCCCAGCACTTTGGGAGGCTGAGGTGGGTAGATCATGAAGTCAGGAGTTCAAGACCAGCCTGGCCAACATGGTGAAACCCTGTCTCTACTAAAAATACAAAAATTAGCCGGGCGTGGTAGCAGGCGCCTGTAATCCCAGCTACTTAGGAGGCTGAGGCAGGAGAATCATTTGAACCCGGGAGGCGGAGGTTGCAGTGAGCCAAGATCGTGCCATTGCACTCCAGCCTGGGCTACAGGGCGAGACTCCATCTCAAAAAAAAAAAATATATAGGAAGGAAATTCTGACACATGCTACAACACGGAAGAACCTTGAGGACCTTATGCAAGGTGAAATAGGACAGTCACAAAAGGACAAACACTGTATGACTCCGCTTAGATGAGGTACCCAGACTGGTCAAATTCATAGAGCTAGAAAGAGAAACAGAATGATGGTTTCCAAGGGGCTGGGAGGGTGGTGGGTACTGGGGAGTTATAGTTTACTGGGTACAGAGTTTCAGTTCGGGAAGATGACAACGTTCTGGAGGTGGATGGTGGTGATGGGGGCACAGCAGTGTGAATGTACTTAGAACCACTAAACCATATACTTATAAATGATTTAAGTGACAACTGTTATGTATATTTTACCAAAATAAAAACAGTGTCATACAAGTGTATTGAATTAATGGAAAGTTGTTCATGATATATCATTTTACATGAGAAAGGGTGCCATACTCACGGTGTGTAGTTAGTATTAGTGCCCCGTTGCTACTATAACAAGTGACCACAGACTTCATGGCTTCACATAATGCAAATTTATACTCCCATAGGTCTGGAGGACAGAAGTCTAAAATGGGTGAGCATGACTGTGTTCCTTCTTGGAGGATCTGGGGGACAATCCGTTTCCTTATCTCTTCTAGCTTCTAGAAATGTTGCCTGCAACCCTTGGTTCCTGGCCCCTTCTTCCTCCTTCCCAGCCATCAGCATAGCATCTCCCAGTCTCTCCTGCTACTTCCATGGTTGATTGACCTGCTCTGACTCCAACCCTCCTGCTCTCCTCTCATGGGGACCCATTGCGCCCGGTTGGATAATCCAGGCTAACCCCCCATATCAAGATCTGTAAATTAATCACATCTGCAAAGTCTCTTTTACCCTAAAAGGTAACATATTTGCAGGTGGAAATCTTTGGAGGAGCCATTATTCAGCCTACCACATAACCTATTTCTTTTTTTATAAGAAATACAGTTACATGTGTACTTAGCGACCATAGGCTAACTAACTGTACTATCCCTGAATGAGTGGATGATGGATTTTTTTTCTTTTCTCTTGTCTGTTATATCTGAATTGTCTGCTTTTTTTTTTTGTAATGAAAGTACCTTGAAATGAGAAAAGAAATCAACACAAGTTATTCTTTAAAATAAAAAGTTTTCCTATTAGAATCAGAGACAGGAGGAACTACAAAGTATTTTAAAGATCATCTGATAGAACCTGTTTCTTAAACAGACCCTGTGCAGTGGCTGACACCTGTAATCCCAGCACTTTGGGAGGCCAAGGCAGGTGGATCATTTGAGGTTAGGAGTTCGAGACCAGCCTGGCCAACATGGTGAAACCCCATCTCTACTAAAAATACAAAAAATTAACCAGATATGGTGGTGGGTGCCTGTAATCCCAGCTACTTGGGAGGCTGAGGCAGGAGAATCACTTGAAACCAGGAGGCGGAGGTTACAGTGAGCTGAGATCTCGCCACTGCACTCCAGCCTGGGTGACAGAGTGAGACTCCATCTCAAAAAAAAAAGAAAAAAAGAATCTGTTTTTTAAACTGAGGGAAAACCCAGCGAGGATGCAGATTGCCACAGCACGCACGCATCAGTGGCAGGGTTAGAATCAGACCCACAGCCCTGACTCCAGGCTGAGGTCTTCCTTCTCTTTGCTGCTAACACCTCCAGCCACATGGGAAGGAGGCAGAGCACTCAGAGAGATCACTTTGCAGGGACCTCTGCTCTTGAGACCTTTTCTCTCTGGGACACTGAGCAAATGAGCACCGTGAAATTCAACCCCCTGGTCTTTTTAATAGGAAAGTCAGCCAATGCCGTTAGCGTGGCCAAGTACTACAACGCAGCCTGCCTGAGCATCGACTCCATTGTGCTGGAAGCTGTGGCCAACAGCAACAACATCCCAGGGATCCGGGCCTGTGAGCTCTGCATCAGGGCTGCCATAGAGCAGTCCATGAAGGAAGGAGAGGAGGCTGGTAAGAGCCCATTCTCTTGGGTTTTTGTGGTCAAGTCACCAACACCCCCACTGACAACACCCATCTTCTCTGTGCCCCACTGAGCTCTCCTCCCACAGCCTGGTTGAAGTCTGCCCTACAGCATGCTGCCAACTTCATAGCCCAGAGGAGAATTCTCTTCACGAAGCATTCCTGGGTCTCCTGCCCTGCCCAATGCCAGCGTGCTCTTGCCACTGTGGGGACCAGGACAATGAATAAGACACAGCCCACACCTTTGGTAGTCTGACATCTGGTGAGGGAAGCAGACATGCGGTCACTCAGAGCAGAGGAAAATAATTTTGCAACAGAAATACCAGCTTCTTTGAAAGAGCGACTTTGGGATGAATGGGTTCCAACAAGGGTGATGTGGGAAGTTTTCAAGGAAATGGGTTTGAAGAAGCAAGAGAATATTAGTAGGCAAAGATGGGGACAAGGATATTCCAGACCAAAAAAGCAGGGAAACTGGTCATAAATTAGGGGTGGGAAGGCAGGTTGAGGCCAATCATTGTTCACCTTGAATGCCAAGATGAGGAATTTGAGTTTTATGTTCAAGGAAAAGAGCTATTGGGACAGTTTCACACTATGGAGAAATGATCAGAAAATCACAATAGGAAGGTAGCCCTTGACTATCATGTAAAGGAAGCGATAGTGAAGCTGCAGACAAATGGGCCTGGGCCGGCCAACCCGACAGCCACCTGCATGGTGGAGAATTGAAGGAGTAAGAGGGATTCAAGATGGCCACGCCCAGCTTCCTAGCCACAGAAACCAGGAGAGAGTGATGTCATGTACCTAGATAGGGAACACAGGAGGAAGAAAAAGTTTGCTGGAGAAGAAAATAAATTGGGTTGGGTTTGGGGGAGGGGGGTTGTTTTCTTTCTTTCTTTCTTTCTTTCTTTCTTTCTTTCTTTCTTTCTTTCTTTTCTTTTTTTTTTTTTTTTGAGACAAGGTATCTCTCTGTCACCCAAGCTGGAGTACAGTGGCACCATCATAGCTCACTGCAGCCTCCTGGGCTCAAGCGATCCTCCCACATTCGCCTCCAGAGTAGCTGGGATTACAGACATGCACCACCATGCCTGGCTAATTTTTAGGGTCTCGCTATGTTGTCCAGGCTGGTCTCAAACTCCTGGCCTCAAGCAATCCTCCCAAAGTGCTGGGATTACAAGATTGAGCCACTGTGCCTAGCCTGAATTGAGTTTTGGAATCGCATAGTGGGGAGGTCTGGTGTGGCCTTCCTACAAAAAGTTGAGAATTCTGGCTCCATCAGGTTATTTGAGGACCTTCAGGGCAGGCGAGCAGCTGCTTGATGGGAAAATATACTAAACACCAAGCAGAGCGCCTGCTCAGAGGGGAAGCATTCCTATGTCAGTGCCCATGGCATGACGTCATCCCAAGAATGCTTCCAGCCTGCTAGTTGATAAAACTGGCTGGGACTTTCAGGGTTGTCCCCTCCCCTCAATACCTCTGCGTGGGACACTTAGGGAAATGGAAGATTCTTTGCTGGGAAGATAAGAGAAATAGCTCTTTAGTGAGAACCTCTGGCTATGCCCTAATGCTGGTTCTCTTAAATTTTTTATTTCCTTTTCTGTGAAATAGTCTACATTTCATAGTGATCTGTGGAGCCATGTTTATGTCCTGTGCCTAAGGGTGAATTTGAGTTCCTGGTCTGAGAAAATAACATCAAGCTAGAGACACAGCTGGGAGAGTCTTTCTCCATGAAACCACTAGGGTAGATGAAGCAGCCAGAAAAGCCCAGAATGAGCCAGGAGGAATGTTTGCTGGACGAGGCAGGTTAGGACCATGGGGAACACCTACATTTCAGGAGGGGTCATGGGGAAGCCGGGAAGTAGAGACAGCAGAGCCAGGGCCACAGGGACTGTCAGAGAAGTCAAGGAAAGGGCCCCAGAGCCTTAGGAAAGGGAGAAGCGAGGAGGAGTTTCACGTCCCTCAGAGCCCTGCTGGACAGGGAGCCTTCCTGCTGGCCTAATCTCACAGCCCACTTGTCTAGCTAACCTAATACTGATCTACCTCCTTTATTGTCTGCCCCAACCCCATGTAAGCTCTGGAGGCAGGGGCTTGTGTTAATTTTCCCCACTGTAGTCCCAGCACCTGGAAGAATGCCTGGCATAGTTGACACATAATAAAGATTCATAAAGGATTCATTGAATCAAGAAATGAACAGAATTAGAGACTGCCAGAAGCCCAAATAGAATGAGCCCTGAGTAGAAGGTGGCTGAATTTCCCAGTTGGGAGGTCCCTGGGGTCTTTGGATAGAGCCTTTGCAATGGAGGGGTTAGGCCCTCACATCTCTCCTGCATCTGTTGTCACTGTGGAGTTGGTAGGCTGGAATGAAGTGGTGGCAGTGAACCCGAACCTGCCTGTGCCATACAGTAGCCACTGGCCCTAGGGGCTGCTGAGCACATGAACCCAGCTGGTCCAAACAGAGGTGTGCGGTGAATGTACAGCACCCATGGGAACCCTGAAGATGTGATATAAAGAAAAGACTTGGAAATAACACAGTAGCAATTTTTATACATTACATGTTAAAATGATCACATTTTGTGTATATTGGGTTAAAATATGTCCCTAAAATTAATTTTTACCTTTTTAATGTGGCAACTAGAAATGTTTAAATTACATACATATGTGGTTCACATTATATGTCTATTGGACAGAACGGACTTCAGAGTGCCATCCCCACTGTCATTTTTTGTGATTCTAAGGTGACTTTTAATAAAAATTCACCCTCTCCTTATAGCCCAGGAGGCAGCTGTGGGTCAAAACGTCATAGGGCAAGGACGACTGAGCACTGACACTTTGGGCAAGTTAGCCTCCGAGATGACTCTGGTGGCCCCAGAAATTAAACCTGGAAAGAGTGTTCGTGGGAGCGTGGTGATCACCAAAAGCAAGGCAGACAGCCATGGCTCCGGGTCACAGAAGCAGCATCACTCACACCAGTCTGAAACACCACAGGTACAAATCAGGGCTCTACCGCAGAAGGGCTGGGATCTTCCTCCTCCCCAGCATCCTGCAGCCAGATCAGTGCTCTTCATCCCTGCAGTGTTCTCGCCAGGCCAGCCTGAGCACTGTCCCTGCGCCCCTCCTTCTGAAAGGGGCATTCACCCAGCTGGTGCTCAGCAAGCATCTTTTATGCTGTAGGCACTGGCAAAGTGCAAATAAAGAAAGCAGAATCCCTGCACTAAGAGTCTGATGAAGGAGATAACCACATTTGCAAACATTTGCAATAAAGTGAAATTAGTTACAAAAGAAGTGTGAAAAGGGAATTAGGCTGAGCCACAGAAAATTGCCAAAATTCAATCCTTTTAGAACTCCATAACAGCAATTTCCTATGGCTCAACCTAAATTCTAAAGGAAGTTAAGGATGAAACCATTAATCTAAGTTGTGGGAGGGCTGCAGGGGGAGTCCTGGAACGTCAGAAAGAAGTTGCAGCATTTGAGCAATGCGCCAAGGAACTTAGCAGTCTCAGCCAACTGGCCGGTGCTGCTGAAGCCAGAGACAGTGGGTGCAGTGAGTAGTGAGTTGTAGGTGGAGAAGTGAAATCAAGTGAGTGTAGGCTTTTATGATGTTTGAAAGTGAAGGGAAAAAAATGAGAGAGTAGTAGAGGGGCAAAGCCAGGGTCAGGAGAGTCCATTCTCAGAAAAGAAGTAGAAGCAGGTCTATAAAGAATGGAACCCCTGGAGAAGTGTCATGTGGCGATCCACTCAAGAGGGAATGAGATCTTGGGAGGTAGTAGGAAGGGCAGAATTCAGCACAATTAAAGGAGAAGAGAACCGGCTTCCTTTGGGGTCAGTAAAGGTAAAAAACAGACACAGCTAAGGGTGGGAGAAGCCAAGTGGAGAATGGAGGTTGGAGAAGGCCTTGTTGAATGGTGCTGTAATGCATGTAGGAGGCATGGTCTTTTGAGGGAAGCAACGAGGAGGCTGGGGCTGCAGAGCATGCTCGAGGGGAGTGGCAGAGCACTGCTTCCACTATGGTGTATAGAAGCAGAAATTGGTGATGGACAAGGAATAAATAGTTGGGAATGATCATGGCCCAACCAAGACTGGAAACTACAACTTCATAGTTGTGAAGTTTCTCTCTCTCTCCCTCTCTCTCTCTCTCTCTCTGTCTCTTTTCCCTAGAGTCAGGGTCTCACTGTGTCACCCAGGCTGGAGTGCAGTGGCACAGTCTTTGTTCACTACGGCCTTGAGCTCCTGGGCTCAAGCAATCCTTCCACCCCAGCCTCCCAAGTAGCTGGGACTACAGGTATGTCCCACCATGCCTGGCTAATTTTTTTAATTTTTGTAGGGATGGGATCTCGCTGTGTTGCCCAGGCTGGTCTTGAACTCTTGGCCTCAAGCGATCCTCCTGGCTCTGCCTCTGCCTCCCAAAGCACTAGGATTACAGGCATGAACCACCACACCTGGCAAGATTTCTCTAAGTGGAACTGGCGGCTCCCATTCAGGAGTGGAGAGAGAAGAATGTCATCATTGAGGAGAGGGGGTGTGCTCTTATAACGAGGGGCAAGAGAGCTGAGGGTGCCATCAGTATGGGAAGCCCAGCCTCAGTAGAGAAGGAATTAAGAAGAGAACGTAGAATGGGAGAAGCAGGAAGGGTTAAGGGTGGATCTCGTTATAGCCTGAGAGTGCTATAGGGACAGTGGGGGAGGTGGATGGAGCAGAAGTGAAAGTACTGGTAGGAGAGGAGGCCCATCCACTGGGAAGAGCAGATGGATGGAGAAGAGTTGTAGGTCTTCATGGGAAATGAGACCTGTGTATTGGATAGAGCAGGTGGGTGGAATAAAGATGTAGGTCCTTAGGCCGGGTGCAGTGGCTTACACCTGTAATCCCAGCACTTCGGGAGGCTGAGGTGGGTGGATCACTTTAGGCCAGGAGTTCAAGGCCAGCCTGGCCAACGTGATGAAACCCCATCTCTACTAAAAATAAAAAATAAAAAAATTAGCTGGGCTTAGTGGTGCACACCTGTAATCCCAGCTTCTCAAGAGGATGAAGCACGAGAATCACTTGAACCCAGAAGGTGGAGGTTGCAGTGAGCCAAGATGGCACCACTGCACTCCAGCCTAGGCAACAGAGTAAGACTCCATCTCAAAAAAAGTACATAAAAAATAAAATTAATGATGTAGGTTCTTGTAGGAGAGGAGGCCCACATGTTAGATCAGGTAAGAGGATGGAGCAGAGGCAAAGGTCTTCAAGGGAGAGGAGACCTGCAGGTTGGATGGAACAGCCCACAGGGCTGAACTTGTGCCAGGTGATATCTGATTGTCACTTCAGTCTTACGTTCTTCTGACACCGTGAAAACAGAAACCATTGATTCATTTTCTTCTGGAGCACTATCCTTTTCACCCTCTTTTCCAGGATCCAGTATGGTGTTCTTTACCCAAACGTTTATGGATGAACTAAAACTTATTTCTCTGTTACCATATAGGGTGTTATCAAAACTCATTTCCTTGGGTTTTGTTCTGTCCATCTGGACAGGGAAATAAAGCTTTTTAGAATTCTTCAAAGGCAGAACATCCCAATTCTGACTCCAAACTCCTTTCAGTAAGGTAACCTAAAGATCACAGTAGAAATCAGAGCTCATAGACCCCATATGTGGCTGCCTGCACTGCCCCAGTGTGACAAGACTCAAATGATCTGGACAACAGTGTCCCCCTGTGAAAGCACTTACCCAGGGAGATGGCGATTGGTCTTCTTGAAGCTCTCATAAAGCATGAGTTTTCCAATGACTGATATTTCAGTCATGTTGCAAATGGGAAAAAATGTGTAAGTATATTACATAATGAAGATGTGGCCCATAAGCTCATTTATTTATGAATCACCTCTATCCAGGAAAGCACCAGTTAGAAATCCTGATCTTTTGGGTTTTTTTGTTTTTGTTTTTGTTTTTTTTATTATTATACTTTAAGTTTTAGGGTACATGTGCACAATGTGCAGGTTAGTTACATATGTATACATGTGACATGCTGGTGTGCTGCACCCACTAACTCGTCATCTAACATTAGGTATATCTCCCAGTGCTATCCCTCCCCCCTCCCCCCACCCCACAACAGTCCCCAGAGTGTGATGTTCCCCTTCCTGTGTCCATGTGTTTTCATTGTTCAATTCCCACCTATGAGTGAGAATATGCGGTGTTTGTTTTTTTGTTCTTGCGATAGTTTACTGAGAATGATGATTTCCAATTTCATCCATGTCCCTACAAAGGACATGAACTCATCATTTTTTTGGCTGCATAGTATTCCATGGTGTATATGTGCCACATTTTCTTAATCCAGTCTATCATTGTTGGACATTTGGGTTGGTTCCAAGTCTTTGCTATTGTGAGTAGTGCCGCAATAAACATACATGTGCATGTGTCGTTATAGCAGCATGATTTATAGTCCTTTGGGTATATACCCAGTAATGGGATGGCTGGGTCAAATGGTATTTCTAGTTCTAGATCCCTGAGGAATCGCCACACTGACTTCCACAATGGTTGAACTAGTTTACAGTCCCACCAACAGTGTAAAAGTGTTCCTATTTCTCCACATCCTCTCCAGCACCTGTTGTTTCCTGACTTTTTAATGATTGCCATTCTAACTGGTGTGAGATGATATCTCACTGTGGTTTTGATTTGCATTTCTCTGATGGCCAGTGATGGTGAGCATTTTTTCATGTGTTTTTTGGCTGCATAAATGTCTTCTTTTGAGAAGTGTCTGTTCATGTCCTTCACCCACTTTTTGATGGGGTTGTTTGTTTTTTTCTTGTAAATTTGTTTGAGTTCATTGTAGATTCTGAATATTAGCCCTTTGTCAGATGAGTAGGTTGCAAAAATTTTCTCCCATTTTGTAGGTTGCCTGTTCACTCTGATGGTAGTTTCTTTTGCTGTGCAGAAGCTCTTTAGTTTAATTAGATCCCATTTGTCAATTTTGGCTTTTGTTGCCATTGCTTTTGGTGTTTTAGATATGAAGTCCTTGCCCATGCCTATGTCCTGAATGGTAATGCCTAGGTTTTTTTCTAGGGTTGTTATGGTTTTAGGTCTAACATTGAAGTCTTTAATCCATCTTGAATTGATTTTTGTATAAGGTGTAAGGAAGGGATCCAGTTTCAGCTTTCTACATATGGCTAGCCAGTTTTCCCAGCACCATTTATTAAATAGGGAATCCTTTCCCCATTGCTTGTTTTTCTCAGGTTTGTCAAAGATCAGATAGTTGTAGATACGCGGTGTTATTTCTGAGGGCTCTGTTCTGTTCCATTGATCTATATCTCTGTTTTGGTACCAGTACCATGCTGTTTTGGTTACTGTAGCCTTGTAGTATAGTTTGAAGTCGGGTAGCATGATGCCTCCAGCTTTGTTCTTTTGGCTTAGGATTGACTTGGCGATGCGGGCTCTTTTTTGGTTCCATATGAACTTTAAAGTAGTTTTTTCCAATTCTGTGAAGAAAGTCATTGGTAGCTTGATGGGGATGGCATTGAATCTATAAATTACCTTGGGCAGTATGGCCATTTTCACGATATTGATTCTTCCTACCCATGAGCATGGAATGTTCTTCCATTTGTTTGTATCCTCTTTAATTTCCTTGAGCAGTGGTTTGTAGTTCTCCTTGAAGAGGTCCTTCACATCCCTTGTAAGGTGGATTCCTAGGTATTTTATTCTCTTTGAAGCAATTGTGAATGGGAGTTCCCTCATGGTTTGGCTCTCTGTTTGTCTGTTATTGGTGTATAAGAATGCTACCAGAGGTACAAAGAGGAACTGGTACCATTCCTTCTGAAACTATTCCAATCAATAGAAAAAGAGGGAATCCTCCCTAACTCATTTTATGAGGCCAGCATCATCCTGATACCAAAGCCGGGCAGAGACACAACCAAAAAAGAGAATTTTAGACCAATATCCTTGATGAACATTGATGCAAAAATCCTCAGTAAAATACTGGCAAACCGAATCCAGCAGCACATCAAAAAGCTTATCCACCATGATCAAGTGGGCTTCATCCCTGGGATGCAAGGCTGGTTCAATATACGCAAATCAGTAAATGTAATACAGCATATAAACAGAACCAAAGACAAAAACCACATGATTATCTCAATAGATGCAGAAAAGGCCTTTGACAAAATTCAACAACGCTTCATGCTAAAAACTCTCAATAAATTAGGTATTGATGGGACGTATCTCAAAATAATAAGAGCTATCTACGACAAACCCACAGCCAATATCATACTGAATGGGCAAAAACTGGAAGCATTCCCTTTGAAAACTGGCACAAGACAGGGATGCCCTCTCTCACCACTCCTATTCAACATAGTGTTGGAAGTTCTGGCCAGGGCAATTAGGCAGGAGAAGGAAATAAAGGGTATTCAATTGGGAAAAGAGGAAGTCAAATTGTCCCTGTTTGTAGACGACATGATTGTATATCTAGAAAACCCCACTGTCTCAGCCCAAAATCTCCTTAAGCTGATAAGCAACTTCAGCAAAGTCTCAGGATACAAAATCAATGTACAAAAATCACAATCCTGATCTTTTGAGTGATATTTAATCCAACACTCTTGCTTCTCAATTTCATGGCCTCCTCAGCTACTTACCTCCCTGACCACATCCTAGACATTGTTCACCACTACCCATAAACTCCAAGATCTCTCTATCACAATCCTGCTTTCCCACAGCCATCTTCTCACTTTACAGATGACTAACTCTGGTAAGCACCTGGCCCCATCGAAACCTCCAGTCCTCATCCTCACTACCTAGCACCCACCTCGTGCCCTCCCTATCCAGTCTGGATGCCATGGTCTGCCACCATAGCACCCCCTTGCAACTTGCCCTTCACCACACTCTCAAGCAAAGCTTCAACCCTGGCAAACCTAATCCTCCACCTACTCCATGCAGACCAGCTGAGCATAGCTGGGGAAGACTCTCACCTCTCCTGAAGGATCTTAATTTAAATTTAAGACCACAGGTCTCCAATGGGCCCTTTGGTCTGGCTCAGCTCTGCATCTATTCAAGATGACTGCTTTATTGCTCTCATCACTCTCCTAGCCTCCAAAATATTTTCCTCTTCCTCATTCTCAGCCGATGATCTCTATTCTGATTTCACCAAGAAAGCTGCAGCAATCAGAAGACAATGACCTCATCTTCCGGCCACCAAGTCTTCCAGCAGCCTCCATCCACACACAGGGCTGTGCCTTCTCGACAGCTGAGTGTCTGCCCTGCCTTCACCCAGGGCTGATCCCTGCACATGGGCACCCAGCCCCACCCCTTCTCTTATCCAATGGCTAAATTCCTGCAGTTGTCCCCTCTCTCCCACTTTCCCCCTACTCTACTTCTGTCAGCATCTATGCATGCTGTATTATTATTCGCATCATTAAAAATGCTTTCCCGTGACCCCACATCCCAGTGTCGGAGGCGAGACCGGGCTGATGAGCTGTGTGCTCCCGGATGAACTTCTCGTGCAGATCCTGGCAGAGCGGATACAGGTGGGTCCATGCCACCTGCGCAGAGCTGCAGGGCTTGGCATTCACGCACCATCCCCACACCCTGGACGGAGGTTCTGGGCCATCAGCCACCCACGGCAGCTCGGCAGCCCGGAGGGCAGTCATTTGCTTGTCTTTTTGACAGCTCTTGTCAACCCCCGACGCTGGCCCAGTCTACAGCCTGAAGCCATTCACCTTCTTAAAGGACCAGAGAGCAGAAGACTACACAAAAGTTTTTTTAATGACCAGAAAGAGAGTGATGTGTTAAAAATTACAATGTGGAGCCATTCTAAAAGTTAGAATTTGGAGCTATGTTAATTGCTTCAAAAACACATTTTCAATGTTATTAAGTGAAAAAGAAGTAACTAGGAAATACTGGTTAAAACATAATAACATTCTATATAAATATTTAGAAATGTATACTACACACGTAGTAAAAACTTTTAAAATACATGTTAACCATTGTTATCTTTGGGTAGCAGGATTATAGAATTTTAGTCTTCTTTATACATTTCTGAATTATTTTACAATGACATATTGCTTTTAAAGTCAGAAAAACAGTAACGCTCTTTCTAATTTTTAATTTTTTTTCCATAAGAATTCTACAGTTAAAGACAAGAAAATAAGATCAGCAGGATTGAGGAGGGTATCACTTAAGCCTGTTTCTGCTCATGGTTTGCAGACACAGCTACATTGCTTACCAGGTCCTGGAGCTGGGTGTTTGCTTTGTGTTTTCAACTAGGGCCACAATATTAATTGCAGATTTAAATACAACAAAATTAACTTGACGTTCCCAGAAGAGGAGGAATATCATCACAAGAAAGTTTTTATGTTAAGATTTGCACTGCTACTACATTAAAGGTACATCACTTTCAACTGATTTGAACAAGGTGTTCCCATAAGTGTGCCAATGTTTTAGATACCCAGAGTAAAGGCTGAGAAACACTGGTAAGGCCCCGAAGTAAGCCAGTGGAGCTGTGCTACTCAAAATGCTGGTCTCTGATGACACGTGGAGCTTACAGGGCTTCTTTCATCAACAAAGTCTTGCTACAAAGTTTAGCTGCAGAGAAGGAATGATGTGGCCACGGTACCTGTTCAGTTGCCAGCTGAACCAAATAGTGTGTTTAGTGATACAGGTCATTTACATTCTGACACAAGCTTCTTGTCTCATCAAAAACCTAACGCTCATTCACTGGTGGCCAGTCTATGGGCTATACTTTGAGTAACACTGAGTAAGGCAGAGGCTGTTCTTCAATGGTTACTGTTACCAAAATCATTACGCTCCAAGGCAGTAAGACTAATAAGAAAAATACGAAAGGCCCAGCTGCTCCCCCTGCTGCTTGTGACTCTGTGCTTGGGAGCATCTTTCCCTTTCCATCTCATTTTTGTGTACCTCATGGATCTTCCCAGATCGGCCCTTTAACATTTTTGTTTGTTCATTTATTTCTACAGACAGAATAAACCCTTATTATTGTAATAAAGACCATCTGGCTGGGCGCAGTGTCTCATGCCTGTAATTCCAGCACTTTGGGAGGCCGAGGCAGGTGGATCACCTGAGGTCAGGAGTTCGAGACTAATCTGGTCAACATGGTGAAACCCTGTCTCTACTAAAAATACAAAAATTAGCCGGGCCTGGTGGTGGGCACCTGTAATCCCAGCTACTTGGGAGGCTGAGGCAGGAGAATCACCTGAACCTGGGAGACAGAGGTTGCAGTGAGCCGAGATTGCACCACTGCACTCCAGCCTGGGCGCTGGAGTGACCGAGGGAGACTCTGTCTCAAAAAAAAAAAAAAAAAAAAAAAAAAAGACGGGCTGATTAAACATTTTTATTCTTTTCTTTTATTTTATGACAGCACCTTGGATTTAGCAAGCAGAAAGGCATGGTGTTTGCATTGGGGCCCAGTAGGTCTGCAGAACCCTTTGCAGCCCCAGTAAAAGCATAAACAGAACAAATGAGGTTGTGGCCATAGTAACTGTCTTTGCTCTCTCTGGTTTCAGCTGAGTGACTGCTACCGAGGAGTGGTGTTTGATGGCCTCGACACTCTCTTTGCTCGGAATGCTGCAGCCGCCCTCCTCTGCCTGCTGAAGGCCATTGGCAGCCGGGAGCATATATACATTCTCAACATGGCCCAGGATTACGCAGCCATGAAGGCCCGGGAGAAAGCCAAAAAGGAGCAAGAAGGCAAGGCCTCCTACCTTTCCATTGGGCTTAAGTGAAACTTTGACATTTGCTATTCCGTTGGCGCCTCACCTCTGCCCTGTAAGGTGGCCAGGAGTTGTATTTCTGCTTTGCTAGGAGGGAACTGGGACGCGAGTGGCTGGCTGGGAAGTTCTATGATGAACGCTTTGCTGACAGCAGGTGCATTCCTGCTTCCCTCCCATCACACTGTACCCCTCCATCCTTTCTGCAATTACAGCCATTTTGGGTCCCATCCTGACTCAGGCAACTGATTTCCTTGTTGGTTTTGTTTAAGCCAACTGTGCATTTCTCATAAAACTCACGGTGCTAATACATTTTCCAAAACATTTACACCTTAGCCTGCTGCACACCAGGCACCGTAGCAGATATTTTGTATACTTTGGGACATTTAATCCTCACAATTACCCTGTGAATCTTGTCCCCATTTTACACTAAAGGAGAATGTAGCTCAGAGATAGCAAAAGTCTTGTGCCAAATCACATTGCCAATTAGTAGGAGAACCGGGTGCATGTAATTCTAAACCCTTTGCTTTTCCTATCCTTATGCCAATGGCCTGAGAAAAATTTTAATAACTGAAAGGTTTGATTGAAAGATAGGTACACACACACACAAGTAATGTTAGCTTAAGTTCCCAATGTAGTCAGAAGCAGCCCCAGCAAATCTTGGCCCCCCAGGGCAGGGGTTGAAGGACAGAGGCTGGTGGCGCTGTCCACGGGAGTCAGAGCCCCACCTCCCAGGAGCTTCGGCTCCAGCCACACGACTGCCCTTCCTCACTCCGGCTTACCGCTCCCTTCTAACACTATCTACTCAAATCATAATGCTTTTCCAATTAAGGAAATACTTACAAACACTGGGCTGTCGAAGTCCTTGAACAGAACTCAAAGTCAGCTTCTTTATAGTCTCATCCTGAGAAAAATCTGGAGCAGTGACCAGGCATCCCTCAGCAGTCATCCAGCCTCCAGCTGCCTGGTTTTCCAGAAAGCTCATTTCTCCATACTGATCCACTTGAAAATAATTACCACTTCTCCTTTTCCCACTTATCTTCAGAATGAAATTTCTCCCAGTTAAACTGTGGGCTCCTCTCCCCTAAATCATCTAAATTGAAATGTCCTAAGATGGTATACGGTCAAACTATTATTACACTAAAATCTCATGTTTGTCGAACATCTATGAACATGCCAGGCACTGGGGAAAGCACTTTACATGATCGCTTATTTAATCTCTACAACGGCCGTATGTTTTTATTCTTATCTGTGATTATCTCTTGATAAGTGGCCGGGAAGGAGCTCAAATGCAGGTGTCTGAGTCCACAGCTCAAACTTGCGAGGATGACGGTGAGAATGCTGTGCTAGGGAGGTGTGAGGAAGGAGCTGGTGCCTTTGTCCTAAGTGTGAATCACATGCCTAGACCTGGAATCCGTAGGGCAGGGCAGGGAATTTCCCTTGGTGTGCAAATGGCCCTGTCACCATGAACCCGTTAGTGGCATATGCTCATAATGAGTCAAGTCAGTGGGTGGTATATGAGTCTTCTATCATTGCTGTGACAAATGACCACTGTCTTAGTCTTTTCAGACTGCCATAACAAAATTCCATAGATTGGGTCGCTTATCAGCAACAGACATTTATTTCTCACAGTTCTGGAGGCTGGCAAGTCCAAGATCAAGGTGCCAACAGAAACAGTGTCACCTTCTGGTCACAGAAAGCATCTTCTCACTAAGTCCTGAAACAAGCTCCCTCAGGCCTCTTATAAGGACACTAATCCCAGCCATGAGGACTCTATCCTTGTGACCTAGTCACCTCCCTAAGGCCCTTCTTAATACCATCCCCTTGGGGAATTCAGTTTCAACATAGGAATTTCGAGGGGGCACAAACATTTACACCATAGCAACCACAAACTTGGTTACTTAACACAACATAGAAATGTATTGTCTTACACTTCCGGGGTCAGAAGTCCTAACATCTTTCCCTGCCACTTATTAAGGGATAATCACAGATAAGAATGATAACTCCTCCCTCCTAGGGCTGTTGTGGAGATTAAATAAGCAATCATGTAAAGTGCCTTCCCCAGTGCCTGGCATGTTCATACATGTTAACAAACATGAGATTTTAATGTAATAGTAGTATGACAGTATGCTACCTTAGGACATTTCAAATGCAGATGATTTAGGGGAGAAGAGCCCACAATTTAACCAGGAGAAATTTCATTCCAAAGATAACGGGGAAAATGAGAAGTGGTAATTATTTTCAAGTGGATCATTATGGAGAAATGAACTTTCTGGAAAACGAGGCAGCTGGAGGCTTGATGACTGCTGAGGGATGCCTGGTCATTGCTCCAGACTTTTCTCAGCAGGGCCACGTTCCTTTTTTGGCTGTTAGGTAGCCCCTTTTTCTTGTCTTTTCTGGCTTCTAGAGGCCTTCTGCACTCCTTGGCTCCTGGCCCCTTCCTTGCAGCCCTCTGACCCCTGCTCCTACTATCACATCATCACTATCTCTGACTGACTCTCCTGCATCCCTCGAAAGGACCCTTATAATTAGACTGGGCCCCCCAAAATAATCTGCCCACCTCAAGATCCTTAAATTTAATCACATCTGCAGAGTCCCTCTGCTATGGAAGACAACACGGTCACAGGTTCTGAGTAATCTGATATGGGCATCTTTGGGGGCCACTGTTCAGCCACCTGCAGACAGAGCCCAAATGTGGAAGTGCATGGATGAAGGGACCCCCCCACCCCTGCAACCAGGGATGAGGCAGACCAGGCGCCGCACCAGCTGCCCCACACTAAGACCCTACTCCGCCTGCTTAGGCTGCTAGCGAGACTGGGAAGGACTTTTCCTCACCTTCCCGTCTCTGTTCCCCTCACAGAACGCAAGCACAAGGGAGCTCTTGAGAAAGAGAAGGAGGGTCTCCAAAACATGGATGAGGAAGAATATGATGCCCTGACTGAGGAGGAGAAACTCACATTCGATCGGGGGATTCAGCAGGCGCTCCGCGAGCGGAAGAAGAGGTCAGGGCCAAGGGCTGGCCAGAGCAGAAGCCATTCCCCCGGGACCGTCCCCACAGAGTGACCAGGACCGGGGTGTGAGCCCAAGCCATCTTCCAGGCAGGCAGCAGGAGCTGCAGAAGGCCCTGGAAGGTGACCTGCAAGGAGCAGAAAGATGCATCCCGCCCATCGAGGGTGCTGGCTGCTGCACCATTCAGGGTTTCTCCCACTCTCCTTATTTCTCACTGGCGGGCATTTGGGACCAGGCTGTAATGTCATGGGTGGCCCTGGGAGAGGGGCCACTGGCCTCTGTGCTGCCCTGGGGCCCCTGCTGGCCCCCCCGACCAGCACCCCCGCGTGTGGCTTATCAGCCTCTGTGCTCACTGCCTCGGTGCTTCAATGTCCACAGCTGGTGATACAGGGTCCACTCTATTGACCTGGGCATAGTGACTGCTCCCCAAATCTCAGCCCTTCCTCCCCCTGCCTGGGTCCCCTTCTTGGCCTTGGGTGGTGCTGCCCATCCCCTGAGGTCTAGCTGCCATGGGATCCTCAGCCTGGGCAGATCCTCAATCCTGGGACTGTGGGCAGACTCACAAGCCAGCACCCTCAGCCACTTTCTCTGCCCCTCACTGGGAACCACACAGAAACTACTCGATCCCCCAATGCCTCCTAGTGCCCAGGATACTTAGGACTGCCACCTCGGGCTATCTCAGAGGGATGGGAACAGTGGGACATGTGTCCTTTCTGCCCTCAGATCTTCAAAGATTGCAGGGATGGGGTGGGGGGCAGTGGTTCTATTTCCTACCTCCTCCCTGGGATTTCAGGCGCTGGAGGTACAGAGCCTAGATACTCACCTACTATTTACCCTGTTCTCTCCTCCAGCTCCACACTTCTCCCACTGACCTGAAACAGCTTTTGCCCTCCCTGCTGCTACAGTATGTCCTAATCTTTTTTTTTTTTTTTTTTTTTTTTTTTTTGAGACAGACTCTTGCTCTGTCATCCAGGCTGGAGTTCCTCCATCACGCCTTGAGTGGCACAATCTCAGTTCACTGCAACCTCCACCTCCTGGGTTCAAGCAATTCTCCTGCCTCACTCTCCCAAGTAGCTAGGATTACAGGCATGTACCACCATGCCCGGCCAATTTTTTTGTATTTTTAGTAGAGACGGGTTTTCATCATGTTGGCCAGGCTGATCTCGAACTGAACTCCTGGGATCAAGTGATCTGCCTGCCTCAGCCTCCCAGTGTGCTGAGATTACAGGCGTGAGCCACAGCGCCCAGCTGGGTGTGCCCTGATCTTTCTGTGGCATGGTCCACTATAGAAATGCCCAGTCCTCCAGAGTTACAGAAAGCCTTGCTTTGAGATTTTAGAGGAAACTCGTTTTTCACCAGGGCTGTTGCTTTCAGGCATTCATCTCATGGTGGACTTGGAAAATGCAAATTTGATTCTCAAAGTGCAGCAACAACTTGTTTGTGTCACACCACACACGCACACACACACACACACGCACACACACACACCATGAAGTAAATGAGTTTGCTTCAGTGGGCAGAGAGCCATGGCAACCGGAAACAATTAGGAATTCCTGGATGAAAATAGCTGGGTTAACTATTTTCAGAAGTACCATTCCCTCACTTGTTTGTGCTTGGTGCTTGGCTTTGGTCCACTCTCTGCTGTCAGCAGCAGGGGCAGGAGCAGTTGAATGACAGCGGAAAGGGAAAGAGAGGGTGGAGGAGGGGAACACGGCTTTCAGACTGAGCACCATGGCTCTGAGCTAGCCACCATAGAAACTGCTTTGAAAATACCGTTTCTGGCTGGGCGCAGTGGCTCATGCCTGTAATACTAGCACTTTGGGAGGTCAAGGTAGGAGGATCACCTGAGGTCATGAGTTCGAGACCAGCCTGGCCAACATGGCGAAACCCCGTCTCTACTAAAAATACAAGTTAGCCGGGCATGTTGGTGCACACCTGTAATCCTAGCTACTCAGGAGGCTTAGGCAGGAGAACTGCTTGAACCCGGGAGGTGGAGGTTGCAGTGAGCTGATCACACCACTGCACTCCAGCCTGGGTGACAGAGCGAGACTCTGTCAAAAAAAAAAAAAAAATTCTTATTTTCTGAACAGCAAACATGCTCAGCTATGGGAGGCGGGCCTCATCTGCACTAATACCAGAACAATCTTTGAAAGTTGCTTTTTTTAAGTGCTAATATCAAGCTTATTTTCAGCCTTTTTCTCACTCTCCCATGAGAGGAGATTGGACTCAAAATACAGATTAATGGAGAATTCCTCCTAGTTGAGTTTCAATAAATCAGAGTCTTGATGAATGACCATTCAAACATAGATGGTAGTCATTTTTTCTTTCTTTCCTTCTCTTCCTTTCTCCTTTCCTTCCACATATCCAGCTTACTTTGTTCTTTCTTTTTATGCCCAAGAAAGCTCTGCCCAATGTCCCTCCACCTGGAAATCCCAGGCAGCAGAGGGGTGAGGCATGGGGGCCCCTGAACTGTTTTTTCTCTGCCTGGTTTGATGAAGGGAGCAGGAGAGGCTGGCAAAGGAAATGCAAGAAAAGAAGCTACAGCAGGAGCTGGAGCGACAAAAGGAAGAGGATGAGCTGAAACGGAGGGTCAAAAAAGGAAAGCAGGGACCCATTAAGGAGGAGCCCCCCATGAAGAAATCTCAAGCAGCAAACAAGCAGGTAACAGCCTCACTTACTCCTTGCCAGGAGACAGAAGCAGAGGGCAGCCTGGTGCATTCCCCTTCCAGGAAATTAGCCTGATCATGTTGGGATTTTGTGGTGGGGCAGAAGGCAGGAGGAAAGGGACCAACGTTTGTTGAATGTTGATTGTATGTGAAGTGTTGTGCCTGTGTCATACATAATCCTCTCACCCTGTGAGGTTCAGAGATATGAAGATGCAGATCCAGGTCCTCACCCAGTTGGGTCTGGCCACAGCCCTTGCTCCTTCCACTGCCCCCTGCAGGGCCCAGGATGGTGCCAAATAGGCTACTATTAAAGATGTGTTCCCAGGAAGCCACAAAGCCAGTGAGCCCATGTGTCCAATCAGGAGCATACCCTTGGCAACCGTCAAGGAGATGCTTCGGCATGAGCCTATCCTCGCAGGCAAGTGCCAGTAGTTTATCAGCCTGCCAAGCACAGCAGTCACCTCCCTGCTCCCTGTGGCACTGGAAGGGCAGAGTGGCTAGAGGAGCCCCCAGAGTGATGATCCTGGCTGAAGGTTGTGACCAGCTGGTGTGGGCAGCCACGAGTCCTGAGGGTGAAGCTATAACCAGTCTCCAGACAGGGTACAGACTGGTCCAAGTAGGTGAGTGAAAGACAGTGACAGTGGGTGGGCAGAGAAATTAGTGTGCAGCGGTCTCAACCAGGGAGTGCTCAGGAAGGAGCAGGATCTAAGCATACAGAACTAGGCACAGATTTGGGATGCCTGATACTGACCTGAAGGAAATCTATGACATCTCAGGCTGAGAACAAAAGGGGGTCCCTAAGAAAAAATTACCAGGACTGATCCCTGCCTCTCCCCGGTGATTTTGTACATGAAGCCAGCAGGGAGAATTTGTGTACCTGTGTGTTTCAGCCATTATTTTTGCCATTAAAC
This sequence comes from Homo sapiens, assembly GCF_000001405.40. NCBI lineage: Eukaryota > Metazoa > Chordata > Mammalia > Primates > Hominidae > Homo > Homo sapiens. Next base: position 146,780,321 of record NC_000001.11, read on the forward strand.
AAAGTCAATTTCTTATGTGGCATAAGTTCAGGATAATCTATGCAGAAGTTATCTACCAAGCTTGCTTTTAAAAGACAACATTTCATTCATCATTAAAAGAAAGACTATTTGCAGCACAATTAACCTCAAATTATACCCACTGACTCCATCATTGGTGTCTCCATCTGGAATCTGTTTTAAGTAGGAGCATGTGGATTTTCCTATTTTAGTGTCAGTTCAAGTTGCTGTCACCTGACCACCCACCCCCAGCCCCCGACCCCAGACCCCACTACCAGATTCAGGGCAGGTACTTTTGTATGTGCTCTGTTGACCTTGGATGGAGGTGATAAGGACCTTATGACAGTCATCCATTTGGAGACAGGCTTGTGTATCACTTGAGCTTAGTACAAAACACAATCAATCATGTTCCCTAGGGGGACTTCTTGAGACTCTTGGACTAATGCGGTTGCCTGGTCTGAAAACACTTAAGCTGAAGAAAAACTTCTGAGACTAGATGCATTCTCAGGAAGTGAAAGAAAATTCCAGGGGGAGTGCCAAGGTGAAAGGGAATGACTAAAGACCTTCCTGCTTCCTCATCAAAAGGACTGCTCTATTTCTTGGACCGTCAGCACACCTGTTTTCCTCTCTGCTCTGGCTTCAGCTCTTCTCACAGGCTTTGAAGATGTTCTCAAGAATCACCCACCTTTAAAATGAAAAAAAAAAAAAGTTTTCTTCAACCCTGGTGCCCCCGACGAGCACCCCATTTCTCTCCTTCCCTTCATGCTTGTCTCCACTTGCTGGCTTTGCCTCGTCACCCCTCATTTCTGCCTCCCCGTTTCCTACCCTGATTCCTGTCTCCACCACTCCCTCGAATCCAAGGCTCCAGCCTCTCCATTTCCAGATCTAATGGGCATGGGTTAGGCCTTGACTTGCTTGACGTCCTCCTCCATGAGCTTCACACTGTGGATCGTACCCTCCTTGGATCGCTCTTGTTTCCTAGCATCCTGGTCCGCCCTTTCTGGCTTTCCTCCTTCTCCCTGGTTTCTTTCTGGACCCGCCTCCATCCATCCTTAGTCACTCTGCAGGTTTCCAGCGTCAGCCTTTGTCTCTTCCTGCTTGGTCTAAGGCTGACCCCCATCCCATGCATGACTTCAGTGCTACCTGATCATACATAATGGGTTGGAGGAAGAGAGGAGGGGAGTCAGGAAAAGCTTGCAAATTCCAAAACGAAGTGAAGGGCATTCCAGGCAGAGGGACAGCCCAAAAGAGGGAGGAGAGAAAGGCAGGAGCCACATGAAAAAGAGCTAAACCAATGTTTTAACAACTTATAGCTACTGTGTGCTGAATTCCTGCTATGTGACACTCCCTGCTGGGAACTGTGAATAGATCCCATCACCATCTATCTCCAGTCTCCACAACACCCGCTGAGGGAGATATGATCATCACCATCATTTTGGAGATGAGGAAGCTGGAATGCAGCACAGTTAAGTGATGCACCCAAGGTCACATGGCCAGAAGGCGGTGGGGGCAGGCCCAATTTGTCCAACTCCAAAGCAGGCACTCCTTTTCCTGGTTCTTGCACTGCCTCCCAAGCCCTTAGTCCATCCATGGCTCCTGACACTTCTTCAGGTTGTCCCTCGGACACTGGTAACTCAACACGGCCCACACCAAGCTCATCATCTATGCTGCCTTTCTTCCAGACCTCTTCCTGGCCCTATATTCCTCCCCAACCCTTCTTTCAGCTCCCAGGCCCAAATCCCAGAGTCACCCTGACCCTGTCACTTCTGCACCTTCACCCCAAGACCCACCAGGAGCCCTGTGAGGGAGTCCCCCTCCTAAATTGTTCTCAAGCCCGTCCCAGACTAGGGCTCTCCTTTCTTCCCCGTCCCCAGCTGTCTCACCCGTCTTTGCTGTGGTACTGTGTAGCTACATGGTAATTCCATCATCACACCCCCTGGTTTTCTGGTTCTGGAAACAGGATGGGGAAGAGGACACAGTTTGCAGAAACATAAAGTGTATTTTTCTGTTTTTCTTGCTTGTTGCCAAATTAGTTTAATATCCATGGAAGGAAATCATAGTGGAGAGACCAAAAGTGTCTCACTTAGAGCGGAATCTTTGTACATATCCATGCTTACTTCCTTAGGATACATTTCTAAACATGTCATTCCAGGGTTGAAAGGTGTGTATTTTACCCCTGACCTCACAGGCTATAGGTTTTAGCATTCCTTTTAATCCTTGCTGATTAGATTCGATGGGTGAACAACTGAATATTTTTATTGCTTGGATTTGCATTTCTTGAATTGTTAATTAGGTGAACCTTTAAAAAAAAACATGCTGGTTGGCCACTGAACTCCTCTTCAGGATTTTATTTAAACATCCCAGCAAGGCCTTCCCTGGCCACTCTATTTAAAATTGAATAAGACAAAAGCAAAAACAAAACAAACAAATGAAAACCAACAAAAAAAAACCCCACTTCTTAGCCCCTTCCCTGTCTTCTTAGCACTCATCACCATCTCACATACCATAGATTTTTATGTGATTTTGTCTGCCTACCTGCCCCTGCAAAATATAAGCCTCATGAAGGCTGAGGCTTTTGTCTGTTTTGATCACTTAATGAGTCTCCCACCTGGCAGAAAGGTGCTCAAAAATATTTGTTTTATGTGTGGGTATGTTTTTGTTTATTTTTTATTTCTTTATTTTTTGAGACAGAATCTTGCTCTGTCGTCTAAGCTGGAATGCAGTGGCTTGATCTCGGCTCACTGCAACCTCCGCTTCCCATGTTCAAGTGATTCTCCTGCCTCAGCGTCCCGGGTAGCTGGGATTACAGGCGCCCGCCACCACACTCGGCTAATTTTTATATTTTTAGTAGAGACAGGCTTTCACCATGTTGGCTAGGCTGGTCTCGAACTCCTGACCTCAGGTGATCCACCCACCTCAGCCTCCCAAAGTGCTGGGATTACAGGTGTGAGCCACTGCGCCTGGCCAATCACTTTTTTTTTTTATTTTGTGGATTGTTTTTACCTTTTTTTTTTTTTTTTTTTTTTTTGATACAAGTCTCGCTCTGTCGCCCAGGCTACAGTGCAGTGGTGGGATCTCGGCCGCAACCTCCACCTCCTGGGTTCAAGCGCTTCTCCTGTCTCAGCTTCCCAAGTAGCTGGGATTATAGGCACCCACCACCATGCCTGGCTAATTTTAGTATTTTTTGTAGAGACAGGATTTCACCATATTGGCCAGGCTGGTTTTGAACTCCTGACCTCAAGTGATCCATCCACCTTGGCCTCCCAAAGTGCTGGGATTACAGGCATGAGCCACCACACCCAGCCTGTTTTTACCTTTCTAATCGGAAGATTTCCTTCCATCTAATAGCCTACTGCTCTTTAAATGTTTATCCTATAAAATGAAATCTGCTGGTGATTCTGATTTTCTCTATATCAGCTTTTCAAATCTGAATATGCACGCAAATCACCTAGGGATCCTGTTAATATGCAGAGAGGTTCCGATTCCGTAGGTCTGGGCTGGGGCATGAGACTATATTTCTAACAAGTCCCAGGTCACATTCATGCTGCTGGCTCTTGGGTCACACTCTGAGTAGCAAGGCTCTAAGCAGTTGCCTAGCAGCCAACACTAACGTTAGCAAAAGCACAGTCTCAAGTGGATATATTGTCAGGAATCTTTAAACTGCAAGAAATAGAAGACTCAATTCAGGCCATCTGTGGTGGTGTGCACCTGTAGTCCCAGCCACTCAGGAGGCTGAAACAGGAGGATTGCATGAGCTCAGGAATTTGAATCCAGCCTGGACAACACAGCAAGACCCTGTATTAAAAAAAAAAAAAAAAAAAAAAAAAAAAAAAAAAAAAAAAACAGAAGAAAGAGAGACAGAAAACCCAATTCAAAAAACGTTAAAAAAAATGTATTTGCTCACATGTATGAAAATTCATGGCTTGTTCCTTCCTGAATTCTTATTTCAGATACTGTATTTTTCACTTCTAAAATTTCCACTTGGTTCTTTTTAAATTTTTCAATTTATCTGCTTGAATTTCCTTCTGCCTTACTGATCATAGTTATAATAGCTGCATATAGTTCTTGTCTGACAGTTCCTCCATCTGAGTCATCTCAGGGTTGGCATAGTTGACTGTCTTTTCCTTTGAGAATTTGTCACAGTTTCCTGACTCTTCATATGACAAGTAATTTTGTATCACATCCTGGAATTTTTTAATGTTATGTTGCAGACTCTGTATTGTATTATAATTCTCCAAAGAATGTTGATATTTTAGGTTTAACAGACAATTAAGCTTGGTTGGATCAAGTTTTGGTCTTTTGCATCTGCAGTGGTCAGTGACTAAGATGTCAGTTCCATTCTTTAGACCTTAATTACAAATTGCTTCCAGTTTGCCCCCCACACACATAGTTCAAGAGTCAGCCAGCCAGAGATTTAGGCTGCTTATACAGAAAATGCGGGGTTCCTCTTCTTTGGCTCTCTCTCCTTTCTGGGGTTTCCCCTTCACTCTCTGGAGGCTCTGAATGCTCCAGGACTTCTTTCTGTGGCTCCTCTAGAATGAAGATTGGTGGGTCTTTCTTTTTTTTTTCTTTTGAGACAGAGTCTCACTCAGTCGCCTAGGCTGGAGTGCAGTGGCGCAATCTTGGCTCACTGCAACCTCCGCCTCCCAGGTTCAAGCCATTCTCCTGCCTCAGCCTCCCAAGTAGCTGGGACTGCAGATGTGTGCCACCATGCCCGGCTAATTTTTGTATTTTTAGTAGAGACGGGGTTTCGCCATGTTGGCCAAGATGGTGTGGAACTCCTGACCTCAGGTGACCCTCCCACCTCGGCCTCTGAAAGTGCTGGGATTACAGGCATGAGCCACTGTGCCCAGCCCGGTTGGTGGTTTTTTCTATTGTGGTGTGGCCACCAGCCACTACACTGCCATGACTATCTTCAGTGTAAAGCCATGAAAAAGGAGGAAGAGGACTTACTTTATGCAACTCTCTTATTCCGAGTTTCAACAGCCCCTTTAAAAACTGCCTAATTTGTTTTTAGTCTCTAGAGCTCTCAGGGAGTTATGTTTCTATTTCATTCAGTCTGTAGCTGTTATGTATGGGACAATCAGTTTGCTGGTTGTTCATTTCCACGCATGAGAACCATAAACCCCCATGCAGAGTTCTTTGCCTGCATCTCTTGGCTCACCTGTGCTGGTTCCAGTCTCTGACTGATGCCCTCCACGTGAGAGCCCCCGAAAGTTCTGGCTTAGATTCGCCTAAATCCAAACCCAGCTGGAAAGGAGTGCTTCGTTAAACACCATTTTGGCCACAGTGCTGGCTTTCACTCTCACTGGAGAGTGCCATGTGCCTGCTCTGAACCAGTCCCCTTGGCCAGGGGGATGCCATTCTGTGACTGGTCAGTTCTGAATCTGCTTGCTCCTGGAGGAAGAGGTATTGCACAGAGCAAGAATCAAGGATGGGAAAATAAAGGGATGTTGGAAAAGAAAAAAACATCACAGAACCAGCTATAATGGGAGACAGGAAAGGAAGTGAGAAATACACCTGTCAGTCTGGAAACTCAAAGACTAATCTGTGAAGCTATGAATTTGTCATATACCCTCTGGGCCAAAGTTTCCTTATCTCATCCCTAGATGATCTCTAAGTTCCCTTCCTGCTCCAGTCTTCTCTGTCCTCTTGAAAAGCCTGTTATCTCTTAAAATTTTTGTTTCAGAAATCTAACCAAAAAAGTGCACTTCAACTAAATCTGATCCTCGTTGTTGTTGTTGTTGTTTTGTTTTGTTTCTTCAGATGGAGTTTCACTCTTGTCGCCCAGGCTGGGGTGCAATGGCACAATCTCTGCTCACTGCAACCTCTACCTCCCAGGTTCAAGCTATTCTCCTGCCTCAGCCTCCCGAGTAGCTGGGATTACAGGCATGCACCACCACGCCCAGCTAATTTTTGTATTTTTAGTAGAGACAAGGTTTCACCATGTTGATCAGCCTGGTCTCAAACTCCTGACCTCAGGTGATCCACCTGCCTTGGCCTCCCAAAGGGCTGGGATTACAGGCGTGAGCCACCGCGCCCAACAAAAATAATCCTGTTTTAAACAAATGGATGATGATTTCTCACTGAAGAAGAAGAAAGCCTTGCATCTGGCCATCGTCCTTGTTTCTACTTTGAACTTTCCTTTGCTTCCTTCTTCTTTCTCTTTTCTGTCAAAAATCTTCCTCTCTATCCTCCAGCTCAATCTTAAACCCAATTCCATCCCTCTCAATTTGCCTTCCTCCCTCAAATAAGCCCTTGCCAGCCATCATTTCTTACTCCAAATCTATAAAAGCAAATTTCTCCCAAATGTTATTCCTTAAAAAGAAAGTTTACCTTTATGTTTATATTTTGGATCAATGGTTTCTTTTGTATTGGCTGTTATTTACTAAAGTACAATTGAACAAAGCCTAGTGGAAATTTGATCCATGTAATCACTTGACTAAATAGTGTGTTAATAGACTAGAAAGAGTCTTATTTTCCTCAGCCATCACCTTCAAGTGTTTCTGTTGAAGATGCAAGAGTCTTAGAATAATTTAACCTCATTTAACCACATGGACCCATTGACCCTGTTTTTTGTTTTTTGTTTTTTTTTTAGGCTGGAGTGCTTGGCGTGATCACCACTCACTGCAGCCTTGATCTCCCCCAGGCTCAGGTGATCTTCCCACCTCAGCCTCCCGAGTAGCTGGGACTGCAGGCGTGCACCACCACGTCTGGCTAATTTTTTTGTAGAAATGTGGTTTTGCCATGTCGCCCAAGCTGTTCTCAAACTCCCGGGCTCAAGCAGTCCACCCGCCTCGGCCTCCCAAAGTGCTACCCTCTTCTAAATTATATGCTAATGTAGTTATGTATTTGAATTCTCACTATATATTTTTTAATGCACAAACATTATTGATTAAAACAATCAATTTGCATTTATTTTTACCTAAATGCCCATTTATCAATATTTATCAATATGCATTTCTCAGCACCCTCCTAAACACTCTTTAACTGCTTTCTACATCTCTTGTGTCTGTTTTCTTTTACCTAAAGAACATTCCTGGGTGTCTGTTTTTTTTTTTAGGTACAGGTTCTTTGGCAACAAATTACTCAAGTTTTGCTTGTCCGAAATGTCTTTACTTCACCTTGATGTTTCGAGGGTGTTTTTTTCTAGGCAGGCCTCTAGGTTGCCAGCCATTTTTCTTCAGCACTTTGATGATATTATTTTTCTATCTTTGTCTTCCATGTGGCTGTTGAGATGTCGGCTGTCAGCATGATTGTGCTCCTTCTGTGTTAGCCTTGATGCAGGGCAGGTGAGCCCCACAGTGGGGCTTAGCCCGGAGGGTTCTTGGCTTTGCCCAGGAAAGTATTCAAGGGCAAGCTGGAGGTAGAAGAAAACAGCTTTATTGAAGAGGCAGTGTGACCGTTCTGTGACTGCTCCTGCCCAGCACTTTGACTGCTCCTGCCCAGCAGGGCTACCCTGTAGGCAGAGAGTAGCAGCCCAGGACAGTTTACAGTAGTATTTATACGACTGTAGTTGCATGCAGATGAAGGGGCAGTATAGCAGAAATTTCTAGGGAAGAGGTCTTTTGGGTCATTGAGTCATTGCCCTGAAAGGGGTGGTAACTCCTGGGTGTTGCCATGGCAGTGATATATTGACATGGCACACTGGTGGGCATGTCTGATTGGAAAGCTGTTTCCACCCCCACCCTGTTTTAGCGAGTCCTCAATCTGGTCCAGTGTCTGAGCCCCGCCTCCTACCTCATTCTGACTCTAACTGCCTTTAAGATGTTTCTCTTTGTTTTTAAGGTCTCAACACCTTTAAGATGTCGAGTCTTCATTCAGTAATTTACTATGATTTGCCTAGGTGTGGTTTTCTTTGTATTTTATCCTACTTGGGGTTTATAGTGATTCTTGAATATGTGGGCTGGGAACCATTAGCCACTAACTCTTCCAGATTTCTTCTCCATTCTTTCTCTCCTCTCCATCTAGGATTCCAATCATAAATGTGCTAGGCCTTTTTGCAAACCTTTCACAGTAATATATGTCCGTTGTGCTTTTTCTATGTTCTACATACTTTTGTCCTCTCTTTATACTGAATATTTTCTTCTGACATACGGTCTAGTTCACTGTCTTTTTTTCAGTGAGGTCTAACCTGCTATTCAAACTTCCTTTCAGTTTTTCATTTTGTTATTGCATTAAAAAGCCATTAATTCTTTTCTTACTATTTCTAGTTCTCTTTAAAATTCTCACTTCTCAATAGTGTCTTAATTCCCTCAGCATATTAAATATGTTTTAAAGTCCTTGTCTTATAGTGCCATACGTAGATCCCCAGCAGTCTGGTCTCCCGTCTGTCTTTTGCTCTTGCTTTATGGTCACATGGTTTTGTCTCTTTAGATGCCAAGTATTTTTTTTTTATTATTATACTTTAAGTTTTAGGGTACATGTGTACAATGTGCAGGTTAGTTACATATGTATACCTGTGCCGTGCTGGTGTGCTGCACCCATTAACTCGTCATTTAGCATTAGGTATATCTCCTAATGCTATCCCTCCCCTCTCCCCCCACCCCACAACAGTCCCCAGAGTGTGAGGTTCCCCTTCCTGTGTCCATGTGTTCTCATTGTTCAATTCCCACCTATGAGTGAGAACATGCGGTGTTTGGTTTTTTGTCCTTGCAATAGTTTACTGAGAATGATGATTTCCAATTTCATCCATGTCCCTACAAAGGACATGAGCTCATCATTTTTTATGGCTGCATAGTATTCCATGGTGTATATGTGCCACATTTTCTTAATCCAGTCTATCATTGTTGGACATTTGGGTTGGTTCCAAGTCTTTGCTATTGTGAATAGTGCCGCAATAAACATACGTGTGCATGTGTCTTTATAGCAGTATGATTTATAGTCCTTTGGGTATATACCCAGTAATGGGATGGCTGGGTCAAATGGTATTTCTAGTTCTAGATCCCTGAGGAATCGCCACACTGACTTCCACAATGGTTGAACTAGTTTACAGTCCCACCAACAGTGTAAAAGTGTTCCTATTTCTCCACATCCTCTCCAGCACCTGTTGTTTCCTGACTTTTTAATGATTGCCATTCTAACTGGTGTGAGATGATATCTCACTGTGGTTTTGATTTGCATTTCTCTGATGGCCAGTGATGATGAGCATTTTTTCATGTGTTTTTTGACTGCATAAATGTCTTCTTTTGAGAAGTGTCTGTTCATGTCCTTCGCCCACTTTTTATGGGGTTGTTTGTTTTTTTCTTGTAAATTTGTTTGAGTTCATTGTAGATTCTGGATATTAGCCCTTTGTCAGATGAGTAGGTTGCGAAAATTTTCTCCCATTTTGTGGGTTGCCTGTTCACTCTGATGGTAGTTTCTTTTGCTGTGCAGAAGCTCTTTAGTTTAATTAGATCCCATTTGTCAATTTTGGCTTTTGTTGCCATTGCTTTTGGTGTTTTAGACATGAAGCCCTTGCCCATGCCTATGTCCTGAATGGTAATGCCTAGGTTTTCTCCTAGGGTTTTTATGGTTTTGGGTCTAATGTTTAAGTCTTTAATCCATCTTGAATTGATTTTTGTATAAGGTGTAAGGAAGGGATCCAGTTGACAAACCTGAGAAAAACAAGCAATGGGGAAAGGATTCCCTATTTAATAAATGGTGCTGGGAAAACTGGCTAACCATATGTAGAAAGATGCCAAGTGTTTTTTTTAAAGATAGGGGTCTTGCTTGCCCAGGCTGGTCTAGGACTGCTGGCCTCAAGCAATCCTCCCATCTCAGCCTCCCAAACTGCTGAGATTACAGGCATGAGCCACCATGCCCACCCCAGGTTTTTATCAAGGGCCAGATATTGAACAGAAAAAACGTTTTGAGGCTCTGGAAGATGTTGTCTCCCTCCAGAGAGAATCACTGTTTGATGCTGGCAGTCAGCTAGGCTAGGAGCACTAGAAACCTTGACTCAATCAGGACTGAGATCATTTTAAACTGAGCTTCAGTCCCTGGGAGGGCGGGGCTATTTCAGGTGGACCTTTTTTTTCTTTTTCTTTTTCTTTTTTCCACTGTTATTTTAAGTACGGGGGTACACGTGCAGGATGTGCAGGTTTGTTACATAGGTAAACGTGTGCCGCCATGGTTTGCTGCACAGATCATCCCATCACCTAGATGTTAGGCCCAGCGTTTATTAACTATTCTTCCTGATGCTCTCCCTCGTCCTGCCCCCCAACCCCTGACAGACCACAGTGTGTATTGTCCCCTGACCCATGTGTCCATGTGTCCTCATCATTCAGCTCCCACTTATAAGGCAGAACACGTAATATTTGGTTTTCTGTTCCTGCATTAGTTTGCTGAGGATAATAGCCTTCCAGCTTCATCCATGTCCCTGCAAAGGACAGGTTGACCCTTATTCCTAATATGGAGCCTTTCGGAGACCTAACCCAAAGGCCAGGGGATTTACCAGGACCTCTTTTCCTTGGCAGGCCTGGAGTCTTAATTTTTGAACCCCAGCCCCATGAGTCTGTCAGAAGTTTTGCTCAGCTTCTCAACCACACTGTCAGCTACAAATACCCTCGAGGGAAGAGCAGCCCCAAATGCTGGGCCCACTTCTCTGTATTTGTCTCCTCTCCCAGATCTTAGCCTGCAACTCATGACTGCCTTTGTGGCTCTCCAGTGCTTTCAGACACATAGGTTTTCAAAACGTTTTGTAAAGATTTTCTACTTGTGGGTGTGGAATTTTATCAAGTGATTTTTCTGCATCCATTGACATGATTGTATTTCTTTTTCTTCTTTGGTAGGACCACACAGTGGGTTACATATTACATTATTGAATCAGTTTGTTTGGGGCTTAAATGTTTATTCAGCTTTTACCTTTTGCTTTCCGAGTTAATTTGGTCATTCATGATTTTCTGAAAAAGTATTAATTTTTTATCAGATTTTCACATTTATTGGCATGAGGAAATTAATGGTTTTGTCTTACTATCTTTTTAACCTCTTCCATTATTTCTGTTATACTTGTATTATTTCTATTATGTCCTCTCGGACATTTCACACGTTGTTTATTTGTACCTTTCTCTTTGTTTTTCCTCAATCAACCTTACTAGAAGTTTGTCATTTTTATTATCTTTCCAAAGAAACAACTTTTGCCTTTGTGGATTATCTTCATTTTATGTTTTCTGTTTCATTAGTTTCTGTTCTTTTTTTTTTTTTTTTTGAGACAGAGTCTTGCTCTGTCGCCCAGGCCGGAGTGCAGTGGCATGATCTCGGCTCACTGCAAGCTCTGCCTCCCTGGTTCATGCCATTCTCCTGCTTCAGCCTCCCGAGTAGCTGGGACTACAGGCACCTGCCACCACACCCAGCTAATTTTTTTTTTTTTTTTTGTATTTTTTAGTAGAGACGGGGTTTCACCGTGTTAGCCAGGATGGTCTAGATCTCCTGACCTCGTGATCCGCCCACCTCGGCCTCCCAAAGTGCTGGGATTACAGGCTTGAGCCACCACACCTGGCCTGTTCTTATTTTTTAATAATATCCTTCTTTCTTTTTTTTTTTTTTTTTTTGGAGATGGAGTTTCACTCTTGTTGCCGAGGCTGGAGTGCAGTGGTGCAATCTCAGCTTACTGCAACCTCCACCTCCCGGGTTCAAGCAATTCTCCTGCCTCACCCTCCCAAGTAGCTGAGATTACAGGTGCCCACCACCATGCCTGGCTAATTTTTGTGTTTTTAGTAGAAATGGGCTTTCGTCATGTTGGCCAGGCTGGTCTAGAACTCCTGACCTCAGGTGATCTGCCCACCTCGGCCTCCCAAAGTGCTGGGATTACAGTTGTAAGCCACCGTGCCTGGCCCCTTCTTTCTACTTTATTTGTGTTATTATTCCGTTCTTTTTCTAACTTCTTGAAGTGATGCTTATCTTATTAATTTTCAATCGTTTTTCTTTTGCAATTTATGAAAAGTTATAAAAGGGGCCAGGCATAGTGGCTTATGCCTGTAATCCCAACACTTTGGGAGGTTGAGACAGGCAGATCAATTGAACTCAGGGGTTCAAGACCAGCCTGGGCAACATGGCAAAACTGTGTCTCTACAAAAAAATTAAAAATTAGCCAGGCATGGTGGCACATGCCTGTAGTCCCAAGCTACTTGGGAGGCTGAGGTGGGAGAATTACCGAGCCCAGAAAATTGAGGCCACAGTAAGCTGTGATCATACCACTACACTCCAGCTTGTCTAAAAAAAAAAAAAAATAGGTTATAAAAGCATTTAAAGACATATAAACTTCCAAACTGTTTTAGATATAGTCCTCATTTGTTGATATTCAGTGTTTTCATTGTTCAATTCTAAATATTTTCTACTCTCCTTTATGGCTGCTTCTTTAATCCATGAATTATTTCCAAGTATATTTTCTAATTTCCAAATGAACAGCTTCATTTTGCCTTCTCTTTTTAGTCCTGATTTTGATAACTATCCGCAGAGTACATGCTCTATGTCATATTGATCTTTTGCATCTGTGGAGCCTTGCTGTGTGGCCTCATCGGTGACTGGTTTCTGTTAATGTTCCACGTGTGTTTGAATAGTGTGTGTATTTTCTTTCTGCATCTATTTGCCCAAGTCCATTAATCATATTGTTAAAATTGTCCATATTCTTCATAGTTTACTGTTAGCCTCCAGCTGCTCTACGCTGGGCTCCCACAGTCTTGCAAGTACAAGTCCTTCCCTCACTGGGCCCCATCTTCCATGCAAACCCAGGTGTCTTGGCAGAGCATGAAGGAATAGGAGCCAAGTCCCTGCCTCCCCCACATGAGGCACCGTGCCAGCCTGCAGTGTTGCTGCCTCCCCAGGCTGTGTTGGAGATGGAGAAGCAAAGAAGGAGGAAGGGCAGCAAGATGAGGGGAAAAGCCAGCCCCTGGTCGTTCATGTCTCCAAGCCTGATGCTGGCCTGAACTTAGAGAGGAGGAGAGCTAGACCTGGGAAAGGAGACACTGGCTGCACTGCAGATAGCAGTCACTAGACTGGAATGGACTTTGCATAATATCATCAAAGAATGACCCAAAAAACGATGGAGCCTACCCGAGGATTTTATCCAGGGGAGGAGAAAATCAGAGTCCACAAAACAAGTTTAAAAGTGCAGTAAGAAAAAGAATAAAATTGGTTTCTCTATGCTCAGAGCATTAAATAAATACATATTTTAAAAGCCTGAGGTGCAGCCAAATTCTAAACCCCCATTTGTTCCCAACAATATCCATTGTATACAATACATGTGTGGTTTTAATAACTGAAAAGGCACTGTTGTAAGCTTTTTACATGCATTCACACATTTAATCTTCAGGAGTCCTCTGGAGTAGGTATTAATGTTGCTATCTCCGTTATACAGATGAGGCAGAGAGAGGCTGAGTCCTCTCCCAGGGTCACAGCTACCAAGCAGTGCAGCTGGGATTGGACCACTACACGCTGTGGCCTATACCAGGGCACCTGAGGCAGGTGCATATGGCTTGCATCTGCTAGTCTTTTCCCCTTGATCCTGCAGAACAGCAGCTCTCAACCAGGAGTACACATCAAAGTCACTCTGCACCTTTTCCAAAATGCACAATCCAGCCAGATCTCAAACAGAGAGGGACCATGGAATAGATATTTAGATTAAAACCCCCAAGATGATTCCCAGGCACAACCTTAGCGTGCAGGGGAGGTGCCCAGATCCTCGGAGACCTTCTCATGAGACAAAATGTCCTTTCGCTCCTCCTTATGCAATTTACTACCCCGTAAAAAACTGTTTGACGCATCTTTTCTGTGTCATGCCTTCTAGGTTCCTCCGCTCACCAAAGTGGATGTCAAGATGGAGACAATCGAAAGGAAAATATCTGTTAGGGAACAAACAATGTCTGAGAAGGAAGAGCTAAATAAGAAGAAAAGGAACATGGGCGATGTCAGCATGCATGGGCTTCCTCTTGTCCAGGACCAAGAGGACAGTGAAGGGGACATCTCAAAGGACCCCGACAAGCAACTGGCCCAGAAGTTTAAGACCTATGAATTGACACTGAAGGATGTCCAGAACATCCTCATGTACTGGGACCGGAAGCAAGGAGTCCAGCTGCCTCCTGCAGGGATGGAGGAAGCTCCCCATGAGCCCGACGACCAGCGCCAGGTCCCCTCGGGTGGGCGCAGGGGCCGCAAGGACCGGGAGAGAGAGCGCCTGGAGAAGGAGCGCCTGGAGAGGGAGAAGGCGGAGCGGGAGCGCCTGGAGAAGCTGCGAGCCCTGGAGGAGCGGAGCGACTGGGAGGGGGAAGGGGAGGAGGACCACGAAGAGAAGAAGGAGAAGGACCTGGGCGTACCCTTCCTTAACATCCAGACACCAGACTTTGAAGGCTTGAGCTGGAAGCAGGCCCTAGAGAGCGACAGGCTTCCCAAAGGAGAGCAGGTATGGACTCTCCTCCAGGGTGGGGAAGTCTCAAGTCAGGCGGCAGGCGCTGTGCTAAGATCATCAGGGGTGCTTCTCCCTACCTGAAACCCATATCCCCTCAACTGCATGCATCTCTGATGCCCCCTTGGAATTAAGACAATAATGACTAAAGGACCTTTTCTACTTGGCAAGAGAAAATTCATAGGAAATGTCACACATCTAGATTAGTCCATCCAACCTTATGGGAAGCCACCTGTAATGGTTGGTTTTTAATATTGATAATATGGGTGCTACAGAATGGCAAGGCAGGTGAGGCTTTGGGGTGAAGCAGGAGACCCATCCACTCCAAAATCTTCCCACAGACCTCCCACAGTGACAGAAATTATCCTATAAGACAGCTCTTCTTTCCTATAAACAAAAGTATTGTGTATCCAAAAGCCACCTTTGCTAGCAGTTTGGAGGAGAGGCTTATTATAGCCTTTTCTCCAGGGACAGGTTTTTTCTGTAAAGGACCAGAAAGTAAGCATTTTAGGCTGCGGGTGATACCACTTCTATCAAAACTACTCCACTTGGCCTTCAGAGGGTAAAAGTGACCACCAGCAACATGTAAATGAATGGGCATGGCCGTGTTCCAATTCAAGTTTATTTAGAAAAAGTAGCAGGCCAGATTCAGCCAGGGCACCACAGTTTGCTGCCCTCTGGTTTCGTTCATGACAAACTAGATGCAACTTTTTTTCTTTTTTTCTTTTTTTTTTTTTTGAGATGGAGTCTCACTCTGTTGCCCAGGCTGGAGTGCAGTGGCACAATATCAGCTCACTGCAACCTCTGCCTCTGGTGTTCAAGCGATTCTCCTGCCTCAGCCTCCTAAGTAGCTGGGACTATAGGCATGCACCAGCACGACCAGCTAATTTTTTTGGATCTTTAGTAGAGACAGGGTTTCACCATGTTGGTCAGGCTGGTCTTAAACTCCTGACCTTAAATGATCAGCCTCAGCCTCCCAAAGTGCTGGGATTACAGGCATGAGTCAACTTTTAAAAGTAGAGACTAGAGCCTGGGAGGGATATGTGGCAGGTCAGGGATGATGGGAGGATCAGAGTCATCCCTGCAATCCATGTGACTTCCATGTGCCGCGGCCCACAGTAGAAGCCTTGCCACAGTGGTCCCGGGTGGCACCACAGGCGGGAAGGACTGCTGGGGGACACACAACATCAGCTCTACGCCCTTCCCAGTTTCACCTCAGGCCAGCCTTAGCTAAGGAATTGTGATTTTTTCCCTGGAAATGTTTTTTTTTTTTTAAAAAAAGGACTATAACAAGAACATCTTCTTGCCTTGTTTTGTACTCTCCACCTTCCAAATCATAGGTTAGACTGCTGCTTGAAGAACTCCCTGGCTCTGGTAATTCAACAATTGCTACAAATCATTCTTGCCTTTCCTCATAGACATTCTAAATCCTGGGAGTTAACTCAGCTGCGTATTTGTCAGGAAATGCCTTTAGCTCCTTGACACACAGGATGAGAAGCACAGGATTACATGAAGATATTTAGTTACTTGCTGGGCCTCACAGGCCCAGTGGTCCACAGGCTGGGCCCTCAGGTGGGCTGTAACCTTTACTGTTGTGATAATGGCTATTAGTCTAGAGGCAACATGCTTATTCTGAGGCAGGAAGTAGCTGTTAAATTTTCAAACCATTTGCTCTGGAAATTGCTCATTCATTATATATGAGAGCAGGATGGGAAAATGCTGGAGGAATAAATGTTTTCTCTCTCAGGTTATTTTTCACTTCTCTCTTCATTCCCATTCTCATCCCCAGTCCCAGAACCTTTGCTTTATTATTTTCTTTGCTGCATTTGACTTGCTCCTATCCCAACTTTCTTTCACCTTGGAAGGAAGGAACATTTAACGCAAAAAGAAAAATTAACATGGAATCTGAAAATAGATGGAAAAACTCTGTACTCTAGATATTAGAACGTTAAGAGCTGGCCTCTTCATATTAAACAGAGATTTATTGATTGCCTGCTATGTGCTAGGCTGTGTGCCATATCCACCTGCTAACCATCCTAATGGAGTTTACAGCCCAGTTGCAAAGGCAGACAATTAAACAATTGCCATAAAGTGTAACAAAGGCTATGGTAAGAGAGGCATAGGGTTTTGCACAGGAAATTCACAATGGGCCTTTCCTTTAGATCCTAGACATCTTGGGTCTGGGTGCCTCCGGACCACCCATCCCGCCTCCCGCCTTATTCTCAATCGTCTCCTACCCGGTGAAGCGGCCACCTTTGACCATGACAGACGACCTGGAGCATTTTGTATTTGTGATCCCACCATCCGAAGATATATCTCTGGATGAAAAAAAAGAAATGGAAATAGAATCAGACTTTTTGGCCACCACAAACACTACAAAGGTAACACATGAGCAGTTTATTCTCCTAACCTTGGCAGGACTTCAGCAGGCAGGGAGAGAAGGTCACCCTCCACCAGACCAAAAATGGAGCCTGGCATGAGGTGTTCTGCTCACTGGGTTATTTTCCCTTGACTCGTTGGGGATCCTACCTGAAAACCTCATGTGAGCATCCCTGGACTGCACCTTCCCTGGCTCTGACTTGTCCTACCTCCTAAGAGGAAACGGATAATGATTGATTCTCACCTAACAACCTTTGCAGTCCCCATTGGAGGGTTTAGGGAACTTGTCAAGTTACTCTGCAGCACATCCACAGTAAGAAAATAAGCAAAACTAGCACTCTTAAAAAGATATCTAATCTTTTTTAAAACATAAAAATGTGTTTTGAAGCTAAGGTGATTCGCATAGTGTGTAAGAATATAAGAATCAACACACACAAGTTAAGGGGACATGCGCCACTGCAGAAAGGATAAATTATTAAAGAAATTAGGATGGGAAGATTGGATGTTTGGGGTAAAGTCACTGTTTGTGACACAATACAGTAAAATACATTCCAGCTGGGTTAAAATATAAATAATCAAAATAAAATTGTGCAGAAATAGAAGAAAATATATGCAATTAATAGAATAAATCACAAGAAAAATAAATTTGACCAATAATATGCAGCAAGTGTGTATATTTAAAATTATAGAAGGTTTTTTTATTCCCAGAGGAGAAGGGTGGTCCACAATTTGAATCTCTGCACACAGCCTTCTATAAACCATGCACATCAGCAAAGAGAGCTCGTAACTTCACCTATAAGTCCTGCTTACATGTAAATTGGGGATAGAGACTACTCCAAACCTCAGTTTACAAGGAAGAAGGAAATCAACATCTGAGATCAGTAGCGTCGGTGGGCATGCCTCACCCAAGCAGAGAGTCCCTGGTGACATTTCAAATTGAAAAGATAAAGAAGAAAAACTTGCCATCAACCCCTTATTGTGAAAATCAGCCGGCTGGGCACTGTGGCTCACGCCTGTAATCCCCACACTTTGGGAGGTTGAGGTGGGCAGATTGCTTGAGCCCAGATGTTTGAGACCACCCTGGGAATATGGTGAAACCCCATCTCTACAAAAAATACAAAAATTAGCCGGGCATGGTGGCATGCACCTGTAGTCCCAGCTACTCAGGAGGCTGAGGTGGGAGGATCGCTTGAGCCCTGGAGTCAGAGTTATAGTGAGTTGAGATGGCACCACTGCACTCCAGCCTGGGCAATAGAGTGAGATCCTGTCTCAAAAGAAAAAGAAAAGAAAGACGGAAGGAATAGAAGAGAGAGAGGGGAAAGAAAGAAAGAAAAACAGAGGAAGGAAGCAAGGAAGGAAGGAAGGAAAAAGAGAGAAAGAGAAAAAGAAAAGAAAAAGAAATGGCACGTAAGAATGCTCAGAAGAATTCAGACTATGGAGTATTTTGTAAGAACACAAATCTGGTCTCTCTAAAAAGGCAGTGTGATTGGGAGAGGGGGCAGGAGGGTCTAGATTGAAAGATACTAAAGAAACATAAGAGATCATGGCAGACAGGAGGCAGGACTGGATGCAACTCCAACTCGGGTGGACAGAGCAGCAAGTCTCGCATTGTGAATTTTAGCTCCAGAACAACTGCAGGAATAAATCAAGAAACCTGAAGGGAACCACAGACCCTCTGAAGCAAGCAGCAGACTGCTCCTGCAGGACCCAGGAGACACCCCAAATACTGTGAGTGCCCAAACTGCAGAAGTGGGAAAGGAAGATCCTCCGCCCCTGGATACACACCCCAACTGGGGAAACTGAAGGTCTAGTTTAAAGGAGAAGATTCCAACCTTACCTGGAGCTGAGTCAATTTAGAGAGTTGAGCAAAATACAGGGTTAGAGGAAGCAGCAGGAAAGGCCCTGGGAGCTCCCTAGGTCCCCAAGCAGGCCATTCCTGTCTGGCATCACAGGGATCTTTCAGGAGGACAGCCAGAGGCCCAGGGAAAATGCCACAGGGAGAAGGAAGTCTCCAGCTGAACTTTGTAACAATTTGAACTGGACGAGAAGCCTCCTGGCCAGGACTCTGGGAAGGGCACAAATCCAGCATGCAGACTCCACAGGCAGGGGAAGAACTAAAGCCATACTTGCTTTCACAGCTGGGTGGTGGGTAGCCTGGGGCAAGTTCTCAGCCCTGCTTGCCCACTGCCTGGAAACAGACTCAATGCTGTTGGTGGGGGCATGGTGGGAGTAAGACCAGCCCTTTGGATTGCATGGGAGCTGCGTGAGGCCTGTAACTGCTGGCTTTTGCCCACTTCCCTGACAACCTGCACGACTCAGCAGAGGGAGGCATAATCCTCCTAGGTACATAACTCCATTGACCTAGGAACCTCACCCCCATCCTCCACAGCAGCCACAGCAAGACCAGCCCAAAGAGAGTCTGAGCTCAGACATGCCTAGCCCTGTCCCCAACTGATGGTCCTTCCCTACCCACCCTGGTACCTGAACACAAAGGGCATATATTCTTGGGAGTTCTAGGGCACTACCCACCACTGGTTCC
Source organism: Homo sapiens (assembly GCF_000001405.40). Lineage (NCBI taxonomy): Eukaryota > Metazoa > Chordata > Mammalia > Primates > Hominidae > Homo > Homo sapiens. Next base: position 146,799,616 of record NC_000001.11, read on the forward strand.
TTCCTCTCCATATTACCACAGCTGATGGTCTCTGGAAAGTGCCCCCTCCCATCAGGAAGCCAACCAGCACAGAAATAGAGCATTAAACCACCAAAGCTAAGAATCCTCACAGAGTTCATTTCACCCCCCTGCCACCTCCGCCAGAAGAGGTGCTGGTGTCCATGACTGAGAGACCCATAGATGTTTCACATCACAGGACTCTGTGCAGACAACCCCCGTACAAGCCCAGAGCCTGGTAGACTTGCTGGGTGGCTAGACCCAGAAGAGAGATAACCATCAGCACAGCTCGGCTCTCAGGAAGCCACATCCATAGGAAAAGGGGGAGCATACTACATCAAGGGAACACCCTGTGGGACAAAAGAATCTGAACAACAGCCTTCAGCCATAGACTTTCCCTCTGACAGAGCCTACCCAAATAAGAAGGAACCAGAAAACCAACTCTGATAATATGACAAAACAAGACCCTTTAGTAGCCCCCCAAAATCACAGTAGCTCACTAGCAATGGATTCAAACCAAGAAGAAATCCCTGATTTACCTGAAAAAGAATTCAGGAGGTTAGTTATTAAGCCAATCAGAGAGTAACCAGAGAAAGGTGAAGCCCAGTTCCAGAAAATCCAAAAAATGATAGAAGAAGTGAAGGGAGAAATATTCAATGAAATACACAGCATAAATAAAAAACAATCAAAACTTCAGGAAATATTGAACACACTTAGAGAAATGCAAAATGCTCTGGAAAGTCTCAACAATAGAATTGAACAAGTAGAAGAAAGAAATTCAGAGCTCAAAGACAAGATCTTCTAATTAACCCAATCCAACAAAGACAAAGAAGAAAGAATAAGAAAATATGAACAAAGCCTCCAAGAAGTCTGGGATTATGTTAAATGACCAAACCTAAGAATAATCAGTGTTCCTGAGGAAGAAGAGAAATCTAAAAGTTTGGAAAACATATCTGGGGGAATAATCGAGGAAAACTTCCCCAGCCTTGCTAGAGACCTAGACATCCAAATACAAGAAGCACAAAGAACACCTGGAAAATTCATCACAGAAAGATCATCACCTAGGCACATTGTCATCAGCTTATTTAAAGTTAAGACGAAGGAAAGAATCTTAAGAGCTGTGAGACAAAAACAACATAATCAACAAAGGAAAACCTATCAGATTAACAGCAGATTTCTCAGCAGAAACCCTACAAGATAGAAGGGATTGGGGCCCTATCTTCAGACTCCTCAAACAAAAGAAGTATCAGCCAAGAATTTTGTATCCAGCAAAACTAAGCATCGTATATGAAGGAAAGATACAGTCTTTTTTGGACAAACAAATGCTGAGAGAATTTGCCACTACCAAGCCAGTATTATAAGAACTGCTAAAAGGAGCTCTAAATCTTGAAACAAATCCTGGAAACACATCAAAACAGAGCTTCTTTAAAGCATAAACCTCACAGGACCTATAAAACAAAAATACAATTAAAAAAAAACAAAAAAGCAAAAAACCAAGGTACACAGGCAACAAATAGCACAATTAATGGAATGGTACCTCACATCTCAATACTAACATTGAATGTAAATGCCTGAATGCTTTACTTAAAAGATACAGAACTGCAGAATGGATAAGAATTCACCAACCAACTATCTGCTGCCTTCAAGAGACTCACCTAACATATAAGGACTCACATAAAGTAAAAGGGTGGAAAAAGGCTTTCATGCAAATGGACACCAAAAGAGAGCAGGGACAGCTATTCTTATATCAGACAAAATGAGCTTTAAAGCAACAGCAGTTTAAAAAGACAAAGAGGGACATTATATAATGGTAAAAGCCCTGTCCAACCAGAAAATACCACAGTCCTAAACACAGATGCACCTAACACTGGAGCTCCCAAATTTGTAAAACAATTACTAATAGACCTAAGAAATGAGATAGACAGCAACACAATAATAGTGGGGGACTTCAGTACTCCACTGACAGCACAAGACAGGCCATCAAGACAGAAAGTCAACAAAGAAACATGAATTTAAACTATAACTTGGAACAAATGGACTTAACAGATACATACAGAACATTCCATCCAACAGCCACAGAATACACATGCTACTCAACAGTTCATGGAACTTTCTCCAAGATAGACCATATGATAGGCCGCAAAATGAGCCTCAATAAATTTAAGAAAATTGAAATTATATCAAGCACTCTCTCAGACCACAGTGGAATAAAACTGGAAATCAACTCCAGAAGGAACCTTCAAAGCCATGCAAATACATGAAAATTAAATAACCTGCTCCCGAATGATCAGTGGGTCAAAAACAAAATCAAGATGGAAATTTAAAACTTCATGGAACTGAATGACACAAGCTATCAAAATCTCTGGGATACAGCAAAGGTGATGCTAAGCAGAAAGCTCATAGCCCCAAATGCCCGCATCAAAAAGACTGAAAGAGCACTAACTGCCAATCTAAGGTCACACCTCAAGGAACTAGAGAAACAAGAACAAATCAAACCCAAACCCAGCAGAAGAAAGGAAATAACCAAGGTCAGAGCAGAACTAAATGAAATTGAAACAAAAAAAAAAGCAATACGAAAGATAAATGAAACAAAAAGCTGGTTCTTTGAAAAGATAAATAAAATTGATAGACCGTTAGCAAGATTAACCAAGAAAAGAAGAGAGAAAAATCCAAATAACCTCAATAAGAAACAAACAGGAGATATTACAACTGACACCACAGAAATACAAAAGATCATTCAAGGCTACTATGAACACCTTTACACTCACAAACTAGGAAACCTGGAAGAGATGGATAAACTCCTGGAAAAATACAACCCTCCTAGCTTAAATCAGGAAGAACTAGATACCCTGAACTGACCAGTAACAAGCAGTGAGATTGAAATGGTAATTTAAAAATTACCACCAAAAAAAAGTCCAGGACCAGATGGATTCACAGCAGAATTCTACCAGACATTCAAAGAAGAATGGATACCCATCCTATTGACACTATTCCACAAGATAGAGAAAGAGGGAACCCTCCCTAATTCATTCTACGAAGCCAGCATCACCCTAATTCCAAAACCAGGAAGGGACACAACCAAAAAAAGAAAACTGCAGGCCGATATGCCTGATGAACATAGATGCTAAAATCCTTAACATTTAGCTAACCAAAATCCTTAACATTTAGCTAATCAAATCCAACAGCATATCAAAAAGTTAATCCACAATGATCAAGTGGGTTTCATACCAGGGATTCAGGGATGGTTTAACATATGCAAGTCAATAAATGTGATATACCACATTAACAGAATTAAAAACAAAAATCACATGATCATTTCAATAGATGCAGAAAAAGCCTTTGACAAAATCCAACATCCCTTTATGATTAAAACTCTCAGCAAAATCAGCATACAAGGAACACACCTCAATGTAAAAAAAGCCATCTGTGACAAACCCAAAGCCAACATAATACTGAATGAGGAAAAGTTGAAAGTGTTCCCTCCAAGGACTGGAACAAGACAAGGATGCCCACTCTCATCACTCCTCTTCAACATTGTACTGGAAATCCTCGCCATAACAATCAGACAAGAGAGAGCAATAAAGGGTATCCAAATCAGCAAAGAGGAAGTCAGACTCTCACTGTTTGCTGATGACATGGTCATTTACTTTGAAAACCCTGAAGACTCCCTAGAAAGATCCTAGAACTGACAAAAGAATTCAGCAGTTTCTGGATACAAAATTAATGTACACAAATCAGTAGCTCTTCTATACACCAACAATGACCAAGCAGAGAATCAAATCAATAACTCAACCTCTTTTACAATAGCTGCAAAAAAACAAATAAAATACTTAGGAATATACCTAACCAAGGAGGTGAAAGACCTCTGCAAGGAAAACTACAAAACACTGCTGAAAGAAATCATAGATGACACAAACAAATGGAAACATCTCATGCTCATGGATGGGTAGAATCAATATTGTGAAAATGACCTTACTGCCAAAAGCAATCTACAAATTCAACGCAATTTCCATCAAAATACCACCATCATTCTTCACAGAATTAGGAAAAAATTATAAAATTCATATGGAACCAAAAAAGAGCCCACATAGCCAAAGCAAGACTAAGCAAAAAGAACAAATCTGGAGGCATCACACTACCTGATTTCAAACTATACTATAAGGCCATAGTCACCAAAACAGCATGTTACTGATATAAAAATAGGCATATAGACCAATGGAACAGAATAGAGAACCCAGAAAGAAACCCAAATACTTACAGCCAACTGGTCTTCGACAAAGCAAACAAAAACATAAAGTGGGGAAAGGACATCCTTTTCAACAAATGGTGCTGGGATAATTGGCTAGCCACATGTAGGAGAATGAAACTGGATCCTCATCTCTCACCTTATACAAAAATCAACTCAAGATGGATTAAGGACTTAAATCTAAGACCTGAAACTATAAAAATTCTAGAAGATAACATTGGAAAAACCCTTCTAGACATTGGCTTAGGCAAGGATTTTATCACCAAGAACCCAAAAGCAAATGCAATTAAAACAAAGATAATTAGCTGGAACTTAATTAAACTAAAGAGCTTTTGCATGGCAAAGGTAGCAGTCAGCAGAGTAAACAGACAACCTACAGAGTGGGAGAAAATCTTCACAATCTGTACATCTGACAAAGGACTAATATCCAGAATCTACAATGAACTGAAACAAATCAGCAAGAAAAAAACAAATAATCCCATCAAAAAGTGGGCTAAAGACATGAATAGACAATTCACAAAAGAAGATATACAAATGGCCAACAAGCATATGAAAAAATGCTCAACATCACTAATGATCAGGGAAATGCAAATCAAAACCACAATGTGATACCACCTTACTCCTGCAAGAATGACCATAATCAAAAAATAAAAAATAAATAAATAAATAAAAACAGTAGCTGTTGGCATGGATGCGGTGCATCAAGAAACACCCTTCTACACTGCTGATGGGAATGTAAACTAGTACAACCACTATGGAAAACAATGTGGACATTCCTTAAAGAACTAAAAGTAGAACTGCAATTTGATCCAGCAGATCTGGATCTAGATACTGCATATCTACCCAGAGGAAAAGAAGTCATTATACGAAAAAGATACTTGCACACACATGTTTATAGCAGCACAATTCACAATTGCAAAATGGTGGTACCATCCCAAATGCCCATCAGTCAACAAGTGGATAAAGAAACTGTGGTATATGTATACACAAAGGAATACTACTCAGCCATAAGAAGGAATGAATTAACGGCATTCACAGCTACCTGAATGATATCGGAGACTATTATTCTAAGTGAAGTAACTCAGGAATGGGAAACATCGTATGTTCTCACTGATATGTGGTAGCCAAGCTATGGGGACACAAAGGCATAAGAATGATACAATGGACTTTGGGACTTGGGGGGAAGGGTGGGAGAGGGCAAGAGATAAAAGACTACAAATAGGGTGCAGTGTATACTGCTCGGGTGATGGGTGCACCAAAATCTCACAAATCGCCACCAGAAAACTTACTCATGTAACCAAATACCACCTGTACCCCAATAACCTATAAAAAATAGAAAAATAATAAAAAATTAAAAAAGAAACATAACAAAACACAATATAGGAACTTTGATTAATACTTATTTGGGAAACAATGTCTATAAATAAAGACATGCCTGAGGCCAGGCGCGGTGGCTCACGCCTGTAATCCCAGCACTTTGGGAGGCTGAGGCAGGTGGATCGCGAGGTCAGATCGAGACCATCCTGGCTAACATGGTGAAACCCCGTCTCTACTAAAAATACACAAAATTAGTCAGGCGTGGTGGCAGGCGCCTGTAGTCCCAGCTACTTCGGAGGCTGAGGCAGGAAAATGGCGTGAACCCAGGAGGCGGAGCTTGCAGTGAGCTGAGATGGCACCACTGCACTGCAGCCTGGGCGACAAAGCGAGACGCTATCTCAAAAAAAAAAAAAAAAAAAAAAAAAAAAGACATGCCTGAGACAAATAGGAAAATTTTAATATAGACTGTGTGCCAGAACGATAGTGTGGAATTATTGTTCATTTTCTTAGGTGTGATGACAGTATTGTGCAGGATTGCAGGAGAAAGTCCTTTCTTGAGGAGGTGTATTTAGAGGCAAGGAGTCATCATGTCTGCAAGGTATCTTCAAATGGCTCAGGAGAAAAAGTGGCAACTGTTAAAACTAGTTATTACTGTACCAGGCCTTCAACTCTTAAAGTTTTCTTTTTTAAAAGATGGTGGAAATGATAAATAAATTAAAGGCAAAAAATTTTTTTTGATCAGGAAACATGAAAATACCACTAGAAAAATGGGAACTTCTTATTAAACACAGCAGATTAAACACATGTTTATCTCTACCTCTCCCAAAACAGTAAGATTTTCTTTTCGCGTATAATTCTAAGAATAAAGAGAAGGAGAGAGAGCTGGTGGTGAGGGGTATATGCCAACAAAATATTAGGAAGTAGACAGCAAGCAGATGGGGATAACTGGCTTAGTGGTACCAAGAAGGCTACAATCCCCGCTGTCCATTGTGGGTTCTGCCAGGAGCTAAGACTTGAGTTCCACGCACACCCTCCAGCTTCCAGCTTTCTCTAGGGTTTCATCCTCCTTCTGAGGGACTAGGGTGCCAAGGAATGCACTGGTCTTGTCACTACCCAAGACTAGACCCTGCCCTGCTCTAGCCTTCCTGACCCTGCAGCACCATCTCCCCAGATGACAGACATGTGGCCATCTCTGTCTTCTGTGTGTGTGTACAAAAAGTGAATATTTAAGACCTCATGCTCGTTTTTAATTAAGGCTCAAGAGGAGCAGACCAGCTCATCTAAGGGGGGCAAACAGAAAATGAAAGAAAAGATAGACCAAGTCTTCGAGAGTCAGAAAGACAAGCGTCACATGGCCTTAAACAGGAAGGTCCTTTCTGGGGAACCTGCTGGAACCATTTCCCAGCTGTCAGATACAGACCTGGACAACTTCAACGGGCAGCACTCCCAGGAGAAATTCACCAGGTGGGCCTTCCAGCAACCCAGGGAGGGGAATCTGGGCCAAAGCCCACACTGAGGGTGTGACTGTCACAGCACTGGAGGGGAACAGAGCTGTCCTGCCTGTGGGGCTCCAGGGGCCACCATGCCTACCCCAACAGGACAGGACTTCCAGGCAGCTCTCCTGTCTTCTCTTGGCCAGAGGGGAGCACTCTCACTTTATAAACCTGTGTGGTCATTTGCAGACTGAATCACTTCCGGTGGATCGTGCCAGCCAATGGCGAGGTAACGTTGCAGGTGCACTTCTCTTCTGATGAGTTCGGGAACTTTGACCAAACCTTTAACTTTGAGATCCTAGGAACTTGCTGCCAGTACCAGCTCTACTGCCGAGGCATCTGCACTTACCCATACATTTGCCAAGACCCAAAGTAAGTGTGTTTCATTTTAAAAGAAAAGGTTGACAGATGTGTTTTCATTTTACTCCATGGCACTTTGAACAAGGTGGCTCTTACCATAACGTGGAGCTGGGGCAGCACCCCAGCCCCTCTTGTCGTATCAGCTTCCATGTCTTGAATATTGACCAAGAGCCACAGGGAGGACATGATACTACCAGGATTCCCAGACTGCAATAAAGAGAATGATCATAGGTGCAAAGGGGGAGGAAAAAAGTCTTCCTTTGGCAAATTAGTTTGCTTATTTAACTATTAAGCAAATTTAAAGCAGTTCTATCCTGTAGTATAGAAACCATGTGTGACTCTGCATGGGTGAAATTTTTCCAAGCTACTGAACACCACTGTAGAGCTCCTACACTACAGAAAAGCACCTGGCTGAGCAACTGGCCATATTAGACCAAGGGACTCAGAAGCTAATTCATATCTCCCAGAACCAATTTTCCATAGGGATTCTCAGGAATGTTTTCAGCTGGGTGCACTGGGACAGAATATCTGACTCAGCTCTGTCACCGCTCCTCATTATAGAAGACACCACTGGGAGTCTTTTTTTTTCAAGTTCATTTCATACTGTCTTCTCTGGTGGTGGGAAGGAGCTGGGACAAAGAAGAGTCACTCTGTCTCCAGATGCCCGGATCCCGTGTTGAGCAGGGAATATTGGGTTTATGTAAACATCACGTGGCAGCATCAAACTTCTGTTCAGGCAGCCTCTCCTCACCTTTTCCCCTCCTGTGTTCAGAGTGGTATTTCCTCAGCGGAAGATGGACATGAAGACAAATGAGGTCATCTTTAAGAAGTATGTTATGAGCACGGAGACGTACTACTTTGGGCCACTACTTTGTGGAAAATCAAGAGATAAGTAAGTGTTCCATTATTTTAAAGCAGATTTCAGACTGCTGGGTTGGGCTCATGAACAGTGCAAGTAGGATTCCTGTGTACATAGATGTAGCTTTTACTAATGCTGCCTCTCTTAGCCCCAACCACAAATCAGGAGAACTGGGTTCTTGTGTCCCAACTCCCTGCTGGACACCCAGAGGAATAAGGGTGCCATGTTCCCATATGGGAAGGCCTAGGAGAGGTTTCAGGCTTGATCAGGGTAGGATCAAGAGTTTGCTTTAGCTTATGTTCAGTTTAAGAGGCTGGGAAGATATTTCTGTAGTTACATGAAGCAGAGAATAGGTTATACAGCTTTGGTTCTCAAAGGAGAGATCACTCTTCAAGGCAACAAAAGCCACAGACGTAGATGAGATTGCCTGAGAGAGGGCTGTACAGGTAAGAAGAAAAGAAGCCCTGAATAACTCCAATATGCACAAAAGGAGGAGCAAGGAGATGAGAAAGAGAGCTAGCGCTATTGGGGAAACCAAAAAGACCAGTGTTATGGAGCCATGAAGAGAGGACATGGTTGCTACATTGAATACTGAGGAGAGGGCAGAAGGATGAGGGCATAGATGTCCACAGGGTTCAACAACATGGAGGTCACTAGGGGCCTTAGCAAGAGTTCTGTGCCCAAGCAAAGTGAAGTGAGAAGTCAGATGTGAAGAAGATAACTCTTTGGAGAAGCTTGGCTCTGAAGGGAGATGGGAGGAAAGCCTGGAGCGCAGGGCAGGCTGTTCGTGCGCTGTTATTCTTATGAGGCTTGCATGCCGAGAGGAAATGGAAGGAAGAGGTTGGAATTTCAGGAGATGGGAAGGGCCATCAATGGCATAGCTCCTTGAGACAACACAGTGGGATGTGGGGAGGCTGGCTTGTGCCAGGAAGAGGGACTGTCACTGCATGCCAACGGGGAGAAAGGCGAGATGGCATTGCAGAAGGTAGGTTTACAATTTGATTGGAAGGGTGAGGAGACTCCTACGCAATCATGTCTTTTTCTCCTTGACAAATGATGTGTGGTCATCCCTTGCAAGTGAGGGGAGTGGCGAAAGTTTAAAATCTTGAGGAAATAGAGGGGGTATGAAAAACAGTTTTTGTGGAAAGTAGGAGAGGGAGCATGTTAGAGAAACAGACTGAGATTTTTAGGCAGAATTGGGGACCCACAGGTGAGACTGATGATCAGCCATTCTTAGCGATACTAGTTTTTTTCAGTTATATACAAATTTCTTATCATATAGGCAGGGAGTGAAACCAAAACTGGAACCAAGGTCTCCACCATGTCTTCATTCAATACAATGTTTCTTGTGCTAAGTAGAGGGTGTTAATTTCTGGGCTTTCTCGGTGCAGCTTATGGGCCATCTTTGTCCTCCATTCCCTTATCACCTCCACTTTATTCCCTGAGATGCTGGATTAAAAATTGAAGATGAAGGGAATTTGCTGATGATGGAGAAGATCTTCAAAGCCGGACAGGAGGGCTTAGGAGGGAAAAGTATGGTCAGGTTGATGGACATGAGGTACAGAACAGTCTGGGAGTGGGAGTCAGGGAAATGATGGTTGTTCAAAGAGGCACATGTTTGGGGCAGCATTGGAATTAACCAGGATGTTGGGCGAGATGACACTGATGTGGGAAGGACAGTGACTACGGTAATCCAAAATAAGTTCCAGTACAACTGGGTATTATTCACTCATTCTTTTCTTTTCTTGTCTTTTTTTTTTTTTTTTTTTTAAGATAGGGTCTTACTCCGTCACCCAGGCTGGAATGCAGTGGTGCAATCTCAGCTCACTGCAGCCTTGAGCTCCCAGGCTCAAGCAATCCTCCCACCTCTGCCTCCCCAGTAGCTGGGACTACAGGTGTGTGCAACCACACCTGGCTAATTTTTGTAGAGATGGGGTTTCACCATGTTGCCCAGGCTGGTCTCGAACTCCGAGCTCAAGCAATCTGCCCACCTCAGCCTCTCAAAGTGTTGGATTACAGGCGTGAGCCACTGTGCCAAGCCTGTTCACTTATTATTTTAAACCGTGCTGAGCCTCAGTGTCCTCATCTGCAAAATGGGAAAGCAACAAATTCGTGAGGACTGAACTGGGTAACGCACCTGGAGCCTTTAGCACAGTGCCGGATGGAAGTGATTAGCGGTTAAGTGAGAAGGCGGCACCCCTTTGGCAGATATTCATACGGAGTGTTCTCTGTTTCTCTGACTCTCATTTGGTCTCTGTCATTCTCTCTCCTTTCATCCTCCATCATGGCCTATCTAAAACCTTTTTCAGAGTGTTTCTGCTTTCCTAGCCTGTGCCATGACCTCTGATGATGTGCCTCTTTTTCCCTTGGGCCTTCTGGTTTGCTTCGCTCTGTTACTATTAACTGAGTCTCCCTCAGTGCCCACAGTGCTCAACTCTGCAGATCTCTCCTTAAGGTACTAAGGAACAGAAACTGCCTCCTAACAGTGAACAAGGCCAAATGAATTCATGTCAGAACAGTAACATTCTCTGAGGGTTTGGGAGAAGGAGGTGAATGAGGTCATCTCTAAAACAGATGTGAAATAAAAAATTACTCAAGTGAGGCCGGGCACGGTGGCTCATGCCTGTAATCCCAGCACTTTGGGAGGCCCAGGCAGGCGGATCATCTGAGGTCAGCAGTTCGAGACCAGCCTGGCTAACATGGTGAAACCCCGTTTCTACTAAAAATACAAAAAATTAGCCAGGTGTGGTGGCATGCACCTGTAATCCCAGCTACTTGGGAGGCTGAAGCAGGAGAATTGCTTGAACCCAGGAGGTGGAGGTTGCAGTGAGCTGAGATTGCGCCACTGCACTCCAACTTGGGCAACAAGAACGAAACTCCCTCACAAAAAAAAAAAAAAAAGTTACTCAAGTGATAATCTCTCTCAGGGATATAAGCAGGTGTAAGGATAGATCTACATATTTCTCAGGATTCTTTGCAATAATCATAGCTAACATTCACTGGGCATTTGCTATCCACAGCTGTCCTGAGAGCTTTAGATGTGTGATCTCACTTCCTACTCAGCAGTCCTAAGTGGTATTATCACCTCATTTTAGAGATAAGGAGACCAAGGCTTGAGGGAGTCAAGTCACAGTGTAGCATTTATTCTCCAAGGCAAGTCTGCACAACTACAGATCTCATGTTCTTAGCCACCATGCCACTGCCTCCATGCAGCCACACTGTCCCTCTGAATTGCCTTTCTCATCACAGCCTTCTTTTCCACCTGCATTCTCATTCAGTCTTCATACCCTTAACCCCATTCTTGTTCATCCCCAGGTACAAGTCATCCTTATTCCCAGGCAACATGGAGACGCTAACAATCCTGAACACTTCCTTAATGGTGGTGGAGGCATCCTTCTATTTTCAGAATGATGTCAAAGCAAACACGTACTTCCTGGAACCCAACACCATGGTCCTGAAACCCAATGAGAAGCAGGTACGGTCATGTGGACACAAGTCACCAGGGCAAGGCTTTCTTGGGAAATTTGAGGCCTTGGCATCCTTGGTGTAAATGTACTTTCTTTTGACTTTTCCTTCCATCAGATATTAAACGTATGGGCCTACCCTACTTCAGTTGGTGTCTTTGAAGACAGCATTGTCTGCTGCATCAATGACAACCCAGAGCCAGCCATCTTCCAATTAAGCTGCCAGGGGATCCGCCCGGAACTAGAGCTGGAACCCAGGCAATTACATTTTGACCGGCTCTTGCTGCACAGGTCAGAGTTCTAGATCATGTCAGGACTGGAAGGGAATTTAAAGAGCGTTTAGTTCTAGGGTAACCAACTCATCCTGATTTACTCCAGACTCTCCTGGTTTTAGCACTGAAAGTTCTGCACCCTGGGAAACTCCTTGGTCCTATGCAAACCAGGATGGTTAGTAAACCTATTTAATTAACAGATTGTTAACTTGGGTTCAGTGGATGAACTTCAGCAGGGCCAAGGACCCCCCTAAGATCAACTACCAAAATATGCGTATGTCTGTGTTTCTGCAGAAGGACCAGCTTTCTTCAGATTCTCAAAGCAGTCTATTGCCCAAGAGGTTAAGAATCTTTGCTCTAGAAGTTAGAGTAGAAGCAGAACATTAGACCGAAACTAGAACTTACATATTCATTAATTGGAATTATTATTGGAATTGGTATTATTATTCTAAATAGAAAAATGTTTATTTCTGGGGCTTCTGGGAGAGAATATTGTTATGATACGTGTCCTGCATTCTTTAATCACCACCACCAGCCCCATTTCCTGATAAATACTAATTAAAGAACTAAGTAATAACTGAAGTAACCAAAAGTGCTTTTTCTTACCTCCAGTGAGTCATGATCATGCCACTACACTCTAGCCTGGGTGATAGAGTGAAACCTTGTCTCGAAAAAAAAAAAAGCATAGAGAGAAAAATATTGGTAAAAATGAGCAGAACCCCAGTAAATAGTGGGACAACATCAAGCAGTATAACTAACATATTTGTGATTGGAATCCCAGAAGGAAAAGAGAGAGAGTGGGACAAAAATATATATATATATATATATATATATTTAAAGAGTAGATGGAACTTTCCCAAATTTGGTGAAAAAGCAAAAACGTATAGTTCCAAGAAGCTTAGCAAACCTTAAGCTGGATAAATATAGTTATAGCCCAAGTCTTGCCACTAAATCTGTGACTTCGGGGCCATCAATTAACCTCTCTAAGCTTCAGGGATTTTTTTTGTTTCGAGACAGAGTCTCACTCTGTCGCCCAGGCTGGAGTACAGTGGTGCGATCTCGGCTTGCTGCAACCTCTGCCTCCCGGATTCAAGCGATTCTCCTGCCTCAGCCTCCTGAGTAGCTGGGATTATGGGTGGGCATGTGCCACCACACCCAGCTAACTTTTTGTATTTTTTTTTTTAGTAGAGACAGGGTTTTGCCATGTTGCCCAGGCTGGTCTCAACTCCTGAGCTCCGGTAATTCACCCATCCCAACCTCCTGAAGTGCTGGGATTACAGGCTGAGCCACTGTGCCTGGATGTTTCAGGTTTTTTATAGGTCATCTGGGGTTAATAATATCAACTCCACCTATTTTATATAATAGATTAATAACCAAGAAATAACACATTAAGTCAACACATTAAGTCAAAGTTTAGTCCAACTACTTAAAAGCAGAAATTAAGAGAAAATCTTGAAAGCAGCCAGGATAAAATGAAATACAATATGACTGACGCTTCATCAGTAACAAAGGAAGCTGGAAGACAATAGAATGGCATTTTTAATGTGCTAAAGGAAAATACGGTTGACCTTTGAACAATGCAGGTTTGAACTGGGTGGGTCTGCTTATATGTGAATTTTTTTTTCAATGAAACACAAAGTAAAAATATGGGCCGGGCGTGGTGGCTCACGCCTGTAATCCCAGCACTTTGGGAGGCCGAGGCGGGTGGATCATGAGGTCAGGAGATCGAGACCATCCTGGCTAACACAGTGAAACCCCGTCTCTACTAAAAATACAAAAAATTAGCCGGGAGCGGTGGCGGGCTCCTGTAGTCCCAGCTACTTGAGAGGCTGAGGCAGGAGAATGGCGTGAACCCAGGAGGCGGAGCTTGCAGTGAGCCGAGATCGCGCCACTGCACTCCAGCCTGGGCGACAGAGCCAGACGCTGTCTCAAAAAAAAAAAAAAAAATATGGTAGACCTAAATAAAACAATTCGAAAAAGGGTTAAGAAATGTTGTTCAGCACCCACACATGAAAGAGAAACTGCAATTTTTAAAAATCATATGCTTGGCCTGGTGCAGTGGCTCACGCCTATAATCCCAGCACTTTGGGAGGCCGAGACGGGCAGATCACGAGGTCAGGAGTTCCAGACCAGCCTGGCTAACACAGTGAAACCCCGTCTGTACTAAAAATACAAAAATTAGCCAGGCATGGTGGCGGGTGCCTATAATCCCAGCTACTCAGGAGGCTGAGGCAGGAGAATTGCTTGAGCCTGGGAGGCAGAGGTTGCAGTGAGCCGAGATCACACCACTGCACTCCAGACTGGATGACAGAGCAAGACTCCGTCTCCAAAAAAAAAAAAAAAAAAGAAAGAAAAAAAAACTATATGCTAAGGATTATGGCCATTATCCTTAGCAAACTAATGCAGGAACGGAAAACCAAATACCCCATGTTCTCACTTGGAAGTGGGAGCTAAGTGATGAGAACCAGTGGGCACAAAATGGGGAGCAACAGACACTTGAGGATGCTTGCGGGTGGAGGGTGGGAGGAGGGAGAAGAGGAGAAAAAATAACTATTGGGTACTAGGCTTAGGACCTGGGTGATGGAATAATCTGTACAGCAAACCCCCATGACATGAGTTTACCTCTACAACAAACCTGCACATGAACCCCTGAACCTAAAACAAAAGTTAAAAAAAAAACATATGAAACTACAAAATTTGAAATGAAATTGCAACTTTCCTTTTGTCTCTGCAGACAGGAATCCAGGGTAGTTCTTCTCCGCAATGTCACGCTCCTGCCTGTGGCCTGGCGGATCACCAGCCTGGAGCACTTGGGTGATGATTTCACTGTATCCCTGATGCAGGGGACCATCCCCCCTGAGGCTGAGTACGGCCTGCACCTGTACTTTCAGCCCACCAAGCCTGTCAACATCAAGAAGGCTATTCGGTTGGAGGTGAGGCTTCACACATCCACAGACTTGGTTATCAAAGCATGTACACACACACACACACACACACACACACACACACACACACACACACACAGAGGTCTCCCTGTTACATGCTCCTATCTGATCCCCTTTCGATATCCCCAGTCCACAATCTCTTGCTGTGCACACAACTGCAAGCTCCATAGAGGCAATATTGCTTATGGCTGATTCCCCAGTGCCAGGAACAGAGCAATCAATGTGGAAGGAAGGAACAAATAAATGAATGAATGAATGAATGAATGAACAAATGAACAAATGGTGTTGCTATACCTAGGTAAGCATCAGAGTCCTGATTTCACACTCCTAAACCCAGTCACCTATCGGATTCCTATCTGGGGAAATGTCACCCTCCACCCTGTTGCTCCCAACAGACACCTGGGGATCAGCCTTAATTCCCCCTTTTCTTAATGGCCTCCCTTCCGACGCAGGCCTCCAACAAAGGTTGCTAATTTTACCTCCCAATGTATCTTTTTTTTTTTTTTTTTGAGATGGAGTCTCGCTCTGTCACCCTGGCTGGAGTGCAGTGGTGTGATCTCGGCTCACTGCAACCTCCACCTCCAGGGTTCAAGCAATTCTTCTGCCTCAGCCTCCAGAGTAGCTGGGACTACAGGCACGCGCCACTACACCCAGCTAACTTTTTGTATTTTTAGTAGAGACGGGGTTTCACCATGTTGGCCAGGCTGGCCTCAAACTCCTGACCTCAAGTGATCCTCCTGCCTCGGCCTCCCAAAGTGCTGGGATTACAGGCATGGTGCCTCACGATGTATCTTTCCCATCCACTTCTTTCTCCTCGCTGTTGCCACCACCTTGTCCAGGCCACCTGCAGCTTCTCTCACCTGGACTTCTACAGAGGTTTCCTAACTGGCTTCCCTGTTGGCATTCGCCACAGTGTCCAGAGGGATCTTTACAATGTCATTCAGACAGGTTATGCCCCACCTAACGCACTCTCCTGGCTTCCCACTGCAGTAGGAATAAAGCCCGGGGTCCTCACCTGCCTCTGAGACAATGCCTGCCTCCACATCGCAACTTGCTCCACCCTCGCCCTCAATCATTGGCTCCCACGCACTGTCTTGGCTCTTTCTTGGTTCAAGCCACTGACCTTGTTGCAACCCTGCTGGGAATCTGCCCTTAGGCTCCAGCTTTAGGGTCCCCCAACATTGCTGTTTCAACTGGGCTTCTCTAATCATCCCTTTGAGAGAATCCCTCTTATGTGCAATAACCCACCCCGTCTTCCATCCTTCAGAGCACCACCTCTTCCTAACATTATCCTGCTTCTTTCTTTACTTTCTTATATGAACTGCATCAGGGCAGGATCTCACCTGACTTAACATCTGTCTTAGTTCCCCAAGGCTGCTACAACAAATTAGCATATACTGGGTGACTAAAAAACAGACATTCCTCTCTCACCGTTCTGGAGGCGAGATGTCCAAAATCAAGGTGCCGGCAGGGCCATGCTCTCTCTGAAGGCTCCAGGGAAGAACCCTTCCTCTCTCTCCCCTTCAGCTTCTGGGGTCTCCTGCGAGTGTTCTCAGCTTGTGGCTGCATCACTCCAGTCTCTGCCTCTGTCATCATCACAACACCTCTTCTGTCTGTGTCTTCTCTTCCGTCTCTTATAAGAATATTTATCATTGGATTTAAGGCACACTCAGATAATCTAAGACGATCTCATCTCTAGATCTTTGACTTAATTAAATCCACAAATACCCTTTTTTCCAAATAAGGTCATATTCACAGGCTCCAGGAGTTAAGAAGTAGACATACTTTTTGGGGGACCACAGTTCAACCCCCCATACCATCATATTCCCAGTGTCTAGCATGGGATTGGATGAAGTAGGCACTCAGCAGAATCTAATGAATGAATGAATGCCATTGAGTTTTAGTACTTGAACTAGGCCGGGCATGGTGGCTAACGCCTGTAATCCCATCATTTTGGGAGGCCTAGGTGGGTAGATCACTTGAGGTCAGGAGTTCAAGACCACCCTGGCCAACATGGTGAAATTGCGCCTCTAAATACAAAAATACAAAAATACAAAATTACAAAAATTACAAATTACAAAAATTAGCCGGATGTGGTGGCGCACGCCTGTAACCCCAGCTACTCGGGAGGCTGAGGCAGGAGAATCACTTGAACCCTGGAGGCGGAGGTTGCAATGAGCCAAGTTCGCACCACTGCACTCCAGCCTGGGCAAGAGAGCAAGACTCTGTCTCAAAAAAAAAAAAAAAAAAATACTTGAACTGATTCTTTGACATTCACGGGATCATCCCAGCTTCTCTTTGAATGCTTCCAGGAACAGAAAATTTACCACTACCGCTTAAAGCAGCCTGTTCTGCCTTTAAACAGGTCTGTCAATTCTTCTTTGGGTTGAGCTCAGAATTCTTCCTGTCAATTACATGCATGAATCATGTTTCTACCTTTTGGGGCCACTCAGTGGATCTAATCTCTCTTATCCCTTATCAATGACAGCCCTTCACTGAAAGGGCTGAAAACAGATATTGATAGATTCATTCACTCCATGAATGTGTAGAAGCCCAGAGGTTCTGGTCAACGCTTTTAGCACCAGCCTCTGCACAGGCACAGAGCTCTGCACCAGGTACCCAGACCCCTGGCTGGTGTAGGGCCTGGAGTCCCACAGCTGTGCCAGCTTCGTCCTTTAGTTGCTGGATCATGGGGAGTCCAGGGGTTCCTGTGGTGGGGATGCACAGGAGGCAGGCAGCAAGGGGATATTGGAGAGGTCATCATGACAGCTGCTTACCAACTGGTACAGAAAGGCTTTTGTTTTTATTATTATTTTGTTTTATTTTTCTTGACACAGGGTCTTACTCTGTTGCTCAGGCTGGAGTGCAGTGGTGCAATCTCAGCTCACTGCAACTTCCACCTCCTGGGCTCAAGCAATCCTCCCACCTCAGCCTCCTGAGTAGCTAGGACCACAGGCGTGCACCACCACACCCAGCTAATTTTTGTATTTTTTGTAGAGATGAGGTCTTGCCATGTTGCCCAGGCAGGTCCCAAACTCCTGAGCTCAAGCGATCTGCCCCCCTTGTCCTCCCAAAGTGCTGGGATTATAGGCGTGAGCCACTGCAACCGGCCACATTTTTGTATTTTCACAACTGTTGTGACCATCTCCATGTGTCCCAGCCAAACAGCAGCCTGATTAGGGCTCTGAACAAAGCAGCGTGGACCTCCGTAGAGCCCCGCGAAGTGAACTTATATTCACTTCCACATCCACAGAAGGAAATGCCTTCATCTCCAGTCCCTTTTGAAAGCCTTTGGTGAACTTGTTTTATTTCATCTGTATAACTCTTCAATTGTCCTTCCTATTTTCCTCAATTCAAAATTCAGCCTCCCCACTGCCTCCGACCCACCCTGGGGAAGCCAAGAAATAGAAGGCTCCAGGCACTTGGCATCCCTCAAGAGGGAGGCACTACACACATCCTGTCAGCCCATCTTGTCATCTGTCAGAGGGCAAGCAGTCAGAGAAAGAAGGCGAAACTCAAGTCGGTCCAGTTTGCTCTGTGAAACATTGGCAAGCATCTAATGAAAGAGAAGATGGAAATTCTGAATTAAAACTTGAGTTTGGTGACAGCTGCAAATTTCCTCCTGGCACCCAAAGCACATGCAATAGGGAGTGGGTGGCTTGGGCTTTCAACTGGAGCAAAGACAGAGGTGGACTCCCCAGAGCAGACCCAGGAGAGCTTCCCCCACTGCCCCCCAGTTCTTTTCCTGGACAGATGGACCCTTTACCGCCTCCTAGTTAGCCTCAAGAGGCAACAGTTGGTTCATGTCATTTACCCACTTTTTGATGGGATTATCTGGGGATTTTTTTGTTGATTTGATTGAGTTCCTTGTATATTCTGGATATTAGTCCTTTGTCAGATGCATAGTTTGCAAATATTTTCTGCCATTCTGTGGGTTGTCAGTCTAACCATTTGTACCCCCAAAAGCTATCAAAATAAAATATATGTATATATAAAGAAGAGGGAAAAAAAGAGTCAGCAATCAGGTCAGGCTGACAGCTGCAGCAGTTTAGAGGTGCCAGAGAACAATGAGGGAGGGACCATCCCCAGGCATGACAACAGAGGGGTCCACGATATTCACAGAAATAAAACATTGGGTATTTCCAAACATTAAACACTTGCTTTCTACGAAAAGTCTAGCACTTTCCCCACAGGCTGAGCCACAAACAAAGAACAGAACGATTCAAATTTATAAAATGAGTAGAGCAAGGATGACCTGGAGCATAAAGGTTTTCCATTTCAACTGTCAGGGCAGTGCTCACTAGGTTCATTTGATTTAGAAGTTAAAAAAAAAACAAAAAAAAAACAGTTGGGCATGATGGCTCACATCTATAACCCCAACACTTTTGGAGGCTGAGACGGGAGGATTGTTTGAGTTCAAGAGTTCAAGACCAGCCTAGGCAACATGGTGAAATCCCATCTCTATAAAAAACAATACAAAAATTAGCCGAGCATGATGATGCACTCCTGTAGTCCCAGCTACTCGGGAGGCTGAGATGGGAGGATGGCTTGAGCCCAGGAGGTCGAGGCTGCAGTGAGCCGAGATTGCGCCACTGCACTCCAGCCTGGGTGACAGAGTGAGAGCCTGCCTCAAAAAAGAAAACCACTTTCCTGTAATGTCTACCCCAAGCCCAAACTTCAGTAATGTAGCAACAATAAAAAAGTCAGTCCCTTTTCCCCATTCTTGTATTCTTTGTACCAGCATTCCCCAGAGTATTAAGAGGAGCACAAATCCTACCAAATGCTTGGCGAAGATAAAATACCTACAGGGGAATACACTTCAAAACGTTCCCTGCCGTATCCCCTTTAGGATATTACATGTTTCAGGCTCCAAGCACCTATAGGTCTTGCTTTTACTGAAGAATTTCCCTTTCCCTGCCAGGTTTTAGATGCAGAAAATCTTCTTGGTGTTGTTCAGATTGAAAATATCATGGTCTTTGCAGAGGCATACGACATCGCCTTGGACATCACCTTCCCCAAAGGTCTGTTGGGCCCTTCAAGGACAGGATGTTTGGAAGTTGGGTCTTTTGTATAGTGTATTTCTGTGTAGAGAAAGGCTAGTGTGTTGTTAGTATTGCAGGGATTGGGGGTGGGGCAATTTTAATAAATAATAATGTGAGCCCCAGAGTGATATTAGCAACATGACTACAAATCGTAATTTCTCCAACCAGAGGTAGAAAGCGGGTGGTCATAGATGTAAAATTTGCAGAGCTCTTTTCAGAGCAGTCATTTACAGTAAACACCTCTCCTCTTTCCTGTATTAGTTTTCTATCACTGCCATAAAATGTCCCCATAAGCTTTCTGGCTTAAAACAACA
This sequence comes from Homo sapiens, assembly GCF_000001405.40. Taxonomy (NCBI): domain Eukaryota; kingdom Metazoa; phylum Chordata; class Mammalia; order Primates; family Hominidae; genus Homo; species Homo sapiens. Next base: position 146,819,925 of record NC_000001.11, read on the forward strand.
CAAACATATTGCCCTACAGTTCTGGAAGTCACAAGTGCAAAATGGGTCTCACTGGGCTAAAATCAAGGTGTCAGCAGGGCTGCCTTCCCTTCTGGAAGCTCTGGGGGAGAATCCATTTCCATACCGTTTCCAACTCCTAGAGGCCGCCCACATGGTCCCCTTCCTCCACATTCAAAGACAGCAAGGTTGGGCCAACTCCATCTCACGTTGCCTTTTCTCTGGTTCTCCCACCCTGCCTTCCTCTTTTGCTCTTAAGCCCCCTTGTGATTATATTGAGCTGACCAAGATATTCCAAATTAATCTCTGTATTTGTAGGTCAGTGAATTAATTCCATCTGCTTCTTTAATTCCCCTGTGCCATGTAAGGTAGCATACTCACAGATTCCAGGAATTGGGAGGTGGGGCTGAGGCTGTTATCTGTCCCTGCACTGCCCTAACACCCGAGTTTCAGCTCTCCCTTTAGCCTACAGCTCTGCATTTCCCTCCTTTCCCCAAGAGGTCTCCTCAGCAAAACTCATAGAATGTTAGAGCCACGTGTTTAGATGTCATGAGTCTCATGTACAAAGATCTTTTATTGCAGCATTTTTTATAACAATGAAAAGTTGGAAAAACCTAAATGCCCATCAATAATGAAATAATAGTATTGTAGGAATAATATCATGAATTATGGAACCACCATATCGTGGGATATTATGCAGCCCCAAAGAACACACTTATGAGGAGTTTTTAATTATTTGGGGGAAATGCTTATGAAGTAATACTAAGTAAAACAACATAAATATATGTGTAATATCCCAACTTTATGCAAGACTTTTTTAAATACTGAAAGTTTTAGCTGATGGTAGACATGAAAGGCAATGATCCTAGGATGGAGGGAATCCAGAGGGACCAGCCCTGTAGAGTGCATCAAGAGCAGCATCTGTTGTTTGTTTGCCCAGATTCAATTATAAGAGGCTTTTCTAGCCACAGTACTTTCAGAAAACAAATTCTCTTAAACTGTCACCATGCGTTTTCCATGTGAATTTCAACAGGCACTTCCCCTGCTTCCCACTCTCATGCCCATTCACCCCTCTCTGCCCTGGCCCCTGGTCTCTGCAGGAGCTGAAGGGGGACTGGATTTTGGGATTGTCAGGGTCACAGAGGAGGCGAAGCAGCCCCTGCAATTGAAGAACCGTGGGAAATATGAGATCGCGTTCAGGTAACTGGAATCCCATCAGATGTAAGGCCATCAAGTCCGCCGTGTGGAGGAATGTGGGGAAATATGAGATCGTGTTCAGGTAACCTGAATCCCATAGGGTTTGCGGCCGTCAAGTCCACCGTGGGGAATAGCGTGTCTGGGAAACTTATCAGTCAGTCAAGGAAATCATAAGAACCGTCTCTGCTTTTTTGCCTCCCTTGGCTTCAAAAGAATGGAATTCCACCTGCTAAGGAAGCAGAGATTCTCACACTGCTCTCAACTCTGCAGCTTAACAGGGCCCTTTAAGTGGCCCGGATGTACCTGGCCAGTTGGAACCATAGGTGTCTGGGAATGGAGGAAGAGACTTAGGGGAAGAGGCCGGGAGGGGGAGATTCTAGGGGTGAGAAGAGGTCCCAGGGTGGAGGGAGAGACTGGAGATGGGCGACCTGGCCTCAAGCTGTCCTGCCTTCTGCCAGCTCTTATCTGCTTTACAAGGAGACCTTCTTCAGCAGATTTCATGTGAAGAAAGGGCTTTCCTTTTTCATTACATTCTAAGAATCACGATATTGTACAATCCAAATAGTAGCTTGGTAGAATAGAGCTCTGGCTTGTGCTCATCCCCAGAGATAAAAAATGAAACACAGAGGCTGGGTGTGATGGCTCATGCCTGTAATCCCAGCACTGTAGGAGGTGAAGGCAGGCAGATTGCTTGAGCCCAGGAGTTGGAGACCAGCCTGAGCAAAGTGGCAAGACCCCCCTGCCTCTACAAAATACAAAAAAAGTTAGCTAGGCGTGGTGGTCATATCACTTGTAGTCCCATCTACTTGGGAGACTGGAATGGGAGGATCGCTTGAGCCCAGAGAGGTCAAGGCTGCAGTGAGCCGTGATCGTGCCACTGCACTCCAGCCTCAGCAACAGAGCGAGACCCTGTCTCAAAAAAAAAAAAAAAGAAAAGAAAAGAAAAGAAAAGAAAAAGTAACACAAAATCAGGGAGGCTCCTCAGCAAGGAAAGGGTGGCACACGGGAGGAGGCAGGGAAACACCCCTCAGACAGGGCCACACAGCCCTTCATGGCAGTGCCCACACTTTTCATTCCATGGAAAGTTCTCCTTCCCCAAGAATTCACAGATGACAAAGAGACTTTTCCCCTGTCAGTTTGGAATTAGTGCTAAGTGGAATCTTGCCTGTTGGTGAGTTTTCTTTTAGATTAAGACAGGGGCATTAGCTGTGCTCTTTGAGGTTGCATGGAATGGAGTCACTCTCAGGTTGGAACAGGTGATAGAGGGTTTGTTGAAAGAATGTGCAGGGAAGCAAGGAAGCACAGGGGTGCAGGTAATTGGGCAGCCAGGGTCTCCTGGAGCATGGCGGTGACATTCAGAGCCCCACAGCAACTCCGGGCATCCCACCTCTGCCTAGGTGGGATACATCTTGAGCCTACGGCAGTCCCTCTGTCGGTCTCATGAGCCAGCTTCTTCCTGTGGTTCTTGCCTCACCTCCAGTAGGCCATGGGCTTCCCTCCCCAGTACCTCTGTTACAGGACCCCTGCCCCCTCCCTGCTGTCTCTCTCCCCAGGTTCTCTGGTTTCTGTGTCACTGTTCGCTCTGCATGTGCTAAAAGCCAGACAGACACAAACAGAGAAAGAGAGAATTAATTTAGTTGGTCCTTTTTCAGTATCCAATGTCCCTGTTGGACAGAGATCTCCTGCAATGGCCTCTCTTGACCATGGGATAGAGTATGGCTGTCTTTGCCGTAAGCATCAATTCCTAGCCTGGTCAATCCTGGCTAAGGAGAGGCGATCACGATGTACAAAGCACAGTGGACTCCGCCGGACGTAGTGGCTAAACAGGGCTGGAAACACAGCAGGCACTCAACCATCTAGAGTCTCCTCTCTGGGATCTTGAGTTCCCGCGATAATGACCTAGGCTGACTTCTTATACTTGTCTTTCAGCTTTTCCGTGGACTCTGTAGGGATTTCAACACCTAATATAAATTCCATGATCTCAGTCCAACCCAAAAAGGGTTCACTGACCCCAACAGAAAAACCCACAAATGTCCAAGTTTTCTTCCATGCAAAAAAGGAAGTGAAGATTGAGCACCAGCCTGTTCTGCGCTGTCAGGTAAGAGAGCTCCAAAGGGAGGGGCTGCCTCAATGGCAGGATCGTACGATTCCTGTTGCAAAGAAGGATACATGACCTAATCCATGCTCCAGGGAGAAAAGGGGAGGGCTGGCCTGGGTGGCAACCAGATAGGATACACCGGGGTTCTGTCCTAACTATCAGGCAAAGTCATCAGAATTAGATCCAGTGAGGAAATGTGCCCCCAGGTCTTTGGGGAGCATCAGAGGCAGGGAAGCTGAGTCCCATCATCAAGTGCAAAGGATGAGCAGGGAACTGAAAACATGAGGAAAAGTTGGCTATGTTGACCCTTGGCTGGTACACAGTAAGCTCTGTTTTAGTGTTCGCAATAATACGAAGACAGTGAAATAAAGAACATGGCTTCATGTCAATGATGAAAATAGGGAATGGGGTAGATAATCATGGGAATTCTGTAGCTACAGCAGTGGCTGACTTGCTCATTCTTCTTCCCGTTTTAGATTATTGAGCCCAATATTTCAGAAGGAGGTGAGATCATTGCCAGCATCCCAATTAAGTTTTCCGCGAATGCAGTATATTCCAAATACAACATCACCCCCTCCTCTGTCATCAACTTTGGAGCTTTGATCTGTGGCACTCGTAAAAGCACCACCTTCACCATAGAAAATCAAGGTGTTACTGACTTCAAGTTCGCCCTTTATAAGCTGACAGGGGAGAGCCCCATTCATCAAAAGAAAGCGTAAGACAAATATTTACTTAACTCATTCCATTCCCTCTTTAATTTATGCTTTATATTTTATAAAGAGCTTTCGTATATCTTACTTAAATTCACCCAATCCCGTTTTGTGGGTGAGATCAGTAAGATTTAGAAATGGCTCATTTAGATTATGCACAAAAGCTGGGTGCAGTGGCTCACACCTGTAATCGCAGCGCTTTGGGAGGCCAAGGCGGGCAGATCACCTGAGATCAGGAGGTCGAGACCAGCCTGGCCAATGTGGTGAAACCCCATCTCTACTAACAATACAAAAATTAGCCGAGTGTGGTGGCACATGCCTGTAATCCCAGCTACTCGGGAGGCTGAGGCAGGAGAATCGCTTGAACCTGAGAGGCGGAGGTTGCAGTGAGCCGAGATCGCGCCACTGCACTCCAGTCTGGGCGACAGAACGAGACTCCGTCTCAAAAAAATAAAAAATAAAAAATATTTTTTTAAATATTATACACGAAATCACCAGTAGAACTTGGTGTGAGCCCACATCTTCTGACTCCAGGTTTCATAGATTTCCTGTAGAATATATCATAAATTTTAGTTGAACAAACACAGTCTTCTGCCTGGAATTTTGTCTGTTGTCCTGGTGCTCCTGGCGTGCTGAAGGACTTGTTAGATCATTGTCCTATGTGTCATTCTGTACAACGCCAAGAAATTATTATCATAGGAAGCTAAATCAAAAGAAATCGTAGCAGTGCTTCATGGTGGGGCTGCTCTGGAAGCGTGGAAGAGAGGAAGTGCGGTGATGCCTTCAGCCTACCAGGGACTATTATTGTTATTGCCTGTTACTATTATTGCCTTCTCCCCATGAAAACACCTTCACAAAGCTACCTTAATAGTTGTTCCAACAGCAAAACTCCATGTTCTTCAAAAGGAGGCTGTCAATCAATTCACCCAAAACAATTTGTCTTTTGAGTGCTTTTGGCTTCTACTGGGCTGCCATACTCTTTTTCGGGCAAATTAAGGATGGTTTTTACCGATTCCTGAGGCACTTCTGATTTAATTTTGACTTTCTAGTTAATTCTTTTAAATAAGATGTATGGCTTTACATTGTAGTTGTTTTATATTTCTGTAGCTATTCTTTTCTGATTTGACAAAATTTGAACATTTTTTAAAATGTAGAGTTGAATTGTGTAAAGTCTCTTTCTTCCTAGTTTAATTTCAACTGAATTTTTTTACAATTTATAACAATGTAATGTCTATAATGATTATGACTTAATTCTGTTTTGCTTTACATTGGTTTTTATTTATTTTTTATTTTAGCATGCACAAGTTCATACAAAACACACGAAAGGGGGTTGAACTTCAGGTGTTCTGGTCATTAAGCAAGTGAATGCTTGAATATATAAAATTCTCAAAAGCTTAAGATGCATTTCAGATACATTTGAATATTTTAGGTGAACTGGTCTCTAGGCAAACTAATTATTGGATAAACTAGTTTCAAGGCAAGTGAACAACTACCAAGACCTACATTTGAACTACTGCTTATACTAAACCTTAAAAACATCACAACTATAAATGTGAAGATACAGAAAAGAGCTTAATTTATTTGCCATTTCATTTTTTAAAATCAGATTAAGTAAAACATTTGACATCCACAAGTAATTTTCTGCCCACTGCTTTCCAGCGAACTCAAGTAGGCATTTAAAACTTACTATCTTCTTGCAGTAATTTTTGGTGTCCCTATAAATCATATTTAATAAGTATAATTACCGCCTAGTTTCCTTACAGTTGCTAAATGAGTCTGGTCAGTGATTAACTAGCTAACTATGCCACTCCAGTGTCCTCTTGGGCAAAGAAGGGCCCGTTCCCCCATTCCTGGGAGAAGGGCCCTTGCAAGAAAACAGACAGGTGGTGTCTAATGTTACCCCCGACCCCACAATCTAAGGGTATACTCTTGCTTCTTTAATCAGAGCCAGCCACGTCAGACATGCAAGATCCCGAGAAAGTGAGAGCTTCTACAAAACTGGCTCTTCCAGAGCAGCCAAGTTCTCTGACACGATTCAGAAAGAAGTAACCACCACAGGCCAGGTGCGTGTCCTTTTCCCTGTTCTTACAGATACCCAGTAAGGCCAACTCCCAATTAGCTCTTGACACCAAATACCTCCCTAGGATAACAGGATTTGAATCCATCATGGCAGGAATATGAAATAATTATACTGAAATGTCACTTTCATTTTAAGCTAAGATGTTATGACCTTTAATTTGGATATCCTCTTTTGCTTTAAAACCTTCATTGGCTTGCCACTGCCTTAAAATTGTTTCTACTCTTCATATGTATTTTAATCAAGAATAATTTGCTTATAAGAAAGAGAAGCCCATTCAAACAGGCTTAAATAAAAGGAGATTCAAGGATTTCTGCTTCTGGTAAGATCAACTAGATGTACTTTTCCCTATTCTTCCCAACTAAGTACAACTAAAAACCCTGGGCATCATGTATAAAACAGACTTCAGACTCTGAAAGGTAGAGAGAAGAAACCAGACCAGCCCCAGGGACTTTGGGACCCAAGGAAGATCAAGGTGGTGAGTTCCCAAGTTTTCTTTTTGCCTCATATCTCCCAGACTGGGTGCTGAAGCAGCCAGCAACCCTAAAACATCAACAGACACAGACAAAAAGAAAGCCCCAACAGAAGCCTACTCCTACTTTCTTTCTGCCTTTCTAGGTTGCCCCTAGAAAGACAGAAAACTTCTAGACAGTAACCAAAAGACAATAGTTAACCTAGAAAGACAGAAAACTTCTATATAATAACTGTTCTACCACAGCCAAACACCAAAGAAAAATATTTGGTCCCACGCCACCTCTGCTAGCAAAGGCCAAATAGAGAGTCTAGACTCCACCCTCTCCAAGCTGTCATGAGGTGCCCCACCCCCTTGCCAGGGTGGCGTCAGAGAAGGTCGAATACCAAGCCGAGACTTTCATTCCCATGGGTGGTAACAAGTGTCCCCCACCACCTCCTGTGCTGTTTGTGGAGATACCACATGGGGAACCATGACGTCCACCCCAACCTAGTGGTAATGAGACATTCCCCCATCCCCTGCTGGAATGGTGTCAGAGGACCCCTCCATCTCCCATGGCATCAACAGAACAGTAACAGGCACTCACCAATCCCCACCAGGCACGTATCAGTTGAGGACTAGTGGAGAGCTGGGACACCCACCCCTGCCCAGCAGGAATGATGGGTCTGAGTGGGGAATCTGGACTACTGCCCCCATCTGGCAGTAGCAAGGCAGTATACTACCTTCCCCTGCCAGGGCAGTGCCAAAAGAAAGCCAGCCCAAACAGAAGATTTAAATCAGATCCCAAGTCTCATAGCATAACACCCAAAATGTCCAGGTTTCAGTTGAAAATCACTCATCACACCAAGAACCAGGAAGAACTGAAACTGAAGGAAAATAGATAAATGCTAGATGACAACACTGAGATGAGAGAGGTGTTAGAATTATCTGAAAATGTTTCAACGAGCAATTATAAGCATGCTTGGAAAATTTTTAAAATAATATGTCTCAGCAAAGACAGAAGATGTAGAGAAGAAGCAAATGGAGATTCTGGAATTGAAGATAAATAAACAAATTTAGAACTCAATGGATGGGCTCAACAACACAGAGGGAACAGAGGAAAAGAATCAGTGAACTTGGGCCAGGCGCCGTAGCTCGTGCCTGTAATCCCAGCACTTTGGGAGGCCGAGGCAGGCGGATCACGAGGTCAGGGGGTCGAGACCATCCTGGATAACACAGTGAAACCCTGTCTCTACTAAAAATACAAAAAAATAGCCAGGCATGGTGGCAGGTGCCTGTAGTCCCAGCTACTCGAGAGGCTGAGGCAGGAGAATGGCATGAACCCGGGAGGCAGAGTTTGCAGTGAGCTGAGATCGCACCACTGCACTCCAGCTGGGGCAACAGAGTGAGACTCCACCTCAAAAAAAAAAAGAAAAGAAAAGAATCAGTGAACTTGAAGACAGACAATAGGGATTCCTGTGTTTGTTTCTTATTGTTCTCACAACAAATTACCTCAAATTTAGAAGCTTAAAGTATTACACATTTTTTATCTTACAGTTCTGTAGGTCAGAAGTGCTAAAATCAAGGTGTTGGAAGGGCTGTATTCTTTTCTGGAGACACCAGGAAAGAATCCTTTTCATTGTTTTTTTAGCTTCTGGAGGCAGCCCACATTCCTTGGCTTGTAGTCCCCTTCTATCATCCTCAAAGCCAGCAACAGAGGATCGAATCCTTCTCACATCACATTACTCCAACCTCCTCCATAGTCATATCTCCTTCTAACTCTCTTCCATTTCTAAGGACCCTTGTGATTACATTGGGCCCATTATAATCCAGAATAATCTCCTCATCACAAGGTTCTTAATGTAATCATGTCAACCAAGTCCTTTTGCTGTATAAGGTAACATATTCACAGGTTCCAGAGATTAGGATGTGGACATCTTTCGGAGGCCATTATTCTGCCCAGTCTAAACAAAAGAGAGAAAGTAGACTCTGTTTTGAGTCCCTTGAAAGTCTATTTAAGTCTAATGAGAAAAAATGAATTGATGCTCAGGGATCTGTGGAACCATAACAAAAGATCTAATGCGCTTGTCATTGGAGTTCCAGAAAGAGTTACAAAAGAGGGTGGGACTGAAAATATACTCAAAGGAATAATGACAGAAAACTTTTCAAATTTGGCAAAAGATGTAAACCTACAGACTCAAGAATCTGAGCAAACCCAAATAGGAGAAACCAAAAGAAATCCTTACCAACACACATCATAGTCAAACTTCTGAAAATTAAAGAAAAGAAAAAAAATGTCTTGAACACATCAAGAGAGAAATGAACCTTGAATGACAGCAGATTTCTTACAAAAACCGTAGAGACCCAAAAGAAAGTGGCACAATATTTTCAAGTGTAGAGAACCAATAACTGTGAACCCAGAATCTTATATCCAGCAAAAATATTTCTCAGGGATAAATGGAAAATCGACTTTCTCAAATGAAACAAAGCTAAAAGAATTTGTCACCAGTAGACTTACCCTATAAGAATGGCTAAAGGAAGTTCTCAAAACAGAAAGTAAATAACAGAAGATAAAATCATGGGACATCAACAAGGAAGAAAAAAACATGGTAAGCAATAATGTAGGTAAATTCAGTAGACCTTACTTCTCTTCCTGGGTTTTCTAAATTATGTTTGTCAATGGAAGCAAAACTATATAATACTGTCTGATATGGTTTTAAATGGATGTAGAGGAAATATTTTAGACAGAGCGGGGAAAGAATCAGTGAACTTGAAGACAGACAATAGGAATTCTTTATAAAAAGCAGGTGAATGAGCAGTTGTTAAGCAAGATGGTAAATACTATAATTGAGGTGCGTGTACTATAACTGAGGTGCATGTACATGGATAGACTCTAGAAAAATTGAAGAATGAAGTCTTGCTGTTCCGGGTAGCTGTGAAGAGTCATTGAAGGCTTCACAGAGGAGGAGGTGCTTGATTTGTGTATCAGAATCACGTTTGGCTGCAGATAGCAGAAAATCCAACATTAGTGGTTTAAACAAATATGGCATATTTAAATGGGGTAGGCAATTGCTGATGTTGGTTTAATAGTTTATTGTTGCTTGTGATTCTCTTGGCCTTTCCCTCATGGTTGCAAGGTGGCCTCTGCAACTCCAGCCACCACCTCTGCATTGAAGGCAATGAGAGAAGCAGGTATTCTGCACTCTATGAACAGCAATAATTATTGATTGAAGTGAACTGGGTTTTCTACATGTTGGTTTTTATGTCTTTTCAAATGGTTTCCACTTGTCAAGCAAAGGCTTCTATTTCATTAACAAACATAATTTTCTACATATGTTTCTATAACTCTCATCTCTTCTACAGATTTTTTTTTCCTTCTTTGCCTACCATATCTTCTCAGACTTCAGTGAAACAGCCTCTCCAGCACTCTGCCTTTCAGTTGCAATGAACTTATCCTCTCCTCTACATTGGCAACTTATTTTAATGGTCAGAGCCTGGATCTTACATCACAAGAAACTGAGGTGCTTCTGAATCCTTGATTTCCAAGACCTCTTTCTCTGACTGCTTCCATCTCTTCTAGCTTTCTGCTGCCTCAGTTCCACTCATTTCAGCTGTTCTTTGCCCTCACTATGACCTTGCTCCTTTGAGACAACATCATGCCATTTTCTACTATTCTCCAACCTTCTCTTCTGTCAGGATGGTTTATCTGGGAATCACCAGTGCCCAGGACATCTCCTAGCACATAGTAGGTATTCTGTAAATAGTGACCAAGTCAGTTAATAGCAGCTTCCGTGTATGTCTGTGCAGTCACACTGCACAATGCTAGGGGCTGCATCCACACAGATGCCTGTGTGAAGAGTGCCACTAGACTCAGCACTGATTTCTGCTGTGGTTCCTAGATCTGGCAGGATGTCCTTCACAAACCCCAGCTGCCAGAGGTTTTGCACAAATCCAACTGCCAGGGTATGAGTCCAGTGCAGCAGAACACTCACACAAGTCACGCAAAGCAAGTTATCACTCACGGATAGGTAGCAAGAACCAACAGAAGACTCATATTCATGGACAGCTGGTCCCCCAAGGCTCAAGAAAGCTGCCTTGGATAGATGAAGTCCTGTCAATGCATGCCCCACTTCACACTGCAGCTGAAGCACACCAAAAGCATTCTGCCCTGGATTTTGTGCTCCAGAGGAAATGTGGATCTCTGAGCTGAAGCACTGCAGGACATTCTGTTCAAGGAAGGATGAGAACAGATCCTGGGCTGTTCCAGACCCTTCCCTTATCTCAGGCCACTGCATTGTCAGCACATTCTACGGTCATCCGGAAAACTACAAGCAGGAGAGAGAAGAGCCGGGACATCTAAGGATTGCACCAACATCCTGTTTTGTTTTGTTTTGTTTTGTTTTGTTTTGTTTTGTTTTAGCACTAATTCCATACCAGATGCTATGCTACATGCTTCACACCTGTTCTTTCATTTAAACCTCCAGCAATCTCTGGGGTCGGGGCTTTAGCCCCATTTTATAGATAAATAAACTGAGACTCAGAGAAGTCATTTGTTTAAGGTCAAACAGTCAATATTTAGCAGGGCTGGGATTCAAACCCAGGTGTGTGTCACTCAAAGGCCCATAACCTCACCCACTACGCCATTCTGCACCCCTCTGCTTCAAGATGCCCAGCTGAATAAGTGCTATATGATGTGGAGTCTATCTGTTCCTTTAAACCCTTAGTTCAAACATGATTGGTCTAAATGAATTTGCATAGAAGGAAGCACTGAGAGAGCAACCTATCACTGAAGACCCCCTTCCCATCCCTGGCCCTCTGTCCCTCCAGGAGGAGAGGAAAGAGGGCCCAGAGAGTGCCTGTGAGAAGAAGCCCCACGTGTCCCTCCCCCTCTCCACACCATCTAACAGCCCCCATAGTCTGGCTGTCACTCACTCTGCCTCCAAGCCTCCTATCCCTCCCACCCTTGTCCTGCAGGCCCGCTTCGCCCATGGCATGTTCACCGTGTACCCTGGGTTTGGCTCCATTCCTTCCGGAGGACAGCAGGTCATCAACGTTGACTGTGTGGCTGACCCCATGGGAAAGTGTGAGGAGTTTATAGCCATCGATATCTCCGGCCGAGACCCTGCAGTCCACCCTGCCGGCATTCCTTACACTTTGCTAGCTGAAGCCTGTCTACCAGGTACTGACCACTCACATTGGACAGCACCACTTAAAAGATGTTCATCTGAGACCTGGTGCAGTGGCTCACGCTTGTGATCCCAGCACTTTGGGAGGCCAAGGCGGGCAGATCACCTAAAGTCAGGAGTTTGAGACCAGCCTGGCCAACATGGCAAAACCCCGTCTCTACTAAAAATACAAAAAATTAGCTGGGTGTGGTGGCACATGCCTGTAATCCCAGCTACTCAGGAGGCATTTGAACCCAGGAGGTGGAGTTTGCAGTGAGCCGAGATCACGCCACTGTACTCCACAACAGAGTGAGAGTCTGTCTCAAAAAAACAAATACATAAATAAAAGACCTTCATCTGTAACACTTCTACCTTCTTTCTTGCAAGTTTTTCCAAAGATTTCTGGCAGACATGGCTGGGATGCTTCCTTCAGGGTCCTAGAACTTCCTCTAGTGTCTTCAGTTGTATTTTTCCAGGGCATATACCTAAGGGAGGAGGTGCAGCTTCACACTCCCAGGAGGCTGGTCCTGGATTCCCAGATGAATAGTGTTATCTGAGAATCATGATGGGATGGGCTGTGGCACAGGACCCAGGAGCACTGAGTCCCGCTCATGGCCAGGCCACTCCCGGTGGGCAACATGTCCACAGAGAACAATGTTCAGTTACTGAGCATGCAAAATCTGTAACCCAGCAGGAGGGCAGATGAGGTGCAAAGAGAATGCCTCATGCTTTGACGATAGGATCCCTGGAGCCTTGAAGCATAGTGGGCCAGTTGCCTCCTTCCCTCCATAGCACACCCCAGATCTTGGATCTTACCATTGGGAGAAAAACGCTCACTGGAGTGTGGCAACCAGCAAGGACTGTACAAAAGAGGAAGACAAGACAGAATGTTTCCCATCCCTCACACCCCCTTGCATGACTTCCCCTATGTGTCCTCCACGATTCTCCTTTGTGAGAATCCAGAGTTCCAAATTAGGAATCACAGAGCGGGAATCCAGCAATCAGGCAGCATCTCATAGTTTCCCCTTCACTCCCCAGCCTTCGTGACCGAAAACAATGCCTTGATATTTGAAGAGCACCAGATATGTACCAGTGCCAACCTGCACCACATCCTGCAGACCATAGAGAGCGGGGGGCTGTTCGTCGAGGATGAGAACAAGTTCATCTTCTGCAATGTCCTGGTGGGCCGCCAAGCCAAGGCTCGTTTCAAGATCAGCAACGTGGGAAAGATCACCTGTGATGTCAACATTGTAGTCAGGCCTATCTCCAATAAGGTAAGACGCTCCCAATGGCCCCTGGCCCAGCATGGTTCACATAAAGCTGGAAAAAGGGCTCTCAGCATCCTCTGCTCTGGAGCCTGTATGCGTGAGTGGAAATTATCTGGCCCTGCTGGAAGTTATGTGAAGTAACCGGGGGCTTTCCCCTAGGCCAGTGGTGATACATTTGTCCCAGTGGGTGTCTCCTCCGGGTACCTTTGTGATAAGTACGCATGGACCAGCAAACCGCATTCCTCCATTGAATGCTCACTATGTGCCTAAAATAGACAAAGCATGGTGGGGAGAGGCTAAGGTGAGTGCCAGCTCCAGACAGGCCTACCTCCAGCTGCATATTCTGCTGGTAAGGGAGATTTGGGGGCATCAGATTCTGAGGATAAGGTGAAATGATGAGCATGTTTTAGCCCTTCCCATGTGACAAGCACTGTGCTAAGTGATTTATATTTACTGCCTCCTTTTGCCCTCACAACAACTCTTCCGACTTTGTATTATTATCCCGATTCTACAGTTAGGGAAACTGAGGCTTAAAAAGCTAAATCCTTCCCCTAGGTCCCAGAGCTTGAGAATATAGGGCTGGGCTTAAAGCCAAGCTTCATCCACATACAAGATGAAATAATTGCCCATCTCAGGGGGCTGCCAGGCTCGAAACTGCCTTTTCTCTCTGAGTCAGATCATACATTTTTTCACAGCAGAACAGAAAATTCAGGATACCAAGAGAGGTCTTAATCAGTGGGTTTCCGTCACCCTTAATTTCCAATCCAATGTGCGGCAAATACTCTAGTTTTATGAAGGCTGCTTCAGTTCTCTGCCTGAAAGTAGAATCTGGGCCCAGGAGGTCCTCAGGCCCCAGAGCTGGCATTGTTCACAGTTGAGGGTGGTGGGGAGGTCACCAAGGGTTTTGGTATCAGCCTAGAGCTACATATGGAGTGTGCATTCCTGGGGAATGTCAATGCAGAGAGGTATGGTTGGGGAGACTACATAATCCGTTTTATGACTTCCTTCAGGCCCTGGTGACTCCCAGTCATTATTCTCTGATTTTTTTTTTTTTTTTTTTTTTTTGAGACGGAGTCTTGCTCTGTCGCCCAGGCTGGAGTGCAGTGGTGCAATCTCAGCTCACTGCAAGCTCTGCCTCCCAGGTTCACGCCATTCTCCTGCCTCAGCCTCCCAAGTAGCTGGGACTACAGGCACCCACCACCATGCCCGGCTAATTTTTTGTATTTTTAGTAGAGACGGGGTTTCACCGTGTTAGCCAGGATGGTCACGATCTCCTGACCTCGTGATCCACCCGCCTCGGCCTCCCAAAGTGCTGGGATTACGGGCATGAGCCACCGCACCCGGCCTATTCTCTAATCTTATTTGGGATACTAAGGGGCAGCTTTCTTCCTCTTCTGTACTAAAAACATAAAAAGTGAGGAAGACTGATTTTTTTTTTTTTTTTTTGAGACAGTCTCACTCTCGTTGCCCAGGCTGGAGTGCAATGGCGCCATCATGGCTCACTGCAGCCTCGACTTCCTGGGCTCAAGTGATCCTCCCACCTCAGCCTCCTGAGTAGCTGGGACTACAGGCACGCACCACCATGCTTGGCTAGTTTTTGTATTTTTTGTAGAGACAGGGTTTCACCATGTTGACCAGGTTGGTCTCGAACTCCTGGGCTCAAGCGATCCTCCCGCCTCAGCCTCCCAAAGTGCTAGGATTACAAGAGTGAGCCACCACACCCAGCCACAAGTCTTATTTCTAAAGAGAGACTTTATAAGAGGATTTGCAGATATCACATGTTCTCCTCCACCCTAGTTTGCAGACTTGAAGGCTTTCCTTTGGAAAAAGCAAAAAGAAACCTGAGTGCCCTCAGTTTAAGAACAAGAGGGAATAGTCAGTCTTGAATCCCACCTACTTCCCATGAGAATGAAAAATCCTTTTAAGGCCATGCCAGGGCTCCTTACAGTCCCAAAACACTGCCACAAGTTGGGAACAGATAAAGTGCTGTGGGAGGTTGTTCTAGCCAAGGCTCTTGGAGTTACAAGGAGCAGAAACCCTCTCAGATTAGCCCAGACAAAGCAAGGCTTACTGCAGTGAATCAGACACCTCAGGCACAGGTCAGAACACATCACGTGGCCGGGACTTCTTGGGACTGGCACCATCACCTGAAGTCCGCCCTTTAGAAGACCAGCGGATGCTCTGTCCATCTCTCAAGAGCCACATGTCTCTCTCACAGGGTTTCCACTGCTCCATTCTCTCATCCAGCTTTCTCATCTTGCATGTGATTCAGCCAGCTCCCAGCTCAGCTCCACATTTTAACAACCAGCACCGGCCCGGCACGGCGGCTTACACCTGTAATCCCAGCACTATGGGAGGCCGAGGCAGGCAGATTACTTGAGCCCAGGAGTTTGAGACCAGCCTGGGAAACATGATGAAACCCCATATGTACAAAAAAAAAAAAAAAAATTAGCTGGGCATAGTGGCACACTCCTGTAGTCCCAGCTACTCGGGAGGCTGAGGTGGGAGGATTGCCTGGGTCCAGGAGGTCGAGGCTGCAGTGAACCATGATCATGCCACTGCACTCCAACATGAGTGACAGAGCAAGATCCTGTCACAGAAAGAATTTAAAAACCAACCAACACCAATCTTTGGGCATCCCAATTTAGTTGACAGGGGTGGGGTAGCAGGGAGAATATCTGGATTCCTGGCTTAGTTCATCAATTTGAGTCAAAAATCATAGGTCTAGCCAAATCTAGCCAGGCATCATTCAGGGGTGGGTCCCAGGCTGTTCCCTCCAGAGCCCCTCACCCTGCAGGCAGTGGAGCATGTCCACCACAGCACTTAGATGAGAGGTGGGGGACTCCTGAAAATAAGGAGTAAGCCTGGTGAGAATACAAAGGCACTGACACACTCTGGTCTCTGCCCCCATCACCAGCCCTTTGCCCGCATCGTCGACATTTTTGAAGTGGAACCCAGCAAGATGTGCATTGCCAGTCATTCCCATGCCTTTGCCACGGTGTCCTTCACCCCGCAGATCATGCAGAACTACCAGTGCATCTTTGAGGCTACCTTGGATGGCTTGCCCAGGTACCAGCTCCCAGCTCCCAGCTCCCTCTCCTGCAGCAGGGCTGCAGGCCACACTCTGTAGGGAGTGTCATTCCCACCATGCCAGGCTGACAGGCTACAATCTTCCTGTCCCCTACAGCACTCTGGCCAAGAGCCGAGGCCTCGTGTTTGACATCGCTGGTGAGGGGAACCTCCCTCGAGTGACGGTTGTGCGGCCAGTTCTTCATAACCAATATGGAAACCCCTTGCTCCTCTTTAAGAGGCTTCTCCTTGGTCATTCAGAGAAGCTGCCTCTCATCCTCAAGAACAATGGTGTCCTCCCTGCCCAGGTAATACTCGAGGGTGAAGCATGAGGCTGAAAGGGAGAAGAATCCAGAAGTTACACTTCTGCCACTGGGTCCTCTGCCATGCCTAATGTATGAGGACTTCTCTGTTGATCCACATACATTAACCTATGTGTCAGGGACATGCAGAGGGGAATCTGGCATGACATTTGTCCTCAAGGAAAGTAAGAAACCAGATTCCACAATATATCATTAACTACTGTCCAAGGTAGTGTGCAGTGATGTGCACCAAGCTGAGTGGGTAGGATTATGGGTGTTCTTAATATCTTCTTTATTTTTTTAATTGTTTTCTGTAATGAACATTGCATTTGCAATGAGGATAAGACGATAAAAGAAACTTCAGGAGGGGTGAAAAATACAGCATTCAAATGTATTTTGATTCAATGATTAAATTATGGTTTTATTTTACAAAATGTGATGTATTGTGCTCTACAAGGGACTGTAGGACTTTTGAAAAAGATCTATTCCCATCTAGACAATGAAGGGAAAATTCACTGTAAATGACGTTTGAACAGGGCTCATTGTAGGAGTTGGGTTTCAGCAATGCCTTCAGTGGGCATTTGGCAGTCCATGCAAACCAGAAATAGAGAGAAAGCTTCAAAGGTGCAGAAGCCAAAAAACAAAACAAAACAAAACAAAACGTGCACACTACTACAGGAGCTAGTAAGCACCCAGCTTCATGAGAGCATAGGTATAGGTAGAAGAGCAAGGAAGATAAAAATGAAAGGATACAGTAATGGAGCAACTTGTGGAAGGCTTGGGATTCTCTAAATATTTTAAACCCTACAAGACATTGCCACTATTGTTCTTGCTGCTGTTGTTGTTATTGTTTATACATTTATGGCCCATTTAGGTTTACTCATTTATTAATCATTTTTATTGCTCTTTATTCCTGGGTCTCCAATTTTCCATCTGTATTTGTCAGTTCTCATGCTACCAATAAAGACATACCTGAGACTGGGTAATTTATAAAGAAAAAATAGGACTCACAGTTCCACATGGCTGGGGAGGCCTCACTATCACAGTGGAAGGCAAAGGAGGAGAAAGACATGTCTTACGTGGTGGCAGGCAAGAGAGCTTGTGCAGGGGAACTCCCATTTATAAAACCATCAGATCTTGTGAGACTTATTCACTATCACGAGAACAGCCTGGGAAAGACCCGCCCCCATGATTCATTTACCTCCCACCAGGTCCCTCCCGCAACACATGGGAGTTATGGGAGCTACAATTCAAGATGAGACTTGGATGGGGACACAGCCAAACCATATCTCCATCTTGGACCCTTTTCCTACCAACTGAAGAATACTCTTCAGTATTTCCTTAATGGGGGTCTGCTGGTGGTGAAGTCTCTATTTCTCCTTCATTTTAAACATCGTTTTTACTGGCTATAGAGTTCTGGTTTGGCAGTTGTTTTCTTTCAGCAAATGGGAGATATTATTCCACTGTATTCCGGTTTCCGTTGTTAACTGCTGACTTGTCAGCTATAAGCCTAAAATGTTTTAAGAGAGGGGTCCCCAACCCCCAGGCCACAGACTCATGAGCAAAAGCTCATCTGTATTTACAGCCACACCCCATCACTCACATTACCACCTGAGCTCCCTTCCTCTCAGATCAGCAGCGGCATTAGATTCTCATAGGAGTGCAAACCCTATTTTGAACTGCACGTGTGAGGGATCCAGGCTGCGTGCTCCTTATAAGAATCTAATGCCTGATTATCTGAAGTGGAACAGTTTCAACCCAAAACCATTCCCCATTGCCTGGTCCATGGAAAAATTGTCTTCCATGAAACCAGTTCCTGGTGCCAAAAAGGTTGGGGACTGCTACTTTAAGGCATTCTTTTTTTCTGACTGCCTTTTACATTTTCACTTTGTTTTCTACAGTTTTACTATGATATGTCCAGGTGTGGAGTTCTTTTAATTTATCCTTGTTAGAATTCACTAGACTTCTTGATTCTGTGGATTAAAATTAAGTCAATTTTGGAAAATTTCTAGACATGTCTTTAAATATTGTTTCTATTTCATTCTCTCTAATCTCTACTTCTGGGATGATAATTAAATATATAGAAGACCTTCTCACTATATCTTCTGTGTCTCTAGTCTCACTATATTTTCCACTCACTTTTCCTCTGGGCTTCATTCTGCATAATTTCTTTTGACCTGTCTTCAGTTTATTAACTCTCCCTTTAGCTGTATTGAATCTACTGTTAAAGTTTCCATTAAGTCCTTAAGTTATTATATTTTTCAGTCTTAGAATTTCTATTAGGCTGTTTTAAAAATCTGAATAATTCATGTTTACTGTTTCTAGTTTCTAGCTGAAATTGTCAGACATGACTTTTATTTCTTGAACACAGTAATCATAGGCATTTTACAGTCTATACCAGATAATTCCAAAATCCACAGTCATTGTGGCTCTTTCTGGTATTTCTACTCATCTTTTTCTACTATTTCTACTCATCTTTGCCCATGTGGCCCTGCCTCCTCATGTGCCTGGTTATCTTCTGTTCATGTGTTGGGTATTATATTGTAAAAGTTATTTAGAAATCATTAAACTAAGGATCATATTTTTCTTCAGAGGCAATTTTCATTTGCTTCTGCCCAACACTTGGGGGCACTAGAAATTCAGGATCACTTTAAGCCAGTGTTAGGGTTTGAGATTTTCTGGATTACCCAGATGACTCAGAGCAGGATTGCCACCCTTGGGAAAGCTGGTTTATATCCAGCTCACCTTTCATCTTTTGAGGTCCCAGCCCAGAAGAAAGCATTGTCACCTTCCACAGGCCTTGAACTTTTGCCCTCTTAGCACCAAAAGACCATAAAAAGTACAGACAACGCCTGTAATCCCAGCAACTTGAGAGGCTGAGGTGGGCAGATCAGGATTTTGAGACCAGCCTGGACAACCTGGTAAAATCCCATCTTTACTAAAAACATACAAAAATTAGCTGGGCATGGTGACTCGCGCCTGTAATCCTAGCTACTCTGGAGGCTGAGGCAGGAGAATCGCCAGAACCCGGGAGACAAAGGTTGCAGTGAGCCAAGATTTCACCACTGCGCTCCGGCCTGGGTGACAGAGTGAGATTCCGTATCAAAATTTAAAAAAAAAAAAATGTGCAGACAAGCCTCCTGTCTACCTTTTCCTGACTGGCAAATGCTCTGGGCGGACAAAAACTGCCCAGAAAGTGAGACTGACCTTGCTGGATTTCTATACTCTCACAGATCCTGGTCTATTTACTCCTCATTCTCTTCGTAGCTCTGTTATGCTTAAAAAAAATTTTTTTTTATATATTTAGTCTAGCAATTGTTGTTGCCTTGAGCTCAGGTTACCTAGTTTACCATTACCCTGCATCGTTTCCATTATTGTGGCTTTATAATATGTTTTAGCATCTGGTTCAGTGAATTCCTATCCACCCATTCCCTGTTTTTGCCATTTTTCTTAACAATTTTCACCTATTAATCTCTCAAATAAGCTTTATAATTATTTTATAACGTTCCTTTAAAAATCCCATCGGGAAGCCTCTGAATCTGGTAGAATTTCTGCTTGCGGAGTATTTAGACTCTCCACCAGGAACATTTAGGATTTCCACCCATTTATTTAGATCTTTTATGTCAATATTCTTACATATAATTCTTCCATATAGCTTCTTATTAAAGTTGTTTCTAAATACATAATTTTTTATCTCAGAAGCTTCCCGTGTGATATCACTATTTCTGCCTTCTCCATGCCTCATATTTTGTATTATTCAATCTTTTTCATGATGGTGCCAACATTACTGTCTTCTAACAATGCCTGCTGATGTCTCATATCCGAAATCAGATGCATGGCTTTAGTCTTATCTTCCTTATAATGGGCCAGAAACCACCACTTTCTCCAAGTAGGTCAAATGCCCACCTTGTTTTTTCTCTTATTGTGGTAGGATGCTCAACATGACACTATCAGGCAACTAAACTAATGCATAGCACCTAGGAGATACTGGTTTTTAGGAATTGACATCAATGCAGGCCCTTATAGAATTACAAGTATTCATTTGCATTTTATTGGCCTAGCGTATATTTTATAACTGCCTCTGTTAATGACAGAGGTGTTGGCAACCACATTTTGACACTACCTACGTGATCTGGAAAGTTCTGCATACTCCTTGGACCTCCAGTTCCTCACTCAGATAACAAGGGCTGATCTGACTGAATGTTCTTCTGTCCTCTCCAGGTCTAATATTTATTATTTATCTCTCTTAATAAGAAATTCAAAAAAGTGAATACTAGGCATAATACCTTTTTGGGGTCCTGCCCCAAACACAGCACAGTATCTCACCCCAGACTCAAAGCCCATGAGCAGCCTGTAAGCCTAGCACTCATCCCTGCTTTCCTTCTGCCAGCTGCATGTTGACCTGCAGGATGAGCTAGGAGTCTTCTCCCTGAAAGGGAGGCCCACCACCGCGTATATCTACATCACAGAGGAAAACAAACCACATGTAAAAGGTAAGTGTGGGGAGGGTGCTTCTAGAGGGCAATGGGTCTCAGTAGCTGCTTCATTAGGGGACCACTCAAGGCCCAGCCAGAGGGGAATGCCCAGTCTCGTCACCACTGGCCTCTAGCTAAGGCTCGTTCCCATTCTAGGGTTACTTTCCCTTCAACAGGGGTCTTTATAGATACACATTTCTTGAAACTAGTTCTAAATCATATCTTCTCTCTTCTCTTTGCAGCAAAGAAAGCTCACACAGCCTCCTTGGTTGTTTCTCCTGGAGATACAGCTGAATTTGATGTCGTTTTCCACTCCCAGAAGGTTGGGAGGATGAGAGGTATCATCCACTTGTCAGTGATCAACAACCAATATGAGGAGACCTCCATCCACATGGTGGGAGAGGGCTATGAGGATGACATCACCTTGGACAACATCCATGGACTGGTGGCCCCCACCAGCCAGGAAGACATAAGTATCTCTGAGTTCACAGAGATCATCGAGGACAATGATATGGAAGACTTGGTGGCAGGTGGGAGAAACAGCAGTGAAGTGTTGGCAAGTGTTGGCTACTGGGTCATTTGTTTTAAATGAGAGTAAATTTAAATAACAGGTTGGTTAGCTCCCTGAGAATTTAGGACTGACTCTCCTCTTCATTACTCTATGCTCTGGCATGCCTGGCTCAGTCATGGCATCCATCCTTCCATTTATTCATGTGTTCACTCGATGAATATGTATTGATCACCAAGTACATGTTCCAGGCATGCTGATCCCTGGAGTTTCAAAATTAACAAGGAAGTCTCTACTCTTAAGGAGCTTATAGTTTGATATTCAAATTCTGGTTCAACTAATAAGCAAATAAATGCCTTGCAGTTTTTCCTGTCTGCATTTATTAGCTGGCTTGTGTTGGCATTGTCTGTTTATTAGAGAGAGTATAGGTTTGGGCACTTCTAGAACATCACTCTGCACAGCCCCACTACTCAATGAGCAGTTTGAGATCCTATGGCATCAGCATCACCTGGGAGCTTGTTAGAAATGGGGGTTTCAGACCCCCCTGCCCTACTGAATCAGAAACCACATTTTAACAAGGCCCCAGGTGACGTGTTTTTATACTAAAGCTTAAGACATGTTGTGCTGCAATCTATCAAGCACTAAAGCTTCATTTAGTTGACATTTTTGGGGATTGGAAAAATTTATCATCAAATTGTTATCATCAGAAGGCATTGGTTAAGCGCCCTAATTATGTGGTTGGTTGCTAAAAAGTGAGTTATAAACAGAGTCCCATAGTTTACCTAGAAGCTTAATTAAAGTCCTGGAATGTACCGTTAGGTGGTCTACACAACATGGGTTGAAATCAACACTCCTCATATACCTGGTGTTTCAGCCCTGTTTGAGGCTACAGGGTGACATCTCTCTTACCAAGGCTCAAGCAGGAGCCAGCAGTGAATCTAAGTTCAGAACTCAGATTTCATGCCCATAATAGGATTGCCAGAGTTAGCAAATCAGAATACAAGACTCCTCAATAAATTGGAATTTTGGTTAAACTATGAATAATTTTTAGTATATGTATATCCCAAACATGGCATGGGACATACTTATCCTAAAAATTATTCATTTCTTATCTGTAATTCAAATTTAACCAGGACTCCTATATTTTATCTGGCAATCCCAATCCTTTATAATATTTTCTCACCAAACAAATGGAGTTGGGGACCTATGTTTTCTCTTGTACAAATGGAGGTGAGGGCTAAGGTGGGTGAATGGATGATGGATGGATGGATGAAGGGATAGAGGGATGGATGGGTAGATGATAGATGAATGGGTGGATGGATACATGCATGCATGCATGGATGAGTAGATGATGGATGGATGGGTGGATGATGATGGGTAGATAGGTGAGTGGGTAGGTGGATGATGGGTGAGTGGGTAGGTAGATGATAGATGAATTAATGGATGGATGGGTGGATGATGGATGGATGGATGGGTGGGTGGGTGGATGATGGATGGATATATGGATGGATGGATGCATGGATGGATGGATGATGGATGGGTGGATGATGGATGGATGAGTGGGTGAGCAGGTGGATGATGGATGGATGGGAGGGTGGATAATGGATGGATGGATGGATGGATGGGTGGGTAGGGAGATGATGGATGGGTGGATAGGTGGATGGTGGATGGGTGGATGATGGATGGATGCGAGGGTGGATGGATGATGGGTGGGTGGGTGGATGATGGCTGGATGGGTGGGTGGATGGATGATGGCAGGATGGGGGAGGGTGGATGGTGGATGGATGAATGGATGATGGATGGATGGATGGATAGGTGAGTGATGGATAGGTGGATGATGGATGGGTGGATAATGGATGGATGAGAGGGATGGATGGATAGATAGATGATGGATGGGTAGATGATGGGTGGGTGGATGATGGATGGATGGATGGATGGATGGATGGATAGATGGATGGATGGGTGGATAGATAGATTCCTTGAGGATAGAAATCTTGTTACTCAGAGATTCTAGGTTTCTCAAATATAGCCATCCAAGGATGGAAGGACTGCATGTGAGTGAAGCACTATGCCTCCTTAAGGCAGCAGGCCCTCAGGGGAGGCCAGGGAGGACTCACAGCCTTCTGCTTCTAATCCCTAGCTGCTCTGGTGGACCACATCCAATTTGGGGACTGCCACATTGGACACAGCTATAATGCGAGCTTCACAGTCACAAATCACAGCCAAGTGAACTTGATACGGTTTGAATGGCCTGTTTCAGCTACAATTGCTTTCTCCCCACAGGTAAATAAAAGTCATTCATCATTTTTGGAATCCCTTAGTCCTAAGCCAACCCCAGACTGATTGTCAGCCCTTTCCCGTGGATGCATGGAATGGAATTAATGCATCTCAAGCTGAGAGACAGCCCAGGAATCATCCCTCACTCATACCTAGTAGCAAAGAACACTGTTCATGTCTCTCCTGGTTAAGAGGGGAAGACGGAGAATGAAGTTGACCAAAACTGTTGCTAGGCTGCTGTCAACGGGCCCTGTGGAGGCCTGTATAGATGAATACAGGTCCTAGTCTTCCTATCCCAGATTGTGGAGCTGTGTCCTCCTAGGTGTGTGTCCTTTAGAGTATCAGTCCTTCAAAATGCTTCACCAAAAGCTAGAATGGGGGTGATGGGTTCTGTGGACAACTGAGATTTAGAAAATGTTCCAAGCTCCATCCTTCCTTAAATATTCCTGGTTCTCTTTGGCATGTTAAAACCTTGTTAACTTTGTTTTACCTGGAATTTTCTAACCTCTTCTTTTAGCATCTCCACAGCACACATTTTTTTTTGAATTGCTGACTAAAGCTTGACATTGAACAAGGCCTAGGATAACGTTCTAGAAGATCGTTGCCTCTGGCCAGTGGTTGCTTTTTGTAGATAGTTCATTTCTGAGTTCCCAGAGCATGCACACCCCAGTGTCTTCACTGCCTCCTGCTCTGTTGATACACAGCCAGTGAGTCTGCTCAAGCACAGTACTCAAGGGGGATGGAGCAAAGGCGTTGGGGACTTTGTCATCTTTAAATCTTTGAGCGCTATTAGGGATAAATTTTGCTTTTTGGAGTGATGTAAAGTTCATTAGGACCCTGACCATTCCGTTTCGTCATGGTCCAAATCCAACCCTGAATAGAGCTGGTATACCACTTTATTTGTAAATTGAGTGCTTACTATATGCCAAAAATAGTTCTAAGACCATGGTTAATCCTCTGAACAATGCTATAAGGCAGATACTACTTTTTTTTGTTTTTGTTTGTTTGTTGAAATAGTCTCACTCGGTCACCCAGGCTGGAGTGCAGTGTCACAATCTTGGCTCATTGCAACCTCCACTTCCCAAGATCAAGTGATTCTCCCACCTCAGCCCCCCAAGTAGCTGGGACAACAGATGCACACCACCACACCTGGCTAATTTTTTTGTATTTTTGGCAGAGACAGGTTTCACCGTGTTGTCCAGTCTGGTCTCAAACTCCTGAGCTCAAGCAATCCACCTGCCTCGGCCTCCCAAAATGCTGGGATTATAGGCATGAGCCACTGTGCCCAGCCATAGATACTACTATTATCTGCATTTTGCCTGTGAAGAAACAAACACAGTATAATATAATAGGGTAATCTGCTTTTGTGCATTATTTTTATTACCAAAGCCTTAATCAAAGAAGGCAGAGAGGCTGGGCACAGTGGAGGTTCCCAACCTCAATTCTTGACTTCTGTGCACCCACAGGCTCAACACCACATGGAAGCTGCCAAGTCTTGGGGCTTGCACCCTCTGCAGCCATGTCCTGAGCCACACCTTGGCCCCTTTTAGCCATGACCAGAGTGGCTGGGATGCAGAGCTCTACATCCTTAGGCTGCACACAGCAGGGGGGGTCCCTGGGCCACCCACAAAACCATTTTTTCCTCCCAGGCCTCTGGGTCTGTGATGGGAGGGGCTGCCACAAAGGTCTCTGACATGCCCTAGAGACATTTTCCCCATTGTTTTGGCCATTAACATTTGGCTCCTCACTACTTTTGCAAACTTCTGAAGCCCTCTTGAATTTCTCCTCAGAAAATGGGTTTTTCTTTTCTATCATCAGGCTGAAAGTTTTCTGAACTTTTATGCTCTGTTTCCCTTTTAAAACTGAATGCTTTTAAGAGCACCCAAGTAACCTCTTGAACGTCTTGCTGCTTAGAAATTTTTTATGCCAGATAACCTAAATCATCTCCCTCAAGTTCAAAGTTCCACAAATATCTAGGGCAAGGCCAAATGCCACCAGTCTCTTTGCTAAAACATAGCAAGAGTCACCTTTGCTCCAGTTCCCAACAAGTTTCTCATCTCCAGGAATCATCTCAGCCTGGATTTCATTGTCCATATCATCAGCATTTTGGTCAAAGCCATTCAACAAGTCTCTAAGAAGTTCCAAACTTTCCCACATTTTCCTGTCTTCTCCTGAGCCCTCCAAACAGTTCCAACTGCTGCCTGTTACCCAGTTCCAAAGTCACTTCCACATTTTCAGGTATCTTTACAGCAGTGCCCACTCACTATACCAGTACCAATTTACTATATTTGTTCATTTTCACGTTGCTGATAAAGACATACCCGAGACTGGGTAATTTATAAAGAGGCTAATGGACTCACAGTTCCACATAGCTGGGGATGCCTCACAATCATGGCAGAAGGCAAAAGGCACATTTTACATGGTAGCAGACAAGAGAGAAAAATGAGAGTCAAGCAAAAGGGGAAACCCCTTATAAAACCATCAGATTTTGTGAGACTTATTCACTACCACAAGAACAGTGTGGGGAAAACTGCCCCCATGATTCAATTATCTCCCACCAGGTCCCTCCCACAACATGTGGGGATTATAGGGTCTACAATTCAAGATGAGATTTGGGTGGAGACACAGCCAGACCATATCACCATATATCACATAACCTCTAGAAAACTCCATTGTACACTTATGAGAAAATGAGAGTGAAAAAGTCAAATAACATCTTCATATTACTATGAAAATAGTCTTGACCTCATTTATCCCCTGAAAAGGTCTTGGGGATCCCAAGGTCACCAGAACACCTTTGGAGAACTGCTAGTGTACTGTATTCCTCTGTCCATAATTTGTATAGATCATATTGATTAAGAGTATGGCATTTGGAGCCAGATTGCCTGGGTCTGAATCCAACTCCTCAAAAATTAATGACCTCAACCAAGTTACAAGTTTCATTGTCTGTAAAATAAGAATAATAGCTGTACCCCTCATAGGGTTGTTGTAGGGATTCGTAGAATTGTGTAAAGGTTTAGAATAGTGCCTGAAGCAAGTACATTTGATAAATATTAGTTGTTCTTGTTATTATTATTATGTTTCTACCTAAGATCCTCATGTACATATTTAATTCTGTCTACATACACAGGCTTAACATGCATTTTTTGCCAAGACCTTTGGCTCCTTCCCTTCTCTAGAATATCACCAGCAGGTATCAAGAGTCCTCAAGATCGGATTCTCAAAAATACTAATACCAGGCTCTTTCCTAGATGGGCCATCTCCACCCTGGGTGTGCCAAGGACATAGTGGTGACCATGAAGTCAGATGTACCCATCAACCTAAAGAATATGCGGATCAGGTGCAAGCTCTCCAGGATTATGTTTCAGCTCCCTACAGACCAGATCCCCGACTGGGATGACCGCATGCACACAGTCAAGTGGGTGGACGTACCCAGAAACATGCCTGGGACTTTCACTACAAAACGAAAAGTAAGTGGGGACATCAAGCACCAATCTGACCAGGCCTCCATGCTTGGATTCCTACTGGTCTCAAGTCCCTCATCATTTCCTTTTTTCACAGTAAAAAGAAAAGGTTCCCATTCTACTTGACCTTGATTCCAAAAGTGACAAACTAAACTTCTACACATGCTGCCTGCCATCAATGCTACACATACCACACATCTTCACTGGTAGACCTTTAGCTTAAGTCTTGATAAGCAGTTGAGCAAGTCCTCCCACCTTTTCCTTCTTCAAAAATGTCAATGCTAATCTTTTAGTTGTTTCCCTTTTCCCTCAGGTGTCCAGAATCACATTTGTAATAATCTTTGGTTCATGACAGGATCTCATCTTTGGTCCATGTGTGCCCTTCTTTTATTCATTCCTTGGTTAGTTTTTTTAAAAACAATATAATACACAGAGACAAACCCACACCCAACACGGGAAGTAGAATATTGACTACCTGTGTAATTCTCAGCCATTCCACTCTCTGCCTCCATCCTAGAAGTAATCACTATCTTGACTTGACTTGTTTACTCCCTTGGTTTTTGTTTTTTGTTCTTTTTTTAACCTATGCACACTAAAAGGTATATCAGGCCAGGCACAGTGGCTCATGTCTGTAATCCCAAAACTTTGGGAGGCTGAGGCAGGCAGATTGCTTGAGCCCAGGAGTTTGAGACCAACCTGGGCAACATGGTGAAATCCCATCTCTACCAAAAATTAGCTGGGCGTGATGGTGCATGCCTATAGTCCCAGCTACTCAGGAGGCTGAGGTGAGAGGATCATCTGAGCTCTGGGAGGTCGAGGCTGCAGTGGGCCGTGATCGCACCACTGTACTCCAACCTGGAATACACAGTGTGAGACTCTTTCTCAAAAAATAAAAATAAAACATATATTGTTAGTTGTAGTTTTAACTTTTAAAAAATGTTATTGTATGTGATCATCCATATTGTTGCATGTGGCTGTAGTGTATCCATTTCACTTCTACATAAAATTCCATTATGATTTCTCCCTTCTCCTTTTGAAAATTATTTGGGGTTTTGCTATCACAGATGTATTATTCACATGGTGTTCATTTGTAAGAGTTTATATTCCTAGAAGTGGAATTGCTGACTCATTGGATATATGAATGTTCAACTTGCCAAGATAATCCCCCAGTATTTTCCAGAGTAGCTGTACCAATTTATACTCCTACAGCAGAGAGCTTATTGATCCATGTCCTCTCCGACACTTGGCATTGTCAGACTTCTTGATTTTTATCATTTGAATGAATGGGAAATGGTCTCATTATGAGCCTATTTTGCATTGTCCTGATCTCTGATCACAAATAAGGCTGAGTATTTCTTCATATGATTACTAGTCATACAAGTTATCCCTTGCAGGAATGCCTTTTCATGCCTTTTGCTCATTTTTCAATTATGATACTTATATTTTGTGTGAGTTGTTTTATTTTTTATAAACTCTTCTGTTCATATTATTTGTCTGCAAATATCCTTACCAAATTTATAGTTTATCTTTTTTTTTTTTTTTTTGAGGAGGACAGAGTTTTGCTCTTTCGCCCAGGCCAGAATACAGTGACACAATCTCGGCTCACTGCAACCTCCGCCTCCTAGGTTCAAGAGAGTCTCATGCCCCAGCCTCCCAAGTAGCTGGGATTACAAACATGCACCACCACACCCGGCTAATTTTTGTACTTTTAGCAGAGACAGGGTTTCACCATGTTGGCCAGGCTGGTCTCAAACTCCTAGCCTCAAGTGATCCACCCACCTCGGCCTCCCAAAGTGCTGGGATTACGGGCGTGAGCCACCATGCCTGGCCTAGTTTATCTTTTCTGTTATTAATTTTAATATCATCAAGTTTATTAATCCCTTCTTTTATATGTATTACTTTTTGTGTCTTATTTTTAACTCTTTCCTCCCGGAAAGATGTTCACTTATATATTTTTAAGACTTGTTTTTTTGATATTTCAGCTCTTGGCCCGCCTGGATTTTATGTATGTTGTGAAGCAAGGATCCAATTTCATATTTTTCATCTAGATGACTAATCTTACTAGATCCCTTTTTCATTTAGCCTGTCTGTTCCCTAGTGATCTGCCAGGACTTTATTGTCACATAGTGTACCTAAATTTTACATATGCCTAGAATGTTTCTGGTCTCTCTATTCTATTCCATTGTCAGTTTTTCTGTCCCTGTGCTCTGCATCTCTGAGGACACAGCTGCCTTTGTTACAGGTGATAGAGACGGATCCGGAACCTGCTCACTCAGTACTAGAAGAAAACTACCAAGAACTGCAGCTTCAAATCAGTGCCAATGTGGATTTCGCTTCATACCATTGCCAAGCAAGAGATGTGCGCTTTAAGGAAACCTTGGTTTACCAGACCCGAGTGTTTGAGTGAGTCATCAAAAGTCTCGTGACACTAGATGGAAAAGCTCTTTCATTCCATCATTCACTCACTCACTCATCAAACGTCTATTATCTACAGCAGCATCTACTAGGCATCGTATCTGTGTGGCATGCACCAGAGTGTTGTCTTAGGTCCAATGAAACATTCAGGCCCACAGAGCTATTGAAATTCACACTTGAAATCAAGATATAGGCCAGGAAATGTAGTACACCAGGAGGGCGGCATCAGGAAATCCACTTTAGTGGGAGCAGTCCTTGCAGCAATCTACACAGCCACCCAGGATCTGTTCTTTTTGCCCATGCACCAAGTGGTAACCCAGACAATATCCACACTGGTGGGTATAGGATCCATCTAAGCTTAGAAGCCCAGACCCAAAAGACCACCATTTCTCCTAACCACTCTGCAGATATATCTTCTGGGGTCCCTGCAGAGAATATGCCCAGTTACAAGAGTCACTACACTCAGAGAACCCCACAGCTATGGCTTCCCTCTAGGTGGTCATAGTTCCTCCCAGTGCACATATCATTTACTCATCGGGGCCATTTTTAGTATAAACAATGTCACCTAATAATACAACTGACATTCCTCCCTTATCAAGTCTCCAGGGGAACAGACCTAGAAAGCTATTTCAGAGTCAAATTCATCTTTGAGAAGGAGAAAAGTTTATGTTAACCCTTCACCCACATTCAGACACAGGGACTCAAGGATGCCATGGGCCCTGCCTTCAAAGAGCTCATAATCTGAGGGTGGCAGCCGGGGGACAGATAGAAACAGGAGAATTTTTCATTACAGCATAATGTCATGTGCATGAAGCAAAGGGGTATTTAAAGCAGATCAAGAGAGTCAAGGAAGGCTTCCTGGACAAGGTAGTTCCCCAGCTGAACTTTAGAGGACAGATAGGAGGTAACCAAGTAAAGAAGTGAGAACAAAGTGAGAGTGAAAGAAGTGAGAATGGGGATAGCCAAGTGAAGAAGCGAGAATGAAGGGCTCTCTCTAGGCAGAGAGAGCAACATGTGCAACACGTACAAGGACAAAAATGTAAGCCACTGACATTTCTACTGCATACAAATTAGTAATTAGCTCATTCAACTCATCGTGCATTTGTTGAATTCTAAACATCTTTGCAAATTACTATAGAACCAAAAGATAAATGTCAGGAAATGTGATCTTCTGCTGATGATCATTTCACCTAAAGCAGGGGTCAGCAAACTGTGGCCTGTAGCCTGTTTTTGTAGATAAAGTTTTGCCGGCATGCAGCTATGCCCATTCATTTATGACCTAACTGTGGCTGCGTTCCCACTACAAAGGCAGAGCTGAGTCATTGCAGAGACCGTATGGGACACAAAGACAAAAAACTTACTATCTGGCCCTTTACAAAAGTTTGCCAACCCCTAAACTGAGAACTCTTTTTATAAAAAGTACTCTGTGCCACTGAGATTTCTTCACTTTATAAAAATTATCTTTAGAATAAATACAAGTGCTCATAAATTTACAAAATAAACACAAGCCACTGTGGTCAAAGCACTTGATTTCAGGTGAAACTAGATGGTCTGTCTACCTGGACTAGAGAGTGGAAATCTAATCTCTACGTCCCACTGTAGACCTACTCCTCACCCAAACTCCTAACTCTTACTATTCCCCTAAAACCAGGAAGGGCGTGTGGATTTATTTCATCATCATTTTCTTTTTCTTGTACCAAGGTTTCATCTTTCTGCTGTTAACTGTGATCAAGTTTAATAGTGATTCCAGAAAAAAACTCTGCCTCCCTGTTTTTTTTTTTTTTTTTTTTTTTTTTTTTTTTTTTTTTTTTTTGAGCCGGAGTCTTGCTCTGTCACCCAGGCTGGAGTGCAATGGTGCGATCTCAGCTCACTGCAACCTCCACCTTCTGGGTTCAAGTGATTCTCCTGCCTTAGCCTCCCGAGTAGCTGGGACTATAGGTGCACGCCACCACGCCAAGCTAATTTTTGTATTTTTAGAAGAGACAGGGTTTCACTATGTTGGCCAAGCTGGTCTCGAACTCCTGACCTCAGGTGATCCACCTGACCTGGCCTCTCAAAGTGCTGGGATTTCAGGCATGAGCCACCGCACCCAGCCCTGTTCTTGTCTTAAAGCAGGAAAATTTGAGGCAGGAAAAGCCTCTGCTGATTTAGAATTTGAGTTTGAAGTAACTAAAATTCAAATCTGTGCCTCAGTCAGGAAAGGGGTCACAGGCAGGGGTCAAATGGCTTCTGATCACAGGGACTTCCTTCCTTTCTTTTCTTTTCTTTTCTTTCGACAGAGTCTCGCTCTGTGGCCCAGTGG
This sequence comes from Homo sapiens, assembly GCF_000001405.40. Taxonomy (NCBI): domain Eukaryota; kingdom Metazoa; phylum Chordata; class Mammalia; order Primates; family Hominidae; genus Homo; species Homo sapiens. Next base: position 146,851,700 of record NC_000001.11, read on the forward strand.
CATGATCTCAGCTCACTGCAACCTCCATCTCCTGGGTTCAAACGATTCTCGTGCCTCAGCCTCCTGAGTAGCTGAGTAGTTGGGACTGCAGGCATGTGCCACCACACCTGGCTAATTTTTATATTTTTAGTAGAGATGGGGTTTCACCATGTTGGCCAGGCTGGTCTCAAATTCTTGGCCTCAAGTGAGCTGCCTGCCTTGGCCTCCCAAAGTACTGGGATTACAGGTGTGAGCCACCCTGCCCAGCCAGGGACATTGTTTCTGATGGGAGGTGATTCAGAAAGGGAGGGCCTGTAGAATTTGTTCCTGAGGGAGGTGCTGTCTTGTGAAATAGATTTTGTTTCCTCTCTCATGGGGGAGGTTTAGGATTACTGCAATGCCTGCTGAGAGCTCGCTGCACAGGGTGTTGGAAGAATGCAAAAGACTTTTAAGTGCTAAATATTTTTTATATTTTTACTTTTAATCACTATATATTTTCTTGTTCGAGTATATCATATGCATGATTTCTAATAAAATTACTTAAAATGTGCCTTTTTAAAAATATTTAAGAAACAAAGTGACATGACTTCAAAAGGTTAAGTACAGTATAGATGACATGCAGCCAGGACCAAAACCACCTGCAGCACATTTCTCAAATCTGCTCCCTGATCGATTTGCAGGTTCGATGTGATTAATTCAGGACGTGTCCAGCTGGAATTCAGCTGGCTCTCAGAAGATACCTCAAAGGCAGTCAGCTTTGCAAAACCAGATCACCAAGGTAAATTCAGTGACAAGTAAAACCCAGGGCCTGGCCTGAGTCACCAATTAGAAGAGCCTTGTTCATGGAGAGGCCAGCACTGCTCAGAGGGTCTCCTAAGTAGCTAAAGAAAAGCAAAGCAGAGACCTTGTGGTGTCTGCAGAGCCAAATGGGCCTGAGGGACTCCAAAACTTACCTCCACCCTCCTGGAGTCTGAACTCTGTCCCTGCACCAGGCCAATGCCCCATCTCAAGATAACTAGGAATCTTGTCTCTTAGGTCTTAACCTTGTGGGAGATTATAGATCCCTTGGAGAAACTTTTGAAAGTTATGAATCATTTTCCCAGGAAGATACACACCCATGCCCAAGTTCTCAGTTGGTACATATGAAGCACTAGAAAAGGAACCAACACTTGGTAGGCAAGTTGCTATCATTATTATTATTATTATTGTTGTTACTTCAACTTTGGAGATGCACAGACCTTTTGAATGGGCCCTTATCCATGGGTCCCCAGATTGTAAACCCCTACTTTAGAACAATGATTCTCAAAAAAATATGTTCACAGCCCATTATTCTAGGGCACAAACATCTTCTTGACCCACCCGCTTGAACCAAAAGGAAACAAATTTGAAAACCCTATGGAATAAATAGAAACATTTTTCATGAGTCTCCTGTAAGCTATATGAGCAATTCCCTACCTCTAATACCCAAGGTTAAGTACAGCTGCTACAAAAGGTGAGTCCATATCCACCATATCCGCAGAGGGCCCCTAAGGACCTGTAAGTGGGCTCCCTTCCACCTGCCTCTCACTGCAAATGCAGAATATCACCCACTCCCTGTCTGTCCCCAGGTTCAGCTCAAAAAGATCAGCTTAGTCAGGGCACGAGGCACACAGGCAGCACCCTGGACAGCACCATGGACCACTGGGCCGAGGGTTCCCCACAGCCCTTCTCTGTGGAGCCCTCTTCGGGAATCGTGCCGGTGGGGAAGATCAGAAGTTCAAAGTAAAATTCTCCCCGTTGGACATTGGAGACTTCGAGAGCAACCTTTTCTGCCAGTAAGAAAATGTGCTCGCCACAACACCCTTCTTGGCAGGCACAAAGCTCTGTGGCTCTTATCCCCTTTTCTGTCCAACCACTGCCACCATCCTTTCTGGCCCTAGATCCCTGCACATCCCCAAATTATCCCTTTTCCCTTTGGAAGGATCTAAAGGGTCCACCCTTTAGAGAACAAGGAGAATATGGTCTTTGTCCTGCTCATCAACCTCTCCAGATGCTTCCCCCTGCTTACTTTCCCCTTCCCAGCTGCATGTAGGATTCCACTGAGCAACAGACTGGTGATAGCCAGGTGGGTTTCAGTCCTTGTGCAAGCATGAACTTAGGAAAGCTTTCTTGTACCTTCTCTGAGACACAGTTTCCTCATACATAAAATGTAAATATAATACCCAGCTGGTGGAATTGTTGGGAAAGTTAAATGAGTTAATTCAAATAAAGTGCTTACAACAGTGCCTGGCACACAATAAGCACGATAAACATTAGGTGGTAGTGGTGGTGGTGGTGGTGGAGTTGGTGGACCTGGTACACAGCAGTGAGAGAAAAGCTAACCCAATGACATCTGACAATGAAAGTCCCTGATGAGGTACTTGCTCCCAGGAAAACTTGAAGAAGTACAATCACCTTACAGAAAAATCCTGTGAGCTGTGACCTAGGGTGGCAGAGACCTAAGTGAGCTGCTGGGGCCTCCTTGACCTCCTGCAGTCATACCACTGAGACCCCTCCCACACCTAGGCCACCTCAGCTTGGTCCTGGAGCTGAGCATCTGCTCATATCCAGTTCACCTTTTCCGAGGAGCTCAGGATACTTTTTTAGGATTTCCAGGTCACTTTCCATATTCCACTAAATGCCTATGAGAGAGACCAGAGGGTAAGACTGTGCTCATTTTGCAGCAGGAATATTTTCTCAACATTGATGGGGGAAGTAACCTGCGGCCATACTTAGGTACACAGAAGGAGCCAAATTCAGGCTGCTTATGCTCAGCCCAGTCATGCATTCAAGGCACTGAGTGATGCTATTGACCAAGACAGACCCAGCCTCTACTCCCATAGAGCTCACATTCTGGCGGATATAATATTCATTTCCAACCAACTAAGAAAGCAACAACTGATGACAAAATAAAACAAATAAAAATAACCTTATCCTCTCAGGATTCCCAACCTGCCACCTGGAGAGCAAGGTCCGGTCCTGGTAGCAAAAGGGCGGAGCACCTTGCCCATCTGCCATTTTGATCTGAAAGACTCGGACTACATAAGTGGCCATCAGCGCAACCCAGAGCTCCGAGGGTCCAGTGGGGGAGCTCTGGATCCAAACACCCGGGTGATTGAGTTCACCACTGTGGGCATAGGAGGGAAGAATCTCCGGTGAGTTGCTTAGGTTTACATTGATTGAATTCACATCGGTCCTAAAGAACTCTAAAAGAATTCAGATAGATGAGCTAGACCTATTCCTATAAGCAGGCTCGATATCCTGGGGTTTGACCTGAGTTTTAGAGGTTTGACTTTAGAGAACTGTTACGTTAAGAAAGCTGAATTCTGTCTCCTTAGTTTTGCCACTGAGGAAAATATGGAAGACACAAAAGTATAATCCCTGACCACCTCCTTAACCACAGAGGATCATTGGCACAGTTGTGCCCTTGGCAGCATTGTTATTCCAAAGTCCAGAACCCTACCCTGACTGTGGATCGCTAGAGGAGATGGAGTTTTCATTTCCACAGTAACAAAGTGCTCTGAACAGTTCTGCTTCCCAGATGGGGGACTGCGTTGGGGCCAGGTTCTAAGAAATTTCTCTTAATCCTCAATCCCCTGTCCCACTCTCTTCTGTCAATTCTCCCCACCCTGGCCAGGACCTTTACCATCCTAAACCCAGCCAATAGCACCTACTCCTTCTGCTGGATCTCTGAAGAAATTGAAAGTCTCCAGAACCCTGCAGCATTCACATGCCTTACAGAAAAGGGCTTCATCCACCCTGAAAAGAAAGCCGAGGTATGTGCAGATGAGAACCACTCAACCCAAGGCTTAGATCACTCTAGCCATTGCTGTGTAGAAAGTGTGCCATAGACAGTAAGTGGAATTAGGAAGAACTGCCTGAGGGTGTAGTGCATCAATCAACAAGTATTTAGTGAATGGCTGCCATATGCATTGGGCAATGCTGATGACAAGACAGACCTGAGCTCTCTTGGCTAGCCATGGAGAAGCAGAGAGCTCTAATACTTGCAATTTTTTAAAACTGAGAACATTTAAGCAGCAAAAGGTAACTGGACACCAATGCCTGGGGACCCTAGGACTCATAGAGTAGCATAAAAAGTTATCTTTGTCAAAAGGACCAAAAATGGTGAAAGGACACGATGTGTTTTCACTTGGTTAGGCAAAGGGCAAAGTAGAGTGGAGCCATGTCCCATGGCTTCATCCTAAATGTTTACACAAATGATATGGAGCAGAATTAAAGAAATACAGACTTGCTGGCCAAAACGGATCTGTGAGCCCCATGTCCAGCCAGTTGCAGAGAATCTTGAAGACAGAAATAAATCCGTGAAACAAAAATTATGAATTCCTGTGCCCTCAGGAGGGTCACACAAGTGAATAGAGTGGGCCAAGGAGACATTTGTGGATAATACGGGGTACCAGGGCCACTGGCCACAGGGCTTCTCTGGTAGATGACCACTTTGCAGACAACGGGGGCCAAGGGGGCCAACTCACCCAAACTGTGGAAAAGACAAAATTCCAAATTTCTTTTTTTTGTTTTTGTTTTTGAGACAGAGTCTTGCTCTGTCCCCCAGGCTGGAGTGCAGTGGCGCGATCTCGGCTCACTACATGCTCCGCCTCCTGGGTTCACGCTATTCTCCTGACTCAGCCTTCCGAGTAGCTGGGACTACAAGCGCCCGCCACCACGCCCAGCTAATTTTTTGTATTTTTAGTAGAGACAGTGTTTCACCGTGTTAGCCAGGATGGTCTCAATCTCCTGACCTCGTGATCTGCCCGTCTCGGCCTCCCAAAGTGCTGGGATTACAGGTGTGAGCCACTGCGCCTGACCAAAATTCCAAAGTTCTATGTGAAGCCCTATTTTACATGCTGGTAGCTAGTTCAATTTTTTTTTTTTTTAACAATTCCCAAACCAAACAAAACATATTTGTAGACTCTCCACCTGGTTTTGACCTCTGCATAATGTCAGTACCCAGGCCATCTAGTTAAATGTGACAAGGTCCAGGAGCTGGGTCCACCATAGAGACAATCCTACCTGGATCATGGCCCCCGCTTCAGCCCAGAAATGTTTCAAATGTGAGCTCAGTTCCAAGAGGCAAGTTCCAAAATCCATCATCCAAAGTCATGCTGGTCTTTAAGTGACAGTCATATCATTGAGGTGACACACCTCCAGAGCACCTGCCCACATTGTCCTGGCAGTGGTATAGACCATGCATGTTAACCTGTGTGGTTCTTTTTTGGCCAAATGCCGTTATTCTTTCATTCAGTCCTGGTTGATTGATTGCAAAGAGACTCACTCAGGTTAGCTCAAAAAAGAGACAGAGAGAACCAGGAGCAGCTTTTGAGGTTGGACTTTCCTCCTGGGACTGCCTGTTTCTCTCTTCCCATCTACTCCATTCTCTCTCCACTGACCAGTTTCTTCACTCTTGATTGATTGATTTATTCTTCAGTTACTTTGTAATATCACTTAGCTAGTTGGTTATGGCATGCCGTGGCCCAGCTCACCTGCATGGTACCTTTCACCATCAGCTCCACTGCCAGCTGGCCTGGCCACTCATTTTCTAATTTCAAACTTCTGAGGGAGAAATCTGGCTGGCCCGGCTAATCATATTGTCTTTGGCTGTGTGCCCAGCTATTGACAAGTATGGGGATTGTCTTTCCTTGGAATGGGTACCAACTCTTTGGTCCAGTCAGCTATGGCACAGCCATGCCATCCAAAGACATGGCACAAAACACGACAGCTTAGCCAGCAGAAGCTGTGGATGGGGGAGACTCCCTTAGGAGGACATGTGGGCAGGTCAGATAGACATTGACGTTTCTGGTACAGCCACACCTACATGCCCTTACATGGACTATAGAAAGGTAGCAATAGCCTGGTAACATCAACTCTCATGACCCTCGTGCTGACAAGTCTCCAGGGACATGTGGAGTAAGCATACAGAAGTGTCTTTTACCACTCTGTTCCAAATTGTCTTCTTAGATCGTGTTCCAGTTCACACCTTTCCATCTGGGCATCACTGAGTCATCATGGACCTTCCTAATTCCCGAGCACAACATCACAGTCCCTTTCCTGCTGGTAGGCAAAACTACCGAACCTCTCATCTCTCTGAACAAGTCACACCTCAACTTCAGCTCTCTCCTCATTGGTAAGGCTGTCCTGATGGTATGTATTTAGAGTTGGCATGATCTGGGCAAGGTCATCAAGAGCTCTGGGAGCAGCCTTGCATAAGAAACCTCTCCTGGTCCCTTCCAGAAGCATATCAGAGGGTCTTAATCAGTTTTTAAAAAGCCACAAAATATTTACTGCTCAATCTAATTTCCACCAAGTATCTTTTAAACCTACAATTAATAGCTTAAGGAAATTTAGGAGCCTTGTTAAAGATCCTACTTGGCAGATTCCTTTAAGGCATGGGCTGACTGTTTATTTCTAGAGCCTCAAGTTGGCCCATCCTTCCTGCATTTGCCCCCAGATTATGGGGGGTATCTGTATGCTTCTTGGTCTGTGCCACAGTGGTCAGATTTCTCTCTCATCCTTTCGTGCATTTATTTGGTTCAACAAATATCACTGAGTCTGTAGAATGCCCTCGGTACTTTTCTATGGGCTGGGATTACGCTAATGGATAAAGCCCAAAGTCCGTACCTTCCTGATGCTTACATTCTAGAAATAAGAAACAGGCTACCAAAAGAAACATAAGGAAACTATACACCATGTCAGATGGTAATAAGTGCTTTAGAGAAGAGGACAGCAGGGTAGGGAGAATAAGGAAGGCCAGGAGGCAGTGGGAAGGTGAAACGAAGTAATTGTCATGTCCCTTATAACCCCATGTATCTTTCCCATGGTTGTGACATCTCTGCTGTGTGTATAAAATACAACTAAAGCCAGAGTATGTTTTAATAATATGTTAGATTTGTATTTGTAAAATAATATTCTTATAGTAAATCCACCAATGTGGTGTTGCATAAGAAAAAGTTTAATCTCTCCACATTCATCCTGTCTCATCTTTCTCTTTCCACTCCAAAGGAAAGCAGTGTTAACTGCTGGATGTGTATTTTTACCGATACATATAATTAGGTGGGAGGGGGAATTATGGCATTTATTAAGATTTTGAACAAATAAGCAATGTAGCATAAGAATAACAACAGTGAGACAGAGTTTAATCCAGGAATTCAACAGTGGTACGTTTGAATATAATCATTACATCAATAGATTAAAGAAGAACAACCATGTGATCATGTTAATATACACTGAAAAGGCATTGCCAAAATTTAGCAGACATTCCCAACAAAAACTCTAATAGCAAAATGGACATTGATGGAAAAAAAGGTTAACCAAAATCAAGAGGCAGATATGATCCTGCAATAAATGACTAAAACTGCTTCAATTAAAATGAGGAATTAGGTAAGGGTGTTCATTATCACCCTTATTATTGAACACTTGCTTAGAGACTTTAGCAAATATGACAAAACAAGAAAATTAAATAATTTGCATAAACATTGGGGAAAAAGGGATAAAGTCATCTTGTTTTGCTTTTACTGATGATTTTGTACACATAAAACCACAAGAGACTCTAGAGAAAAAGCAAAACAAACTACTAGACTCAACAGAATAATGTGGTAAGGTGGGCAGATGCAAGACAAATGTGCAAAAATAGTGTCTTCTTTTTTAGCACTAGCACCTAGAAACAGAAAACCAAAGAAAACATCCACTTGGTACTGGCAAAACCTATAAAATAGCTAAGGATAAATGTAATAAGACATGCACAAAAAAGACCTACATGAAGAAAACTATCAAATCTGATTAAAATCCCCCAAACAAGATCTGATCATTTGTTAGTTCTCCTAAAATTAAATGCAAATTTAATCAAGTTCCAATTAGAATCCCAACTAGGGTTGCCAGATAAAATACAGGATGCATAAATTTTAATTTCAAATAGCAATTAATAATTCTGAGTAAGTCCAAATATTGCTCGGGACATATTTATACCAAAAAATTATTTGCTAAATCTGTCAACCAAATCCCAAAAGAATTGGAAGGGGAGAGAACTGGATAAAATGATTCTAAAGTTTATGTGGAAAAATGAATGGTCTAATAGCCAAGAGGAAAGCGTAAGATGATAGTGAGAGAAAATGTATTAGTCAGAGCCCTGGGCAGGAAACTCATGCCAATACCAAAGGTCTATTTTCAAAGAATTCGATGCAAGAATTATTTACAGATACATGGGCAGTTAAGGGGGTCAACCAAGGAGAGTGAAGCCCCCATTAACAAATTCAGGAAGGCATTACAATTCTTGGGTCTAAAGGAGCAAGGGAAGAAAACGGTGTCACCAGAATCCCAGGAGAGCTGTGGCCAGGGCAGAGGAGCCACTCAGCAGAAGCAGGCAACTGATGAAGAAAGACATGGAATTCCCGAAAGAAGGAAGGTGACTTGTAGAGGAAAAGGAAAGAAGAGAGGTAGACAAAGGCGGAAGAGGTTGGGGAATGTCTTCTAAATGTCTTGCCTGTGAAGCGGTGTCTGCTGAGAGACTCCAGCAGGCAGTCAGGAGGCCCCCACTAAGGGCTGGTGTTTCCTCCTCAGGCAGAGAAGCCAGGGAGACTGTGCAGATCATCAACAAGGAGGAGCAGGGGTTCGATTTTTCCTTCCAGGACAACTCCCGCTATTCTGAAGGTTTCAGCAACAGCCTGCTTGTATGTCCCATGGAAGGCTGGATCCCACCACTGTCCAGGTAAACAAAAATGAAGGTCTCATTTTGTTTGCATCCTCCTGACATGCCCAGGACCCCAAGCCTGCCAGTGCTTACAGTGCCCCATTTATATAATTGCTTTCAACTCTAAGATTAGATCATAACAATTCCATCTCCATCCTACTTACTCCCTGATATCTGTTTTCCTGATGAATATGGAGCATTGAGAATTCTAAGCCCTTTATCTCAATATTTTCTCTTTGTATTCTTTTCCTTGCTATATTCACTGTATATGTGAATCCACAGTGCAATGTTCAGGCTTGCCTGGCAAGTCTCTTTTTCAATTAAACATTTAATTTTCAGGCCAGGCATGGTGGCTCATGCCTATAATCCCAGCACTTTGGGAGGCTGAGGCAGGCGAATCACTTGAGGTCAGGAGTTTGAGACCAGCCTGGCCAACATGGCAAAACCCAATCTCTATTAAAAGTACAATAATTAAGGCTGCGGCAGGCAGATCATTTGAGGTCAGGAGTTCCAGACCAGCCTGGCCAACATGGTGAAACCCCGTCTCTACTAAAAATACCAAAATTAGCCAGGCGTGTTGGCGGGCGCCTGTAATCCCAGCTACTCGAGAGACTGAGGCAGCAGAATCGCTTGAACCTGGGAGACATAGGTTGCAATGAGCTGAGATCGCACCACTGCACTCTGGCCAGGGTGACAAGAGCGAAACTCCCTCTCAAAAAAAAAATTAATAAATAAATACAATAATTAGCCGGGTGTGGTGGCACACACCTGTAATCCCAGCTACTTGGGAGGCTGAGGCATGAGAATCACTTGAACCCAGGAGGCAGAGGTTGCAGTGAGCTGAGATTGCACCACTGCACTCCAGCTTGGACAATGGAGTGAGACTCTCTCAAAAACTAATAATAAAATTTAAAAATTTGAAGTAATTGTAAATTTACATGTAGTTGTAAGAAATAATAGAAAGACTGCCGGGCATGGTGGCTTACACCTGTAATCCCAGCACTTTGGGAGGTCAAGGCGGGTGGATCACCTGAGGTCAGGAGTTCGAGACTAGCCTGGCCAACATGGTGAAACTCCGTCTCTACTAAAACTACAAACGTTAGCCAGGCGTAGTGGCACATTCCTGTAATCCCAGCTACTTGGGAGGCTGAGGCAGGAGAATCGCTTGAACCCGGGAGGCAGAGGTTGCAGTGAGCCAAGATTACCTCACTGAACTCCAGAGCAAGACTTTGTCTCAAAAAAAAAAAAAAAAGAAAGAAAGAAAGAAGAAGAAATAAGACAAAGATAACTCTGTACTGTTTACCAAATTTCTCCCAAGGGTGACATCTTGCAAAGCTTCAGTAAAATGTCACAACCTGGTATTGACATTGACGAGTCAAGACACAGAACAGATCCCTTGCCGCAGGATTCCTCATGTGACCCTTTTGTTGCCACACCCTTTCCCTTCCCCCAAGCAACACCTCCTCACCCTCTGGAATCCAATACTTTCCTCTGTGTCTATCATTTTGTCATTTCAGGAATGTTGTATTCACAGACACATACATTCCTTTTGTGATTGGCTTTTTTCACTCATAATTCTCCAACATACATCCAGGTAGTTTTGAGAGTTTCTTCCTTTTTATGACTGGCTACCATTCCATAGTAGGGATGCACCACAGTTAGTTGAACTATTCACCCACTGGAGGACATCTGGATTGTTCCTGGTTTGGGCTGTTATGAATAAAGCTACTATAAACTTTCATGTACAGATTTTTTGTGTCTTCATGTCACTGGGGAAAATGAGCAAGAGTGCAATTAATGGACATACGATAATGGCATGTTTCCAGAAAAAAAAAGAAAAAAAACTGTGAAAATGCTTTCCAGACTGGCTGAACCATTTTACATTCCACTAGTTATCTCTGAATGTTCCAGAATCTCCACAACATCACCAAAATTTAGTGGTGTCACAATTTTTTTATTACTATTTTTAGACAGAGTCTCGCTCTGTTGCCCAGGCTGGAGTGCAGTGGTGTGATCTTGGCTCACTGCAACCCCCGCCTCCCAGGTTCAAGCAATTCTCTTGCCTCAGCCTCCCGAGTGGCTAGGGCTACAGGCACGCACCACTATGCCCGGCTAATTTTTTTTTTTTTTTTTTTTTAGTAGAGATGGGGTTTCACCATGTTGGCCAGGCTGGTCTCGAGCTCCTGACCTCAAGTGATCCACCCGCCTTGGCTTCCCAAAGTGCTGGGATTACAGGAATGAGCCACTGCAACCGGCAACAATTTTTTATTTTAGCTTTTCTGATAGATGTGTAAGGATATCTCATTGTAGTTTTAATTAGCATTTTCCTAATGACTAATAATGTCGGACATCTTTACATGTGCTTATTTTCTGTATGTGTGTTGTCAGGCCTGAGGGCCTCTTCCGTCATTGTCAAGGGAAATGCTAACCTTCTCTCCTTTCATACAACACATATGTGCTTGTTTTCCTTCTATGGATCCTCCTCAGTGAAATGTCTCTTCATGTCTCTTTCCAGTTTCCTGCTCAGCCTGTTTGTTTTTTATTGTTGATTTTTGAGAGTTCTTTACATGTTTAGGTAGTGCTCCTTTGGTGGATACATGATCTGCAAATATCTTCTCCCAGTCTGTGGCTTGTCTTTTGCTCTTCTTAACAAGGTCATTCACAGAGCAAAACCTTTTATTCTTGATGAAGTCCAAATTATCTATTTGTCCTTTTATGGACTGTCCTTTTAGTGTCTGTTCTATATCTCTGAATAGCCCTAGATTCAGAAAATGTCCTTCCATTATTTTTTCCGTAAGTTGTGTAGCTTTACATTTCAGTCTGTAACCCCTTTTTTATTAACTTATAAGGTATGAGATTTACGTCAAAGTTTTGTGGGGTTTTTTCAACTTTTATTTTAGTTTCAAGGGATATGCATGCAGGTTTGCTACTGGATTTACTGTATAGGTTTGGGGTACACATGGTCCCATCACCCAGGTACTGAGCTTAGTACCCAATCGTTAGTTTTTCAACTCTTGCCTCCCTTCCTCCCCTCCCCCTAGTAATCCCCAGCTTCTTTTGTTGCCATCTTTACGTCCATGTGTACCTGATGTTTAGCTGCAACTTATAAATAAGAACATGAGGTATTTCACTTTCTGTTCCTGCATTAATTTGCTTAGGATAATGGCCTCCAGCTGCATCCATGTTGCAGCAAAGAATTACCTCATTCTTTTTGTGGCTGTGTAGTATTCTACGGTGTATATGTACCACACTTTCTTTATCCAGTCTACAGTTGATAGGCACCTAGATTGATTCCATGTCTTTGCTATTGTGAATAGTGCTGCAATGAACATGAGAGTGCATGTTGTCTTTTTGGTAGAATGACTTTGGGTTTTTTGGCTTTTTTGTTTTGTTTTGTTTTGTTTTTTATGAGATTGCTTTGTTTTTTGTAAAGAGATTGCTGTGTTGAATGATAGTTCTGTTTTAAGTTCTTAGAGAAATCTCCAAACTGCTTTCCACAGTGGCAGAACGAGTTTACATTCCCACCAATAGTGTATAAGTGTTCCCTTTTCTCTGCAGCCTCGCCAGGATCTGTTGTTTTTTATTTCTTAATCATAGCCATTCTGACTGGTGTGAGATGTTATCTCATTGTGGTTTTGACTTGCATTTCTCTGATGATTAGTAATGTGAAGCATTTCTTTATATGTTTGTTGGCCACTTTTCTGTTTCCTTTTGAGAAGTGTCTATTCATGTCTTTTGCCCATTTTTTAATGGCGTTACTTGTTTTTTGCTTCTTCAATTGTTTAAGTTCTTTAGAGATTCTGGATATTAGACCTGTGTCAGATGCATAGTTTCTGAATAATTCCTCCCATTCTGTAGGTTGCATTTTTTCTCTGTTTGTAGTTTCTTTTGCTATGCAGCAGCTTTTTTCCTTTCTTACTCTTTTTTTTTTTTTTTTTTTTTTTGCAGGATTGATTGGGTCCCACTTGTCGATTTTTGTTTTTATTGCAAGTGCTTTTGAAGACTCATTCATAAATTCTTTCCCAAGGCTGATGTCTACAATGGTGTTTTCTACGTTTTCTTCTAGTTTTCGTATAGTTTGAGGTCTTACATTTAAATCTTTGATCCATCTTGAGTTAATATTTGTATATGGTGAAAAGTAAGGGTCTTATTTTATTCTTCTGGCTTATGGCTAGCCAGCTATCCCAGCATCATTTATTGAATAGGGAATCCTTTCCTCATTGCTTATTTTTGTTGACTTTTTCAAAGATCAGATGATTGTAGGTGTGTGACTTTATTTCTGGGATCTCTATCTTTTTCCATTAGTCTGTGTGTCTGTTTTTATGCCAGTACCACGCTGTTTTGGTTACTATAGCCACAAATCTTAAAATGTCATCATAATTTGGAGTTTCCTTTTCCTCGTAATGAATCTGCTAATTCAGTAGGCTCATATTTTTTAAGGTTTTGACAAGTTGGCCTAGTCAGGTAATCTGCTGTTTTGTTCCCCAACCAGGTTCCCAATTGATATTTTCTTCACTCCAAAGCAGCAAGGAGATGTGAACTTTAATTTGATCTGCAATGTGGAAAAGAAAGTCCACCCTGTGACATTAAATGTCAAGGCCGAGGGCTACACTATGAATGTGGAGATCAAGTGCAAGGACAGGACAGGCTCCATCACTCTGTTGACTCCCAACCAGACTAACATCATCAACTTCTATGAGGTAAAGGTGTAAGAAGACCTTGCTATCTATCTCAGCTTCCATTCTGACTGGGGAAAGTAGTAAAAATGAATATGAGCTGAGTCTTTCTGCTTCAAATGCCAGAGAGACCAGGAAAACAGAAACACTCCAAGAGCAGCTCTATCCCCAGAATGTATGTAGATATGATGTGAATGCTTTTCTTATTTTATTTTCAGGGGGGGTGGAGAGATGGTGGGGAGAAGAAAGAGTGCTTGTGTTAAACATACAGGAAGGATATTTGACTACCAACAAAGGACTAAGAACTAAATTGCCACTTTGCTCCATGAGATATTGAAAGAACCCCAATACTTAGTAGCTCCTGCTGGAATATCTGACTCCATTAAGCTAAAGATAGTCAAATCACCAACATCATCTGCCATCCTTATTTCCCAAAGGATATTTTTCATCAACATGTTACAAATGCTGACCCCAGACAAGGGAACTATGGTTTGCATTCACTGCTCTGTTCTCTGTCTCCTAGGTGGAGTTAAATGAATGTGTCCAGTGTGAATTCAACTTTATCAACACTGGAAAGTTCACCTTCAGCTTCCAGGCACAGCTGTGTGGCTCCAAAACCTTGCTGCAGTACTTGGAATTTTCACCCATCGACAGCACTGTGGATGTAGGACAGAGTGTACATGCCACCCTGTCTTTTCAACCATTAAAGAAGTGTGTCTTGACAGACCTGGAACTCATAATCAAGGTGAGTCCATTTAACATTGTCCAAACTCCAAAAGTACTCTCAGCATGCTGCCTTGGCAAGTTAATTCTCCTGTGTGTTCTTTGTCTTCTCCATGTGTCCAGAAGCTCCTAGAGGGTAGCTGTGTTGGACACAGCCTCACAATGTCTAGTACAAAGGCTTCAACAATGGTTAGGTGCCTGGGGAGTAAGTGTGGATTGAAAAGCAATTATATTGCAATACATTCACCCACTAAAATAAATAAAAGTGATAGATGGGGCAGGGAAAGAATATGTACAATGTTTTCTAAGATGAATTATTGAATGAAAAAAAAAAAAAGAATGGTGATGTCAGCAGGAATGGCAGAGAAGGACATCCAAAATGCTGCTTTTCAATAGCAATGAGACCACTGGAAAAAATTTTCGAAATCAACTTTTTCAGAACTCTGAAAATTAATAATAGGCTTGCAACAATTCTCGGAGTATTTATTCAAGAAAAATGGCTGAATACCCATAAAGGCAGTGAGCTTTGTGGTATTTTGACTTGCCCTATTCTCTCCCTCCTCCCTCATCCCAGCTCTGCAGTAGCCTTGAAAACCAACAATTTGGCAATCAAAGTGAAAGTCAGCAATCAATCAGACCCTGGAGGAGGTAGAACAGATTGCAACTCCCCAAAAGCCCCCATTCTAAAAGAGTTGTCACTATTTGACCTGTCTAGAAGTTCAGTGAAACCCCCCCTCATAGGGATAGCTTTTATTTGACCTGACTCCAGGCTTGCTCAAAAACAATCAGTTGTAATTGTTTAACACTGCAGCTGACTGAGGGAGCATTGACCTTAGGAGCAAACAAGAAGTTCATTTAAAAATTTAAAAGGAGAGACTGGGAAGAAGATATTCATGGGGGGCTCTGAAAAGCTTCAGCATATTCCCTGGAATCTAGACAGCCATGCATGTGTAAGATGTGTATACCTCCAGGCTGTTACTGCTCAGGAAAGACCTGAGAAGGCCCTAAGCTCTTACCTCTGACTAACCTTTGGGTCCCAGGAAAGATAAAGCAGAATTGGCAACTGCCTGCCTGAGTGTCAAAGGCATGTCCTGCCACACACACACAGCCCCTCAGCAAAAGCTGGGAGACTTATTGGTTCCAGGCATTTAAGGGAATCTCTGTTCAATCATAAGCTGACCATTAAACTAACTGAGCAGAAACTTTATTGGCCATGCATAAATAAGAATATAGACTTTACTGAAAAAGTTACTAAACAAACTAAGAGTAACAACAGTAACCAACCCTGGGGGAGGGAGGATCTGATTTTCACAGTTGCCACATTTATTATTTTAAATCTCCAGTTTCTGACTAAAAAAATATGAGCCATGAAAAGATACAAGAACATATAACTCATATACGGGGAAAAAAGCAATGAATAGAAATTGTCTCTGAGGGAGCCCAGATGTTGGACTTAATAGACAAATACTTGAAACCATCTATTTAAAATATGTTCAAAGAACTATAGGACACCATGTCTAGATAACTAAAGCAAAGTATGAGAACAATGTCTCACCAAATAGAGAATATCAATAAAGATATAGAAATTATAAAAATATACATTTTGGAGTTGAAAAACATAATAGCTGAAATGAAAAATTTCACAACAGGGGCTCAATAGCAGATTTGTTATGGTAAAAGAAAATCAGCTGTGGCAGATGGGATAAAATTGTTGAAAAGAAAAAGAAAAAATCAGCAAACTTGAAGATGGAGCAATTGAGATTATCCAATATGAAGAACAAAAAGGAAAAAGAATGAAGAAAAATGAACAGAAGTTCAGATTCCCATAAGAGATTATCAAGCATAGCAAAATACATGTAATGGGAATCTCAGAAGGAGAGAAGAGAGAAAATAAGAGAAAGAATATTTCAAGAAAGAACACCCTAAAACTTCCCAAATTTAATGAAAACAATTAAATATCCAGAAAGCTGAATTCTGAGTAGGATAAACTCAAAAAAATCCACACCTAGACACATCATTACCAAACTGTTGAAATACAAAGACAGATCATCTGGAAGGCAGAAGGATTAATGGCTGGTTTCTCATTAGAAACTTCGGAGGCCTGAAGACAGTGTGATGACATATTCAACGTGCTGAAAAAAAAAATTATCAACAAGGAATTTTATATCTAGTAAAACTATTTCTAAATAGTTCCCATTATTCTGCCGATTTTGGGGAACAATTTAAAAATGAAGGATAGACCAGGACACTCTCAGATAAATAAAACCTGAAAGAATTCATCACTAACAGACTGGCCTACAAGAAGTAATAAAGGGAATCCTTCAGACTGAAATGAAAGGACACTAAAGGATAACTCAAATCCACATGAAGAAATATAGATCACCAGTAAAGGTAACTGCATAGGTTATATAAAATCAGTATAAATGTATTTTTATTTACAACTTTTTCTATCTGATTTAAAAGACAACTGCATATAGCAATAACTATAAATCTGTATTAGTGGGCCTTATATAAAGATGCAATTTGTGTGGTAATAGCACAAAGAAAGAGGAAGTAACAGAGCTATATAAGAGCAAAAGTTTTGCCTATTATTGAAATTAAGTTGTTATTAAATGTAAAGACCATCGAGACTAGGAGGAAACTGCATCAACTAACGAGCAAAATCACCAGCTAACGTCATAATGACAGGATCAAATTCACACATAACAATATTAACTTTAAATGTAAATGGACTAAATGCTCCAATTAAAAGACACAGACTGGCAAACTGGATAAAGAGTCAAGACCCATCAGTGTGCTGTATTCAGGAAACCCATCTCACGTGCAGAGACACACATAGGCTCAAAATAAAAGGATGGAGGAAGATCTACCAAGCAAATGGAAAACAAAAAAAGGCAGGGGTTGCAATCCTAGTCTCTGATAAAACAGACTTTAAACCAGCAAAGATCAAAAGAGACCAAGAAGGCCATTACATAATGGTAAAGGGATCAATTCAACAAGAAGAGCTAACTATCCTAAATATATATGCACCCAATACAGGAGCACCCAGATTCATAAAGCAAGTCCTGAGTGACCTACAAAGAGACTTAGACTCCCACACATTAATAATGGGAGACTTTAACACCCCACTGTCAACATTAGACAGATCAACGAGACAGAAAGTCAACAAGGATACCCAGGAATTGAACTCAGCTCTGCACCAAGCGGACCTAATAGACATCTACAGAACTCTCCACCCCAAATCAACAGAATATACATTTTTTTCAGCACCACACCACACCTATTCCAAAATTGACCACATACTTGGAAGTAAAGCTCTCCTCAGCAAATGTAAAAGAACAGAGATTATAACAAACTATTTCTCAGACCACAGTGCAATCAAACTAGAACTCAGGATTAAGAATCTCACTCAAAGCCGCTCAACTACATGGAAACTGAACAACCTGCTCCTGAATGACTACTGGATACATAACGAAATGAAGGCAGAAATAAAGATGTTCTTTGAAACCAACGAGAACAAAGACACAACATACCAGAATCTCTGGGACGCATTCAAAGCAGTGTGTAGAGGGAAATTTATAGCACTAAATGCCCACAAGAGAAAGCAAGAAAGATCCAAAATTGACACCCTAACATCACAATTAAAAGAACTAGAAAAGCAAGAGCAAACACATTCAAAAGCTAGCAGAAGGCAAGAAATAACTAAAATCAGAGCAGAACTGAAGGAAATAGAGACACAAAAAACCCTTCAAAAAATTAATGAATCCAGGAGCTGGTTTTTTGAAAGGATCAACAAAATTGATAGACCGCTAGCAAGACTAATAAAGAAAAAAAGAGAGAAGAATCAAATAGACACAATAAAAAATGATAAAGGGGATATCACCACCGATCCCACAGAAATACAAACTACCATCAGAGAATACTACAAACACCTCTACGCAAATAAACTAGAAAATCTAGAAGAAATGGATAAATTCCTCGACACATACACTCTCCCAAGACTAAACCAGGAAGAAGTTGAATCTCTGAATAGACCAATAACAGGAGCTGAAATTGTGGCAATAAACAATAGTTTACCAACCAAAAAGAGTCCAGGACCAGATGGATTCACAGCCGAATTCTACCAGAGGTACAAGGAGGAACTGGTACCATTCCTTCTGAAACTGTTCCAATCAATAGAAAAAGAGGGAATCCTCCCTAACTCATTTTATGAGGCCAGCATCATTCTGATACCAAAGCCGGGCAGAGACACAACCAAAAAAGAGAATTTTAGACCAATATCCTTGATGAACATTGATGCAAAAATCCTCGATAAAATACTGGCAAAACGAATCCAGCAGCACATCAGAAAGCTTATCCACCATAATCAAGTGGGCTTCATCCCTGGGATGCAAGGCTGGTTCAATATACGCAAATCAATAAATGTAATCCAGCATATAAACAGAGCCAAAGACAAAAACCACATGATTATCTCAATAGATGCAGAAAAAGCCTTTGACAAAATTCAACAACCCTTCATGCTAAAAACTCTCAATAAATTAGGTATTGATGGGACGTATTTCAAAATAATAAGAGCTATCTATGACAAACCCACAGCCAATATCATACTGAATGGGCAAAAACTGGAAGCATTCCCTTTGAAAACTGGCACAAGACAGGGATGCCCTCTCTCACCACTCCTATTCAACATAGTGTTGGAAGTTCTGGCCAGGGCAATTAGGCAGGAGAAGGAAATAAAGGGTATTCAATTAGGAAAAGAGGAAGTCAAATTGTCCCTGTTTGCAGACGACATGATTGTATATCTAGAAAACCCCATTGTCTCAGCCCAAAATCTCCTTAAGCTGATAAGCAACTTCAGCAAAGTCTCAGGATACAAAATCAATGTACAAAAATCACAAGCATTCTTATACACCAACAACAGACAGAGAGCCAAATCATGAGTGAACTCCCATTCACAATTGCTTCAAAGAGAATAAAATACCTAGGAATCCAACTTACAAGGGATGTGAAGGACCTCTTCAAGGAGAACTACAAACCACTGCTCAAGGAAATAAAAGAGGATACAAACAAATGGAAGAACATTCCATGCTCATGGGTAGGAAGAATCAATATCGTGAAAATGGCCATACTGCCCAAGGTAATTTACAGATTCAATGCCATCCCCATCAAGCTACCAATGACTTTCTTCACAGAATTGGAAAAAACTACTTTAAAGTTCATATGGAACCAAAAAAGAGCCCGCATCGCCAAGGCAATCCTAAGCCAAAAGAACAAAGCTGGAGGCATCACACTACCTGACTTCAAACTATACTACAAGGCTACAGTAACCAAAACAGCATGGTACTGGTACCAAAACAGAGATATAGATCAATGGAACAGAACAGAGCCCTCAGAAATAACGCCACATATCTACAACTATCTGATCTTTGACAAACCTGAGAAAAACAAGCAATGGGGAAAGGATTCCCTATTTAATAAATGGTGCTGGGAAAACTGGCTAGCCATATGTAGAAAGCTGAAACTGGATCCTTTCCTTACACCTTATACAAAAATCAATTCAAGATGGATTAAAGACTTAAACGTTAGACCTCAAACCGTAAAAACCCTAGAAGAAAACCTAGGCATTACCATTCAGGACATAGGCATGGGCAAGGACTTCATGTCCAAAACACCAAAAGCAATGGCAACAAAAGCCAAAATTGACAAATGGGATCTAATTAGACTAAAGAGCTTCTGCACAGCAAAAGAAACTACCATCAGAGTGAACAGGCAACCTACAAAATGGGAGAAAATTTTCGCAACCTACTCATCTGACAAAGGGCTAATATCCAGAATCTACAATGAACTCAAACAAATTTACAAGAAAAAAACAAACAACCCCATCAAAAAGTGGGCGAAGGACATGAACAGACACTTCTCAAAAGAAGACATTTATGCAGCCAAAAAACACATGAAAAAATGCTCATCATCACTGGCCATCAGAGAAATGCAAATCAAAACCACAATGAGATACCATCTCACACCAGTTAGAATGGCAATCATTAAAAAGTCAGGAAACAACAGGTGCTGGAGAGGATGTGGAGAAATAGGAACACTTTTACACTGTTGGTGGGACTGTAAACTAGTTCAACCATTGTGGAAGTCAGTGTGGCGATTCCTCAGGGACCTAGAATTAGTAATACCATTTGACCCAGCCATCCCATTACTGGGTATATACCCAAAGGACTATAAATCATGCTGCTATAAAGACACATGCACACGTATGTTTATTGCGGCATTATTCACAATAGCAAAGACTTGGAACCAACCCAAATGTCCAACAATGATAGACTGGATTAAGAAAATGTGGCACATATACACCATGGAATACTATGCAGCCATAAAAAATGATGAGCTCATGTCCTTTGTAGGGACATGGATGAAATTGGAAATCATCATTCTCAGTAAACTATCGCAAGAACAAAAAACCAAACACCACATATTCTCACTCATAGGTGGGAACTGAACAATGAGATCACATGGACACAGGAAGGGGAACATCACACTCTGGGGACTGTGGTGGGGTGGGGGGAGGTGGGGAGGGATAGCATTGGGAGATATACCTAATGCTAGATGACGAGTTAGTGGGTGCAGCGCACCAGCATGGCACATGTATACATATGTAACTAACCTGCACAATGTGCACATGTACCCTAAAACATAAAGTATAATAAAAAAAAGAAAAAAATAAATAAATAAATAAACTTATGTAAAAAAAAAAGAAATTAAGTTGTTATTAACTCAAACTAGATTGTTTTAAATGTAGATGTTAATTGTAATCTTCCTTGCAACCACTAATACAACAACTCAAAAGAATATAGTAAAACAAATGGCAAGGGAATTTAAATGGTACACTAGAAAATATCTACTTAACACAAAAGAAGGCAGTGATGGAGGAATAGAAGAATAAAAAAGACATAATTGACTAGTAATTTGTTTAAAAAGACATGATATATAGAAAGCAAATAGAAAAAAGACATAAATTTTACCTTATCAGTAATTACATTAAATTTAAATGAGTTAAACCCTTCAATAGAAAGATAAAAATTGGCAGAATAATGGGAAAAATCATGATCCAACTATGTGCTGTCTACAAGAGACTCACTTTGGATTCAAAGACACAAATAGATTTAAAGTAAAAGGATAGAAAAAGATATAGCATTTAAATAGTAACCAACAAGAGCTAGGGTACCTATGCTAATGTCAAGCAAAATAGACTTACAGACAAAAACTATTCCTAGCGATAGATAAAGACATTTTTCAATGATTGAAAATTATTCCTAGAGATAAAGATATTTTATAATGATAAAAGAATCACTCCATCAAGAAGACATAGCAATTATAAACATGCATGTAACGACAGAGTCCCAAAATACATGAAACAAAACTGACAGAATTGAAGGAAGAAATAAACCAACAATCATAGTTGGAGATTTCAGTACCTAGTTTTAAACAATAGATATAACTAGACAGAAGGTCAGCAAGGAAATAAGAAGACTTGAATAGCACTATGAAAGCTCTAGGCCTAACAGACATATACAGAACATTTCATCTAACAGCAGGAGAATAGACATTCTTTTCAAGTGAACATGGAACATTGTCCAGGATTGACCAGATATTAGGCCATAAAACATACCTCAATAAATTAAAAGGATTGAAATCATGCAAAGTATGTTCTTCAACCACAATGGAAAGAAATTTGGGATGCCCAGCCTAACACATCATCTTTATCAAATCCTCAGGAAGAAGGTGATTGATAGAAAGATGGGTGTAAAACCACTGGAACCTGTCTTCATCTGTTTTGTGCTTCTATAACAGAATACCTGAGACTGGGTAATTTATAATGAATAGAAATGTTTAGGCTCATGGTTCTGGACCCTGGGAAGTTCAATATCAAGTTGCCAGCATCTGGTCAGGGCCTTATGGCTGCATCGTAACATGGCAGATGGCATCACATGATGAAAGGGCAATGGTTACGGGAAGAAAGGTCGGGGGTGGGGCAGGAGGAAGAGAGACAGAGAGAGAGAGCAAGAAGGAGTGAACTTATTCCTGCCATAGCAAACGCACTCCTACGGTGATGGCATTAGTCCATTCATGAGGGCGAGCCCTCATGACCAATCACTTCTTAAAAGTCCCACTTCCCAATACCATCACAATGGCAATTAAATTTCAGCATGAGTTTTGGAGGAGACAAACATTCAAGCCATGAAAAAATCCAAGGTGCATCACTGGTCATTGAGAGTTCGGGAAGCTCCACTGTTTTCTTGGCCTGAAACTCAGCAGCAAAGTTGCAGCCATCTTCTCTGAGAAAAGCCCGGTTTGTGGCTTCAGAAGGGACCTATTCCTTTTGAGAACTTTTTCAGAACTTGCATTTCTTAGAGCAAACAGAAACGTAACATGTTACAAGATCTTTCTACTCTGGTTGGCAGAAGAGTTGAAGATGATAAATTTACATCCTTTTCATTGAATCAGCCACAAAATGTAAACACTTTAAAAGCCTTGGACATTTATCTATGTAACAAATCTGCATATCCTGCACATGTACCCCTGAACTTAAAAGTTGAAAGAAAAGAAAAATAAAAGCTTTGAATAAGAAAATGTTTTTAAATGTATAAAGTTGTTTATGATAGCTTGTACCAATGACTGCTGACTTATTCTAATAATGTTTAAAATGAATGTTTATTCTACTGTTTATTCTAATAATGTTTATTCTAATGATGCTTAGAATGAATAATAGATAATTTATTTGAAATCAATTACCAATTTGTGAAAATTCACATTATGAGGAGTTTGTGAAGAGCAAATTAACTTCATGTACCAATGAGTCACATATTACCTTGTGATTGAGAGTCCAGATGATGACCTGTGCTCTTTCCATCTTTCCACTCTTTCATCCTTGGCATATTAGCCTTGTTCTCCTTCTTGTCATCTCCTGGTCACAAGATGACCATTCTACCTGACATCCTATGTCTGCATTCCAGAGTGAAAAGAAAGGGGAAGAGTGTGAAGGCAAAGAACTTCCCCAGAAAGGCTTAGCCTCTTTATTCAAGATAGAACACCCTCTTGTCCTCTTCTGTTTACATCTCAATGACTGGAACTATGTCTGATGGCCATCCTGAGCTTCAAAGGAAGGTGTAAAATGAAGCATTTGCGCCTAGGCACATGGGCATCCAATCAGAGTCCTGCTAGGAAGGAAGCCATAGGGAGCGGATATTGGGTAGTAACTAGCAGTGCCTGGTATACCCCTGAGCCTTCAAGCTGAATCATTGCTGCAAGAGCAAAGTGGGAGGCAATGTAGGGCCTGATTACAGAGGAACTTTTCTTCAATACACAAACTTCTAACCTACTGAATTGGAATCTCTGGAAATGGCACCCTGAGACCTGTACTTGTTAAAGCACCAACTGCTTTCCTACTTCACCTGAGGACTTAAGAGCCCTCTCCTCCTACTTCTCCTAATCATGGTCCCCCTGCCATTTCCTCCTCACAGATCAGCCATGGTCCAACATTTATGTGCAACATCTCAGGCTGTGCTGTGAGCCCGGCTATCCATTTCTCCTTCACCAGCTACAACTTTGGGACCTGCTTTATCTATCAAGCTGGGATGCCCCCATACAAACAAACCCTGGTAATTACCAACAAGGAAGAAACACCTATGAGGTAAGCAGGCTTCCAGAGCCTCCAAATGATTCTCTAGCTGCTTGTGGGTCCTACAGATTCCACACAGGTGAAGCCCTGCCAAGACAAAAAAAAAAAATGATTATGGGAAAGAGTCAAACAAAAGTGGGTATGAATCCTAGGTCCCTGTCCCCATAACTAACACTAATACTTGGATAGCCACGAGCTACCCTGCTAAAAATCCTCTTTGTGAAGTATGTAGAGCAATGCCAAAGGACCTAATGAGAGGTTTTATGACTTCCATTTATCTTGTCGTGCAATAGACTTGGAAACTGAGGTTTGAAGAGTTAAAAGGTAAATTTCTCAGGCCAGTGGCTTTGCAGTAAATAGCAGACCTGTACTGAGCCTAAGCTTTCTGATTCAAATCCAGCCTCTTGGCACCATCCCTCTGTGGGATGTTCTAGTCCAAGGTTCTGAGCCCCATTCAAGACCTAATGAGATAGAATCTCCAAGGGCTGGCCCAAAGACCTGTGTTTACTCAAAGCTATCTATCAGTACTTTAGAGAACTTTCCATCATGATGAAAATGTTGTATTTTTGCATTGTCCAATATGGTGGCCTATAGCTGAATGTGGCTTCAGAGCACTTAAAATGTGGCTAGCGAAACTAAAGAACTGATTTTTTATTTTATTTTAATTAATGTTAATTTTAATTTTAATAACCACATGTGTCTAGTGGCCACCATATTAGCTAGCACAGATCTAAGTTCAAATTTCAACTCTTCCCTAGTTGTGTGACCTTGGGCAAATTTTTAAAACTCTCTATGCCTCTGTCTCCTTGCCTGAAATGGTAGTCATAATAATACCATCTATATAAGACTATTAGGATGATTACATTAGTTCACCTAGGAACAGTGCTTAGAACACTGCCTGGAACATAAGAAATGCCCAGTTATTGTTAGCTGCTGCTGCTGCTGTTATGATTATTATTAGTACCCTGAATATTAAATTATAAGTGTGTCATGTAATTTTAAATACTAATTTTAAATCTTATCTATCTATACTTCTTGCATGATTTAATGTAATCTCAGTCTTACTTTGCTTAAGGCATTGAGCTCTATATGTTGGCCTAGCTAGACTCCTTCTCTACAGACTGTAAGGCAGAGAAGGAGAGGTTGTAATGAAAAGGCCTAGGTGCCTTCCTACCCACATGTGGAGTAGGGTGGACATGATCTTTTAAGATCCCTTCTGGTTGAACAATTAGTCATAATAATAATAGCTCACTTTATGGAATATTTCCTCTGTGCCCTATTTAATGACTGTTTCAGTCACTTAATCTCATTTAATCCTCACAACAGCCCTAAGAAATAGTTATCATTACCCCCATTTTACAGATAAGAAAACAGAGACCCAAGTGGGCCACATAACTCTTCAGAGATCATTTGGGTAATTAGTGATGGAGCCTAGATCCAGACTCCTCTCTGCCTGACTCTAGAACATATACTCCTCCCTACTGTGCTTTGTTACCTAATTACTTCTGGAAGCATTTCCTTCTTATGAGAGGGTACAAAACCCTCGTGTAGAAAACCATGAGTTGCATTATCAAGAAATCGAAAATCAGGCTGGGCGCGGTGGCCTGTAATCCCAGCACTTTGGGAGGTCGAGGTGGGTGGATCACCTGAGATCAGAAGTTCAAGATCAGCCTGGCCAACATGGTGAAACCCTGCATCTACTAAAAATACAAAAATTAGTTGGGCACAGTGGTATGCACCTATAATCCCAGCTACTCAGGAGGCTGAGGCAAGAGAATCGCTTGAACCTGGGAGGTGGAGGTTGCAGTGAGTTGAGATCATGCCACTGCATTCCAGCCTGGGTGACAGAGTGAGACTCTGTCTCCAAAAAAAAACAAAGAAAGAAAGAAAGAAATACAGAATCAGTAGAGTGAAGAATATTGGGCAAAGGGTGATGAGCCTTGAGTTTGAAACCCAGTTCAGCCAGGATCTCAGGATGTGACTTGGAGCAACTTGGTTGTGCCTAAGAGAGCATGGGCTGGGTCATTGCTGAGCTCCCTTCTAGCTCTTAAATGACTTCTGTGACTCTAGGACAGCAGGGCAGGAAACCCATCAGTGTCCAGCCCAAAGAGACAAGGAGACAGCATCTGCCCCTCTGGGTCAGACTTCTTGGAGCTTACGCCTCTTCCTCTTGATTTTCTGCAGCATAGATTGTCTGTACACCAACACCACTCACCTCGAGGTGAACTGCCGTGTTGATGTGGTAAAGCCAGGAAACACATTGGAGATTCCAATAACTTTTTATCCTCGAGAAAGTATCAACTATCAAGAACTCATTCCCTTTGAAATCAATGGGCTCTCACAACAAACAGTCGAAATCAAAGGGAAGGGTACCGAAATGAAGGTAACAGACAGTCGGGAGGCCTTCAGGCATGGCACCCTCCTTTCTACCCTTCTCATCCTTCTTTGCCCCCCAGAACCCCTTCACCCTTCCAGCCCCTCTGCTTCTCTGCCCCAGGCTGCTCTGTTGTAGGTCAGCGAGTCCCACTGAGATGATGTTCCTAATAACAGAAAGGGGCAAATCACCAGATCAGACTCACTGAATCATAGATCTTATTCAATACCAAACTTTACTGTATCAAAGGATACAGGTAATCACAGACACTAGAGAAATATTCTTTTTCTTGGAGAAATTTGAGACTTTCAGACTCAGCACCCCAAGTATATCCTTTTCCTCCTGCATCAGGGCATGTTTGTTTTCAGGTTTAATAGATAACATTTTTTTTTAACATTTTTAAGCAATGTACACAGACACGTGTTTCAGTGATGGAACATCTTTCCTTAACACCCCATTGATTAGCATTCTCCAGCCAGCCACAGATCCCTGGATGATATTTGGTTCAAGGCATTTCTTTTACCGAGGCACTCTGGATAGAAAGGGAATGGTCATATTCTGCTGCTCATTCATTTCCTTCTTGTGTCTAGTAAATGTGTAAGGTGCTTGTCTGGTGGGATTATCTGTATTTTAATAGAAGGTTTTGGAAGATTAAAATCCTTCCAAGACTTTCAGGAATGCATAGCATATTTCAGCAACCAGGGGAGGGGTGTATTCCTGGCAGCCTTCCCATCAAGCCATAGGAGCAACAGGACATTACCAGCTAATGTGTCTGGACCCAAGCTAGAGACAAGGTCGCTTCTGATGCCATTGATTCATTCATTTTCCTATTGGTCTTTCACTTGTTCATTTAGCACCCATTATGTATTGGATATTTTGGGAAGATGCAGAAGTGACTTACACATGTTCTCAGACATCCAAGAGCTCATGACTGGTGGGACAGACTCTCTTGCCTTTTTAGACAAAATGGAAACATGTGGGCTGGGTTTAAAGATAGTTGGGTGGAGGGGTGCAATTTAGTGACTGACCATGACAGTGACCAGTGGGTGCTGCTCATTGTGGGTCAGTGCCATTTTGGAGAGCAGGCTCAGCCTGGCCTTGGCCTGACCCAGGCACCATTTTAATCAGTGTCTTACCTGAGGACTTGGAAGCATAACTACTTTTCTCTGCCTCTACTGCCACTGTTCTAATCCAACCACCATCATCTCTCCCTCCTGCCTTCTTTCTTGCCCTCTTCAAGCCCATTCTCCGTAAAGAAGCCAGAGCTCTCTCACAAACACTCCATACTTCACTGACTTCCCATTGCTCCCAGAATGAAGCCCAGTTCTCCCACTTCTCACTCAGCAATGGCCTAAAAGGCCTTGCAAGACCTGGCCACCTCTCTGAAGTCATCTTCTCAAGTCCTAGCTCCCAGCCTCAGGCCTTCACTGGGCCACTCCCTCTGGCTCAGGGCCTGGCCACAGGTTGTCTCCCTGCCTTAGGTTGTTCCCCAATTCCACACTCACTCTGGCTGAAACTGACTAGCCCATACCTTTCTTTAGCTCTTGATGTATACATGCCATCTTTGGAAAGGCCCCCTGAGCCCCCTAGCCTAGTTTCAGCCCCATGTAATATGCTCTCAAGGTGCCCTGAGATTTTCCTACATATATTTTGACCCAGTTGTACTTGTATAATTGTGTGATGAGGAGTTCAGTGGGCACTTGAGGCACTTAAATGCTTATTGAGTAGGCAGATGTCCACCCAATATGAAGAAGTGAGGGCACAGAAAGAGAAGGAACCACCCTTGCCTCACCAGAGTAGACATATAATGTTTATTTTTCCCTTTAACTAATGAACTCTTCTTCCTACTCTTTCTTGTCCCACAGATTTTAGTCCTAGATCCAGCCAACAGGATTGTGAAGTTGGGAGCTGTCCTACCAGGGCAGGTTGTGAAAAGAACAGTTTCCATCATGAACAACAGCCTGGCCCAGCTCACATTTAATCAGTCCATTCTGTTCACAATTCCAGAACTCCAGGAACCCAAGGTTGGTGCTCAGAGGGGCTCCTAGCGGCCCCTTCATGCTCCCTGATGATGAGGATGGCCATGCTGGCAACACTAGCAGCTCACATTTCTTGTGCATCTGTAATGTGCCAGACCATTCTAAGAGCCTTCCCTGTGCTCCCTCTGTTCATTTTCACAAAAACAGTATAGGGCTTTACAGGGTGCACTAGTCCCATACTGTTTTTGTGAAAACGAACAATATTTTCATTTTGCATTTTCATTTCATTTTCCATGTCATTCATTGTCATTTGTTTATTTACATCTCCGTTGTGTAGACAGCCCAGTTCTCTATTTTCGTTCATTTCAGGTGTTTCTCCTTAAGCCTTTGTGCATGCATGACTCTGTGCTTAAGATACATTCCTAGGCTGGGTGTAGTGGCTCACGCCTGTAATTCCAACACTTTGGGAGGCTGAGGCAGGTGGATCACAAGGCCAGGAGTTCAAGACTAGCCTGGCCAAGATGGTGAAACCCCGTCTCTACTAAAAATTAGCCAGGCATGGTGGCGGGTGCCTGTAATCCCAGCTATTCAGGAGGCTGAGGCAGAGAATTGTTTGAACCCAGGAGGCGGAGGTTGCAGTGAGTCGAGATTGCACCACGGCACTCCAGCCTGGGCAACACAGCGAGACTCCATCTCAAAAAAAAAAAAACATATATATATGTGTGTGTATATATACATATATATGTGTGTATATATATGTGTATATATGTTTGTTTGGTTTTTTTTGAGTCGGAGTCTCACTCTGTCGACCAGGCTGGAGTGCACTGGTGTGATCTCAGCTCACTGCAATCTCCACCTCCTGGGTTCAAGTGATTCTCCTGCCTCAGCCTCCTGAGTAGCTGGGACTACAGGCATAAACCACGAAGCCCGTCCAATTTTTGTATTTTTAGTAGAGACGGGGTTTCGCCATGTTGGCCAGGCTGTTGTCAAACTCCTGACCTCAAGTGATCCACCTGCCTCGGCCTCCCAAAGTGCTGGGATTACAGGCGTGAGCCACGGCACCCAACTGGAATCTGCATTTTAAAAACCACACAGGGAAACTGAGGCAGGGAACACTCCTTGAGAAATGCCAGAGCTCTAAGTGTTTGTTATTTCCCGTTACTATTTCCTGTATCAGGGAGGAGGAAGAAAGAAGGAAGTACACAAAATAAGTTAGGAAAGGGTCAGGAAAGGGAAATGATACTTATTAAATATCTATTATGTGCTACAAATTTTATAGAGATGATCTTAATCTTCAACATAGAGTAAGTCACAGAAAGTTGAAGTAATTTACCAAAGCATACACAGCTGATGGGAGAGCAGGAGTGAGATCTGACCCCTGTTCCAATCGCAGCAGCAAGAACTCCGGGAACCGAGGCCTTAGGGGCCTCCCACCCTCAGCTGCTGACTCTGGGTGCTATTTCATTCAGGTCCTCACCCTGGCGCCCTTCCACAACATCACACTGAAGCCCAAAGAAGTCTGTAAACTGGAAGTCATCTTTGCCCCGAAGAAGCGTGTCCCTCCCTTCTCTGAGGAAGTGTTCATGGAATGCATGGGGCTCCTGCGCCCCCTCTTCCTCCTTAGCGGCTGCTGCCAGGCCCTGGAGATCTCACTGGACCAGGAACATATTCCCTTTGGACCCGTGGTGTATCAGACGCAAGCCACGCGTCGCATCCTCATGTTGAACACAGGCGATGTGGGTGCAAGGTAAGGGAGCAGTGTCTCCCACCCTGAGGCTGCCCCAGAGGCTGCTGTCCCTGTATCTGCCCTGGACTTGTTCTGCAAGTGCAATCACTTTTTACTTCTGTCCTCTCCCTTCTACATCCCCCTGCTTCCCTCAAGATGTGACAGCAGTGGCCTCACTGGGGTGATTGCTGCTACTATGATTACTACAGTTGAGATAACAGAAGATATTTAGTCCATGCCTGTTTCCTGCCTTGACATGGCACACATCATTTAATCCAACTACAGTTCTATGAGACCAAGACTGCTACCAACCCATTTCACAGATAAGCGAGTGCCCAACCACAGAGGGAGGACCACACAGGGCCATGGGATACCAGTGCCACCCAGAACAGAGGCAACTCTCACAGGAAGGGATTGTCGCCATCCCCCAGGATCTGAACCAAGAAGCAGTGCAGGGAACAGTTAAGACCACAGTCCCAGAAGGATTTCTGTCCTAGCCCAGCCACTTCCTAGCTGTGTGACCTTAAGTACACGACACATGTGTATGTGTGTTCATACATATGTTCCCTGATGTGTCACTCGTGGATAATAAGATGCAGCCACTTCCTGCCCTTGGCTCAGCTCTGCAAAGGAGCCAAGTCCACCTACCCAGGAAGTGACCTTGGCCCACATTCCCCAGTGCTTCTGCTCTGTCTGGCAGAGATCTTTCTCCTCCTAGGTGCTAGGATAGACTCAAGGGAGGTGAACCTCAGCCCAGGCAGTCTCTTGTTCTCAGTAGCATTGAGGACACCCTTACAACATCCATAAACTCTCTTTCTTGTCTTCTTTTGTCTTGGAAAAGGTTTAAATGGGACATCAAAAAATTTGAGCCTCATTTCTCCATTAGCCCAGAAGAAGGCTATATTACCTCAGGCATGGAGGTTTCTTTTGAAGTGACCTACCATCCCACCGAGGTGGGAAAGGAGAGCCTTTGTAAAAAAATTCTCTGCTACATCCAGGGAGGCAGTCCTCTGAGTCTAACCCTGTCTGGAGTCTGCGTGGGACCACCTGCAGTAAAAGAGGTTAGTAGCTGCTGCCCGGGGTGGCCCAGTGGCAGGAGTGACCCCAGCAAGTGAACTCAGCCAGGCCTCCTTCAAACATGCAGGCCTGCCCCCTCCCTCCACGAGGCCTGTGAATACACCGTTTCCACTGCTGGAATATTCATTCTCCCCTCTTCATTTGGTTTATTCCTTTCCATTCTTCAGCTCTCATCTGAAACATTACATTCTCAAGGAAGCCTGCTTTGACATCCCTGGCTAGATCACATTCTAAGATCTATGATTAAAGCATTAACACCTTTCTCCTTTTCTATGGTTTAAAAAAAAATGGCCTTGGTATATCCCTCTGCTAGCCTTGTTCCTGGGAACCTAACTGAACCATCAGCTGTGTTACCTAGCAACACTGCTTGTGGTAGAAATGACACCCAATCTCCCTGTCTATAATTTTGTTAAAGAATGTTATATGAATGGAATCATACAGTATGCTATGAACTTGTATTTATAAGTCTCAGCAGGAACATATGCTTTCATTTCTCTTGGATAAATACCTAGTTGTGGAATGGCTGGGTCATGTGGTAGGCGTATGTTTACCTTTGTAAGAAACTGCCAAACTATTTTCCAAAGTGGTTGTGTCCTTTTACAATGCCACCAGCAATGTCTGACATCTCCACTTACTTCACATCCTCATCAACAGTTGATAGTCAGTTGTTTTAAATTTCAGCCATTCTAATCAGTATGTAGAGGTATCTCATGGAGGCTTTATTTTCCTAATGACTAATGATGTTAAGCAACTTTTCGAGTACTTATTTGCCAGCCCTGTATTGTCTTAGTTAAAGTGTCTGTTCAAGTCTTCTGTTTATTTTTAATTAGGTCGTTGGTCTTCTTATTAAAGTTTCTAGAGCTCTTTATATACTCCGAACATAAGTTTTGTGTTTAGGTCTTCAGTCTATTCGGAGTTAATTTCTGTATATAGTGTGAGATATGGATCAAAAATTTTTTGTACATGGATATCCAATTGTTCTAGTACCACTTGTTGAAAAGACTCTTTTCTCTACTGAATTGCCTTGGCACCTTTGTCATTGATTGTAAATGACAATCAATTGATCATATATATGTGGGTTCTGTTCTCATCTATTGATCTATTCGACCATCTTTATGCCAATACCAATCCAATAGCCAGTTCTTTCTTTAACTATAGGGAGCATTTGACACCATAAACCCGTTCCTCCTCCTGCAAACACTTCCTTCACTTGGCTCCAGCACACCACTCTCTCCTGGGTTTCTTCCTACTCACCGGCTTCTCCTTCTCATCTTCTGTTTGTTTCTTGTTTTTTTTTTTTTTTTGTTTTTTTGTTTTTTTTCTGAGACAGAGTCTCACTGTGTTCCCCAGGCTGGAGTGCAGTGGCATGATCTCGGCTCACTGCAACCTCTGCCTCCCAGATTCAAGCAATTCTCCTAACTCAGCTCTTAAGTAGCTGGAATTACAGGCCCCCACCATCATGCCTAGCTAATTTTTATATTTTTAGTAGAGACAGGGTTTTGCCATGTTGGCCGGGTTGGTCTCAAACTCCTGACCTCAGGTAATCCACTCAACTTGGCCTCCCAAAGTGCTGGGATTTCAGGCATGAGCCACCAAGCCTGGCCTTCTGATTCTTCTTAACATTGGAGTTTGTCAGTCAAGAACTAGTCCTTAGATTCCTTCTTTCTTCTACATACCATCATTTCTTGTTGATTTCAGCCAGTTTCTTGGCCTAAAAAAAAAAAACACTGTTAGGCTGGACACAGTAGCTCGTGCCTGTAATCCCAGCACTTTGGGAGGCTGAAGCAGGAGGATCGCTTGAGCTCAGGAGTTCAAGACCAGCGTGGGCAACATAGTGAGACCCTATCTCTACAAAACAACAACAGTAATAACAACAATGAAATTGCTATACTGACAACTCCCAAATCTTTATCTGCAGCCTGGACTCTTCCCTTGAACCCCAGATTTGTAAATTCTACTTCCTGCTTGACGAATAGGCATCTCAAATTTAACATGTATGAAACCTGAGCTCCCGATCTCTCACTGAAACCTGCTCCTCCCACAGTCAATCCCACATCAGTAAAGGGCATCTCCATTCTGCTCATTGCTCAGACTAAAAACTTGGGTGTCATTCTTGAGCCTTCTTCCACCTATACCCAACATACCATACAGAAGTAAATGCTATTGGCTCTTCCAAGTACAACTGGAATATACCCACTTTCCACCATCCCCAGTGCTACCAGTGCCACCTAAGCCACCGTCATCCCCCACCTGGCCTATTGCAAGTGTCTTCTAGTTAATCTCTCTTCCTCTGTCACCTCTAAGCATCTAGAGCAGTTCTGTTAGAGCATAGATCCGATCAGGTCACTCTACTCAAAATACTCGTAAGTCCTCCTTTTTCAACTAAAAAAAAAAAAAAAAAAGTGTCTACCATGACTCCAAGACCCTGCGTGCTGTCCCCTGTCACTTTATCTCCCCCTCACTCACTTCACATTTGCCACACTGGCCTGCCTGCCTTTTGTCAAAACCAGGAGCTTTGTAACTGGCATTTCCTCTGCCAGTTACACTCAGGCTCACTCAGGCTCTTCCCCAGGTCTCCCCTACTTCATCCTTCTTGGTCTTTAATCAAATACATATGCTCAGTTAGGCCCTTCCTGATCACACTGTGTAAAAACTCAAACCCACTCCCAATCTGGCACCCCTTCTACTTTGTCTTTCCCCTTGGCACTTATTTCTATCCTGCACGCTCTACATTCCACTTGTGTGTCTGTCTCCCTCTACTAGAATCTCAGCTCAAGGGCAGAGATTTTTGTTATTTCGTTCATTGCTACATCTCTACCACCAAGAACAGTGCCTAGCACATAGAAGGTACCCGTAAGTATGTGTTGAGTGAATGAAAGAAAAAGAAATGGACCCACTGAAACTCATGATGGGAAGCACTGACAAAGTCAGTCTTCCCCAGCGCACGTTCTGTACTTCTGGCCCTGGAGACGGACCAGGGGGAAGTGCCATGGAAGATGAGGTGCCTGCTTTCTTCCAGGTAGTGAATTTCATGTGCCAGGTGCGCTCCAAGCACACGCAGACCATCCTGCTGTCAAACTGCACCAACCAGACCTGGAATCTGCACCCCATCTTTGAGGGCGAGCACTGGGAGGGGCCTGAGTTCATCACCCTGGAGGCCCACCAGCAAAACAAGCCCTATGAGATCACCTACAGGCCCCGCACCATGAACTTGGAGAACCGCAAGCACCAGGTAGGCTGAGGTCCCCCCACCCCCATTGGTTTCCTGGCATAGTTGAAGGTGGCACTATGTGAATGAGGTTAAAAGACACTTTGGGGCTGGGCGTGGTGGCTCATGCCTGTAATCCCAGCACTTTGGGAGGCTGAGGAGGGTGGATCGCCTGAGGTCAGGAGTTCAAGACCAGCCTGGCCAACAAGGTGAAACCTCGTCTCTACTAAAAATACAAAAATTAGCCAGGCATGGTGGTGCACACCTGTAATCCCAGCTACTTGGGAGGCTGAGGCAGGAGAATTGCTTGAACCCAGGAGGCAGAGGTTTCAGTGAGCCAAGATCATGCCATTGCACTCCAGCCTGGGCAACAGAGTGAGACTCCATCTCAAAAAAATAAAAATTAAATTAAAAAACACTTTGGAAGCTGAGAGCTCAGAGAATGTTAGATGGGGAACACCCAGATCATGTTGGAATAGTGAGGATTTGGGAATTGTGCAGATTATCAAGCTTTGGCTTCCTTTTTTCATTTTTTATTTTAATGTACAGGGATTCTCGTAGAGCCAGGGGCTCAGTTCTGAAATGGAGTCCAGACCAAGCATCAAGTAATTAATGTTTCACTTAATTGCATAAATAACATAATGGTGACTGTAACAAAACAAAAAAAAAGTGGCCACAATATTCCACCCTATTAAAAAATGAACTTTTCTTTTCTATCTTCACTACCAATCCTTATTCAGATACAGCCATAACTATCATCATAACATACCCAATTTTACATTCAGTTTGTTTTCACTTTACGGTATAGCAGTAGCATTTTTCTATTTAACTATGCGGTCTTTATGATAATTATTTTTTAATAACTGCCCAATATTTCACTGAATGAGAATTCCACAATTTGTTTTACAGTCCCATTTGTTGAATGTTTATCTACAAATTTTCATCAACATTATAACTGGTTCTTATATATATGCATAACTTTTTTCTTTGGAGGGATTTTTCTTCAATAGGCTCTCTGGGATAGGATTCCTGGCTCGGATACATATGAACATTTTTCTATCTCCTGAACTATATCACCAAGATGTCTTCAAAAGTATTATGTTTCTTTCCAGAGCCTCCATTATCCTCCATTAATCCTGGGTCTCTACATGTCCAATAAGTACCTAGTAAAGAATGCTGTGTGTCATTCTGATCACATCCTTCTTCTCCTTAGGGCACCCTCTTCTTCCCCCTCCCAGATGGGACCGGCTGGCTGTATGCTCTGCATGGGACTTCTGAGCTCCCCAAAGCTGTAGCCAATATCTATCGTGAAGTGCCATGTAAGACCCCCTACACTGAGCTTCTGCCAATCACCAACTGGCTGAACAAGCCCCAGAGGTAAGGGGGTGGGGCTAGGGGGCTGGGTGGGGAGATGAAAGGAGGACTTTCACCATCTAGCCTGGTCCTTCCCCTACTTAGGACCTCTAGAGGATGTTGAGGGGCTCGAGGAGTTAGAGACAAAGTTCCCTGATGTGACCAGGCATTTCCTGAACACTAAGCCTCTAGCGAGATTCTCTTTTCTGTGCTTAGTTACTTGTAAGTTTCCTGGCACAAAATAACCATTCGATAAATGTTAGCCGTTATTATCATAATGATAATTACCACTGTTATTGCTGAGTGTTCTGTCTTATCACCTAAGCCACTGGCCAGAGAAGCAAGTCCTTGGATCTTGTCCTTGCAGTAGGAGCAGAGTGGAAATCGGGCACCAGGAAAGCTCAAGGCCAACAAGCATGGTCCCCTTCTTTTACAGAGAAGGAACTCTAGACTGGGAGACCAGGCACAATGTACTGAAGGCTTCCTGCTTAGCATAGTGGGTAAAGGCCTGACCTAAATTTGAATCCTGGTTCTGCCAGTAACCAGTCATCTTACCTTCCTTCTCTTGGAGCATCTTATCTTCCTTCTCTTGGCCTGTATTTAGTGATGTGGACATGATAGTGATATGTATTAATACCTCCTACAGATACTGCAAGGATTAATGCCTGTAACACACAGGCCACTCACTCAGTCCCTGGCACATAATAGGTGGCCAGTAAATGGCAGTTCCCATTATTGTTAGTGACAGGGTGAAGACTAGAACCCTGGAGCCATGCACTTCCCATAAAATCAAGAGTACAGCTGGCACTTCTCCTTTTTTCCTATGGGTTAACGGTCTCATTTCCTCTCCCCTCTTGTGTTCTCCTATGCTGCCCCAGATTCCGGGTCATCGTGGAAATACTGAAACCAGAGAAGCCGGACCTAAGCATCACTATGAAGGGCCTTGATTACATTGATGTACTGTCTGGCTCTAAGAAAGACTACAAGCTGAACTTCTTTTCCCACAAGGAGGGAACGTACGCTGCAAAGGTATCTACATAGCAAAGGCACCACCCTGGAACTCAGGACATTTGACCCTGAGTTTGATCCTGGTGTTAGCAAGTAAAGATGGCCCCCATAGTCACTGCTCCAAGACATCACAGGGTCTCTCACACATGAGTTGTTTCACCTCATTCATTCAGTGGTTTAACAAGTATCTATTGAGCACATATGCCATGTACTATACTGATTGCTGGTAACACATCAGCGACCTGAATAGGCACAATCTCTGTTCTCACAGAACACACAGTCTAGTGGAGAGAGATGGGCATTGCTCAAATAATTGCACTATGGATGTATAATTACAAAATGAGATAAGTGCTTTGAAGAAAAGGAGCATGTGTGGATCTGTAGCTCATGGGAGAGGTCGGGACTAAAGATAACATTTGGGAATTTTTCATTTATAGATAGCATTTGGAGCTAAGATGTGGGATAGAATCACTTGGGGAAACATTTTAAAGTAAAAAGAAAAAGAAAAAAAGAAAGTATCTAGGAACACACACACACACAGAGAGAGAGAGAGAGAGAGAGAGAGATGCTGGCAAGACGCATCCAGCAGTGTGAGATCTCCTTTTCTACAATAACTGAGTAGGATGCTCCAATCACATCTCATCAGATCAGCATTCACAGACAGACAAGATTTTAAGAGAACCTCAAAACAAGACATCATGAAACATCTAAAAAAAGTTACCATAAAATAGAAATACCTACTCAATAAATGAGTAAATCACCTCTGAAAAGAAAGAGTTATTAAAGCAAACAGAAAACTTTAAGTGAATATTATTTATATCCCCAAAGGGAGAAAATCATACTCATGAAATAAGGATAAGCTATTGTGAAAAAGAACCAATTAGAGACTCTAGAAATGAAAAATAAAATATTTAGAAAACCATGCAGGAGGGATGGACTTTATAATGGAGATTACTAATAAGTTACAAGATGGAGCTGAGTAATATCACCAGACCTTAGCCCTTGAGGACAAAGAAATGGAATGAAATGAAATAATAACAAGCATCAGCAAGGATGTGGAGAAATTGGGACCCTCATACACTGCAGGTGGGAGTATAACATGGTGCAGCTGCCCTGGAAAACAGTCTGGCAGTTCCTCAAATGGTTAAACGTAGAGTTACCATATGATTCACCAATTTAACTCCTAGGTAATACCCTAGAGAAATGAAAACATATGTGCACACAAAAATCTATACACAAATATTCATAGCAGCATTATTTATAAGAGCCAAAACGTAGAGACAACCCAAATTTCGATGAACTGGTAAGTGTATAAATAGAATGGAATTTGACAATAAAAAGAAATGGAAATAAAATATTGATACCTGCTATAAAACATTATGCTAAGTGAATGAAGCCAGTAACAAATGTATGATTTGAAATGAAAGTGAATGTATGCTTTGAAATATAGGTGAAAGAAGCCATTCACATATTGTATGACTCCGGGTGTATGAAATTTGAAGAATAAGCCAATCTACAGAAACAGAAAGTTGATTCATGGTACCAAGGGCTGGAGAGGATGGGTTGGGGAAAAGGGGAGTGACTTAATGGTTATAGGGTTTTAGGGATTATGAAAATGTTCTAAAGTTTATTGTGGTGATGGCTACGCTGCCTTGTGAATATACTACAAACCACTAAATAGAACACTTTAAATGAGGGATTGTATGGTATGTGAGTTATATCTCAATAAAGCTGTTTCAAAAACAGAATGAAAGGAAATATGAGACAATGTATAAATCAAGAAGTTCTAATATATATGTAATAGGAGCTCCTGAAAGAGAAACAAGATACTGGAAGGAAGAAAGTATTCAACAAAATAACTGAAGAAATATTTCCAGGGCTTTTTAAGAAGATCAAGTCTTCTAATCGAATGGGTCCATCAAGTTGCCAAACAGGGTGAATGAAAAAAATACTCACATCTAAATACATTAGAGCAACGTTTCAGAAAACCGGGATGAAAGAGAAAGTCCTAAATGATTCTAGAGGAAATAAAAGGAACTAATAATCATGGTAACATAAGACTTCTTGTGGCAACACCAAATACCAGAAGATAATGGAATAAGCTATCCAAATTTCAGAGTGAGAATGATTGTCAGTCTAGAACTCTTTTTCCAGACAAAACTCTTATGACAGCAAAACTTGGACATGCAAGGACTCAAAGTAACTGACCCAGGGCCAGGCACAGTGGCTCACGTCTGTAATCCCAACACTTTGGGAGGCCAAGGTGGGCTGGCACGTGCCTATAGTCTCAGCTACTCAGGAGGCTGAGGTAGGAGGACTGATTGAGCCCAGGAGATTGAGGTTGCAGTGAGCTGAGGTGACACCACTGCACTCCACCTGGGCAACAGAACAAAACTGTGTCTCCAAAAAAAGAAAAAAAAAAGTAACCCACCCATACGCACAAATTCTATCTGAAAATAAATACAAAATTAAAACTTTCTGAATTAGCAAAGCTTAAAAAATAAGTAAGTGAGCCATGTGCAGTGGCTCATGCCTGTAATTCCAGCACTTTGGGAGGCTGAGGTGGGTGGATCACTTGAGGTTAGGAGTTCAAGACCAGCCTAGCCAACATGGTGAAACCCCATATTGAGGCAAGAGAATTGCTTGAACCCAGGAGGCAGAGGTTGCAGTGAGCCGAGATCACACCACTGCACTCCAGCCTGGGCAACAGAGCAAGATCCTGTCTCAAAAAAAAAAAAAAGTGAATCAAAGAGGAAAGTACAAGGATATAATAAGCAAATAATCAAAATTAAATTGATAGGTAATTTTAAACAACTGTTGAAAGACAATCTAAGATAAATATTTCATATGACCTGAACATAGAAAATAGCAAGGGGAAGAATAAAATAAGGCAATGAGAAGCATTTCCTCGTTCTGGAGGAATTGAATGGGGGAAATAAGAGAAGGTTTCTCATTCAGAGAGAAGAGTAGGAAGAGAATAGAGATATTCATAAACTGTACATGTAAACAAAATAAAGATATGTAAAAATATAAGTGAAAAGACTTTGGAGTAAAAATGACAGAGTGAACCCAAATCACCAGTCTCCTTACAGTAATACATATTGAAATTAAAAATAATAACAAACATTTTTCAAAGAATAAAAAGCATTTCTGCTTCTGGTTATAATGATTATAATACTCCATTTTATACTCCTCCCACTAAAAAAAAAAACATATAAAACTCAACAAAATCTCTGAGGCAACTTTTCTCAGGCATTGGACAACAGGCAGCACAATACTGCAATCCTCGAAAAGGAAGGAAAACTCATGACGAATCCCCATGATTATCCTGGTTCTCTGCCTAAGGACAATTTCCTGACTACAATTCAGTGAGCTAGAGTCCAAGCAAAGCACAGCAGCCGCCAAGGAGCTGAGGAGGCAGAAATCAGAGTTTGGGACAGTCAAAAAGGCTAGTCTCTACAGGGTAGGACACCAGAGAGAAGGGACCAGTGCATGAGTAAAGAGGACAGGTCAGAAGACAGCATGAGCGTTCCCTTCACTATCCTTGGCTAAGAGTTGCACATGTGCAGGGTGAGACAACATGAGATTTACCAGGGAGCAGCTGCTATGTGGTTGATAAAGGAATAGCAATACTATGTGTTAATCAGTGCTGGGGAACATTAGAGGTCTGGCCCAGCCAAAGGAAAGAGATTGCATTAATACCTCATTAAAATCCTGAGAACCCAGCTAAAATACTAGAAAAGCCAGAAGAAAGACTTAGGAGAAAGGGCCATTCCCTTAGTATAAGGCCTTCTCTTTATCAGCCCTTTAAAAAAGCCTACAACTAAGCACCTGCAAGTTCTACAGGGAGGACAAAATCTGGAGATTGAATCCCAGCAAGTCAGAAGGTCCTGATAAATACCTTGAGCTTTACACGGATGTGCTCTAACAAAGCATAAAACCAAACCCACACAAATTTAAGTCAGTGATTCAACTACCTCCTACAACAAAATCAACACTGTTAAAAGGAAGACAACAGAATCCAGAATCTCTACAATGATCATCAGCATTGTCCAGTAGACAAATAAAAATTACTAGACCTGTGGAGAAGCAGAAAAATGGGATCCATAGTCAAGAAAAAAAAGCAGTCAATGGAAACTGACTCCAAGACGGGCCAGATGTTGGATTTAGCAGGCAGACTTCACAGCAACTGTTCTAAACATAACATAACATTCTCTGGGAAGAAGAGAATGAGAGAGAATGTGAATGAGGCAGAAAATTAAATTACAGACATACCTCAGAAGTACTGTGGGTTTGGTTCCAGGCCACCATGACAAAGCTAATAATGCAATAAAGTGAGTCACAATATTTTTTGTTTCCTGGTACATATAAAGGTTATGTTTACATTGTACTGTAGTCTATTAAGTGTACAATAACATTAGGTCTTTAAAAGTAACGTGCATACCTGAATTATAAATTACTTATTTGCTTAAAAATCCTAATGATCATCTGAGCCTTCAGCGAGTCATAATCTTTATGCTGGTGGAGGGTCTTGCCTCGATGTTGATGGCTGCTGACTGATCAGGGTGGTGGTTACTGAAGGTGGGGGTGACTGTGGCAATTTCCTAAAATTAGACAACAATGAAATTTGCCATATAAATTAACTCTTCCTTTCAAGAAAAATTACTCTGTAACATGTGATGCTGTTTGAAAGCATTTTACCCACAATATAACTTCTTTCAAAATCGGAGTCAGTCCTCTCAAATCCTGCTGCTGCTTTATCAATTAAGTTTGTGAATATTCTAAATCCTTTGTTGTCATTTCAACAATGTTCATGGCATCTTCACCATGAATAAATCCCATCTTGAGAAACCACTTCCTTTGCTCATCCATAAGAAGCAACTCAACATTCATTCAAGTTTTATAATGAGATTGTAGCAATTCAGTCATATCTTCAAGCTCCACCTCTAATTCTAGTTCTCTTGCTATTTCTGCTACATCTACAGTTACTTCCTCTACTTTTCAAGTTACTGAAGTCTTGAACTCCTCAAAGGCATACATGAGGGTTTGACCTTCTCCAGTGAATCACAGATGTTCTTAATGGCATCTAGAATGGCAAATCCTTTCCAGAAGGTTTTCAGTTTACCTTGCCCAGACCCATCAGAAGAATCATTATCTATGGCAACTATTGCCCTATGAAATGTATTTCTTAAATAACAAGACTTGAAAGTCAAAATGACTCCTTCATCTGTGGGCTGCAGAATAGATGTTGTGTTAGCAGGCATGAAAACAACATTCATCTCCTGTACAGTTCCATCAGAGCTCCTGGGTGTCCAGGTGCATTATTAAAGAGAAGTAATATTTTGAAAGGAATCTATTTTCTGAGCAGTAGGTCTCAACAGTGGGCTTAAAATATTCAGTAAGCCACCCTGTAATTAGAAATCAGATGGGCTGTCATCCAGGATTTGTTGTTCCATTTCTAGAGCATAGGCAGAGTAGATTTAACATAATTCTTAAAGGCCTTAAGATTTTCAGAATAGTCAGTGAGCATTGGCTTCAACTGAAAGTCACCAGGTGCATTTGCCCTGAACAAGAGTCAGCCTGTCCTTTGAAACTTTGAAGCCAGGCATTGATTTCTCTTCTCTAGCTATGAAAGTCCTAAATGACATCTTCCAATAGAAAGCTGGCTTATCTGCATTGAAAATCTGTCGTTCAGTGTAGCTACCTTTAACAATTATCTTAGCTAGATCTTTTGGATAACTTGCTGCAGCATCTACGTCAGCACCTGCTGCTTCACCTTATATTTTTATGTTATGGCAACAGCTTCTTTACGTAAACCTTATGAACCAACATCTGCTGGCTTCAAACTTTTTTCTTCAGTTTCCTTACTTCTTCAGCCTTCATAGAATTCAAGAGAGTTAGATCCTTGTTCTGGATTAGGCTTTGGCTTAAGGGAATGCTATAACTCGTTTGATTTTCTATCCAGACCACTAATGCTTTATCCATATCAGCAATAATTCTTATTATATAATTATTATTGGTGAGTTCACTGGAGTAGCTCTTTTAATTTCCTTTAAGAACTTTTCCTTTGCATTCTTCATTTGGCTAAGTGTTTGGTGCACGAGGCCTAGATTTCTGCCTACCTCGGGTTTTGACATGTCTTCCTCACTAAGCTTAATCATTTCTAGCTTTTGACTTAATGTGAGAGCCACGTGACACTTCCTTTCACTTTAACTTAGATGCCATTATAGGGTTATTAATTTGCCTAATTTCAATGTTGTTATGTCTCAAGGAATAGGGAGGCCCGAGGAAGGGATAGAGATGAGGGAATAGGCAGGCAGTGGAGCAGTCCAAACACACACAACATTTACTGATTAAGTTCACCATCTTGTATGGCACAGTTTATAGCACCCCAAAACAATTACAATAGTAACATTTGTATTAGTCCATTTTCACAGTGCTATAAAGCATACCAAAGACTGGGTAATTTCTAAAGAAAAGAGGTTTAATTAACTCACAGTTCCACAGGGCTGGGGAGGCCTCAGGAGACTTACAATCATGACAAAAGGGGAAGAGGCACATCTCACATGGTGGCAGGCAAGAGAGAGTGGTGAGCAAACAGAAAGAGCCCCTTATAAAACCATCAGATGTCCTGAGAACTCACTCACTGTCATGAGAACAGCATGGGG
Source organism: Homo sapiens (assembly GCF_000001405.40). Classification (NCBI taxonomy): domain Eukaryota; kingdom Metazoa; phylum Chordata; class Mammalia; order Primates; family Hominidae; genus Homo; species Homo sapiens. The sequence continues at coordinate 146,894,872 of NC_000001.11, forward strand.
GAAATCACCCCCATGATCCAATCACCTCCCACCAGGTCTCTCCCTTGACATGTGGGGATTACAATTCAAGATGAGATTTGGGTGGGGACACAAAGCCAAGCTATATCAATATCCAAAATCACTGATCACATATCATCATAACAGATACCAAAAAAATGAAACAACAAGGCATGGTGGCTCATGCCCATAATCCCAACACTTTGAGAGACCAAGGCAGGAGAATTGCTTGAAGTCAGGAGTTCAAGACCAGCCTGGGAAACACAGTCAGACCCCATATTTATGAAAAATAAAAATAATGGAAAATGTTCAAATATGAATTACCTAAATGTGACATGGAGATACAAAGTGAGCACATGCTGTTGGAAAAATGGTACTAATAGACTTGTTCAACAGAGGGTTGTCACAAACCTTCAATTTATTTTTAAAAATGCAATATCCGCAATGTACAATAAAGTGAAGTGCAATCAATGGAGGTGTAGCTGTATTTGAAAAAATAATTACTGAAATTTTCCTAATTGGATATTTTTTAAAAAATTAGTTTTTTAAAAAAAACTATAGATCCAAGAAACTTGGCAAACTTCAAGCAGGAGAAATACAAAGAAAACTATGCCTGTACACATCAGGCATCGTTTCATTTTCAAACTGCCAAAAAACAAAGATAAAGAGAAAAGCTTAAAGCAGCCAGGGGGAAAAAATACATATTACAGCAAGAGGGACAGCGATAACAATGGCTATCCTAGAGTTCTGGCTTCACCTAGGAAATAATGGAAGCTATCTGTAAAGCGATGAAAGGAAAGGAAACAGTCCATCTAAAAATTCTTTATCCACTAAAAATGTCCTTTAAAACTGAGAGTGAAATAGACATTTTCATATAAAAGAATCTGAGAACATTCATTGTCAGCAGATTTACATTACTGCAAAACATGTTAATAGATCTTCTTCAGTCTGAAGGGAAATGATACCAGATGGGAACTCCAGTCTGCAAGAAGAAAAGAGGGGCTCTAGAAATGGTCAATACCTAGGGAAATGCAAAATATATATTTGGAGGGTTTTTTTTTGGATTTCTTAAAAGATTACTGACAGTTTATAACAAATATAATAACATTCTAAGGTGGATGTTCTTATGTATATAGAAATAAAAGATATGATAACAAAAGCACAAAAGATGGGGTGGACAGGCAAATGAAGTGATGCTAAGGCAAGGTTATTATTAAGTGTGAGGTAGGGACCAGGAAGCATCCATTGTCAAGTGGGAAGTGATAAAATATTAACATTTAATAAATGTTGATAAGGATTCATTTTTAGCTCTGGAGCAACCACTAAACATTGTTTTAAAGGCCAGGTGCAGTGGCTCACACCTGTAATCCCAGCACTTTGGGAGGCTGAGGCAGACGGATCACCTGAGGTCAGGAGTTCAAGACCCGCCTGGCCAACGTGGTGAAACCCCGTCTCTACTAAAAATACAAAAATTAGACGGGCGTGGTGGCACATGCATGTAATCTCAGCTACTCGGGAGGCTGAGGCTGGAGAGTCACTTGAACCCAGGAGGTGGAGGTTGCAGTGAGCTGAGATCGCACCACTGCACTCCAACCTGGGTGACAGAGTAAGACTCCATCTCAAAAAAAAATATGTTTTAAAATATGACTAAGAAGCCAGTAGAGGAAGTAAAATATATGCCAAAAGATTGTGTATCAATCCAAACGAAAGCAGGAAAGTAACAACAGAAAAATGAAAAATAAAAGGGACAAGTGGAAAATAACTAGCAAGGAAGCAGACTTCGGGCCAAACATATAAACAGTCACTTTAGGCCCGGCACGGTGGCTCACACCTGTAATCCTAGTACTTTGGGAGGCCGAGGAGAGCAGATCACAAGGTCAGGAGATCGAGACCATGGTGAAACCCCATCTCTACTAAAAACACAAAAAAATTAGCCAGGCGTGGTGGTGGGTGCCTGTAGTCCCAGCTACTTGGGAGGCTGAAGCAGGAGAATGACATGAAACCAGGAGGGGGAGCTTGCCGGGAGCCGAGATTGCGCCACTGCACTCCAGCCTGGGCGACAGAGCGAGACTCCATCTCAAAAAAAAAAAAAAAAAAAAGAAAAAAGAAAAAAAAAATCACTTTAAATGTAAAACACTAAACACTCCAATTAAAAGACAGGGAGTGAAGGCCAGGCGCGGTGGCTCAAGCCTGTAAACTCAGCACTTTGGGAGGCCGAGGCGGGCGGATCACGAGGTCAGGAGATTGAGACCATCCTGACTAACACGGTGAAACCCCGTCTCTACTAAAAATACAAAAAAAAAAAAAAAAAAAAAATTAGCCAGGCGTGATGGCGGACGCCTGTAGTCCCAGCTGCTTGGGAGGCTGAGGCAGGAGAATGGCGTGAACCCGGGAGGCAGAGCTTGCAGTGAGCTGAGATGGCGCCACTGCACTCCAGTCTGGGTGACAGAGCAAGACTCCATCTCAAAAAAAAAAGGGAATGTTAGAAGCTCTTCAAGACACAAAGAAGTTGAAAGTAAAAAGCCAGACTATATAAAGAACTATTAACACCTAATAATAATAAGATAAAACAACCCAATGTGTTACAAAGGACAAACCACTTGAATAGACCCTATTGCATAAAAGCAGCTATGTGAATGACCAATAAAAACACGAGAAGATGCTGAACATTATCAGTCACCAGGGAAAAGAACTTAAAGAGGTGAGCAGCACAAGAAGTCCGTTGCAGGGGTGAAGGGACAGTATAGTGTCGTTACAAGTGTGAGCTCTGGAGTCAGTCTAACCTGGGTTCAAATCTTGGTCCTGACTCTTCTTTATGTGTGACCTTGGGCAAGATACTTGAGTTTGCGAAGCCTCAGTTCCCTCATCTTTACAAAATAAAAATTAAATTAAATTAAATTAAATTAAATTGAATTTTAAAAGGTTAAGTGGCATAATAACAGTGCCTACGAATTGTGTGAATTAACTAATTAAGCATTTCTATTTATTGCCTGGCATACAGTAATCATTAATTAAGTGTCAGATGCTATTGTTGTTTTTAAACTATCCCAGCAGCAACAGGAATAGGAAGAAAGCCCATTGTGGCCAGGCACTGTGGCTCACACCTATAATCCTAGCACTTTGGGAGGCCAACACGGACAGATCACTCGAGGTCAGGAGTTCAGGACCAGCCTGGCCAACATGATGAAACCCCGTCTCTACTAAAACTGCAAAAATTAGCCAGGCATGGTGGCAGGCGCCTGTAATCCCAGCTACTTGTGAGGCTGATGCAGGAGAATCACTTGAACCCGGAAGGTGGGAGTTGCAGTGAGCCGAGTCATGCCATTGCACTCCAGCCTGGGTAACAGAGTGAGACTCCTTCTCAAGAAAGAAAGAAAGAAAGAAAGAAAAAGAAAGAAAGAAAGAAAAAGAAAGAAAGAAAGAAAGAAAGAAAGAAAGAAAGAAAGAAAGAAAGAAAGAAAGAAAGAAGAGGAGGAGGGAGGGAGGGAGGGAGGGAAGGAAGGAAGGAAGGAAGGAAGGAAGGAAGGAAAAGAAAGACCGTTGAAAGTTACCTCAGAGGTCTCGCTTGTTTTCCAGAGCCGGCCAGCTGTCCCCACCAGGGAAGTGCTGGCGTTGGACAGTCCTGCTCTATCTAGCCTCTTCTAAAGCAAGCCCAGGCTATTTAATAATCTCTCATCTGGGAGGAGCCGGAATCCCTAACTAGAAAGTCTGGCTGGCAGGGATCCGGATAGGCTGCGAGCGTCCTGTCAGCCTGGTACCTGTGCTTCATGTGCCAAACAATGCTAAAAAAGAGAAGGAGGCTCTGAAAATGTGCAGAGGACCCTCGGCTCACCCCTACTCTTCCCTCCTTCCTCCCTCTCTCCCCGTGAATGCAGGTGATCTTCCGAAACGAGGTGACAAATGAGTTCTTGTACTACAATGTGAGTTTCAGGGTCATCCCTTCAGGCATCATCAAAACCATCGAGATGGTGACCCCAGTCCGGCAAGTTGCGTCAGCCTCCATCAAGTTGGAGAACCCTCTGCCCTACTCGGTGACCTTCTCCACAGAATGCCAGATGCCCGACATCGCCCTGCCCTCCCAGTTTGTGGTGCCTGCCAACTCCGAGGTACGTCCCCTTGGCTGTCGGGGGCTCCCTGAGAGCTGTGAGAGTGGCTTCCACCCATGAGATCTCTGGATCCACACTCTGCATCCCCAGAGGGTGGGCCAGCCCTGACAGTGGTCAGGAAGGCAGAGGACGGGACAATCACCCTCATGTTCCTTTTCTTGTTGCTAAAGTCCTCATAGGAGCTTGGGCACATCGTTTGGAATTCTCTCTTATGAACCTTGTCTCTGTGATTTGTTTGTTTTCTTTGTTCCAGCTAAAACTATTTTTCTTGTTTTTTCTTAATTATAAAAGTAGTATAGAGTCCAGGCGCAGTGGCTCACACCTATAATCCCACCACTTTGGGAGGCCAGGGACGGCAGATCACTTGAGGTCAGGAGTTTGAGACTAGCCTGGCTAACATGGTGAAACCCCCATCTCTACTAAAAATACAAAAATTAGCCCAGCATGGTGGTGGGTGCCTGTAATCCCAGCTACTTGGGAGGCTGAGGCAGAAGAATTGCTTGAACCCAGGAGGTGGAGGCTGCAGTGAGCCGAGATTGTGCCACTGCACTGCAGCCTGGGCAACAGAGTAAGACTCTATCTCAAAATAATATAAAATAAAATAATAAAATAAAATAGTATAGAATAGGTGTGGTGAAAAGGAAAACAAGGTATGTAATAGTGTGCGCACACACATACTACTTCAGGAAGGAGCACAAGAAAACTTTGACAGTGGTTAGGAGTGCATGGCTGGAATTATAGAATTGTGAACTGGCAGGGAGAGGAACTTTCTTTGGAGTCTTTTTATCTGGTTATCACTCCAAACTCTCACTGTCCAGATTCTATCAAATCTCTTCTGTTTTTCCACCTTCAGCCCACCTGACGAGTTCCCCTCACTCCAGCTCCAGCTGACTTCCTTCTTCAGGCTGGTCATTTGTGTTGGTTTCAATGTCTAGTTATCCTGAAAAATGTGGCCATGGATCTCCTGGTACATGTATCCTCCCAATGCGCATAGGCATACGTTGTTCCACAGCATATGCCTAGGAGTAGAACCACAGGTCATAGAGTGTGCATAGCTTTCACTTTAGTAGGTAATTGCCAATTAGTGATGAGAGTTCCTAATGTTCAACGTCTTCACCAACCCTTGGTATTGTCGGTTTTTTTAAGGTTACTAATCTGATAAACTGCTAACTCCTCGTGGACTTAATTTCCCTTTTTACAAACAGATTGATTTCAGTTGGGTAATATTATATATAGGAGATCTGCATCTGTGTTCATGAGTGAGCTTAGACCACCGTTTTCCTCTCTCGTACTGTCTCTGTCCAGTTTGCATATCAAAGTTTTGCAAGCCATATAGAGTCAGGCATTTTCTCACTTTCTGGATTCTGTGAGTTTACAAAAGATTGAAATTACGTCTTTCTTGAACTCACAGATGAAGCCACCTAGGCCTGGTGGGTTTTTGTATGTGTGGAGGTGGGAGAGATTGTCTGCTACTTATTTGTCTACTACTATTCAATTCCTTTAATGGGTTATTGGACTACTTAGATTTTCTGTTTCTTCTTGCATCAGTAATAAGACCATGTTCATTGCATCCATATATTAAAATGTTGGTATAAAGTTGTTAATGTCATATTACCTTTGTAATGTGACGTCGCTTTTTCATTTCTAATATTGGTTATTGTGCCTTCTCTCTGTTTCTTAGTCTTACCAGAGGTTTCTTTCCAAAATGCATCTTTTGTCTCCATTGTGACTCTATTGTATGCTTGCTTTCTGGTTACTTGATTTCTGCTCTTGTCTTTATTATTTCCTTCCTTCTGCTTCCTTTGGGATACTGGGGGCTTATTTAATTTCTAAGATGAAGGCTTAGTGCTTTGACTTCTAGTCTTCTTGATTTTCCAAGCTAGACATTTAAAATTATAAATATCTAAGTACTGCTTTAGCAGTTATACAAATTGTGATTGTAGTGTTTTTTATTCAGTTCAAAAAGGTTCTAATTTTTGTGATTAATACTTCTTTTTTAACTAATGGTTATTAGAAGAGTTTCTTAATTTCTGAAGATGTGGATTTTTCTAGTTATTTTTTAAATTACTTTGTGATCTGAGAACATATTCTATATTATTTCAGTTCTCTAGAATGTGTTTAGACTTGTTTTTATGGCCCAGTGTGTGGTTTTGTGGGGTGGTTTTTTGTTGTTGTTGTTGTTTATCCTCCATCTATTTTTTAAAAGGATGCGTTTGCCATTTTGAGGTTTATTTTTGAGACAGAGTCTCACTCAGTCAGCTGGAGTGCAGTGGCGCAATCTCAGCTCACTGCAGCCTCTGCCTCCCAGGTTCAAGCAATGCTCTTGCCTCAGCCTCCCGAGTAGCTGGGATTACAGGCGCACACCACTACGCCCTGCTAATTTTTATATTTTTAGTAGAGATGGGGTTTTGCCATGTTGGCCAGGCTCGCCTGAAACTCCTTACCTCACATGATCTGCCCACCTCAGCCTCCGAAAGTGCTACTGGGATTACAGGCGTGAGCCACTGTGCGCAGCCGGGTTCAATTTCCTGTATTCTTACTGACATTTTTGTCTGCTTTTTTTTTTTATCAGTTAAGAGAATACATTAAAGTATATCACTATGATTGTGGATCTGTTTGTTTCTTCTTGTAGTTTGTCATGTTTTGCTTCATATACTTTGAACTATATTTTGGTTAAGTAAAAATGATAGTATTTTTCTGGTAACTTGAAACTGTTTTCATTACGAAGTGATCCTCTTTGTCTCTACTAATGATTTTGCCTTGAAGATCATTTTGTTGGCTATTAATACAACTTTCTTCTGGTTAGTATTTGCATAGTGTATGTTTTAATTGTCATACTTTCAACCTTTCTGTGACCTTATAATTTAAATGTGTCTTTTATAAACAGCATATAGATGAGATAGATTTTAAGAGAAGGGGGTGGAGAGGGGATTGAGACAGGGTCTCACTCTGACACCCAGGCTGGAGTGCAGTGGGTGATCACAGCTCACTGTAGCTTCAACCTCCCCAGGCTCAGGTGATCCTCCCAACTCAGCCTCCCGAGTAGCTGGCACTACAGGTGCGTGTCACCATACCCGGCTAATTTTTATATTTTTTTGTAGGCTCATCTCAAACTCCCCGGCTCAAGCAATCCACCCGCCTCAGCTTCCCAAAGTGCCGAGGCGGGTGGATTGCTTGAGCCCAAGAGTTACAGGTGTGAGCCACCACGTCCAGCCAGATTTGTTTTTTTAATCCATCCTAGCAATCTTTACTTTTCACTGGAGTCTTTATATTATTTGTATTTAATATACTGACATAGTCAAGTTTATATTCCCCCCTGTGCTTTCTCGTTATCTGGGCTGTTCTGTTTTCTTTTTCTCTTTTGTTTTGTAGATATCTCTTCCCATCTTGTCTTCACTGTTACTCACTCACATTCACTTTTTTAAGATGATAACTTTGTGTATAATTGTACCATCCTCCTTTTCCATTGCTCATGTTAGGTTTTTCCATACTCTTGGAAGGAGAAGGTAACCTGTGTATCTAAGGCTCTCTCCTCTGTTGTAACTGCAAAATGTTGATTTTTTTTTCAAATACAGCCTTATGCTTTTAAGATTTATTTTCTCTGCTCTCATCCCCACCTTTTTCTGAGCTCTATCTTTCCTTTACCCCTAGTGTCTCTGTTGTGGTCAAATAGATTCTACTTTCATAAATTTCTCTCAGTGCAGGAGTTTTATCTTAGAAAGGAGCTTCAGTCACTTGGTTTTGTGCATTCAAATGGCCTATACTGCCCCATATTGTCCAATCTTATCGCAACAGTTTTTGCAATTAACTATAAACTGGAGCCCGAAATATTCCTCCAGCTTAGGCTGCTATTGTCAAATTGTCCTATCGGGTTTTCCAGGTTTTGCCTGTTCATGCAATGTCAAGGGAAGAAAAGTTTTCCAGGTTGCATGAGAGCCCCCAATTCAGAGGCGATTCTGGGTTCTTGGGCTCTCGAGACTGATGCTGTTTTGCCTTCCTCCTGCTTTTCCTCTATAGTGGCTGATACCGCATCCATCTGCTAGCTGTTAGTAATTTGGTCCTACCCACTAGTATTTTGGGATTTGAGGGGTTACCTTTTCACTGAGTTTTGTTATAAATCGTGGCCATGTGTTCTTGCTGCTGTTAACCTAGTAGATCTGTGCATTTCCTGGGGAGATTTGGGGAGATACCAAACTACGCTGCTGCAATCATCTTGCCTAAAGCCTGAAATTGCTTTCATATGTGAGCAGAAGTCAAGTTTTCTTTTTTTCCAAATGGGTATAAATTGTCTCATACTGTTTTTACTTAAAAGGCCATCTTTTCCCCCACTGCTCTGCAGGGCCGTTTATGAAATAAATCAAGTTCATCTATGCATGGGTCTGTTCTAGCTTTTCTATGATATCATAATGTTCTAATTACTGAATTTGTGCCAATATCAGAGCATCCTAATTACTACCTACTTAGAGTAAGGTTTGATGTCTGGTAAAGCAAGCAATTATTCCAGCTTTATGTTGAGACTTAGTAACCTCTTATATTGTTGTTCTGCTGGAGTATCTTAGCTATTCTTGGCCCTTTACATTTACATATCAATTTTGAAATCAGCTTGTCAAGTTCCTCAATAAAAAATAAAAAGAAAAGAAAAATAACCTGTTGGGATTTTGATTTGGATTACATTGAATCTATAGATTATTTTCAGACTATATTAGCTATTTGTTGATCTGTAACAAATGAACCAAAACTTAGCAACTTAAAACAACAGACATTTACTGTCTGCGCAGTTTCTGAGGATCAGGATTTAAGAGCAGCACCTTGGCCAGGTGGTTTGGGCTCAGGGTCTCTCAGGAGACTGGAATCAAGTTGTCAGCCAGGACGCTAGTCATCTCGAAGCATGACTGGGGCTAGATTTTCTGTCTCCAAACTCACTCATGTGGTTGCTGGAAAGGCCTTAGCTCCCTGCTGGCTGTTGGCTGGAGGCTTCAGTTCCTCACTATGCGGGCCTCTCCCTAGAGCTGCTTTCAACATGGCAGCTCGCTCACTTCCCCTAGGATGAGAGATCTAAGAGAAAGAGTGCACAAGAATAGAAGCCACAGGCCGGGCGCGGTGGCTCACACCTGTAATCCCAGCACTGTGGGAGGCTGAGGCAGGCGGATCACAAGGTCAGGAGTTCGAGACCAGTCCGGCCAACATAGTGAAACCCCATTTCTACTAAAAATACAAAAATTAGCCGGCCATGATGGCATGTGCCTGTATTCCTAGCTACTCAGGAGGGTGAGGCAAGTGAATTGCTTGAACCTGGGAAGCAGAGATTGCAGTGAGCCGAGATGGCAACACTGCACCCCAGCCTGGGTGACAGAGCGAGACTCTGTCTCAAAAAAATAAAAAAAGAATAGAAGCCACAGTCTTTCATCATTTAATCTCAGAAGTGACATGCCATCTTTTCTGCCATATGCCAGTGGTCACACAGGTCAGCCCCTGGTATCATATGGGAGAAGACTACACGAGGCTGGGAATCCCCAGAGGTGGGGATTATTGAGGACCATCTTGGGCCTGTCTATCAGAAGGAGAATTAATATCTTTACAATATTGAGATTTCCAATCCATGAGCAAATCTCCACTTATTTAAGTCCTTTTAAATTTCTCTCAATAGCATTTATTTGGTTTTCTATGTAGAGACTTTATTCATCTTTTATTAGGCTTATTTCTAGGTTTTATATATTTTGATGCTATTACAAATAGTATCTTTTTAAAATTTCACTATTTGTTGTAAGAATATAGAAATATAATTGATTTTTGTGTATTGATTTTGTACCCCATCATCTTTTACAATTCACTTATTTCGGGTTTGTTTGTTTGTGACAGAGTCTCGCTTTGTCACCCAGGCTGAAATGCAGTGGTGTGATCAGGCTCACTGCAACCTCCAGCTCCCAGGTTCAAGCGATTCTCATGCCTCAACCTCCTGAGTAGGTGGGATTACAGATATGCGCCACCATGCATGGCTATTTTTGTATTTTTAGTAGAGACAGGGTTTCACCATGTTGGCCAGGCTGGTCTTGAACTCCTGGCCTCAAGTGATCCTCCTGCCTTAGCCTCCCAAAGTGCTGGGATTACAGGCGTGAGCCACCACGCCTGGCTACAATTCATTTATTTTGTATAATGACTTTGTACCCAACCATCTTCTAAAATTCACTATGTTCAGGAGAAAGACTGGCATCCAATTTTTCTTTCTCCTATTATTGTTGGATTTTGGTATCAACTTTATGCTGGTTGGAACGGGTTCCCTCTTAGTCTTTTCTCTGAAAGAATTTGTGGAATACTAGTATTCTTTCATCCTTGATTGTCTGGTATAACTTACGAGTAAACATTTATGAACCTGAATTTCTTTAAGGATTTTTTTTACTATTGATTACATTTCTCTAGTGGTTATATTAATAGAACTAAGTGGATTTTCTATATGTTCTTGGGTCTGATTTTTTTTTTTTCCCAAGATGGAGTTTTGCTCTTGTGGCCCAGGCTGGAGTGCAATGGCGTGATCTCGGCTCACCACAACCTCTGCCTCCCGAGTTCAAGCAATTCTTCTGCCTCAGCCTCCCAAGTAGCTAAGATCACAGGCATGCGCCACCACGCCCAGCTAATTTTGTATTTTTAGTAGAGACGGGGTTTCTCCATGTTGGTCAGGCTGGTCTCAAACTCCCAATCTCAGGTGATCCGCCTGCCTTGGCCTCCCAAAGTGAGGTCTGTTTTTATAGGTTATATTTGTTTATACACATGTCTATTTTATCTAGTTTTTAAATTGTGGTAAAATTATCTAAATTCTTATACTATATTCTTTTTTGTTAAACAACTATAACTTCAGCGATATCCTCTTTTTATTCTGATATTTTTCTTTTTTAAAAAACTTTTTTAGAGATGGGGTCTCACTGCGTCTTCCAGGCTGGAGTGCAGTGGTATGATCATAGTTCTTTGATTTTGTTTATGGTGGTTTTCATCACACAAAAAAATGCAGTCAAATTTATTAATCTTTTAAAAAATTGCCGCTGGATTTTAAATCATAGTTAGAAAGGCTTTTTCTTACCAAGGCTAAATAATAATGTAGCCATTTATTTTCTATACTATGTGGTTTTAGTTTTTATATTTACATCACTAATCCACTTGGAGTTTATACTGCTATATGGTATGTTTTACCCTAGTGATTTGAGATGCCACTTTCGTCATATACTAAATTTCCATATGTATTTTGGTCTAATTCTGGACTATTCTCTTCCACTGGCTTCTTTATTTCTCTGTGCTCCAGTACCACTCTGTTTTAATTATCCAGGCTTTATCAAATGTTTTAATTTCTGGTAAGCCTAATCACTACAGCTTTTCTTTTTCAGTGTTTTCCACCTCATTCCTACCCATCTTTTTTTTTATATGAACTTTAGTATCAAAATCTCTAACTCCAGAAAATAGCCTGTTCATATTTTGATGGAATTGTATTACATTTATAAATTAACTTAGGGGGAAGTGGTATTTTCATAAAGCTATAATTCTATCCAAGAACCTGGGAATGTCTTTCCTTTTATTCAAGTTTTTATTACTGTCTGTTAGGAGTGTTTTGACATTTTCCATGCATAGGTTTTCATACCTCATTAAATTTATTCATAAATACTTATATTTATTCATAAATACATATATTTTGATGCTATTTAAATGGTGTTTTCTCTACCATTATGTCCCCTGTTTGTTTGTATGAAGGCTATTGATTTTTATGTTAATTTTATATCCGTGTTCTTCAGTAAATTATTTTATTGTTTGAGTTAGTTTTATTATTGATTCTCTGGGATTTTCCACATACATTATTATATCATCTGCAAATATAGTTTTACCACTCATTTAGTCACTCTTATGCCTTTCACTGATTTCTCTTATCTAATTGCACTGGCTAATATCTCTAACAGCAGCAGAGATAATAGATATTTATGTCTTGCTTCTGATGTTAGTAGAAACATCCCTAATGCTTTTCCATTAAATAAGATAATGACTTTAGGACTATGAACCCCCCAAATTTGAGACAAGTCTCAGTTAATTTAGAAAGTTTATTTTGCCAAGATTGAGGATGTGCACCTGTGACACAGCCTCAGGAAGTCCTGATGACATGTACGCGAGGTGGTTGGGGCACAGCTTGGTTTTCTGCATTTTAGGGAGACATGTGACATCAATCAATCAATATATGTAAGAAGTACATTGGTTCTGTCCAGTGAAGGGATGGCCTGCCCCTCCACACCTGTGGGTGTTTCTCATCAGGTAGGATGAGAGACTGAGAAGAGAAAGAGACACAGAGACAAAGAATAGAGAAAGAAAAGTGGGCCTAGGGGACTGGCGCTCAGCTTATGGAGGCACTCAGCTTACAGTTTACGGAGGACCGGCAGGCACTGGTCTCTGAGTTCCCTCAGTATTTATTGATCATTATCTCTACCATCTCGGAGAGGAGGATGTGGCAGGACAATAGGGCAATAGTGGGGAGAGGGTCAGCAGGAAACATGTGAACAAAGATCTCTGTGTCATAAATAAGTTTAAGGAAAGGTGCTGTGCCTTGATGTGCATGTATAGAAACACCTTGGTGCATTAAAGAGCAATATTGCTGCTAGCACGGCTCACCTCCAGCCCTAAGGCAGTTTTCTCCTATCTCAGTAAATAGAACATACAGTCGGTTTTACACCGAGACATCATTGCCCAGGGACGAGCAGGAGACAGATGCCTTCCTCTTATCTCAACTGCAAAGAGGCCTTCCTCTTTCACTAATCCTCCTCAGCACAGACCCTTTACGGGTGTCAGGCTGGGTGACGGTCAGGTCTTTCCCTTCCCAGGTCTTTCCCTTCCCACGAGGCCATATCTCAGGCTATCACATGGGGAGAAACCTTGGACAATACCTGGCTTTCCTAGGCAGAGATCCCTGCAGCCTTCTGCAGTGTATTGTGTCCCTGGGTACTTGAGATTAGAGAATAGTGATGACTTTTAACAAGCATACTGCCTTCAACACTTTTTTAACAAAGCACATCCTGCATAGCCCTAAATCCATTAAACCTTGAGTCAACACAGCACATGTCTCTGCGAGCACAGGGTTGGGGCCAGGGTTACAGATTAACAGCATCTCAAGGCAGAAGAATTTTTCTTAGTACAGAACAAAATGGAGTCTCTTATGTCTACTTCTTTCTACATAGACACAGTAACAGTCTGATCTCTCTTTCTTTTCCCCACACAGTGTTCATTGTAGGCCTGAGAGAGGGAGAGAGAGAGAGAAAAGGATAATTAAAGACAGTCTCATGAGATCTGCTGGAGGTTCAGGGAGGTCCCAGACCACCCTGGGCTTTCCCTGTAGGCCAATCCTTCATGTTCCAGTTATTGAATGCCCATTCTACTGTAGGAACAGATCATAGTTATTAGAGTTCAGAAAATAAATTTTCCCTGTTATTTATTCTGGAATTTGTCTTATCCTTTTAATATTCTACAAGTCTCCCACCAGTCTACTAAAGAATATCACTTCCCTAAGGAACAGAATGGTCTGCTTCTGATACTAAAAGTAAGATGTTTGTTTTTGAAGCAACATAAATTCAAATAGGGATAACAACTCTTTCTTTGTGGAAAATCAAAGCATCTTTATATTTACTTGAGTAAACAGAAAAAATATCTCAATTGAAATGATTTCCCACCTGCCAAACAAAACAGTTTTCTTTTGTAAGTCCTATTCCATATATGCGAGTGGTCAAAGCACAAGGCTGCACAAAGGGAATAGTAATGAATTCAGCTAGTGCAAGCCACTGTACCCGCCGAGAGCTCACTCGCTCCATCCTGCAACCTGGACTGACAGGCTCAGCTGCTTACTAAGTGTCAGTTCTTTTCTCAAAGAGCCATGTTTTTCCTGGGAGTTAATTTGTGGGTGTTTCATGTTGGTTGAATTGGGCCTAAAGTCAAAGCAAAACTTTGGAGAAGCTGTGATGCATCCCAGGTTAAACCAGAACTATTTATTGCAGCTTCCCTTTTTGGCCACGTAGTTCTTGTCCTACAGAGTGGCAGGGATTTTCCACTTCAAGTGTCTGCTTGTATCTTGGGAGGTGGGTCATGAGGACCTCTAGCCTTCTTTTTTTCCTGTGGCTCTCTTTGGAGGTCTGGCCAAACTGACCCACCAGTGCTCCTCAGGACCAGCCACAGGCAGAACACTGCAGGACATGAAGTTTGCCTTTTACAGCCCCATACCTGTACTATTTTCACCTTTCCCAATTCCTAGGACTTCCCAGACCTACCCAGGGGCTTCTGGCTATGGTGCCTGGCTCCTTCGCTATGACACTAAACCTAGGCCTGCCTTGATTTTAAAAAAGATAGCAACATTCACCACCACAATTACCATTTATTGGCCCTTCATTGTGTGCCTAACATTATGTTGCACATTGTATTCATATTTTTCTCCATCACTGTGTGAGCTCAACAGCTATAAGAAGTGGCTATACATGCAGCAAATACCTTTGGTGCCCTCTCTGTCTCCTTGCCTACTCCAGGAGGTCTCATGCAGGCCAGATGGCATGACAGCTGTGTCCCTTTGCCTGAGAGGGTGCCCTCGCCTCCTGAGAAGATGGTAAATTGAGGGCTAAGCTAGAGGTGCTCAGTCCAGGAGTGATCCTCAATCTTTGAGGGGTAGGAATTTCTGGGAAAATTTCTTGACTTCCTATTCCCCATGGTGGGACAATTCTGGGGTAGGTTCCCAGGTCTCCCAGAGGGTCTTCAAAAAGATTGACAGCAGTGGCCTAGTGGTAACCTCATGGCAGCCACTTTATTGGTTTGTCTCCTCTCCCTCCTGTCTCACTTACCATTCCCTCTCATTGCTCTCTGGGATTTCTGCCCAAGCGTGTTCTCAATCCTTGTGTCATGATTTGTCCTTGAAGGAATCTCCACCAACATACTGCACGATTGTCCTCCCAGAACAGGAGAGAAAGAGAGCTTTGGGAGGCTGACATGCATGAGGACGTGTAGCTGGTGAGTGGCCAGCAGGACATGAATCAGCACCATCACTTATGTTTCCATCAGAATCAGTGTGGGCATATTTTTCTAGTTAGTTAATCAAATTAATTAATGTGTAGCTTTTTTGAAAATGATTTAAGCCTTTAGAACATATCCTAATACTTCCTTCTTCTATCAAATCTATTTGTCCTGTGTCACATTCCATTGAGACTCAGGATTTAACCAGCAATATAATTAGATACAAAATATAAAAAATTAATCAATATTGCAATGCTATAGCTGAAAGTGATGAAAGGTAGTATGCCTCTAGCGCTATTCATACTTTACACTAGACTTTTCCAATTGCAGTGCCTTAATTTAAAGGAAGAACTCTGTTAGTAGAATTTCAGGCATCTAAGTAGTCAAGGAAACCCCCTCTCCATGCTGTTCAATGGACTTTTCCTGAGCCCCTTACACATCTTTCCATTTGCTAACTCTACCTGCTGATACTGATGCTTTATCTAATCATCAATGGGATTCCTCTTGAAATGGAAGGCAAAGTTCAACCCTGAATGTGTGCTGGCCTGGCTCCTTCGCAGTGACAAAAACATGCAACTGTCTCTTCTTTACCTCTCTGGCTCATCAGGGAACATGGAGGAACTGTTTACGTGCCTTTGTTTCCCAGCCTGTGAAAGGAAGATAACACTTGCTCCAACATGCTTTTCAGCGGGTGATGTGAAGATAAATGTGATAACGTCTACAAAGTCCTCCAAATTCTCGGGATGAAATGTGCTATGTAAATGGAACACAGCCCCGTTATGATTGAAGTTTAATGCAGCAGCTCTCAGGCCTATACAGGGAATGCAGTCTGGCTGGAAGGTAGGATTGCTGAGTTGTCCCCTCTAATCATTGTCCCTGTGGATTCACCATCCAGCAGCCTCATCTTAGAAATGCCCATCCTTTCCATTCATTCAATTTGGTTTTTATTTTCAAGAGACCAGTTACACAGTTACGTTTTTCCCTTTATATTCTTCAGCTATGGGGGTCAGGTTTTAGAAAACACGTATGTACAAACATACATTGCCACCTAATTGATGACCTAACTCCTGGAGGGCCTAAGGACTAGATCAGCAACTAGACATTTAGATATAAATTCTGTGCTGAAAACAATATTCTTGATCCTCTGCATGTTTGTGTGTGGCCTGACACAATCATGCATTGGCCGTTTTCTTTTCTTTTTTCTTTGTTTTTTTGAGACAGAGTCTCGCACTATTGCCCGGGTTGGAGTGCAGTGTCACAGTCTTGGCTCACTGCAACCTCTGCCTCCCAGGTTCAGGCGATTCTCCTGCCTCAGCCTCCCGAGTAGCTGGGATTACAGGCACCCGCCACCACGCCTGGCTAATTTATTGTATTTTTAGTGGAGACGGGGTTTCACTATGTTGGCCAGGCTGGTCTCGAGCTCCTGACCTCGTGATCTGCCTGCCTTGGCCTCCCAAAGTGTTGGGATTACAGGCGTGAGCCACCGCATCTGGCCCAAGCATCACCCATTTTCTTTTCTTTTCTTTTTTTTTTTCTGAGACGGAGTCTCGCTCTGTCGCCCAGGCTGGAGTGCAGTGGCGCAATCTCGGCCCATTGCAAGCTCCGCCTCCCGGGTTCACGCCATTCTCCTGCCTCAGCCTCCTGAGTAGCTGGGACTACGGGCGCCCGCCACCACGCCCGGCTAATTTTTTGTATTTTTAGTGGAGACGGGGTTTCACCATGTTAGCCAGGATGGTCTCCATCTCCTGACCTCGTGATCTGCCCGCCTCGGCCTCCCAAAGTGCTGGGATTACAAGGCGTGAGCCACCGCACCCGGCCACATCACCCATTTTCAAAACAACAAGCTATACAATTTTCCTTTTTGTGACAGAATTGGAACTACTGGATTTCTCAGTAAAAGCAAAACAAAACAACCATAGAAAAATACCACCGTCTCCTTCTCAAATTAATTCTTTCAGTTTGTGCTTCTAACTCCATAAAAATGTGGTTTAGCTTTCGAGGTTTTTATTAATATTTATAATGCCCTTTTGGTGCCTTTGAGTCACACAGAAATAGAGCCCTGGTATAAATACCTATCTTCTAGGTGGATTGTGGTATATCTAAACTCAGCCATAAATTTTGAAGTTTTTATGTATATGTATATTTGACTTTGCTTTGTTTCTCTTATTTCTTGATATAAAAGTTTATATTTTAAATACTTTTTAAAATGCAAATTTTAAAAGCTTATATTTTATTTTCAAAAGTAATGCATGCTTATAAAAATATACTGATATGGATATAGAAACAAAGAGGAGAAAAAACCTCTTCTTCCAGACACATTTCTAAAAACCTGTTGCCAAGAAGTAAATCATGCACTTTAAGTCCTTTTAAATTAATGCCTTGTTAGTTTGAGGGATCGAAAGTGTCTTAAGAAGCTACTAGCTCGTCATATTTCTTTAATTCTAAATATCAAAGTAACAAAAACTGTGAAAGATTTCAAAAATACAGAAAACTATACAAAATTATAATCACCCATAAGTCTACTGCCAAAAGGTAATCAAGTTTTAACATTTTAGTGTACTTCTTTCAAAATTTTTCTCTGCCAATATGGTAGAGATGGTACAATAGTCCCTTCAATTGCTCCATATTATATTGTAACAATTGTCTAATGTTAAGAGACATTTTTCATTGGACACAATGGTTCATGCCTATAATCCCAGCACTTTGGGAGGCCAAGGCAGGAGGATCACTTCAGGTGAGGTGTTTGAGACCAACCTGGCAAACATGGAGAAACTTCGTATCTATTAAAAATGCAAAAATTAGTTGTGAATGGTGGCACGCACCTGTAATCCCAGCTTCTTGGGAGCCTGAGGCAAAAAAAAACATTCTTTCAAAAAAACATAATTTTGAATGGCTGTAAAATATTCCTTTATAAATGCTTCATATTAAACTTTTTCCAGATAATGAGAGGGAATATTCAGCCCTCTCACCTCATGTTTTCCTTGTGAGGGAGGGGCTCTTCTTCAATGACCAAGAAGGAGACATGTAAATGGAACCCTCGTTTGTCACCTCTCTCAATCCCCTCCCTCCTTCTTTCCAAAGGCAGAGTGACTCCTCTGGCTGCTGAGATGGAAGAGGTGTCAGTTCAGTCACTCTCCACAGCAATTCTGCGACGCCCTGAGGCTTTGTGTTTCATCTCCTTGGAATGGCTGGTTGGGCCCCACTATGTGGTCAGCTTCTCTGTCTGACAAGACTCACTTATTCTGGCATGTTCTTGCTCCTGCAGAGGGCAGACATGCAGTTGGGGATGGAAGTGTTTAATTCTGAAGGAAAAGTGGTAGGCTTGTAGCCACAGGTTGAGCTGCTTCTCTAATGCAGTTTAGTCAACCTTTAGGATTTTATTTTTTTTCTTTTTTTTTTTTTGTAGACGGAGTCTTACTCTTGTTGCCCAGGGTGGAGTGCAATGGCGCTATCTCGGCTCACCGCAACCTCTAACTCCCAGGCTCAAGCCATTCTCCTGCCTCAGCCTCCGGAGCAGCTGGGATTACAGGCATGCGCCACCACGCCCAGCTAATTTTGTATTTTTAGTAGAGGCGGGGTTTCTCCATGTTGGCCAGGCTGGTCTCGAACTCTGGACCTCAGGTGATCCACCCGCCTAGGCCTCCCAAAGTGCTAGGATCACAGGCGTGAGCCACCACGCCCGGCCAACCTTTAGGATTATAGATAGATGTTCATCAGCTGGATTCCTGCAGTTGTTTCTCAACTTGCTCCTAATTTAGATGAGGGGAGAAGGTGAGTCAAGAGAAAAAAAATGTAACGATTAATAGTTATAGCCCTATACCTCAACTAATGTTACTATTGCTAACATTTATTTAGTATTTATTCTGGGTCAAGCTGCATTTTCTCATATAATTCCCCCAACAACCCTGTGAGGTCATAGTATTATTGTTATCATTTTACAGATGATGGAACTGAGGCATGATGAAAGCCCCTCGCAAGTAAGGGAGCTGGGATTTGCTCCCATGTTCCTAGCCACTTCAGTCTATCGCCCTTCATCTATTCTACATCATAAATAACACACAAACTTTTTTGCACCAATTGTAGCTTGACTTGTAAACTCTACCTGATGTTGTTTTCTATAGTTGAATATGTCTGTTATTTTTTAAATAATATTTTATTGTAGTTATTGAATATCATTATAATGACTTTTGGGATATACAGATTTTTATTTTTATGCAGTTAAATCTATTCTTATTTTCCTTCGTGACTTATTCCATCTTGATTTTGTGTTTAGGAAGTCTTTCCAACCCAATAAATAGATTTTCACCTATATTTTCCTTTAGATTCTATGGTTTTATTTTAAAAGTATAACTTTTGACATCCAGAAATTATTTGATATAAGAGAACCGTTCTAAGATTTTTGTTTTGTTTTGAAGAAAAAACAAACAAACAGTTGACTCAACACCATCCTTTCTCCACTGGTTTCCAAACCTGTTTCTGGTTTCTGTTTTTCTCCTTTGCACTACCTACTAATTTTTCTGTAATTTCACTCTGTTTTTATTTGTTTGTTGAAGTTTTTACTGTAGCTTTATGGAATATTTTAATATTTAGAAGGATGAGTCCCACCTTAGTACTCTTTATTTTTAGAAACTTGTTATCATCATGTGATATTCTTCCACATACATTTAAAAATTATTTTATCAAATCTCTGTCCTAAAATCTTAGTGGGAATGTAGTTAGAATCTAGTTTCATCTGCAACTCAGTTTGGAAGTATTTAATATCTTTACAGAATTCCTTTTTTCCATCTAGGAACCTGTAATTTATTTCTTCTTAAATATTTTCTCTTGCATGTCTCAGGTACTGAATTTGTCCTCATGAATGTGGCATTCTTTCTTGTTCAGGTTATTTCTATTATTTTATATGTTTGGAGGCTACTGGGAATAGATTCTTATATAAATAGTTATTATGGTTTCACATTGTTTAAAACAACTGGTTATTGTTGGCATATGGACAATGTGGACAATTTTTAAAAAGTATTTTTATTTAGTTTGTAGTTTCTTTATTGACCTCATTAATTTTAAAGTTTTTCCTTTAATCCTCCTGAGTTGTCTGTGCATAAATATATCATTTAGAATAATGGCTTTCATTGCTTACAATTTTTACATATGTTTCATTTTTATTTTATTGACTGGAACTCCCAGAATAGTGTTAAATAACAATTATAATGGACATCCTTATTTTGTTTAAATTTTAATGGAAATGCCTACAGGGTTTCACTGTAAAACATGACAGTTCTTGTTGCTTTAGAATAGATATTTAAGTAAATAATATGTCTATTTGTAAAAAATATTTTCTCTTTAACAACCAGCACTAGATGTTGAATTTTATTATATTATTTTTCTTTGTCTTATTATATTTTCAAACATTAAACCATCCTTGCATTTTAAGAATAATATTTAATGATGTGTCGGGAGACAATTCTCCATGGGTCTCTCACATTTCTGTACTCCTTGTGAGCACAGGCACTGACTGCTCTTTGGGAGTATGTTTTCAAGGATAGAGGCTTTTCCTCCATAATGAAGGGTAGGTTTGCTTACAGACTTAAAAATATAGTGTCTCTCCCTGGTGCAACAAACAAACATTCTTACTGATCCAGTGTCATAAAGTCTCCCTCTGGAGCAACGGGCAGCGGGCACATGTTTATTGCCCATTTTAAAAGATCTGAGTTTCCTGAACTCAGGCTTCCTCTCCTGTAATGCAATCCACTGAATGTGCAGGTGTCCACCTGGGCCCATATCACATGGCCCACCTGAGAACGGGTGGGCGAGGGGTCAGGAGCAGTGATGAGCATACTGATGCTTATGCTGTTTCCTGTGTATGCCAAGAGCAACAAAATCCTTTGTGTCTGACCATAAAGTCTCATTTCTTCTGCCACATGAAACTGGCAGGCTAACTTGTTAGCTTGCAAGTAGGGTAAGATGTCAGACCCTTTACAGTTGTTTGTTTTTTGGAGACAGGGTCTCATTCTGCTGCCCAGACTGGAGTGCAGTGGCATGGTCATGGCTCACTGCAGTCTCAAACTTCTGGGCTTAAGTGATCCAGCTACCTCAGCCTCCAGAGCAGCTGGGACTACAGGCATGCACCACCATGCCTGGCTAATTTTAAAAAAATTATTTTTGTAGAGATAGGGTCTTGCTATGTTGACGAGGTTGGTTTTGAACTCCTGGCCTCAAGTGATCCTCCTACTTCTGCCTGCCAAAATGCTGGGATTATGGGCATGAGCCACCATATCCAGCCAGTTCTTATTGTTTAAGTAACACATTCAGTTTTCTAGAAATTTACTTATGAATTTACATCAACCTTCATAAGTAGTATTGGTTTGTAATTTTTTTCTTCCACACTATCTTCATTAGATTATTATGGTTATGCTAATGCTACAAGGAATTTGTAAGTTTTCCATCTCTTCCTGTACTGAAACAGTATATACGATGTGCAAACTATTCCTTTAAAATTTGCAAAGACTTAGACTGAGCGTGGTGGCTCACACTTGTAATCCCAGCACTTTGGGAGGTGGAGGTGGGAGGATCACTTGAGGGCTGATGGCTTGAGTCCAGGAGTTCAAGACCAGCCTGGGCTACACGGTGAAACCCTGTGTCTACTAAAACTACAAAAATTAGCTGAGCATGCTGGTGTGTGCCTGTAATCCCAGCTACCCGGGAGACTGACGAAGGAGATCACTTGAACCCGGGAGGCAGAGTTTGCAGTGAGCCGAGATAATGCCACTGCACTCCAGCCTGCATAACAAAGTGAGACCCTGTTTAAAAAAAAAAAAAAATTGCAAAGACTAGTAAAATGGTTTTCACTTAGAAACTTTATTGGAATTAATTATTTTTTCAACTTTTTTTCTATTGACAAAAGCCTATCCAGATTTACTACTTATCAAGTTAATCTTAGCTATTTATATTTTCTCAGAACATAAGTGAATTAAAAAAACTTAACTGCATATAAAATTGTCTTA
Organism: Homo sapiens; assembly: GCF_000001405.40. NCBI lineage: Eukaryota > Metazoa > Chordata > Mammalia > Primates > Hominidae > Homo > Homo sapiens. The sequence goes on from NC_000001.11 coordinate 146,916,983, forward strand.
TCATTTAAGAGTCTCTCATATCTATAGTTATAACTCATTTCTCATTTATTTGTTTTTGTGAACTCTCTCTCTCTCTTTCTGTGGCTCTCTCTCTCTTTTTTCTGGACTTTCCAGAATTTGCCAGAACACTATAATTTTTAGTGTTTGCTTTCATTAATCTTTGCTTTTATTTTTGCTGGTTTTTTTTTGGCTTCAAAAGCTAACTTCATCTTTTAACTTCTTAAATTTAATTCAGCTTAATTATTTTATGTTACTCATGCTCTAATAAAGCAAGCACATAAATCTGCTTTTCCTACTGATAGTTTTAGTTCTATCTTGTAAGATTTGATATGTAATCTTCTAATCATTATTATTTTTTGAATAATCTGTAATCATAATTGTTCTTTTCTTTAGTCCAATAGTTATTTATGTATATGTTTTCTAATTTACAAATAAACACTTTCCTATTTTAAATTCTTGGTACTATTTTCTAGTTTATTTTAGAATAAACATTTAGAATGTGGGCTGTGTACTTTTCCTTTATGGGATTTTATAAAAATTATAATTTTGTTCTATTACACCATTAACTTCCAAAAATACTCCAGAGATGTTTGAAAAGTATATGTACTCATGTAAGTGTAAAAATTAAATTACTACAATTAGACTAAAAATCATTAACTAAATCTGTTTTATTTTAGTCCTACTTGATTTATCAAGGAATGAAAACACTGTTTGAAGACTCCAATTGTGTATATACCTATTTCTGCCAGTACATTGAAGAGCTATGTAGTTTAATACTAGTTTCTAAGTACATAATGGTTTCTACCTCTTATACTTTTATTGTGAAGTCTAACTTTTTTGGCATTCTAAATTTACATTCCTTGTTTTATCTAGTGAATTTTGCCTACACTTTGCCTTTTTATTTACCTAAGCCTTTTTACCATATTTTTATTTACATAAACCTGGTAGATCTTTGCTAATCTTTTCACTTTTAATTTATACATATATTTTTTAATCCAGTATATAGCTGGAGTTTTTTCTAACCTAGTTTAAGAACCTTGATCTTTTAATAAATAACTTTAATATATTTATATTCATTTTCATAACTAATATTTTTGCTTTTATTTTTTAATCTTAAAAGAGTTTTTTAAATTATTAAAACAAATTTTTGTGGGTACATAGTAGGTATATATATTTATGGGGTACATGAGGTGTTTTGATACAGCATGCAATGTGAAATATGCACATCAAGGGGAATGGGGTATCCATCGCCTCAGGCACTGATCCTTTGGGTTTCAAGCAATCCAATTACATTCTTTAAGTTATTAAAAAATATACAACTAAATTATTATTGACTACAGTTACCCTATTGTACTATCAAATAATAGGTCATATTTATTCTTTCTATATTTTTTTGTACCCATTACACATCTCCACCAGCCTCCCAACCCCCAACTATATTTCCCAACCTCTAGTAAGCATTCTTCTACTTTCTATGTCCATGACCTCAACTGATTTGATTTTTAGATCCCACAAAAAAGTGAGAACATGCACTGTTTGTCTTTCTGTGCCTGGCTTATTTCACTTAGCATAATGACTTCAAGTTCCACCCATGTTGTTGGAAATGACTGGATCTCATTCTTTTTTATGGCTGAATAGTACTCCATTTTGTATAAGTACCACATTTTCTTCACCCGTTCATCTGCTGATGGACACTTAGGTGGCTTCCAAATTCTAGCTATTGTAAACAGTGCTATAACAAACAGGAATGCAGATATCTCTTCAATGTACTGATTTCCTTTCTTTTGGTTATGTAACCAACAGTGGAATTGCTGGATTGTATGATAGCTCAATTTTTAGTTTTTTGAGGAACCTCCAAACTGTTCTACATAGTGGTTGTATTAATTTACGTTCCCACCAACAGTGTATGATGATTCCCTTTTCTCCACATCATTGCCAGCGTTTGTTATTGCCTGTCTTTTGGATATAAGCCATTTTAACTGAGGTGGGTTGATATCTCATTGCAGTTTTGATTTGCATCTCTGATCACCAATGACGTTGAGCACCTTTCATATGCCTGTTTGCCATTTATTTGTATGTCTTCTTTTGAGAAATGTCTATTAAAATCTTTTGCCCATTTTTGATTGGATTATCGGATTTTTTCCTATGGAGTTGTTTGAGATCCTTATATATTCTGGTGATTAATCCCTTGTTAGAGGAGGTAGTTTGCAAATATTTACTCCCATTCTATGAGTTGTCTCTTCACTGTGTTGATTGTATCCTTTGCTGTGCAGAAGCTTTTTAACTCATATCATCCTTTTTAATCTTTTTTTATGCTTTCTCTGTCTCTCTGTCTCTGCTTCTTTGTGGCTGCCTTTTTTCTTTCTTTTGATATATGAACTAGGCTTTCTTTGTTCTTTTTCCTCTTATGATGATTGGAGTGTTTGTATTTACATAAAATTTTAATTAACATACATAATCCCACATTTCTCGAATCGTGCCAAGAATGAAACAATCTCTTGACTTCTTACTTTGTTAAATAATAAAATTAGCATATATCAGCTTTTTTAAAAATTATCTGTGCTCATAAAAAATAATTTCATTTTCAGGTATTTGCCATAGGACAACCCTGAGATCTTTGCTTAATTTCAGGAGCTAGCCAATAGTGCTACAATTATAGAAAATGTAGCTAGAAAATTTTAGATCCTCAATAGCAACCCTTCCAAATGCATTATTACAGTAATAAAGCCACTGAAGCCTTGAATAGTTTAAGACTTGTTGTAGGTCCCAAAACTAGCAAGTGGCAGGATTAGACCTAGAACTCAGATCTCCTGCCCAAACAGTACTCTTTCTACTGTATTATATATTTTATGAGCGACAGTTGAGACAGTGAACAAGCTTAAGTTTATCTGGGCTTAGGGAAGATGGGGATAGACGAAGAGCCCTCTGAACATTAGAGAAAGGAATGATGGAGGAAGTCAGGAGTATTTGATTTTGAAAAGGAGATGATATGTGGCTTATGACTTCAAAGGAAATAAATATAACACAAAACACAAACTTTTCTTGCCTCCCTCTGTCACCTCAGAAGGGGTTTGGTGTTGGTGAAGAGATACTGTAATGTGATAATGAGTCTAAGAAGAGGACTTAGGTTGAGTCTATTTGGGTTATTTGGCTGGTCCTGTGCTCTGGATTTTCCTTCTGTTCACTTTTATTGAGTTTTACTAAGAAGCCATCTGGTAAAATATTTTAGACTTAGGTTGATATTTAACATATAGGGCAGGCTGGTTTAAGTGAATACCCAGCCAACAAATAATAAGATAAGAAAATAACCCAAACAGCATCATATTTTATTGTTTCCTGATTGAAATCAAGATGCTGGTTAGTTATCTTTTAGTCTAAAAATGTAATTTTGGAGGAACATCAGCTCAGAAAAGCTCCAGCATAAGGAAATAGGTCAGCTTTTCTTCCAACATCAAGGATTTCCAAATTCAGCCCAGAAGACTTAATAAAATGTACCTAAGGGAAGCAGAAGACAGTGAAACTGGAGTTCAGCTTCCATGAACATGGATACACCCTTTGATCCCTATGTTTCCTATGACCCTCTGGGCAGAGCAATCAGGCAGCTAGTCATCTATGTAGGATTCAGTTTGTCATTAAGCTTTTTTCTTAACAGTACATAATAAACACCTGATGAAGTTTTGAGATTAGATCTCGAAGAATGCCTGATCCTTGTGATTTCTGAAGCTTATATGGGAGGGTGTCCAGGTGTTTTTAAGGACTATATTGCTCTCATCCATTTCACCCCTTTCCTCACATGTCTTTTTCTGCCAAGGAGTTGAGTGTGGTTGTAGATTATAATTTAATAATTGTCAAACATTCTGTAGACAGAGTTGTTAGCTCCATTTTGAAAATAGCACCTGAAAAATAATTACTGAGGTTCACACACAGAATTTCTCTTTAAATTGGCAAATGATTTTTGTGCATTTACTTGCTGGCTTGCATAATCCTTAAGTTTTAGAAATGTTGACACTGGACTGTGCCTACATAACCTTCAGCCCTTTACACATGGTATCATTGGTCCTTTGATACATACATGTTTACTATGATGGTCTGGGTGATATTCATGCTTTAATGCTTTAAAATATGACCCATTCCTTTCTGACTGGTGGCATCCCTTCTACACTGACTTCAGGTGGGTTTGACAGTGGTAAATAGCTATAACTCATTTCTTCATATAGATATATTACTGTTTTTGTCTTTGGACTCTCTTCAATACATTTTGCCCCTCATGTTCAATTTTATTACCTGTTTAGGTATCATGTCATGATCCCAGCTCACTAAATCTATCTACTAGAATACAAGTTTGGTGTTCATGTACTGATCATGTATTTGGGTCTTATTGATCATGCTTTTTCTCGACTTTGGGTGATTCTCAAGTTGAATGTAATTATCCATACTAGGAATGCCACTAATAAGTAGGTTAATTCTACTGCTTTCTAGAGTTTTACTCCAGTTTTAAAATTGATGCCATCAGGACAGCATTCCCTTTTCTTTTCTTTCCTTCTTTTTTTTTTTTTTTTTTTTTTTTTTTTTTTTTTTTGAGACGGAGTCTTGCTCTGTCGCCCAGGCTGGAGTGCAGTGGCGCGATCTCCGCTCACTGCAAGATCCGCCTCCCGGGTTCACGCCATTCTCCTGCCTCAGCCTCCCGAGTAGCTGGGACTACAGGTGCCCGCCACCACGCCCGGCTAATTTTTTGTATTTTTAGTAGAGAAGGGGTTTCACCGTGTTAGCCAAGATGGTCTCGATCTCCTGACCTCGTGATCCTCCCGCCTCGGCCTCCCAAAGTGCTGGGATTACAGGCCTGAGCCACCGCCCCTGGCAGCATTCCCTTTTCTACAGGAAAATAATCTGTAAATTTTTTTTTCCACCTACACACCGTGTAATAATATATGGCCAAGAAATGCAAACTTGGTGCGTTACAGCTCTGCCTTATCAATGAACTTCCTCCATGGAACAGAGGTCGTGAGGCAGGCTTCGGTCATCCTCGTGGTTTCAGGGCATGGTTATTTTGCCAAACCCGCAAAGTGGTCTGAAGCAGTGATTACCAGGCCTAACTTCTCTCCTGAAGAAGCTGGGAAGTGTTCACAAAATATAGATCCTCCAGCTTCAACCTGATTAACCAAGTCAGATTCTGAAGGTTCCCAAAATCTGAGCTTTGAAACAGCTCTTTAAGCAACAACGATGTTGTTGGATAGTGAGAAAAACTACTGCTCTAGAGGCTCTTGAATTCTGCGTGTGCATATGTGCATATGTGTCGCAGGCACTAAATAGTAACAACTTAGAATCAGAAGATACCCTTCAAGCTCATGTCTCTCTTCATGGAAACGAAGTAGAGGTATTTGTAGGTTAAGGGACATGTCTAAGTGCACATAGCTAGTCAGTGGAGAATTGTGAAAAGCAAAGGAAAACAAAAGCCAAGTGTCCTGATTCTTAGTCCAGACTCATTTTCTCGAAATTAAGCTATCTTTGATATTTTCTTAAAGTGCTACCATTTATAAATTCAATAATTTTCCCAAGAGAGATAAGTTACATATAAGTTAAATGTCTTTTTCTCCTGAGCATTAGAGCATAAAATAGAATTTGAAAAGCAATAGGTTAACTCAACAATACAGCCTCACCACATTAGTAGCTGACACATGTTAACTGATTATTGAAAAAGTCATTTGTGGCACAGGTTGACATAAGCTAGTGTATTGAGAGAGGCCAAATAACGGTGTGTAACTAACACAGGTTTTGGAATCTTAGGCCTGGGATCAAATCCTGACTTAACTATGTGATTCTAGGCAATCCTAGGCCTCAGTTTATGTATCTGTAAAATGGGTATAATATTTTCCTTTTATGTTTATAGTTAGGTTAAATGAAACATGAATACATGAATGGTGCCTGGCACATAGTAACTACTAATAATTAATCTCTTGTGCTTATTAAATGCCAGCCACTTGACAGATTATTAAAACTCACACCAACCCCACAAGTGAGTGTTGTAATTATTCCCATCTTAAAATGAAAACTTGACACTCAGCTATGTTCAGTAACCTGCCTGGGGTCATGGAGGTATTTGGAAATTGAGACTGGAGCTCTGCCTATCTTAAATTTCTCAGATTCTCCTCTCTTATGCTGTCTTTCAATAAATGACAGCTGTCATTATTGCCCTCATCCTCACCCAGAACCCAGTATAATTCAGTGGCCAGGCACATGGCTCAGGTTTGAAGTCCAAGGAGCTGGATGTTTCTTTCCTTTCAATAAATGACAGACATGTGACCTTGAGTGGGCTCCTCAATTTCCCTATTCCTTGGTTTCCTCATTTGTAGGATGAGGAGGATAATCTAGTTTTAGGGTTGTTTTGAGGATACCTGGTAAGCTCTCAATACTTCTGCTGCTTTTTATGTACTTAGTCAGTCCAACATGCTAAATAAGAATGAATTCTGGGTCTTGTCTTGCCCATGTTTTCGAAGCTTCTACTAAAAGTTTTTGTTTTTTAGCACTTTCCCTGAATCTCAGGTGTGAGTGCAGTAAAGGTGTTGGCTGAAGGGGGATGGAAACAAACGTTAATTACACCTTCAAGATTTCTCCAGTCAGAGTTTGGTCCTTCTTCTGGTAGGTGGTAAACTCTCTTCAGTTATATGGCCCTGAAAATCCTTGAAGCTCCATATATTGAAGGGATAATGGGCCAATATGTGAACAGCATCTCACCACTCATCTTGTGATGTGCTTGGCAAACAAGCTCACAGCGACAGGGGCTCAGGATTTTCGGAATTCTATCTGCTCTGCAGATTGGAGCCCGACTCCAAAGAGGCATTGATAGGGGGAGCTGATGCAGAGATGACTGCGTGACATGATAGCCGAGATACTGGACAATTCACTGTGTACTGTCCGTTTAAATGAAAGGTTAGAGTTAAGAGCAGACACTGCCAGTGCTACCAAGGGATAATTTTTTGTATGCACGTGTGCTCATGTGTTTATATGCTTTTAGCTTTCTTTTTGATAGTAAATATAGGAAAAGACCTTTCAAAGACTATACATGCTAAGTTTCTGAGAGGGAAGAACTATCATTAAAAGCATAAAACATCACATTATATTTGAGTTCAGTAACCTGAAGTTCAGCAAGTTTTCCACAGTCTCAGGTTTCCTAACAAGAAACAATGCACGTGTCTACTTCTGTACTTACATAACACTTTATTCTGTGCTACAGAATAAAGTATTTTAACACCCCTTTATCTCTCTCCTTTATGCACAGTGTGCATAAAGATGAGAACATCATGAACCAAGATGAGGCAGAATGACAGCACAGGGGTGGTTTCCATTTCAAGCTAGCTGTTTTCTGCATCCTCCCACCTCCTTCAAGAGTTGCATGCTTGATTGAATTAACTAATACCAGTTGTGCTTTACATATTTGAGTTAAAATATACGTGTTACATGTCAACATTGTGCTAAAATGTATTATTGATTTTTTTATTAACAAGCACTGCTTTAATTTAGTACTGAAGAAAGTCTATGTTTATTGGACAGCAATTTTATACCTGTGTATGAATACCTGAGTATGTAGAAGAATCAGATATGTGATTAGCTAAACTTCCAAAGTTGATAAAAACTAGGTGATTATTTAAATTGCACAAAACCCTGTATTTTACTTAAATTTCTATAAAAGTAATAATGTCTTACATTTGCTTAGTGAGAAATGCTTTGCAGATGCCTTTGACATATATTATCTCCTTTGTTCCTCTCAAAATTCTTATGAACTAAGGAGAGAGTGACTATTGTCTGCATGTTTTATGGATAAGAAAAAGAGAAAGCATCCTTAGCACATTTGAAATGTATTACCTTTACAAAAAGGTAACTCATCATCACCTCTTTAGAAAGCACAATTCAATGTGGAAAGTAGGCCTACCTCTGTTTACTCTATGCATGTATAGTTAGTGTCCTGGTTATCTCTTGCTATGTAACAGATTATCCTAAAACTTACTGGCTTAAAACATCATTTTATTATGTCTCACTATTTTTTTGGTCAATAGTTTGAATAGGGCTCAGCTGGGTGATTCCTTTGTTCCATGTGGAGTCAGCAGAGATAACTTGATGATACCCAGCTGCCAAATGAGCTGGTCTGGAGATTCCAAGATGGCTTCATTTACAAATTTAGTGATGGGGATGGCTGAAAAGCTGGTCTTGGCTGGGACTGGCAACTAGAGTGCCTACATGTAGCCTTTCCAACATGATATTAGGGTAGTCAGGGACTCAGTGTTCCAAGAGAACTTAAGTGGAAGTTGTTGGTTCTTAAGGCCTGGATCCAACAACTGGCCCAGCATCACTGCTGCCGTTTTCTGTTGATCAAAGCAAGTCATGGAGCCCACCCAGATTTGAGGGGAGGGAATATCTGCCCTACCTCTTAATGGAAGGGTATCAGAGAATTTGTAGCAACCTTTAATCTGTCACAGTGCACATTTTGGCCATTGATTATGTTCCTTGCCTATGGGAAAATACATTCACCCTTTCTAAAACCCCTAGACTCTCAACTCCTGATGGCATCAGAACACAGGCAGCATCAAGATCAGGCTCAAGATGCAGGATTTTATCATCCAAATCAGGCCCACATATGGATGAAACCCTTCAGGTATGTTTCTTCAAGTATGGTTCCTCTCGACCTGTGGACTAAAGAAACACATTATTTGCTCCTCCATCCCCAATACACAATGTCGAGATGAAGGTAAGAAAAATGCAGTTGGCATTCTCATTCAAAAATAGAATGAAAAGCAAAGAGCAGTCCCTAGTCTGTAGTATTTCTGAAATCTTACTGGTCACATGTCCACATTCTTTTATTACATCTCAGTCCTGCTTCCTAGGAATTACATAGTAATATGACAAAATAATATAACTAATTATTTAACTACAATAAACATTTCATTTCTAAGCTCACCTTTTTCTATACAGTATTATACATGCATAAAACAAATCATTTGGCACTTCTGGCATTCCTATCAGAGATCCAAACCCAGCCAAATCCATCAGTTCATTAGGTATATATTCTATTGTCTAGATCACAACAGGCAACAGTATTGTCAAAATTTCTGCCACTTCATAACCAGGGTCACTTTTTCTCCAGCCTCCAATAGTAATTCCTGTACTATCTTCCTCTAAGTATTCACTAGAAGTCTCCTTCAGGTTTTTCTATTCTCATTAACAGTGTCCTCAAGATCTTTGCAGCGTTTGCTCATTGTCTGGTTCCAAAACCATGGCCACATGTTTTAGATAGTTATGGCAGCACTCCACTTCCAGGTATCAAATTCTGTTCTTATTATCTACTGCAGCATAGCAAATTGCTCCAAAACTTAGTGGCTAAAAATAACAATCATTTTATTATATCAGGACCTTGTTGCTTGGGCATTTGGGCATGCCTCTGCTGGGTGATTCTTCCGCTCCATTTCAAATTGACTGAGGACACTCAGTGGTTTTCAGCTGGTGGGTCGGCTTGTCAGGAGGGTCAGGATGGCTTTCCTCACATGACTGCCACTGGCTAGAAAGTGGGGCTCAGCTGGGCTTGTTGTCTGGAGTGTCTACACATGGCCTCTCTAGTAGGGTGGCTTTAGGGTAGTAGAACTTCTTACATAGTGACTAAGTGTTTCCAGAGAGAGTGTTCCAAGAGACAGAAAGTGAAAGCTACCAGTTTCATAAGGTGTAGACTTGGAATCTGGGCTGGCTTCACTTTTGCTATGGCTTTACTGGCCAAACAGTCACAGAGACCACCCAGATTCAAGGCCATGGGATGTAGACCCTATTTCTCTGTGGGAACAGAGTGAAAAATTTTTAGTATGAAAGAAAAATAATGTTTAGTTTTTCATCTTGAATTGCTTACTAGTGCTTACAAGGCTGACTGACTCAATGAACTAATTCAGGTTTAGGAATTACACATTCGAGCTTCTGGTTCCATATCTCCCATTGCTTGGCTGTTCTTGAACTGAGGTAAATAACCTTTAGGCTTTAATTTATATCATAGGCAAAACGGAGATGATGATAACTGTTGGCACCTACTGGTTCAGGGAGATGTTGTGCCTCTTTTTATTTTTTTTTAAATCAGTATTTAAAAAGTATTCTCTAAAGTGCTCTAGGAAGTAGAATAATAAATTGCCGTGACAAATTGGACCATTACAAATTCACCACATATGTTTTTATTAAGATAGAAAATTGGGTCTCAATATTGTGTAACATCAACAGGGATACGTAGGAACTCTAGTACTCACAGAAGTCTCACACCCCACACACACCAACCTGTGCTATAGCATACGCTTCCTCTGTCTTTCATGTATGGCAGGCAATGTATGTTTTCTCACTGAATCTTTGCCACACTTTTTGGAGAGTTAGGTGCCATTATTAACATGTTAATCATGTTTTCTGAAACATTTTTTTTTCCTGGAGTTTAAATTCTAACACATCTTTTGCATATTTATACGTAATACATCTTTAAAGAATCTAATGAAACCTTTAGTAGAGTCTGTAGGGGTTTTGTTTAAATTCTGTGGAAATCATCCCTTTTTATTTTTATACAAATATTCTTGCAAAATGAGATAAAAGCAGATTTATGAAGATATCAAGATGATATAACAAAGATGAGATACAAAATAAAAGCAGAGGCATTAGCAGGAGCTAGTTTTACTCATGGAAGCCAGAAGGAGGATGGGGTGGTTGGTACTGTGGGAGGAGAGACAGGCTGGGAGCCAGGGCATCTGGCCCTGCTGTGCCATTAGCTAGGAGCTAGGTGTGCAACCTCAGAAAGCTTATTTCCTCCTCTAGGCCAAAGTTTTCTTCTGTGTCATATGACAGTATTAAACTAGATTAACTCTAAAGCCATTGCAACCTTAATATTCTTTTATTATTCCAAGTAAAGGGGATGAAACACTAAAATCAACATTTCCAGGCATTAAGAAGGTGATTTGCAAAAACATTTCATTTATTCTTTCAACAAGTCTTTGTTGAGACTCCTATGTGCCAGGCCTTATTCTAGGTATTTAGGGGTACAGCAGTTAATAAAAACTCCCTTCCCTCATGGAGCTTACATTCCAGGTTGGGGGATACAGACAATAAATAATCTAAGTAAGTCAAACATATGATATGTTAGACAATCATAAGTGCTTAGCGGAAGATAAAGTAAGGAAGGTGGGTAGAGCATGCTGGGTGGGGTTTGCAACATCAAGTAGGCTAGTCTTGGAAGACTTCACTAGTAAAGATCTGAAGGAAGATGTGAGCCATAATGACTTTGCTTCCAGTTCATGGAGAGAATGAAAGCATTTTCAGGGAGAGGAAACAGCAAATGTAAAGGTGCTGACATCGAAGCATGTCTTATATTCTCAAAAAGTAACAAGGAAACCAGTATAGCTGGAGTGGATGGAATAAATGAGGAGCAGGGTACCAGGAGGCATGAGAGAAGACTCTGGGGAGATGTTGAGGAGAGAGTGCCATTTGGCATGTTTTAATGAAATAACTTTATTGCTTCATTAAAACAGTGTAGAGAATAGACTAGAAAAGGTCAAAGACGGAAAGAGGAGAACAGTTAGGAGGCTACTGCACTAATCCAGGCAAAAGATGATGGTGGCTCAGACTATAACGGCAGCAGTAGAAGCAATGAGAAGTGATGGGATTCTTGGTGTGTTGTGAATGTAAAACCAATAGGATTTTTTGTATGTTTAGAATGGGGGTATGAAAAAAGAGGACTCAAGGAAACTGCAAGGAGTTTTGACTTGAACTAAGAGTTGCTACTTGCTGAGATGGGGAAGACTGTGGGAGATGCAGTTTTTGTGATGCTGCTGTAGGCTATTAGGAGTTTAGTTTAGACATGTCAACTATTAGATGCCTGTTAGGTATCCATTCCATGCATGTATCATGTCTTATAAAGACATGAGTGTGAGTTTCAGGGGAGAGAGCCAGGCTGGAAGTACCAATTTATTACAGCTCTGAGATTGGATGAGCTTCCCAATGGAGTAAACATAGATTAAAAAAAAAAAAAGGTTCAAGGACTGAGCCTGGGGAGTAAAACTGCAGAGATGAGAAGAAGCATCGCGGGAAACAAAAAGAAGTGACTAGACAAGTAGTAATAACACTGAACAAGCAGAGAGTCTGGAAGCTCAGTGGAGGAAAAAAAGTGTTTCAAAGAGGAGAGAGTGATTGTGTCCAATGCTACTGATTGTTTGCATAAAATGAGGACTGAGAAATGACCACTGGCTTAGCAAAGTAGGAGTTTTGGTACCTTGATCAGAGCAGTGTCTGTAGAGAGGTGCAGGTGAAAGTCTGATTAGAGTGAGGTCTAGAGAGAACAAAAGGAAATAAATTGGAGACAGGGGATATGGACACTCTTTCAAAGAGTGTTGCTATTAAGGAAGTGTGAGAAAGGGGAATCGCTAGTAGGAATTGGAGTAAAGAGAGTCTTTTAAAAAATATGAGAAAACAAGATGTTTGAATGTTGGTGAGAGTGATCAAATAGAGAAAAAACAGGCAAAGTAGAAGAAATAAAAGAAAATCACTGGAACAGCGTCCTTCAATAGATGAGTAAAATAAGATCTAGCAGCAAGCTAAGGGGTTGATTTTGACTAGAAGCATGGCTAGGAGGAAAAGTTGAGCAGATGGGCACACATGCAGGAGAAAAGGAGGTGGTGCTGGAGGCTGAGTGCAGTTTCTTTTGATTGCTGTTATTTTCTCAGTGAACTAGGAAGCAAAATAATCAGCTTGGAGTGAGGATGACAGAGGCATTTAGAGGTTTGAGAAGGGAGGAGTAGGCATGAAACAGTTTTCAGGGGAGTAGGAGAGTTAATGGACTACGGAAATATTGTATGTTTGCTGGAGAGTATTAAGGACGTAACTGAGGTCAATACAGAACTCTTTGGTCTTCCAAAGTCATCTATGGCCAGTCCTTTTCAAACTGGTGTTCTTAGAGCAGGATATTCCTTGCAGCACTGAGAGGAGATGAAAGCCTGGAAGTGAATAAATGTCCTAAGATGCAACTGTTGTAACATAGCCACTTCTTCTAGAACACCACCAATATTTCCTTGGGAAATATTGAGATTTCTTTCCCTAACTCCTTTCTTCCTTTCTTTTCTGGTCCTCTTCCTTATTTGTGCTAAGATACAGCTAGAGTGGTCGTTTATGGGTTTCAGGGAGCAGATCCACTTCCTGTACCTGATGGGTTTGTTTTACTGTTGTATTGGATAGCTTTTTCTATGTTATACTCTGGTAACAAACAATCACCATTTCTCAGTGGCTTACAACCATCTGGATTTATTTCTCTCTCTTGTTACAGGTTGGCTGTAGGTCAGTTGCAGCTCTACATATCTTCATTCTGAAATTGAGTCCCTATTTAGGTCATGCCATTCTTTGGGCAGCGGGAGAAGAGCAATTGTGGAGCCACAAGATGGCTCTCAGTTTCCACTGGGAAGTGGTAATTGTCACTTTTGCTCACATTTCAATGGCCAAAGCAAGTCACATGACCAAGCTTGATGTCAATGGGATGGGAAATTATAAGCTTCTTTTAGGGAGGAGAACTCATAATTTGGAACAATCATATAATTAGCTGCAACTTTTTCCATGTGTGGCAGTAAAAAATCATCCTCAAGCAAGACAGTGGGGCAAATTACCTCTTCCTAACCATGATCAGCATTGAGCCCTCAGGAGTAACCCCAAAGTGACTTGACATTTGGTATGAATTTCTGGGTGCAATTTTATGTCTGGCCCTGTGGGCTAGATTATTTAGCTTTAGAATTTAGAAGCTGTCTTACCTTCAGGGAGGCAGTTCATGTATTTAATCACATACATTTTAGGTATTATAATAATAAAAGCAGCTATGCTAAATTTTACAAAATCCATCTTATAAGCTGGAAGACAGAGGCCCATCCAGATCTGTCTTTGGAGACTTTCTTAAGTTCTACATACTCAAGATCAATTTTATGATAATATAAATACAATAGGAGAAAGAGCTCTGCTTGCAACTCAGTAAAATAAAAATTCAGAGATGATAGGAAATTCCATATCTATTCTTGGCCTAGCAGGAGGAATTTTGTAGCTTGAGAAGGAGCTGGGATATTTCTCTAAGACACTGTGTAACCAAGTCTCAGGCCCATGATTCACCACTTCTTCTTCTTTGGTGCTCTGCAAAATGCCATGGGTTGTTCTGAGTGATTGCCTCACCGTGGCATGATAGACATGAGAACTCAAGACGAGCAATGAAAGTATCATGATTGACACAAATTCCAAGTATGTTGGCTTAACTATTTTCATGTTTGTTCTGTTAACACAGAAGAGACCAGGTTCTGCTGCTGTGTGTTCTTTAGTTGCATTTTAGTGAGACTTTTCCTCTCCCTTTATGAATATAGGATTCTGACAGCTGACAAATGACATTCCAAGAACTTAGCCAGAGCCCAAATTGTGCCCTGCTGTGGGAATTTCTCCTCATAGATTTGTCCAACAACTCTGCTCTGGAGAAAATGCTCAGGTGATGCATTCCCAGTGGTAGCTCAGTTCCCATCAACTCACCACTGGTGCCTGCATTAGGATGTTTTTCTTTCTTCAGGTATTTGTTTTCAGTCCATCTTCACCTCCCACCACAGTGAATTTACTGTCCGTGAAAGGGACTGGGTAGCTCTCCCCTGAGACTACCCTGGGTTTATTTTTAGCACAGGCAGTTTGGAAAAATTACTTTCCCTTGCTGACTGCACCAGGACTCTCTTAACTCTGACACAGAATTCTGGACCTTTCACATTGGATTGAGAATGAGTGGGTAATCCATGCCTTCACTTTAGAGATGGAGGAATCACATTACAACGGGGATAAAAAATTTGCCACAAGTTACCCAGACACTCAATTGAAAGAGCTTTTCTTTGATCTGTTGGTCTCAGATTTATAAGATGTTTAACAGTGTAAAAATTGCAAGTTAGTCTGACTAAATTGGACAGATTGCAGGTAAAAGCCCCGCTCCCTAAATCCCAATTGATCCCCTGAGCCATTTGTACTACCTAAAAGTGGTATTATTACTTTCAAGCTACATGCTCAAAAATTATTTCCCTTGGGAACACACACCTAACCCAAACAAAAAGATTACTACTTTTTTTTCTACTCATTCAATACCCTTTGTCCCAGCTATCTTGTTTCTTTCTTCCTATGTCTCATTCAACATTATATTCACATGCTATGATCTCCCCAGACCCCTGCAGACTATTAGGTTGAACCACATGAAATTGCCAATATTCAGCTGGTTTTGACCAATAAAGGTGGTGATTTCATATAATTCAAGCAAACCCTATTAGAATGAGGAAGCAAATTGTGGAAGTTCTCATGCAGAACAATGCAAGTTATTGACCAAATCAACTACGGCTCCATACATGGAATCGAGTTGGATGTGTATCCAGGCTCTAATACAATCTGTTGTAAAATGCAGGCTA
This sequence comes from Homo sapiens, assembly GCF_000001405.40. NCBI lineage: Eukaryota > Metazoa > Chordata > Mammalia > Primates > Hominidae > Homo > Homo sapiens. Next base: position 146,932,435 of record NC_000001.11, read on the forward strand.
ATTAGCATATTAAATGAGGTAGAGGTTTTTGTCTCCTTTGGAAGGAGAATCCAAGAGGTATAAAGCAAAACCAGAAAAAAAACAAAACTCGCAAATTCTGTAGTTCGTTTTCTCTCATTAAAAATATAACTATCAGGCTAACACCTGTTGACACACAATACCAGGGACACAGAATCTCTCCCGGAAGACCGATGGGCCCACGGAAGGCGCGGATGCCAAGGTGGTTGAGGAGGTTAAGTAACTCGGTGTTTGGGCATACCTCTGCGTGGGACTGTCTCCGCCGCGCCCCTCATCTCTACGCGGATAGATTCCCACACGCTTCCCTTTTCCTTGGGCCGCTGAAACCTCTCCGACCAACCGCCGAAGAGTCTCCCTGGACCCCGCAGCTTCTCTCCTTCCCGGACCTTCTTGATCCTCGCTCCATAGTGAGACGTGGCCTAACGTAGCGGAAAGCCCAGCACGCGAATCCCTCTGATGGGCTTTGGGTTACCCAGGGGTTTGCCGGGAGACTAGATGAAAGTAGCAAAGGTTTTAATTCCCAGTATTTAAAACTGCAGCAACCCACCGGAAACACTCCCCACTTTCAAGGACAGGCTTCGAGCACAGGAACGTAAATTCCGGGATTATTAGTTCGAGCACAGAGAATGCTCCAGAGGTGGCACGCCCCTCAGGTTAGCTTCTAGCTGCCACGACCAAGGTCCATAAATGCAGTACAGCCTGTATAATATAATAACTTTGTTGGGTAGAAACGTAGTAGCCCTTCCTGCCGGAAGAGTAAGAAGTCCTGCATGGCCGGGAGTCGTACCGGAGTCGCCGGCGTGGGAGACAAAAACCTCTACCGCTGAACTACCAATCCCCTACCGGGAGCAGTTTCACCAGATCTAATTTGAAGTCTCTGGACGGCCTTTGAAGCGGTGGTTCTAAAAGAGGTTTGCATAGGAAATTCATCCAGCATTTGTCTCTGGTCCCAGATCTGGCGAAAACTTCTGGAAATTTCATTTCCTCACTGATGAGGTAATCTTTTTGCCAACGCTTGCCTTGGTACTTTCCAAACCCTTTCCTCCCAACCCTGAGGCAAACAGGCTTTCGAAGACCCAGGAGCTAGAGATTTAGGGATGTGTCCAGGTTACTCCGGAAGATCTGTGGGATGACCGAACTTCTCTTCATCTACATCTCTTTTGAGTCATTTGAAAACGCCAAGTATCTTGCTTCTAAACCCATATATTTTAAGAAACCTACAGAAGTGGGAGTGAGTGAAAGTTCACTCCAATATTTCTTTTCTTATCCACACTCTCTTTGGCCACTCCAGGAGGCTATGTCGAGTGGCACAGTCATCCCAGGGACCCAGAGCTTTTCTCCTCAGATGCGTCTTTGGAGTCTCTAGTAAAGTCCAAGAATCAAAACGACTGTCATCCAACTTTTGTGTCTTACAGAGATCTACACAAGAGAGAAAGTGAAAATTTCACTACAGAATTTCTTCTCTTGGCAAACTGTGGAAGGTTTACGGCAAGCCTTTGCTTCAAGTGCCTGTTGCTTTGTTAGCTCTGTTTTCCAAAAATATCTGTGTCAGCCTATTATAGAACTTTCCCACCTCCATCCTCCCTGCCCCCTCATGCCTGCCCATAGCACTAGAGATTATCTTTAAGGAAAAAAAAAAAAAAACTATGAGAGGTTATACCACACGGAGCATTGATGGTTCAGTAATAGAATTGTCAACTCCCACGCTGGAGACCAGGGTTCAACTCATAGGGTGAACGCATCTCATGTCTGAATCTCCTCTTTCTCCCTTCTTTCTTTCCTCCCTCCCAAGCTTACATACCTTTGTTACCGGCTGGTGTTGTGAAGTCCCAGGTTCTTGGTGTCTTTAACAAAGAATTGGAAGTGACACACACACATGTAGCAAAGCAGCAAGAGACTTATTAAGCACAGTAACACTCTCAGAGAGGGGAGAACGGGCTGACTTCTGCAAAATGGGATCAGCGTCAGTTTGGTGAACTTTGGGCTTTGGGTCTTTTTACATGTTTTTTTTTTTTCTTTTTTCTCCTCTTCCTGGGGCTGCCTAATCTCTACCCACCATGTGCCTTCTGATTGATAGGTGGGTTGCTTAGTTACTTGGCCCCTGTGTGCTTCCGCATCACCTCCATCCCATAATT